>NC_000009.12:108845552-109470552 GCF_000001405.40 Homo sapiens | reverse complement strand
AGCTAATTTTTTTTTTTTTTTGTAGATATGATGGTCTCACTAGTAAATTTTATCTTTAGAAGGGAATACCCCACTTACTTCAGAGGAGTTTAAGGAACAGTTAGGCCTGGCTTTAAAACAGACTGGAATGAGAAGCTGTCCTCTTTGAGGTACCAACAGCAGTAGGAAAGCATGGTTTCTGTCTTCCTAAAGGCGTGAGCAATGCGAGTGATTGTTGCTTGTTGGGGCCATGGTTGGCCCCACAAAGAACTCGATACCACATAATGCAACCCAGCATCTGTGTGTCTACAGTGACGAGAGAGAACAACGCTGGTACTATATTAGCTGCTAAATGAATGAAGCATGTGTCTGCAATACGTTAAATATTGGCATTTGACGAGAAGTGCACTTAATTTGATGAATCATTGTCTAGGGTGGCTGATAGTACATGTACTTTTCCATGCTAGAAATGCCCTTCTCTAGATCGGTCATCTGTTGGAGCTCAGAAATAGCTAAAAGGAAAAAAAAAAAGTAGAGGGAAGAAGGCGCTTTCCTGAGTTCATAGGGAAGAATTGGGAAAAGGGGACTGCGCCACGGAGAAGGGCTTCTATACTGCAAAAAGGATTTTTGAAATAAGCTGAACTGGAAGTGATAAGCAAGAAAGAGCAGAGCTGTCCCTGTTTCCCTTGAATGCCAGCGTAGGAGGTGGCATGTCTTCCTCTGATCGCCACTAGGTGGTGGCATTGGGCTAGGCCAGCTTGATGTAGGTTGATTACTGTAGTGAGCCACCCATGATTCATTTATACAGGTTACTTACAAATTGGGTATTTATAAATCAAGACTGTTTTCTTATTCTCCTCCTTTTTTTCAACGGAACTCATATTCTTCAATTAGAGGCCTAAGTCCCTTACTTTAAAAAATAAGAATATGGAATACTTTGCCATTTATTTATTTGAGATAAGAGTCTCACTCTGTCGCTCAGGCTGGAGTGCAATGGCGCGATCTTGGCTCATTGCAATCTCTGCTTCCCGGGTTCGAGCGATTTTCCTGACTCAGCCTCCCAAGTAGCTGAGATAACAGGCGTGCCCCACCACACCCAGCTAATTTTTGTATTTTTAGTAGAGACGGGGTTTCACCATGTTGGCCAGGCTGGTATCACACTCCTGACCTCAGGTGATCTGCCCACCTGGGCCTCCCAAAGTGCTGGGAATACAGGCGTGAGCCACTGCGCCGGCCTCTTTATTTAAAATTATAATAGTGGAGTTGGGTTTGCTCTGTCATTTGCATGTGTTCCTCTCCCTTCTTTGTGTCTATGGTTCATTGGCTTGCGAAAGAACAGTTTCCCAGATCCGAATGTAGACAGACCCTTTGGAAATAAAGCGGCGGCATTACCCTTTCGTTGTCTCAGGCTTCAGGGCAGCCAGGGAGGAGCCCTAGTAGCAGCCCTGTTACCCAACCCTGACTCCCAGGGCTCTGGTGTCTCATGGGCCCAGGGTGTGGCAATTTGTGCCAGCATGCTACTGCTTCTGGTTCCCCTGAGTTTGTAGAGCAGCTCAAAGATGTATCACATATCTATCACAACTATCTTTTAACTCTAGCAAGCTGTCTTTATTAAAGTGGATACATAAAACTTTAAGAAATGGAACATTCATATATCTGTAAGTCGTTTGAAATCAGGATTGCCCTACAAAATCTGGAATCTGTAGACAGCACCCAATGGCATTAGAAGTTTAACGTTAATAAAATGCCTTTCATTGAGTGCCTGGTATGTGTCCCACATGTGCTAGGCACTTTCCATGTGCAACTCTAACTCTCATGGTCTTTATTGTGCCCCTACTGTTTACAAAGTGAGGTGTTGCCTCTTGCTGTATTTTCCAAGTATAATCTTTGATTAAAAACTGTATTCACAGCCGGGCGCGGTGGCTCACGCCTGTAATCCCAGCACTTTGGGAGGCCGAGGTGGGCGGATCACGAGGTCAGGAGATCGAGACCATCCTGGCTAACATGGTGAAACCCTGTCTCTACTAAAAATACAAAAAATTAGCCGGGCGTGGTGGCGGGCGCCTGTAGTCCCACCTGCTCAGGAGGCTGAGGCAGGAGAATGGCGTGAACCCGGGAGGAGGAGCTTGCAGTGAGCCGAGATCACGCCACTGTACTCCAGCCTGGGGGACAGAGCAAGACTCTGTCTCAAAAAAACAAACAAACAAACAAAAAAAAAAACTGTATCCACAATAGAGCTTCGTTTGCTATTGTTTAAAACATTCTAAAGCTATAATGGATTTTTAAACTCATGCAAAGAACAAGCTTGGCTTCCATATTATAAAATGCATCAGCAGCAGCTGTAATCATTTGTGTCAGAGAGGCCAGCATGTTCCTGGTTGGGTTGTGGCTTTGTTTAGAATTAAGAGGCTTATAAAGGAAGCCATAGAAACCCTGAGTTCCCCAATTGCTGTAGTACAGGAAACAGGGCAGTTAGTCAGCATCCATTGTCCCGACCAGATTGTTTAAGATGTAATTTCAAGACAATCTGAAAATACCACATGGCTCAATTATTGGGTTATTCAACATCAGGCTCATTCTTACCAAGGTTTGCTTTAGGAACCATTGTAGGAAGATTTCTGCAGCTTTCATAAAATACCTATTTATGACATTGTCATTAGGTTTCAAGCCCTTTATGTAACAATCAGAGATGGGTGTGAGAAAGGGAAGTCTGTCTCTCCTGGGTTGCTGGTGGGCTTTATTTTGTCAGCTAGCTGTGTGACTGTGCTGGACAGCATCATTGCTAACCACGGTGAAATGAATAAGTCCCAGCGGCACCCACGCCAGCACGAGCAGGAGCTGCTCAGGTGAAGTCTGGAAATCAGTGTCCACCATTGGAGCATCAGCCCATGTGACTTTCATTTGGAGGCACCTGTTTCAAATCTTAGTTTTTTTCTGCCTGGGGTCATTGTGTGACTATCTCTGCTTTAGCTGTTCCACAGAACAACTGCCCACCTCTTATCACACACAGTGAATTCATCCACATAGTGCATGGCTTAGATTCCGCAGAGCCTGTATTCTAAGGCCATCCATCCAAAACACACCCTGAGGTTCCCTGGAAACCCACTCCTTTAGTCCTCGTCTTCCTGGCTGTTACTTTGAGGGCTCCCAAAGGGAATGTGATCCTGCGCCACACCTGAGGATGCTGAATCACCACTGGGGGTGCGGGGACAGGCAGGTTTTAAAAGCTCCTCAGGTGATTCTGATGTGCACCTCCCACTAAAACCAACTTGAAATGGTTCTATTGTGTCTTTTGAAAAAAAAAAATGTAACCCACCTGAGATTCTTAGACAAGAACTAAAAAATAAAATTGACATTTTAAAGTCAATGTGGTTAAAGCATTATGGAACACATTTGTTGTCTTTTGATAACTTTTTGTATTACTCAGAAAATGCATCCCTGCTTCTGATGACATTTTCATTGGAAAGGGCAAGGCGGAGGTGGTGGGGTGGGTGGAATTTTATAAGCGACTGAATAAGTTCCTTTGCACTGCTGGTCCCAGGAAGTTTTTTTTTTATTAGTATTTCAGACTCTCTATCCTTATCTAAGGAAGAAGGGAGGTTTGCTTGGAGCTCCTTAAATATAATGATATGAGACCAAGTGCTTCTCTTCCTGGATGTACTTTCTGCACAGCTTTCATCATTGCGGTTTCTCTTTCTACACCTAACCGGTGCCCCCTGTCATTCCCTGAAGCTTGTTTCTTAGTCCTCCAATCTGCTTTGGCCACATCCGTCTAAGAGCTGAGTCACCTACTACTCCTTGGTACTGACTCCCAAATCTTTTCTCTAGCCATGCCCTGACATTAGGCGCTACTTTTCCAATTACCCGTGACTTGCGTCTGCCAGAATGGACCCTGGCAGCAGCAGCTTGGTCATCACCTGGGAGACAAGATGCAGACTCTTGGGTCCTATCAAGACCTACTTGAATCAGAGTCTGCATTTTAACAAGATCCCCAAGCACTCTGTATGCACACTGCAGTGTGAGAAGCACTGGTCTATGGGACATCTGTCTCCCCTCCCCTCTGCATTCCTTCTTTCTTTTCTTGCTTGCTTTCATTTTTTAAGAGATAGAGTCTTGCTGTGTTGCCCAGGCTGGGCTCTAATGCCTGGGCTCAAACAGTCCTCCCACCTTGGCCTCCAGAGTAGCTGGGACTACAGGTGCACACTACCGTAGCTAGCTACATTCTACTTAGACCCTCCCCCATTTTTCTCTGTCAAATTTGTCTATCCTGTTGTATTGCTATACGGTATTGTTGTACTGCAGTACTGCTATATAGTCTATGTTATATAGACTATAAAATTTAGCTTCATTTTCTATTTCATTCTTCCTTCCATTCATTCGGACATTTACTAACTCTACCAGACCTAGGTTTGGAGGTACAATGAGCAAAAGCAGACCTAGCCTTGTGGGGCTTCGCATCTAGTGGGAGAAGCAGATATTAAATACACATCATGAGTTCTAAGTGTGAAATGAGGGTAAGCACTAGTGAGTGAACTCTGTCACACAAATCTGTGACTGGTTAGGGAGACCAGGGAAGGCTTCCCAGAGGAAGTGATGCTTGTGCTGAGCACTGACGATGAACTGGAGTTAATCAGATGAAGAGGAGCAGAAAGAGCTTTGCAAGCAGAAGGAATAGCCTATGCAGAGGCCCAGCTCATCAGAGAAAGTTTGTGGAGAATTAATAAAAAAAAGTTAACTTACTCTCAGGCCCTTCATCTTTATTTGCTCTTCCACCCAACACTGTCAGAGTTATATCTTCACCGTTCCCTGAGCCAATTTGATTTGTAGAATTACTTCACATATTCTTTTTTTTTTTTTTTTTTTTTTTGAGACAGAGTTTTGTTCTTTTTGCCCAGGGAGTGCAATGGCGAGATCTCAGCTCACTGCAGCCTCCGCCTCCTGGGTTCAAGTGATTCTCCTGCCTCAGCCTCTGGAGTAGCTGGGATTACTGGCGCATGCCACCGTGCCCAGCTAATTTTGTATGTTTAGTAGAGATGAAATTTCACCATGTTGGCCAGGCTGGTCTCGAACTCCTGATCTCAGGTGATCCGTCTGCTTCAGCCTCCCAAAGTGCTGGGATTAGAGGTGCATGCCACCATGCCTGGCTAGTTTTGTATGTTTGGTACAGATGAGGTTTCATCATGTTGGCCAGCTGATCTCGAACTCCTGACCTCAGGTGACCCGCCCGCTTCGGCCTCCCAAAGTGCTGGGATTACAGGCGTGAACCACCGTGCCCGGCTGCTTCATGTATTCTTTGTAGAAGCCTAGATCCTCCCACCTACGTGATATAGTCATGTCCTCAGTTGCACACCTTTCCAGTCTTTTTGCCTACCTCTCCACCATTGAAATCACCGGTTAAACCAGTTTCCTTACTGTTCCCTAATATCATGGTCAGATTTTGAATGCCCTCTAATTCTCTCTTCATAAATATTATACTCTCTTTTTCAAAAAAGTAAACTTGTTATTAAAACATACATATGGAAAAGTACACAAATCATAAATGTAGAGCTTGGTAAATTGTCACAAAGTGAGTACACCAGTGTCATTAGCACCCACATCACGAAATAGAATGTTAAAAGCATCTCAGAAAATGCATCTCCCCCTTCCCCTCACTACACACAAAGGTAACCATTATCCTTTCTTCTATCAGCATTGATTAGTTTTGCCTGTTTGTAAACTTTACATAAATGGAATCATGCAGCAGATAATCTGTTGTGTCTCATATCTTTTGCTCAATGTTAAAGCAATTGATTCACGTTTTGCATGTAATGGTAGTTCATTTCTTTCTTTTGCTGTATAGTAGTATATGGTATGACTGTACCACAGTTTATCCGTTCCACATTTGATAAATGGGGTCTTTTCCAGCTTAGGATTATTATGAATATTCTTTTTTGTTGTTGTTATAAATTATGATTTTATTAGATACATATTTTGGTCCAAATCTTTGAATTGTCGTGACTTTAAAAAAAATTTTTTTTAGCTTACAAGTTCTGAGTACATGTGCAGGTTTGTTATATAGGTAAATTGAGTGTCTTGGAGATTTGGTGTACAGATTATTTTGTCAAATGCGTCATAAGCATAGTACCCGAAAGGTAGTTTTGCAATCCTCACCCTCCTCCCACACTTCACCCTCACGTAGGCCCTGGTAGCTATTGCTCCCTTCTTTGTGTCCATATGTTCTCAAAGTTTAGCTCCCACAAGATGCTGGTACATGTCTTTTAGTGAGTGAATATACATTTTTCTGCTGGGAATGTGCCCATGACTGAAATTGTTCTATCACAATAAATGCATATGTTGAGCTTTAGTAGATACTATTCAGCAGTTTTCCATCGTACAGTGGTTGCACTGAGTTATGCTTTCACCAGCAGCATGTGAGAGTTCTGGTTGCTCCACACCCTCCGTGGTTTTGCCAGTCTTGAATCATAGGGGTTCTCTGGTGGGTGTGTGGTACTATTGCTTTGTGGGTTTAATTTGCATTTCTTTGACAGCTAATATGGTTGAGTACCTGTTTTTGTTTTCTTCCTGTTTTCTAAGGAGTTTTCTGTTACTTCCTCTCACTAGGTTAGCAGGAGCACTCCATATATTCTTGGCAGATGTATATATTGCGACTATCTCCTCCCACTCTATCGGTTGCCTTTTTGCTGCCCTAAATGGTGTCTCTCAATGAATAGAGGTCCTTAATTTTAATATCAGTTTATCAATGAGTCTTTTCACATTTGAAATCATATTTATACCATGTTTAGTTCTGTAAAACCTTAGAGGTAGAACACAAATACATAAAATTGTGAAACATAAATAAAAATTTAAAAGCCTGGGAAATATAAATTAGAAGACTCAGACCAGGGAGTTAATAAGACATGCAAATAAGCCACGTAATTCTGTGAACGTACAATTTAGCAATACATATTGCTTAGAGCATCTTAGAAGTCAAAACTCAATTGGAAACATGATCTGCTATGTAGTTCTCATTATCTGTGAGTCCGTCAGACAGTATCGAGAGGATGGGATCTGACAGGTATCTGCACTCACAAGTAACTGACAATTCGCATATTAAAGCACTAACAGGTATATTTTATGTTACAGGTTATTCAGCGATAGTTATGACCTCCCGGTTACGTGCGTTGGGTGGAAGAATTAATAATATACGCACCTCGGAGTTACCCAAAGAGAAAACTCGATCAGAAGTCATTTGCAGCATCCACTTTTTAGATGGCGTGGTACAGACCTTTAAAGTTACTGTAAGTTCTCTACTTTTTTTTTTTACTTTTCCTGAATTAATGCTCCTAACAAATAGTTTTCATCTCTTGGCTCACAAAATGAAGAAAAAAATATTTTAAAATGAAAGCTTGAGATCTCAGATCTTGTATGTTGAGATTGCACTGGAAATACTTAAAAATGTTGCCCCAATTTCACCTCTGCCCTGAGGGTCTTCCCCCCGCCCTTCTGTGTGGTGTGAACTGTTTGACGCTCAGATGTTGGTGCTTCTGGGAAGTCCTCATCCACTTTCTGAAGGAGACTGGTTTGGGAAGTGGATGAGGACTCCACGGAAGCACCAACATCTGGAGGCATCATGGCACCCTATATATGCTTCATTAGAGCCCACGTCAGGTTGCATTTTTTCAAGTAGTGATTAGGGTATATGTTGCCCATGAAACTGAGCTCCTTGAAAACAGGAAAGAATAGAAAGGGTGTTGTTTCCCCCGTGCCTGGCACAAAGCTGGGCACACAGCATGTGCTCGTTAAATGTGTGAGTGAGTGGGTTGTGAAACAATCAGCCTCACAGATGGCAGGGCTTGGGGAGGTTCTGGCTCATCCCACTTAAAGCCCGTGGCAGAGCCAGCACTAGAAACGAGGTCTCCAGTCTCCCAGGCCAGCTGCAGGAAGATACTGGGACCATGGCTGCCTATGGTGCCCACCCACCCCAGTCACCACCGAGCCCGTGACCTTTGCCCATGACCTCTTCCATCCTCTGGCCAGTCCTAACAGGATCAGTCCCAACCCTGAACTGGCTGCTAGGATCTGCCCCAACCTGTAAAGTTCAGTGTGCAAGGAAAGACATCAGAAGAGAAGATGGGATGAGAGAACAATTGAGGGAACAATAAAAGGCCACAAGAATGCAAAGGGTGACAAAAACTGATCCCTGGGTCTTCCGCACACCCCATACAAGTTTGCCCACTGCCAATCCCAGGTGATCATGGACCTTGATGTAGGCAGGAGGAGAAGGCAGTTTGCGTGGAGTTTTAGCACGGTGGGTGCTGTATCTCCTTTTCAGCAGGCATGGGGCGGTGGCCCAGTGCCTTGGCTGCAGACGTCTCCCTGTCAGTGCAGAAGACTCAGGTGGACAACCAAAGTCATGGAAGTTTGGGCCCTTCGCCTGGCAGAGAGTGGGAATGGGCAGTAGAGATGGATGTTTCCCAGCCTTCTGCCCCACTCTTCCACGAGCACCCAGGCCTCCAGCTATTCCCCAGTGTCAGGGCATCATTTTTTTGTAGGTGGGAAACATTGTTGTAACAAGTGAAAACTCCAGCAAGGAAATTCAGTTGTCTAGTTAGGTGTCTCCAAAGTCTAATTAGAGGGGCTACAACGTATACCTGTGACCTGTTTCTTCAGAAGCCACTTTGGAGGAAAACATCCTCTCAGGAGGACTGTCCAAAAGAATATTCTGCAATTCTGGAAATATTCTGTGTCTGCACTAACCCATAGGGGAGCCCCCCAGCCGCATGTGGCAATTGGACATTTGAAATATACCTGAATAACTAATTTTTTTTTTTTTTTCCTGAAACAAGGTCTTTCTCTGTCACCCAGGCTGGAGTGCAGTGGTGTAATCCCAGCTCACTGCAGCCTCAACCTCCTGGGCTTAAGCAATCCTCCCACTTCAGCCTCCCAAGCAGCTGGGACTACAGGCACACACCACTACACCCATCTAATTTTTTTATTTTTT
This sequence comes from Homo sapiens, assembly GCF_000001405.40. NCBI lineage: Eukaryota > Metazoa > Chordata > Mammalia > Primates > Hominidae > Homo > Homo sapiens. The sequence goes on along the minus strand of NC_000009.12, from coordinate 109,461,593 downwards.
TGTAGAAACGAGGTCTCACTAACTTGTCCAGGCTGGTCTCAAATTCCTGAGCTCAGGCGACCCTCCCACTTTAGCTTCCTGAAGTGCTGGAATTGTAAAGCATGAGCTACCATGCCTGGCTTAAATTTTGTATTTTATCTTAATTAAAATGGAAGCAGTCTTTAGTAGTTCATAGTCCCCACTTTAGATTGCTCAGCTTTGGTAAACATTTCTTAAAGTGTGTCAGAAGCTCCTACGATGTGTGTTAAAGATGTCAATCCCTTGTCCTGCCTGGGTGTTTTGAAACTTGCTCTCTGTGGGGTGGGGCCTGAGAATCTGTATTGTAATGGCTCCCCGAGTTGTCTCAATGTGCCGTGCAGTTAGAGAACCACTGATTTAGGGGTCTGTTGGCAAGGTTGTAAATATTTCCCTTAAAAGGCAACTAGTTTGGTTCTACAGAACCTTGTCTTGTATCTGATTTCCTTTTAACATAATCTTTCATAGAATTTTGTGATTACACAAGCTCCATGAAGGTCACAGATGTCTCTTCCAGATGCTGTACACTAATAGTTTAGTATGTGTCTGGCTTCTTTGTTAAAATGTGTGTTTGTCTGTCTTGGAGCTGTTCTTTAACCGTTTATCCTCTTCCTGACGAAAACATGAATGTTTGTTAGTATATAACTCATGTATTCATTCAGCATATGTTTACTGAGCACTTACTATGGGCTAAGCTTTGTTCTGGGTACAAAAAATGGCAACAGTGCACAAAACAGAACAAAATCCCTGCGTTTTTGAAGCTAACATCCCAGCAGGGGAGATGGGCCATAAAAAAATATGTGCTGAGTCGGGCTTTGCAGAAAAATAAAGTAGAGCAAGAGGGAGAGAGTGCCAGGGCAAGGTGAGGTTACCATTGTATAGACGTAACCAGAGACGTCCCCACTGATGAGATGAAAGAACCAGGCGTTCATCTGGAGGGAGCACATCCCAGGGAGAAGGAACAGCAGTGCAAAGGCCCTGAGGCTGGAGCCCACTTCCTTTGGTTGCAGAACACAGTGGAGTCTGGAGTGGAATGAGCAAGGGGGGAGGGTAGCAGAAGATAAGCTCAGAGAGATAACAGGGGTAAGGGGTGGGGGATCGCATGGAGCCTTGTAGATCATTCTGAGGGCACTGGCTTTTTTTCCTACATGAGGTGGAAAGCACTGGGGCTCTGTCCACAGTTGACAATAGGAGGGAAGGGGCTGAAAGACTGGTGTGGCAGTCCAGGGCGGAGATGATGACCATTGGACATGGTGGCTGTGTGGGGCTGGCTAAGAGGAAACTGAGCCCAGAAGTACTTTGAAGGTGGAGTCAATAGGGTTTGCTGATAGATGGGATTTGGAATGCGAAAGAACAGGAGGCCTCAAGGTGAATCCCAGATTTTTGGCCTGAGCAATGCAGCAAAATAGAGTTGCAGTTTATTGAGATGGGGAAGACTGTGGGAAGAACAGGTCTCAGGGTAGAAGTAATCAGTTCTGCTGTGGGCATATTGTGGGGGAGAGGCCTGTTATTCATCTGTGTAGCAGTATAGGAATGGTACGAGATAGAAGAGTCAGGAGGTTAGGGGATGGGTCCAGGCTGGGGATACAGATGTGGATGTCACCAGGATAGAGATGGGATTTCAAGCTTGAAACTGGAGGAGATCCCCTGAGAAGCAAGTGGATGGAAGCTGCGAACGGTGCTTAAGGGTAGGAGAGGTGAGGAGCAGGCACTAAAGGAGTCTGAGAAGGACCAGCCAGGGAGGCGGGAGGAGGCCAAGAGCGAATGTCTGAGAATCCCAGCAGGAGGAAGAGTGATCAGCTCTGTGAAAAGGGGAGAAAGCAAGCACCTACCCCGAGTGAGCATCATATCAAGCCTTACAACAGGCTGGGTGCAGTGGTTAATGCCTGTATTCTCAGCACTTTGAGAGGCCAAAGCAGGAGGATCCCTTGAGCCCAGGAGTTTGAGGTTACAGTGAGCTAATTGTACCACTGCACTCCAGCAGGGGCAGTGGAGCAAGACCCTGTCTCTAAAAAAATAAAAAAGTCTTAGAGCCTGGCAAACAGTGAGCACCCAGAAATTCTTAGTTATGAACGTCATTGTTCTTATCACGTGGCTGCCACCCCAAGCTTCCAGCAGCCTGGTTCAAAGCTGAGTCCCATGGAACTTGAGAAGTTGGAGGGCCTGGTTGCAACTTGGAGTATCCCTCACTTTGTGTCTTTCTATGTGTAGGAATTGTTTGCACAGTCTCATTCAGACTCTTTAGCCCAGCCCACCTTGTGACCAGGAGCAGATGTCAGGGAAGCTGACTTGGATATCAGTCGTTCTTCTCTCAGCCCAGGGAGCGAGCCCTGGTGGTGACCTGGTGCCGTGAAGATGACCTCTTGAGGGCAGGGGCCAGGCCAGGAGGCCTTTTCTTATTATAAATGTGTTTTTTGTTATTACATTTTAATTTCTCTTGAGAACTGGATGAATTATGCAGAATAGATACCTGTATATGTGAATTATGCACTTCAGAGGAGGAGATGTAGTAGGAACAAACAGACCTGAGTCAGGCAGTCAGACTGTCCTTCTGCTGATGGTGCAAGGCACGGAGCCTCTCGGTGCCTCTGCTCGTTGGCAAGGGAGATGGTGATGACTACTACACTTTGCAAAGTTGCTGCAAAGATTAGAGATCATATATAAAAAGCACATTGGCATAATGTCTGGCTCCTTGTAGATGTTCAGTAAATTGTAGTTAATAATATATATTAAATGTAATATAAAATCATACATAAATAATTCCGACAAGGGGAGCAGCTAGCTTTTTGACATCTGGTAATGTGCAATGTGTGGTCTGGGTCATTCTTTCCCCACCTATTGTGATTCTTTTCTGATGGATGGTGCCCTGGGTAGAAGGAGCAGGAGGTACAAGCGCTGTTGGGCAGGAAAGGGGGCATGTTCAGGAAATGGGCGTGTTTCATGTTCCCACACTTCAGACCGAATAATCTGAGGCTGCCCCAAAGAAGTCTCTGCAGGTGGGGCCTGACAGTTATCTAATTCTCCCAATGCTGGTCACTGTGACCTATTTTCAAGTACATTATTTGCTCTCAGGCACTCAAAAAAAGGAGCTACCTTTGCCTGTTCTATACACGGTCTATTTCTGACTCATATTGTCCTTTAGTTAAATGGTTTGGTTCAAAGGATTCCTGCAAAGTCTGCCTGTTAAAGTAGAATTTGCAGTTTTCCAAACACTCCATGCTGTTTGCCATCCCTGGGCCTTTGTGCCGGGCCATCTGATCCAAAGGCCTGTTTTTAGCTCGTGTGCCTGGAGGGGAGGGGTGATGCTTGGCCCTGTCCTCCTCCCAAACCCAGATCAGGGGGTTGCTTCCTCTACGGCCCCAGTCGAGATGACCATTTGTGTGGTCCCGTTGGGTGTCCACTGTGCCTCGACTGTTTCACAGCCCTCGACGGCCTTTGACACTCTGTTACAGCCACTGCCTCCATGGCTGGGGCAGGAAAAGGGAGCTTCTTATGGCCGTGTCCCCATTCCCACACCGTGCCTGCCCCATAAACATGGAGCGGGGAAGGCAATGGAGTCCTGATCTGAAGAGGCGTGTGGTTGAACGTGCCCCTCAGCTTCTCACTTCAGATGATGGGAAGGGGAAGCAGGGAGGCAGATAATCCCACAGGGTGGCACAGGCCACATCACTCTGAGGGTATTTTGAATGGCAGTTGAGTATTTTTAGCTGTCTTCCTTTAGGCTGTTAGGTGAGAGCTTTCCTTTCCTGGACATGCACTTCGGTGGCTTCTCCAGGAGTAGGAGCCACAGGTGTGTCCTGAGGAGCCAACAGAAACCACCCTGGGGTTAGCATTTCATTGTGGATAATCCACTGGAGGCCACAGGGAGTTCACTGTGATTATGAGAGCTGAGTTTTCCGATTTAGACATTATCACTTGGGAATTGCAGCTAAGGGGGAAGGAAGAAATCTTAGACAATTAAATTAAACTCGTATTGTCTTGTGTTGATGTCATTTTTCTTAGCCCTACTTCCCATATGTGCTGTGTGGCTTCTTAAAATTTATTAAAGCTTTTCTTGTGGTGGGAAGTGTGTGTGCATAGCATTTCTGAATATTTTAACTCTTTTTTGCCTACAGTAAAGATGTTTTTACCACCAATTAATTTAAGACTTTTCCCACTTGATAATTTCCTTTGTTCTAGAAACAAGACACTGGCCAGGTTCTTCTGGATATGGTGCACAACCACCTGGGTGTGACTGAAAAGGAATATTTTGGTTTACAGCATGATGACGACTCCGTGGACTCTCCTGTAAGTGCCATTTTTAAAAAATGTGCTGAACTCCTTCACGGTTTGCTTTTATATTTTATGTTTTCTTGTCCAACAGAGATGGCTGGAAGCAAGCAAAGCCATCAGGAAGCAGTTAAAAGGTTGGTGTGATCTTTTCATTTCAGTCGAACATTAGGTGTTAGTGTATCACAGCCTGTTTCTCCCCTCCAATCGTCAGTGCCTGTGACATCTGGTACCTGTAGTTCCGGGTGTCCAGGAGTCATGAGTGAGCCGACTTCTCCCTGTCTGACTTCTGAGTCAGCAGAGATGCTTCCAGATCAGCCCTCTAGGATCCGCCCCAGCTGTGGGAAAGAAGGGGAAGGGTGAGAGTAGGCAGCTCAGAGCGAGGGAACCCACATTTCTGTATTCAAGGAAGGAAAAGGAAGGAGGATGGCCTTACTTAGCCCGATGTGAGAGCCAGGGTGGACAAGAGAGACAGGGAGATAGACAAACACAAACACCTCATACTTTCCAACAGCATAGTCGCGTTCACGGAAAACCGAACCATAAGTAGGTAATGTCACCAATATAAAAGATTAAGTCTTCCAAACTACCGCTTATCTCTCAGGAGTGAATCCCAGTGCTGCAGCTAACTCCCAGTTCGGTGGCCAGTCAGGCCACACCATAGTCCACCCTCTGCCCTGATCTGCTCTCGGCCTGATGTTCCAACATTGCCAGCATTGTTCCCCTTTATGCCACTCATGCCCCAGACCAACCTGGCTGATCTGCAGGGCCTCCCAGTGCCTCCCCTCAGTCTGTTCCATCTGCTGGGAATGCTTTTCCCTCCCACTTCCCTCTGTCGAAATCCTGCCTTTTTTCAAGGCTGCTCAGATCTCATTTCCTCTCCTAGAAACTGTGGGTGGCTCCCTCGACATTCTCTTAGATTTACCATCACCCGTGTTGGGGTTCTGAATGCTCTTGTCCTCATCTGTGTTAGTTGCCTTTAGTTCCCTCTCAGAACTGCAAGTTCCTTGAGGTTAGGACCCTTGTTATATTTCTCTCTGCATCCCCAAGGTGCCCAACACACACAAAAAGTGGCCAGTGCATGGCGGAGTGGAGAAGGGCAAGTGGATTTGCGCACGCAGGTGCGCATACACAGGATGCCCCCCAACACACACACGCACACCTGCCTCAGCACCCAGGCAGGAAGAAGTAGACACAGTGGCCTTCGCTCCCGTCTCACTGCTGCCCCCACAGGGAGCCCGATTCTCAAAGTTCTTCCCTCCCATGAGCTGCATCCTCTGCGTTCAGAAGTACCTGTGGGAGCCTCAGGGCCACTTGCAGACAAATACCTGCCTCATCCAAGTCCCCAGGAATGAGTCCACACAAGGCATGAATAGGTGTTGTCATTCATTCTCTCATTAACTCCTGCTTTCGGTGAACGTATCCTGAGCTCAGACTGTGGCAAGGTGCTGGGCTAAGCCCTGGGAATCCAGTCCAGATCAAATTTGGACTCTCCCCTCAAGGAGCCCACAGCCAAGTGTGCAGACAGCCCAGAGGGTTCGACATTCTATGATAATAGTAAGCACACGATAGGGGACAGCCAGAAAGAAAAAGAGGCTATGCCTGCAGCGCAGAGATGAAAAGTTTTAGAAGAGGGGGAGGGGAGGTGAACAAGCATCCCAAGGCAGCAGGAGGACATTGTTCTCCCCTGATGTGCAGATTGTCATAGCGCCATCCGCTGGTACCTAGACATGTGGACAGGTGTACTCAGGGGCACACCCCCGTTAGGGATTCTTTGAACACACGCTGCAGATGAAGAAAGAAAGCACTAAAGAGCAGGGAGGGTAGAGCTCAGGATGATCTCAGGTAGAGGAGGAGATCTAGCAGGCTAGTGAGAAGGACTTGAGTTGCAGAGAGCAAGAAAGTGCTCAGTGCCTAGATAGGGCTGGCGAATATTTACTGAGGGATGATGGTGAAATTGACATGAAGATCTTGGGATCTTAGCAGCACAATCTGATCTTCTCCTGTTGCCGTCTCTGTGAGAAGAAATGGACTAATTTTATCCACACAAGCAAATTGACTCTAGATGTTGATGCATAAAGCCGTATTTGAATATGTTCATTGTGTGATTTACTAGTATACTAACTTAATATACTTTACATTAAAAGCATGAGATATTTTCTAGTTTAAAAATGATTTTGAAATGTGGTATAGCAGAATCAAAGATCTCATTACTCTAATTCTGGTTTTGTCACCAGCTGTGTGACCTAAGGCAAGTCACCTCTAATTGGCTTATCTGTAAAATGGGGCTACCAGTAGCAGCGTAGCCCACTCATAGTCATGGTGGTGTTGAAATGCAGGAATGTACATGAAAATGCTTGAAACTTATAAATGGCTACACAAACGCAGGCTATTATTTCTTTGTATATTTTGCATAATAATGCCGATTTAAGGATTTTTTAAATTCCTAATACAGATGACGGAGTGCAATGTTTAAACACAGCCCTAAGATAAACGTGTGCTAGGAAGTAGATGATAACTCAGTCTGTGCTGATGTTGCATAAATGTTTTACTTTTTGAAGACTTGGAGATTTCTGAAACAACTAACTTATGTACTCCATGTTTGAAATTAGCCCTTTTATAATGGAAAAAGCTATGGTTGAGTGAAAAAATGCATCACTTATGGAAGAGAAGCAACTTACATACATTGACTTTGTCAAAGGGAAAATTTAATTTGTTTTTGAAAAATGTTGTAGGAGGTTTCCCCTGTACCCTGCATTTTCGAGTAAGATTTTTTATACCTGATCCCAACACACTGCAGCAAGAACAAACCAGGTAACAACATTTTTTTAAAGTTTTCTGTTTAGTGTATAAAAATGAGTAACCACTAAAAATGTACTCTTCATTTTATTACTATGGCCAAATAACTTCATTTGGGTGTAACTACACCAACAATGATGATCCAAGTAAAAATCTGGGGTGCACATACTGACATTTTAATCACCTAATGAGTTTTCAGTCTTGGGCCTGCTTCTCTTATCTCCTGATTTGCTGCCATTCCCAGCATACTCCCATCTGCCACCTCCTACCTCTCCCACCTCCTTCCACCTCCCTGGCCTCTCCTGCCTGCTGAACACACTGTGCTCAAAGGACAAAAAGTCATTTTCTACCAATGTAGGCAGGATGTAGAAGACAAATTTGTAAAATAGTCATCCACAGGTCAAATAGCATGATGTCTCTGAAGAGCTAAAATCAAGGCTCTTGAAGATAACAAGACATCTCTTGTTATAAGAATTTTCTTTCTTTTTTTTTGTTTTGAGACGGAGTCTCTCTCTTCACCCTGGCTGGAGCGCAGAGGTGCGAGCTTGGCTCACTGCAACCTCCGCCTCCCAGGTTCAAGCGATCCTCCCACCTCAGCCTCCCGAGTAGCTAGGATTACAGGCAGGTACCACCATGCCTGGCTAATTTTTTTTTTTTTTTTTTTTAACGGAGATGGGGTTTCCATGTCGTCCAGGCTGGTCTCAAACTCCTGACCTCAAGTGATCTGCCTGCCTCAGCCTCCCAAGGTGCTGGGATTATAGGCATGAGTCACCAGGCCAGCTTTGTTATAAGAATTTTCTATCAGATCCCCAGTTTGCAAGAGTTAGAAAGGAGAGCAGGCTGGATTCAGCTTGTCTTCTCAGTGAATCAGCAAGTACAGGAAATATGTGAACCAGATAAGGGAAAGAGGGCTGTGATAGGAGTTGTTTACCCCTCAGGGCTTGGAGTCTCTCCCAACCCTGGGCTGGTACTGGGGTTTTTCTAGGTGTGAGGGACAGAGTAATTGGAATGGAGTAGGAGAGTGTAGCACAAGAAAGTTGTTGCTGTTTTAACACAGACTGCACAAACAAACTTTCCCTCCCCTGTGGCAACGTTAAGCCCTTTTATTATTGATCCATTTATTTTTCTTAGGGAGGGAAGCTATAGAAAAAAAGCAATAGATGCTTAGTATTGAATCCTGTTTTACATTCATCGTGGCCAAAAGACATAATCAAGGAGGCAGCATTAACTCAGACACAGAGTGTTGCCTTGTTAATTTTTTTTAGCAGTAATTACATCACATTTTAACTTGTAATATGTTGAAAGGCCAAATATTAATCTGTTACTGTATTTTGCCTTCTTTGTGCACCTCCTCCCTCTACTATAGCAGACACTGGGAATTTGACTGTATTTTTTATTACTTTTTAAGCCAATGTCCAAGGTGTCTGGTATGACACATCCGGTGACCACACAGAAGCATGCCCTGTCCTCTGAGTTTTCCCCATACCAGCTCTTTATGCTGGTAAACTGGGGATAGGATAGAAACACTCAGCCCAGCAGGTTACTTCATAAGCTGACGGACACAGAGCTGGTGATGAAATCTATAAGAATGTGTTTGAAATGACCCTACCAAGGTTTCCTCAGGCCAGTACTAAATAACACACTCTGGGCCAGGCATGGTGGCTCATACTTGTGAGCTTCCCAGCACTTCAGGAACCCAAGGCGGGAGGGTCACTTGAGGCCAGGAGTTTGAAACCAGCCTGGGCCACATAGCAAGACCCTGCCTCTACAAAAATAAAAATAAAAAAGTAGTCAGGTGTGGTGGTGCATGTGTCAGCATCTCAGGAGGCTAACTAGGAGGATCACTTGAGCCCAGAAGTTCAAGGCTGCAGTGAGCCATGATCAAGCCATGTACTCCAGCCTAAGTGATCGACTGAGACCCTGTTGCAGAAAAAAAAAAAAGGCTCTGTTGAAGGGATGTCTTAAAAACAACATAATATGTGTGTGTTTACATGTATATGTGTCTTTTATATATATTATATATAATGTGTGTGATTATGTATGTATGTACATGTGTACGTGTGTGTGGTTCTAACCAGTGGGTTTTTTAAAAATCACAACTCCAAAGTAAAAATATATTTTGTTTCAGAATACAGTACACATATATAAATTACTGAAGCAAACGTTTTATAAAACTATAGTAAGTACCAGGTACTCTGAAGTTTTCTATTCTGTTTTATTTCCTTTTTTTTTTTTTTTTTTTTTGAGACGGAGCTCGCTCTGTCACCCAGGCTGGAGTGCAGTGGCGCGCTCTCAGCTCACTGTAACCTCGGCCTCCCGGGTTCAAGCGATTCTCCTGCCTCAGCCTCCTGAGTAGCTAGGACTACAGGCGTGTGCCATCAAGCCCAGCTAATTTTTGTATCTTTAGGAGAGGTGGGGTTTCACCATGTTGGCCAGGATGGTCTCGATCTCTTGACCTTGTGATCTGCCCGCCTCGGCCTCCCAAAGTGCTGGGATTACAGGCATGAGCCTCTGTGCCCGGCCTTACTTCCTTTTTTTAAAAACTTGCCAACTGTGACGCATTAAATTGATTGTACAACCAACTGGGAGGTTCCAACCCCAAGTCTGGACGGCACTGCCTAAACTAGTGATTGTCACCTGCCTCCTGCCTTCCCATAACACTAGAGCCCCAGGTTTGTGGCATCCACTGGGCACATTAGAGCCCTCCAGTGGCCAAACTTGAGGGAGAGGTTTCCTACGGCCAGTGCAACCTAGGAGTTTGTCTCCAGGGCCCATCCTGGCCATTGGCCATCCACTTCCATACGCTGTGGAAGAGAAGCCCACTTCTCTGGGAGCTGACAAAATCTTCCTGCTGAGCCTTCCTGTCATTTGAGGGACATCTGTGGAAATGTAGGGCATTCATGATGGAGAGAAGCCTCGGGCACAAATGAAGGCTGCCTTCAGGTGTCCGAAGAGTAGTCATGGGAAAAGGGGAACTAGATGTGCAGGGTCGTAGAATTGTGGCCAGTGGGTGGAGGCTACAGGGAGGCAGATTTTAGCACAGAATGAGTAATAAACAGTGTGTGTCTGTCTCTTCTAAAATTCACTGGTTGACAACTGACACCCCACCCCCACCTTCCATCTTAAGAAGGGTGGTATCCCGTTGTGGAGTAGAATGTAACTATGACCTTCTGGGATTTGGGCACCAGATTTATCTTACTGCAACAGGAGCCATGGTGGGAGCCACCCCCATAACTCTTATAGAGCTGGTGGGCCACCAGGACTGCCAGATATATATATATATTTTTTGAAACAGGGTCTTGCTATGTTGCCCAGACTGGCCTCAAACTCCTGGACTCAAAGGATCCTCCCTCAGCCTCCTGAGTAGCTGGGATTATAGGCACATACCACCACGACTAGCTGCCAGATCATCTTATCTTGGACCAGGCTTCTACCATTAATTCACATGCTTTAAAAAAATTAAAAATTAAAAAAATGAAAAATAAAAAAACTTAAAAGATTTTACCTATATTCCTGGAACATAGTTATCTTACCCCAGCTTTGTAGTTCCTGTTTAAGGAAATTCCCTCTGAAGGAAATTTTAGCTCTCAAGAGTCAAAGAAGATGTATAGAGGTGGTATCTGTTAGTTTTTGTTTGTTTGTTAAGGATCTAGGCAGAGAGGTCATTACATTTTTCTGAAGTTGAGGTCACAGGTGGGGTACCCACAAGAGAGGTCATTACATTTCTGAAGTTAGGCATCCCAGGCATCTCTTCTAAAGAACTATCCTGTATTCTAATTGTTAAATAAATATCTTCTTCATTGTGAGCCTCCACAACTGCTGTTTCTGATAAATTTAGATCATTCTTTGCAGAATTTTATATACTGGCAATCTCAAAACTAGGCTCCTTCAAGATTCCTAGGAAGTCTCCCAAGCTCGGGTTGGGTTCCACTATTCTAGTTTCTTTGTGTATGATGCCATGGGGTTGACTCAGAAACTTTGCTCAATATATGACAAGGCAGCATTTGGTGAGTGGTGATCTCCACGTTTATCTTCTCATTTATATCCCTAGGAAGACATACTGATTAGCTGAGCTTGTCAATGAAAGCCCGGGTTCACCATTGGATTATCTATAACTCTCCTTTCTCTTTTTTTCTCTCAGTAGCATTGTAGGAGGAGAGAACACTTAATTCTGGTTGAATGTCAGCTTGGATAAACATAGAAACAAACTAGAAAGAACTGATGATGTTCTCCTAGGTGGAAAAGATGGAGATTCCAATACCAAATAGGTGTGAATCAGCAAATGTATGTTATACTGTCTCTCAAGGCCAGGTGTTCAATACATTGTGGGTAGTTAATTATAATCAAAGTAATAATATTAGAGTTACGACATGGATCCTAAGCTTTTTAGCCATTAAACATATAAGAAATTTGTAGCATAGTGAGTTTTTTTATAACATGATCATCCAGGTTAAAATAAGACACAATTGACCTCACATATCCTATCTGAGCTCCGATTTTGTCATCTGTAAAAATGGAGATAGTGGTACCTACCTTACAGAGTTATGAGGCTGAGATAAGAGGGAAAGTTACAAAGTAGTACCATGTACAAAGCCCGGAACTGTGCAAATAGGAGGTTGTAATACTGTTTGAAGCATTCCCATCTCAAAAAGCCAGTTCCTTGGCCTTTATAAATTTGAAGGAATAATGAAACTGATTTGTTTCAATTGTGAAAATTATTTCTCTCCTGCCCCTGTGCACTTCTGCCCTGTCTATATTAGATTTCAAGAGGTTTCCCTTTTGTCATCTTGGCCAGACAATGGAATGTCTATCCCGTTTGAATCTGGGTTTAAAAAAGCATGGGAGCTAGTGGCCAAGTGTCACATGTATGCCGCATCCCTAAATAGAAGTCTCCCCAGGGCGCTTCCTGACCTGCGCAATGCTGCCGAAGGCCTCCTTTCCCCGCTCCCCAGGCAGAGGAGCAAAGTCACAGGCTGAGGGGCCTGCCACGACTTGCCCACAAAACAGGTCTGGAGTTTGGAAGTTACATTTGCTGGTTGCCCAGAGATGAGTGCAGAATTCAGCTTGGAGGTCCTGGAAACTTCTAGTTTACTGATGTTTATGCTTTTGCTCATGCACCCACAGTTCCTGGGACACAGAATGCTCACCTGGGGGTTTGTACCCCAGCCAAGAAGGTGTCTTCACAGACTCCCCTCCTTTTAGCAACTTCATGCAGATGGAGCTTGGGTGGATGGATCCTGGCACAGTGTTCAGAACAGTGGCCCTGCCAGTGTGTGGGCGCCGCTTGTGCAGAGCCCCTGTGGGTTCTGGTCCTCAAGGGCAGGGGCGCTCACTGACAGCGGAACCCATAGTACCAGCCCATCTTTGGTGGGCTGTTTCCACCCCATTCATCCCTGCTCAGCTCTTCATAGGACAGCCTGTGCTGGCAGAAAATTGCCCCCACCAGTCAAGACGTAGGGCATCAACATGAGCCATCAGTAATGACAGGGCAGCTTTGCAGAGCGTAAGGTAGCACCTGATACCTTGGACCAAAACCGTATTTTTATGTATCTTTCACATGTACAGCTCTTGTCTTTGACTCATCAAACTTTCTTTTTTTTTTTTTTTTGCTTATTTCAGTTTGAGTATGAATTAATGAAAACAATTGTTTCATAGGCACTTGTATTTCTTACAACTGAAGATGGATATTTGCGAAGGAAGGTAATGAGAATTTTACATTTTTCTTTTCCTGTTAGACTAGCAAAATTCCTGGTTTTAATCTAATGAGTGTTTATTTCTGGTAACAATATCAAATCTAAACAGAGTGGATGTGCAAAGCATCCTGTACAGCATTAGGCTTTGGACATCTGTTTTTATTATACCTCAGTCTTGGCTGAGAGAGGCTAAGGATTGATAACTTTGTTTCATGTTATTTCAGTTTTATTACAAAGGATGCAGCTATCTTTCTGGTAAAGACCTGAGAAATTTTAAAGGGAGGAGGGGACCCAGAATGTACAATGGGCTTCATTCAGGAAGGCAGATCAGGCCTAATTTGGGTCCACTTTTGAGCCCCTTAGTACCCACGGATGACTCATTTTCTCTCTGGGAGGCTTTTTGCTCATTTGCCTGTGATTCAGTGCTTCTTGTGTTACCAAGACCATCTCAGTAGCTAGAAGGGAGAGGAAATTCCAAGCCGATGGTCCCTGAGCTACCTCCTTTTCTTGACTTAGGGAAGAAACTGCAGCAGGTAAACTGGTGGGAAGAGCACAGCTTATTCCCAGTCTCTTCACCGCACCCCCAACCCCTGTGAGTTTAGCCCTGGAGAGGAGGGTCTTCAGAGGTTACCAGCGTGCTGTACCATGAGGGAGCTGGAGTCTCACTGGGGAAATGAGACAGTATCCCATGAAGCAATTAGGAAACAATTAGAACCAATATGGGCAGTAGAGACAACAGTTGTCATAAGACTTGAGGAGCTCCTGCTGGTGTGAGCTAGAAAAGTCTTTATAGATTGCTAGGATGAGCCAGAATTGGGTTGGGTAGAGAAGTGAGGAGGTGGATTTCCCTGGGCAGTGAGAAGACACCCCACCCCCGACAGTCCCACTTGGAAACCACATGCTGAGAGCTTACAGGAGAATAGAGAGGGCTGTTCGTGTCCTACGTAGGCGGGCATCTTACATCTAGCAGGCAGAAGAGAACTGTTGAAGGTTTTTAAGCAGGAAGGATGTGGCAAGAGCCATATCCACAAAGATAGTATCATTGTGCACAAGGGAAGACTGGCAGAGGCCAGGGGCGGTTCAGTCTGGATGGAAGGGAATGGACAGCCTTCAAGGAAGCTATTGTAGCATCCAGGCCAGAGACCTGGGGGCATGGCAGTGAAGTTTGTGGAGAGAGGAGGTGGATAGTTAGAAGCAAGAGACACCTTGAGGAAAGGATTTCCAGAGCTGTTGACTATTGAGCACTCATAGAATTATAGAATTCTCATCACTTAGCTCATCCTGCCATTCAAGGTAGGAATGAGTCACTTCCCCAGCACAATCTACAGGTCTTCAGGCTTCTGCTTGATCACCCCCAGTGAGGGGGAGCTCACCCTTTCATGAGGCAGCATTTTTACATTTTAGGGTAACTCAAGGTTGAAATTACCGACCCCTCTCCTGGGTCCAGGCTGTCCTTAGCAGCTGCAGAAACCCATTCTTTCCTTCTCTTCTGCACACTTAGTCTTTTCCACAGATAGTTTGCAGTCACCTTTTTATGAGACAGGCACCGAACTACGCTGGTCAAATAAGGCCAGGGCCTTGCCTCCTCAGGAACTTCTAGTCTAATTCTCCAAATAATGGGTTGTCTTCAGTTTTTCTTCTCCAAACAAAATGCCCCTTGTTATTTCCATGTGAATCAGGGCAAATCTGTTAAGGCCACATCCTGGCTTAGATCTGTGGCCCTTGTCAAGTCCTCACCACCTCTCTGAGGAGAGGGTCTCTGCTACCAAACGCTTCTCAGATGTGGATTTGTGTATTTGTAACTGTGGGTCTTTTGACAGGCCCAGTGGAACATATGGAGCACTTTTCCTAGGTGTCAAATTGTCCCGACTTGTTTGAGCCGTCCATGGTAGCCGGCACTCAAGGTGTCATCTCCTTCTTTCCAAGATGGTTGATCTCATCCAAGCCCTTCACTCAGCAGGTGAAGACCCTGAAGCCCAAGGTGAAAGAAAGGGATGTGTTTAGGAACATGCGGCCAAGTTGAGAGCAGAACAGAGGCTTCTGGTGTTCCCTAGTATGTATTTGGAACAGTTTTTGGAATGTTTTTCTTTCTGGTTTCTTCATAGGATTGTTTCTTCCATCTAGAGGGAACCTCCTCAGCCTCTTTTCTAAGTTGTTCCCCAAATCCCATTCACCTCCTCTTTCTCCAGCAAGGACACTGGCGTAGATTTAATCAAACCCCATCTTGTTAGGAGAGCAAATAGCTGATACTCATCCTGTTTCTGCCTATCCTCCCCACGAGCTCTCTAGATTTCCAGATGAACAAACAGAGGTGAGATCCCTGGACCTCATCTGTAACCTTGGGGAGATTATTTGCAAGTCCCAGCAGGAACACAGCATCACTTGAGGAACAATGGGGGCCCCTCAGATAGGGAAAGTCGACTTCATATGCAGCTGCAGAACCAGCACACAGTGCAGTGGACAGGAAGCGGAACCCCTGGAGGGCCGCATTGTCAGAAAGGCGGAGTGGTTCACATCTTGGGTACTTCACGGGCTGCCATAGAAACTGTGTTCCCCACTTCCCACTGGGGTGCTGGGAAGAATTTTTAAAGTCCCAGTGGCTCCCAGTGTTGCTGTTAAGGATTCCTCCGTTTATCAGAGACCTCCCCACCCTTCAAGCCCTTCTTCCTGCCCTCCCCTAACCTGTTCTGCCCAGCAGTGACCCCTGCTCCAGGTCTGCTGGTGAGCTCCTGGGCAGGCCGTGGAGTCTGCAGTTGAATGCAGAAAAGAAAAGGGAGCAATCAGAGGATTCAAAATGTGCCTAAGACAGAGGTGGAGTCATTGGCAGAAACAGGGCACCTGGGAAAGCAGTGAGTTTAAGAGGAAAGGAGAACAAGGCCAACCCAAGTCCATGATTACTAGTGAATGGCACGAAGACTGAGAGACAGATCACTGAACTCTGTAGATCTTCAGGAGGGCAAATAGATAAAGGAATCCTAAGTCATCGTAATTAGTTAATTTAATTAAGGAATTGCAGGTTTTAAAATTGAAAATACCTTTCTACTTGTCCCTCCTAAGAGGATGTTACTATTTTAGAAAGAGGGTAATCTAGAACCAAAGGGTCATTAGAACTCAGGAATTTAGTTAGAGAGCCCTATGATGAGTCTCAGGTCTTTACTAGAAAGATTTAAAGGCTGCCCATTGATCTCAGAGTACAATTTTTTTACTTTTTTTTCCCCTCTTAGAGATAAGAGCCTGACCCTTCTTGAGCAGCCAAAACACTGGCCAGCATTAGTCCTTTAGTTTCATGGTATTTGTGATGGATATTATTTTAAACATGAAAAGGTTTTATTTTTAAAAAATTTTAGTGTATTACATTTGCCTTTACTGTTTATGTGCAGCATAAAGTTGCTTTTGTTACAATTCATGTTGTTTTGTAATGGTTGATCAAAGCAAAGAAAGACATGTGTTACTACGCATGATCTGTCAATGTTTAAGGCTGTTGTTGGTTCTTGTGACTTTGCTAATATGTTTTTCTCCTGACAGGTTAACCTGCCCTCTTAACTCAGCAGTGGTTCTAGCGTCCTATGCCGTACAATGTAAGTCACAAAGGGAGCATTTCACGGATGGACAGGTTGTTCTGATCAGTGTGTGGAGAAAGTCACTGGTTCCTCCTGCTTGACCAAGTCCCTCTTCCCCAGGAATCCTGCTGGGCAGCATATCTCTGGCTGTCCAGATATGTGTTTCTACTCAGACTGGCACTCTCCTGTAGCATGGGGATGTTAGATTAAGGAAGGTGGTTAAGGGGAAAGGAATGAATGAACTGTGGTGTGAAATTTTCTCCAAGGGAGCCCATCAGACAGCAGACAGCTGTTGCACATTGCATTTTCCAGAAACTTTGCTCAGGCATTTGATCTGATCTTCATACAAATCCCAGTGGGACAAATATTTGTATCAGTCATCCCTTATACACATGGAAACCTAGACCCAGCTAGGTTAAGAAATTTGCTAGGAGTCACCCCTGCTGCTTGGTTGGTGCTACTCTAAAACACTACTGGGATCTTAGGAATTTCTTTTCAGAGTTGCAGTATAGCTAATGGATTGTATATTGATCTATACCAGTGCTATTCAATAGAAATATAATGTGAATCATATATGTAACTTAAGTTTTCTAGTACACTCATTAAAAAAGGTAAAACGAAACAGGAGGTTTTTTATGTTTTATTTAATGCAATATATTGAAAATATTAGCATTTTAACTTAATGTACAAAGTTATTAGCAAGATATTTTACATTTTTTTTATACTAAGTCTTTGAAAATCAGTCTGGATTTTACACTGACGGTACATCTCAATTTGGACTAACCGCACGTCGCTAGTGGCTACCATATTGGATAGAAAGTCCAGATGGAATTTTCTTGAAGGCTGGTTTAAACTGGAGTAGGAATCCGCTCATTCAATCAGCAAAACTTTATCGAGGGTATATTCCCTTCCAAGTCCTGTGGGTAGATGCTGGGTAGGCACAATGAAAAGAACGTATAGCCAGATGAGAGCAAAATGTCACTTTATAGTAGCTAGCTTTGTGGTGGCAGTACAGTTCATCAGCATAGTACTCAGGTAGAGCCATTTGCAGCTCCAGACCTAAGAAATCTCCTCTACCAGAAGCCCAAACCATCTTGGCCTATTACCCTGTTGACCTACTGTGTGATAGATAGATAAGGCAGCAAGATGATCAGGTCTGAGAGCAGGCACTGGCTGAACTACACACCCTGCTCTGGTCTCAGAACAGGCAAAATAGCAAGAGAAGGCTGACGGACTCCTGAGGTGGCCCTAGGTCTGCCTATTTCCCTACCAGGAAAGAACAGAAATGAAGGAGGTGAAGAGCAAGGTGGCTGGGCCTGCAGCTTACCCACCCACCTGCATGGAACCAGGAGGTGGAGGGCAGGGGACATCAAAGATGACCCTATTCACGAGTAAGACGAGTACCAGAGTTAGTCTCTCCATCGATACCTGCATCGCCTCCTCCTTAGTGGGAAACTCAAAACAGGCGAATGGGCCTGGGTGGATTTGAACCTTCCCTTCTCCCTACAATATACCTGGGACAGGCCCGGCCATTTCACATCCATATGGGAAGTGGCATGGTCACCAGTTTGTATTCTTATGATCTGTAGACCTTGTGAACTCTGTGTCTGCCAGGCCAATCAGCTGAGGAGACTGAGCCTCCCCATGTCTCAGAGCAAGTTTGGTGTTCACAGCCTGAGCTTCAGGTTTATGAGGCAGGAACACTAACTAGAATATAGGCATATTCAATTTAAATCCTGGCATCCCTGGCCAGGTGTGGTGGCTCACGCATGTAATCCCAGTATTTTGGGAGGCTGAGACGGGAGGATCCCTTGAACCCCAGAGTCTGAGACCAGCCTGGGTATTATAGTAGGACCCTGTCTCTACAAAAACTGAAGAATTATCTGGGCATGGTGGTGTGCATCTGTAGTCCTAGTACTTTCTAAGGCTGAGGCAGGAGGATCACTTGATCCCAGGAGGTCGAGACTGGCATGGGCAACACTATGAAGCCCCATCTCTACAAAAAATAGAAAAATTAGCTGGGTGTGGTGGTGCGGTGCCTGTAGTCCCAGCTACTAGGGAGACTGAGGGGGTAGTATCTGTTGAGCCCCAGAGGTTGAGGCTGCAGTGAGCCATAATCATGCCATTGCACTCCAGCCTTTGTGACAGAGTGATACCCTGTCTCAAAAAAAAAAAAAAAAAATCTGATGTCTCCGGTGGCCAGTTATGTGGGATTGCCTCTCCTAATCTTGGTTTTCTCACCTGTAAAACTGAGGTGAGTGATTTAAGACAGCTCTCAATATGGCTACCTTGGTTCAAATTAAGCAATAATGTGAAGGTGATCTGTAACTAAAAATTCTTTATTGTTGGACCATCCCTGGCTGAGTCATTGAGAACTGGACTGGAGCCATATACCTAGGTCTTGCCTTTTCCACTTGTACCTGCCCGACTTTGAGCTTCTCCAGACCTCAGTTTCATTACCTGACCCATGAGGATAATAAGTGTCTCCTTCAAGGGTTGTAGTGAAGATGAAATGAGTGACTGTATGTAAAACTATTAGAATAGTGCATGGCACGTGTCAAGTGTTAGCTCTTACTGTATTTTCATGTCTGCCCAGAAGAAAGCTGTCAGGGAATTGCCTGTTGTAAACAGTAAATTCTATTTAGAGTAAAATTTAAAAAGCAAATAAAGAATTCTATCGCAGGCTTCAGTAGTCAGGTTCCCTTCTGCAAAGAACTGATAGAATGGGGGCTAAAGAAGTTGTGGGCACCTAAAAAGTACAAACTGGCTTCAGTAGAAATAGTCACATTACTGTCATGCTAATAGAATCATGGCTTATCAGGCAAGCAGTTTTAAGTATAAGCTTTTATCCCTCCACCCTCAATAAATATATATATTGCAGAGCATACATTTCTTTAAGATTAATACTTGTGCCAGGCACGGTGGTTCACGCCTGTATTCTCAGCGCTTTGGGAGGCTGAGGCAGGCGGATTGCGTGAGCCCAGGAGTTTGAGACCAGCCTGGGCAACATGGTGAAACCCTGTCTCTACAAAATATACAAAAATTAGCCAGGTGTGGTGGTACACCCCTGTAGTTCAAGTTACTGGGGAGGCTGAGGTGAGAGGATTATTTGAGCCCTGGAGGTCAAGGCTGCAGTGAGCCATAATTGCACCACTGTGCTCCAGCCTGGGCAACAGAGTGAGACTCTGTCTCAAAAAAAAAATTAATTATTGTATATGAAATTACTGGATCAAAAGGTACACCTACATTTTATGATATATTTTGCTAAATTCTTCCAAGAGGGGCATCTGATATAAGTCCTCACTGTGACCAGCTAACCAAAAGCACATTTTCTTATTACATAAAAAATAAAGTCCGGCATAGTGGTTTGCACCTGTAATCCCAGCTACTTGAGATGCTGAGGTGGAAGGATTGCTTGACCCCAGGAATTAGAGACTGCAGTGAGCCATGATCATGCCACTGCACACCAGCCTGAGCAACAGAGCAACCCCATCTCTTAAAAAAAAAAAAGTGATCTTCAGGTAAAGTACCCAAAAATATACAATGATGGAAAATTGTTAATGGCCTGCCAAGGCTTTATGAGGCTCAAAGAATAAAGTATATTTTTTGGAATATATGTTTATTCCAGAATGTTCCCTGCACCTGTGCCACATAGAGGTCTGTACCAGCCTCAGGGTGCACAGATGGATAAAACACACTGCTCTCCCCAAGGAGTCTACAGCCTGTAGGGAGGCAGATGTGGATGATACTAGCAGTGGAGATGGCCACCAGGGGTGCACTTCATCCTGCTTAGGGAGAGGGGAGAGCATCTGGGAAAACGTCCTAGGAATGACCCCTGAGAACCGCCTCTAAGATCAGGTTGGAGTTGAATGAATAGCAGGTAAAAGTCTTTCCAAGTACAACAGCCGGGCAGCTTGAAATGCTGTACTTTGGAACCTGGGATATACCCTCTCTTTGCTGCAAAACATAAAATATTATCAACCAGAAGAAAGCATGGAACTTAAAATGACAAGGTATTTCCCACATAAGCACTTCCTTTTTTGTTTGCTATAATTAGCTTTTGCATGTGTTGCTTTCTCACAGATAGGAAAATGGATTACTTAGGAGTTTGGAGCATATAGTATAGTAAGTAGGTAAGAGCAGGGACTATGGTCAGAGTCTAGCCTCCAAATTAGCAGCTGAGCAACAGTGGCAGACCCCTTTGGGTCTGTTTCCTTATGTGTTTAGTGGGGATAAAAAGCATTGCCTATATCACAGGGTTACCATGAGTAACAAGTGGGATGACATCATTGAAATCGATGTGAAACCGCCCAGTGTTTTGCAAATGTTTATCACTGTTTAACTTTGTTTCCCCCTAGTGGTTAGCACAGAGCTTTGCACAGAGTGGCCGCTTAGGATTTAAAGGGAAAACCACCCCACAGGGAGGCTCATTGGTTGTGTTCGAAGCTCAGAACATTTGTCAGCAACTTGCCTAAAGAGAGAACCTTGCTGTTCATGTTTGCAGAATGATACCAGGGATGGGACTGTTAACTGGTATGATGGATAACCTTATTGGGATCCAGGAGGATCTCCATGAGCTAATGAAACCAACAGAGTAAAGGTTCATAGGACTCCACCTTGAGGATCAGGAAAAGTCATTTACAGCATTTGGTTGGCCTTTGGGGACATGATTGCTGCCATCAAATGGCCAGCAGCGGCTCACAGGCCTGGCAGGCAGGCTGGTGGGGTGGTAGGAGCACTAACTGGGGTTCAGATCACCTGGGTTCTGATCTTGACCCTGTCCCAAAGGTGTCTTTTCCTTTCCAGACCGCAATTTCTTCACTCTTAACATGAGAGCTTTGAAGGAAGTGATTCTAATGCTTTCTAGCAATTTCCTCATTGGGCATGCTGTGTCAGGGCATTTAAATGATTTCCTGTGAACGCACCATGTGCGCTTAACCCTGCACAAACTCACCAGCCACATAGCCTTGACATTTCTTTCCACAGCTTGGCCACATTTGGCTGGCCTTAACAGCCTCTGGTCTAACCTTGACCAAGTCTGCATGCATTGGTCACTTGGCTCTCTGCCCTTTTCCCCTTCCAGAACTGAAATTTGCATCAGCCTCTGTACAGATCAGTTCTGAGCACCCAAATTTCTGAGCACCTACTGTGTGTCATGCCTGGTGCTGGGGGCCCTAAAGGTGAGTCTGACCCACTCCCAGCACTTGAGGCACAGTGTAGGAAGGAAACAGATCCCTTCGTTATGGTGTGGATCTCAAAAGAGCAGCCCTGTGTTGTGAGGGCAGTTAGGTGAACAAGGCTGAATGAAACATAACCTTTGCATCTTCCCTTTTTTTTTTTTTCTTTTTTGAGACAGAGTCTGGCTGTGTCACCCAGGCTGGAGTACAGTGGCTCAGTCTCGGTTCACTGCAACCTCTGCCTTCCAGGTTCAAGCGATTCTCATGCCTCAGCCTCCCAAGTAGCTGGGATTACAGGCATGCACCATCATACCTGGCTAATTTTTGTATTTATACTAGAGATGGGGTTTCACCATGTTGGCTAGGCTGGTCTCAAACCTCTGACCGCAGGTGATCCACCCGCCTTGGCCTCCCAAAGTGCTGGGATTACAGGCGTGAGCTACCATGCCCGGCTGCATTGCCCTTTCAACTTCATGGTGAAATTCACCCAAGCAGCTACCTGTCTCACCCACTTCCCTTCTGAGATTGGCCACAAAGTATCACCATATCTTTCCCATACTCTGCCCTTGTAACAGAGAAGGAGTTATTTGATTTGGAAATCTTTGGTGTTGAATTGAGAGTCCTCAGGAGGCTCCTGGCATTGCAGCGAGCTACAGGAAGAAATTCATTAAAATATTTGGAAAGATCAGGACTAATTTTTTTTTTAAAGATGAAGTAGAAGCTTTTTTTTGTTTTGTTTGTCAAGAAAATGGAATACGAGATCGGTTGCCCCATTAGAGGTAGAGATTATCTCCTCAATTCTGTTTTTAGACAAATGGGAAAACTTGTGGAGAAGGGAAATGGATGTCCTCAGGTCCCATAAGCCTGGTCCTTTGCTCTTCACCTGGTGCCATCCTTTTTCCCAGTTTCCTCAATGGTCCAGACACCCAAATGGTTTGAGTCCTTGAGGCAGCCATGGACACTTGTACAGGTTGAGCACTGCACAACTCTCAAGAATGCCCATCACATCATAGGCATCAACAATTCAATTCACATTGGCAGACAACAGTCAAGGGTCTCAAGGGAGCAGTACCATTTTGCCCAGGGGCTAGTCTGGAAGTCACCCTTCCTTTTCCCTCTGCACCTGCAGGTCCCTAATGTGATTCCCCTGATAGCCCCAGAATCTCTCTTCATATCTTCTGACTCCCCTTAGAATGTGTCTTTCTCCCTAGGAACTTTGCTGTTGCCTGAGCCCTGACCATTCAGCCCCACTCCCACCCACCTTTTGTCCCTGTGGCCTCTGAGCACATCCTGGTCCCCTTTCTTCCACACCTCCCTGAATCCCAGGGGATGGGTCAGGATGTGGAGAGTGGTCAGGTCGGCATGGCCTCCCTTCTGCCTACACCCAGTTTTTAGAGCAGATTGGTCCAGTGTTATGGTAACCTTGGGGTATGGCAGAGAAAGCCTGCACCGTGTGTGGCATATGGATTGTGGCATTTCCCCCAGTGGGTTCTCTTTATCCAGTGGCATGAGTGCAAACTGCTGTGCTGACCACAGTGTATGGAAGAGGTGTGGGATTAGAACAGGGCCTAGGTTCAAACACCGTCTCCTAATTTTCTCCCTCTGTGTCCTTGGGGAGAATGAGAATTTGATTGGATCATGTGTGATAGTATCTTAGCCTATAGTGAAGGCTCAGATAAGTGTGGAATCTGGAGCTAGTGAGAAGCTTCAGTTCATGTGGTGTAGAACTTACCAGAAGAGTATTTCTAATTAATGTTATTCTGATGATGCTGTAGATGCTTATAAATGCAAACCATATTAAAAAGGCAAAACTAATTATGATTTTCCCCTTCTTCTGTCTTGATAGCTCATTTTGGAGACTATAATTCTTCCATACATCATCCAGGCTATCTTTCCGATAGTCACTTTATACCCGATCAAAATGAGGACTTTTTAACAAAAGTCGAATCTCTGCATGAGCAGCACAGGTGAGGGGGGCTGGGGTGGCCTACTTTGGGGACTTGGGTTGGGTATTTTCAGACATCATATCCCTTTGTGTTTGATGCAGCCTCTTTCTTTTGTGCATGAATCCTCTTTCAAGATGTCGGGGGTTTTTGAACCTTTGAGCTGGTATGGTGGCAGATATATTTGGCATAACTAGCATTTCTGTAAAGTGTAAAATCCAGTAAGAGTTTAGGGTGATAGCTGCTGCGTCCTTTTCAGGATGTCATTGAAATCAGTAAATTCCTGAAGGAAATGCCCATTTTGAAATCTGATTGCCCCACCAATGGACTGTACCAAGGTAAACCTCTTAGCAGTTTACCACATTTAATAAAACAAGCTGTTCCTTCAGGTCTTGTTAAACAGACAGACAGATGGACGTACAGTGCTGACCAGTCTCCTGTGTTCAGTTCATGAAAAGTGCCCTATGTCCAAGTGGGGAGCATGAGTCTTCTGCAGTTGCCCCTGCGTATTTGTTGCGAGCCTCAGCTCCAACACATATGCCCAATTCTGGCTGCTCTTCCCCTTCCTTGTTTTACTTAAAGCTACAGCAGCAGCTGTGCAGTCCAGGTCAAATAAAGGCCACCCTGACCAAGAAGGCCAGCTCTCAAGGGGCTGCTCTCTTCTTGGGAAAGCCATAAAAACAAAGGCCAGGCAACCAAGTGTCCTTTCTAAGAAGGCATTGCCAAACCTCTCTCCCAGAATTACTCCCAGGGCAGAAGTCAATCTCCTAAAATAGTACGGGGCCAGTGGCGTTTGAAAGTTTGAGGCCACTGCCAAAAGAAGAGATAAAGGCAGAGAGACCTAAAGATTCCCTACTAATTAGCAACTTGGAATAATTAGGGCAGGGATTCTGAAAGGTAACAGTCTTCTCCGTCTGAATATTGTGAGCCCACTAAAGGGGAAGTATTATTTAATTTAAAAACAAGAGGGTCTAGAGGGAGTCACATTCAATGGATAAGAATAAAAACTTGCTTTAGTAGAATTTAGCATTAGATTGCTGAAGATTGATAACATAAGGCATTTAATAACCTTACAGAAATGGTATCAAATGTTCTAGATTTTTTAAAATTGGAGTTAATGCCCTCTCTTTATTGGATGAACTCTGCTTTTTGTCTTTTCTTCCGTAGTGGGCTAAAACAATCAGAAGCAGAATCCTGCTATATCAACATAGCGCGGACCCTCGACTTCTATGGAGTAGAACTGCACAGTGGTAGGGTATGTATTCTTGTTATGTCTTGGCTCAAACATTATGTTTTTATTTTAATCTCTGAGAGTTTGAAAAATTCTTTGATGAAACTATTTCTTTTTCATTATAACAGGACTTTTTAAAAGATATTTGGAAGGTTTATTAAGTAATGCTGAATTTTTTGTTGGTCATTTGTCCAATTGCTTTTTTTTAATGTTTGCTTTTGTACTTGAAGACTTTTCCCTTTTGAAGGGTTAGGGGACTAGAAACTAGTAATTTTTGTAAGACCATTTTATATTATGGTTTTAAAAGGCAAAAAATAGGTATAAATTCATTTTTCAGGTGACGGTTTAAGGAGCCAAGATTTCTACTACTTAATCTCAAGTGTTGCTCAAATTGGAGATAGTTACTCATATATGATAGTTTTTTTAAAAAGATTATGGTGATATAATTGTTAAAATCAATAAATATTTGAAATTAGTTGTGGCTACTTTAGTAGGATTTACTAACATCTGTCATCTGTCAAGCAATTTCTATGCACCAGTGGATTATTTCCTGCGGTAATACCATGAGTTCCATATGTTATCATTAACCCCATTTTACAGATGGAGAAACTGATACTCAGGGACATAACCGAGGTCACACAGCACACAAGTTGTAGCTTCAGCACATGACCCCTCACTGTCTAATTAGCATCTGACCTTTGATCAGTGGCATACGTTTTCTACCTGTGATTGGTCCACATCATATCCAAAAGGAAGCAAAAATTAATTGAGCACCTACTATATACTAGCCTTTATCCAGATGCTTTCATATGAGACCATAAGGTCTCACCTTGTGATCATAGAAACCTTGTGAAATCGACATTCTAGTTATTCCCGTTTTATAGATGAGAAAACCGAGGCTCATAGAGATTGAGTAAATGATCAGATTTTAAATCTATGTATTTTCATAGTTTATAGAAACACTTTCATTTATTTTTGTTTCACTTCGGTCCCTTGACAGTCCTGTGAGGTAGGCAAGTTGTGATATAGGAAATAAGGAAGGAAAATGGTGTTAGATCTTACAAAATATCAGCTTTGGGACTTGACCATTCATTTTTATTCCATTTGCAAATAATATTTTATCTTAGATAGAATGTTTCAGAGAACTTTAATTGTCGGTGAAGTAGGGCTTTATATCTGCCTGAGTTGAGCTGTGCTGTCCCACCCCAAGAACTGTCAGTGAAATGACCCTCAAGGGCTGTGAGGCCAGATGATATCTGCGTGGCAAAGACCCCCACAGTATCAGAGGGGGTTGGTCATACTAGGCTGTTCTACGTGAACTAAAAACCCCTAAATCTCCATAGCTTCATATCATAAGGTTTATCTTTCAGTAATTCAAAGCTTGCATTGAGTCTAGGAGTCTTCCAGGGCAGCCCTCCACCCCATCCATCGCAATAACTCAGCAGTCGAGGCTGCTTCCATGTCATGGCCATCTTTCCATGTGACCTCCATGTTTGTCACAAGGGAACAGGAAGCTGCAGGGTTACACACCAGCTCTTAAATGCTTCAGCCCAAAAGAGACATACATTCCTCCTGCTCAGAGCACAGTGGCCAGAACTAGTCACCGAGTTCTGCCCTCTGCAAGGGGAGCTGGGAAATGTGGGGTTGGGCCTGGGAATTGAATAGACAGTAACTTCCTATGCTGCAGGGGTTGAGGTGCATACTGAAAGACCACAGGATTAGGAGATTTGAGACCTGGTCTTTGGCCCACCCAAACCATTCATTTGTTTCCTTGTTCACTCAATTTTGATTTCCTTTGCTAATTTGCTCTGTCACACCTGCTTCATACTCCCTCTGTTGTGATCTCAAGTATCATATTTAAATGCAATTCTACCCTTCATCAAGCAAATTTGGTTTTGTTATAAGCATGTGATTTCTGTTGGGTACTGATAGTGAATACTGCCTGGACTTTCCACAGTATCAGCACTGTTTTGTTTGTCCCGTTTCTCTAACTCCATGTTCACATTGTGGTTCACAAAGGGTTTGTCCCACGGCAAAGGGGAATGGACGTTTCTTATGTCTTCCACGTGCCAAACTCTCTTCTAGAAGCTCCATATGCCAAGCCCCCTTCTAGGTTTTCATCTCTCATTTCAGCCAGATAAAAACGCTTCGAGGTGGGTTCTGTCATCTTTATTGTACAAGAAGAAAAATTGAGCCTCAGGAGCCCAACATTATATAGCTAGTAGGTGCCAGACTGAAGGTTCACACTCAGTTGTGACTGACTCAAACCATGCCCCCTCTTTATAATTACTAGTATCTGGGTCAAGCATAGTGGCTCACGCCTTTAACCCCAGCACTTTGGGAGGCCGAGGCAGGAGGATCCCTTAAGCCCAGGAGTTCAAGACCAGCCTAGGCAACATAGTGTGACCCCATCTCTACAAAAATATGAAAAATTAGCTGGGCGTGGTGGCACATGCCTGTAGTCCCAGCTACTTGGGAACTGAGGCTGTAGGATCACTTGAGCCCAGGAGGTTGAGGCTGCAGTGAGCCACGTGTGCACCACTGCACTCCAGCCTAGGCAACATAGTGTGACCCCATCTCTACAAAAATATGAAAAATTAGCTGGGCGTGGTGGCACATGCCTGTAGTCCCAGCTACTTGGGAACTGAGGCTGTAGGATCACTTGAGCCCAGGAGGTTGAGGCTGCAGTGAGCCACGTGTGCACCACTGCACTCCAGCCTGGGCATCAAAGCAAGACCCTGTCTCTCAGAGAAAAACCAAACACACAAAAACCAAGTATCTGATTGGGAAAACAAGAAGGTAAATGACTCAAGAGGAGGAACTATTTTATTTTTAAATTTTATTTGTACTCACCTTGTTCTCAAACTTGTAGCGGCTGTGTCTTCTGTATCCTCACTGTCCACAGCAATGCCCAGCACTTAGGCATGCATAAATGTTGGATACACTGGATTTAGAAGCAACGCTTTTTTTTTTTTTTTTTTTTTTTTTTTAAACAGAGTCTCCCTCTGCTGCCTAGGCTGGAGCATGGTGGCACAATCACGGCTCACTGCAGCCTCAAACAGCCTCAACTTCCCAGGCTTAAGCAGTCCTCCCACCTCAGCCTCCTGAGTGGCTGGGACTACAGGCGTATGCTACCACACCCACCTAATTTTTTGTATTGTTTTGTAGAGACAGAGTTTCGCCATGTTGCCCAGGTTGGCCTCAAACTCCTGGGCTCAAGGGATCCACCCTCCTTGGCCTCGTAAAGTGCTGGGATTATAGGCGTGAGCCACCTCACCCAGCCAACATTTATTTCTTAAGTAGATTTAGAGTCAGCAGTTCTACATGTATACATTTTCATCATCATTTCAAAATAGCTAAAGCCTTTACAGTAATGGAAATTGAGATTTGCAAAAAGCTTTGCAAAGGGGTGAGGCCTTTCTGATTTAGTGCTGATTGTTGAAAATTTAAAGCTTGAGTGTTCATGTAAATGATTCCGTGGAATGAGTGGGCTTATTTGGTAACTTTCTAGACCAGTGGCACCCACATGTTGCTTGACAGGCTGTGTTCACTTTAGAAGAATTTGGTACTCAGTACTTCGATCTTAAGTATCCGTTAAGTGGGGCTTTTTGCCTGTTTTCAGTAGCATTTTCCCATTTGGAGCCTATACATATGACTATTTATAACAGCGTGGGTGCTTTAAAGTCACCAGAGGGCATAAGCATGACTGTAACATGCTGTGGATCTGAGATCTTCCTTTTTACAGGATCTGCACAATTTAGACCTAATGATTGGAATTGCTTCCGCGGGTGTTGCTGTGTACCGAAAATACATTTGCACAAGTTTCTATCCTTGGTAAGTGCAAACAGTTCTCATTATTTTCTGAATCATGCTTTAAAAATATGCCTAACAAAAGTAATGTTACCTCCCATTCTAAATGTTTATTTCTAAAGAAAAGATAGAGAGTGCCTCCCGAGTTTTACTCTGACCTCTAAATTTGGTCCAGATTTGGTACTTAGGAAAATTTGAGTTTAGTTTTCATTAGCATTCCCTTCCCCCAACTCACCCTGTGGTTTGGGATACTCTGGAAACCTGGTGGATAAAATGGCACAGGCAGGCCTTGGCATTAAGGAATTTTTCCTGGGCAGTACATTGGTCAGAATTCAGAGAAGAGCTTTCTCTGGGCAGGAACCATCGTTTCATTTCTGTTCCTCGGTTATTAACTGAACCTTTACCAAGTGTCCAGCTCTGTTCTAAACTCTAAAGGGACCCAAAGACGTGTACAACTGAGTGCTTGCCCTCTGAGCTCACAGGCCTGGTGGGAAGAGACCTGTAGGCCAGCCTGTCCCGCATTACTCGTGAGTGGAACTGAATTTTGGAGAGAAGTTTGAGTTTAATGTGCCAGGCAACAGGGAGCTTTCTTAGGGGAAACACCACCAAAATAATACCATCTACATAATGGTAACGTGATGGTGCAAGGAATGGGGGTAGCACGCATTGCCAGGAAGGTACAGGAGAGTGAGTGCCATAGACGGCAGGAGATGCAGATGGAAAAGGACAAACGGGGAAAAAACACGGAGTTTTGGCAAAACAGTGGCAGCAAGGAAGGAAGTTAGGGAATGGGGATAAGAGAAGATTTGGTGCCAGGTATGTGCCACACAGAGTTTGACCTTTGACATCTAAATCTGCTCCCCAACTTGGGAGCATAGAATTTCATTACCTGAAACACAAAGATGTTCATCACAGCATTATTTATAACAGGAAAAAACCTGCAAGTAACTTAAGTAAAACTATGGAGTATTATATAATAATATATATAATATTAATGAGTTAGTAATATAATACTCTATTGTTATATAATATACCCTATATTATATAATAGAATAATATATATTACACATAAATATATAATTATATATAACAAAATTATCGTTATTAATAGCAGTAATTCTTATTGCATGCTTACTGTGTCCAAGTCCTATTACTGTGTATTTTCTTTGATTTATCTCCTTTAAACTCCAAATAGGCACTATATAGGTTATTATCCCCAGTTTCACGGAGGAGGAAACAGAGGTACAAAGAAGTTAAGTAAGAACCTGTCCAGAGTGACACAGCTAATAATCAGAGTAGTTGAAACTCACATCAGAGTCTAGCTCCAGAGCCTGGACTTTTGTTTCAACACTAAAAGTGGTATTTGTAGGAAAACGCTTAAGTAGCATACATACTTAATAGACGCTGTTCAGTTAAGTTTCAATATATCTATTTTCCAAAACCAAAAAATGTGACGACAGCCCTGTTCAATTTGACACTGAAATCAGTGTAACAGATAGCAGGATCTTCTCTCCATCTTTCATTCACCTCATCTCTTTTAGAAGCCCCTCAGAGGAAGCAAGAAACTCCAGCCTGCTTGGTGGGCTGGGGCGTGCCCAGGCAGCTCTCTGGCCCACTCAGGACTAAGATCAGGCTAAGCAGAGGGCACAATGGGCATACGGCTCATTTTTCTGCACCCAGCCCCTCCAGATGCCGGGGGCTTCCTCCAGGTGCCACAGGCCTAAAGCCCCTTGGGTCCAGCCTAACTGTGACCAAACCTCCTAAGGGCCCACAGACAAGGGCTGGACCCTCACATTGTGGAGAAGATGTGGGTCCCACAAGGTCACTGCAGGAGAGAGAAGTGGGAGACTTGGTCAGGAGAAGCAGGTTTGTGAACAGAAGCCTTTTTGGCAGAGCCTGCAGGGACTCTCCAACCCCCAGGCTCACCCACAGTCCTGCTGAAGCCTCCCTCACCCTTCAACATCAAGATGGCTCCTGTCGAGGCCTGGCCCCTGCCTCCAGTGTAAACCTCAGAGACCAGCGGGGAGACCAGCACCAGATGGTGACCCCAGGGTGACAAGGGAGGTGCATGGGCAAGTGCCCAGGAGGGGCAGGACATAAGAAGGGCCCTAAGCATGCAGGGTAAGGCACTCACCAGGATCTGAACACCAGCTGAGCTTTGGCCCAAGGAAAATTCTAGAGAAGTGGCAGGGTGTATAGGTCCAGAGACAAGAGAGAACCCAGCTAGTGAGTCAGGAGGAGTGGGACAGGCCAGGCTGGAGCTGGCCATGGGCATGAGGAGCAGCAGGAGAGGGGCCAGGTCATGGAGGGCTTCACGGGCCATAGGAGCCTATAGGCTCAGTTCTTAGTGCTCTTGTGAGACTCTAGGCATTCCTGCATGCAGTGCTCACAGTTACAGTGATTTACTTCCATGCATCATTCTTTATGTGGTTCCTGTCTCCCTCACTGGATTATAAGCCTCTGGATGGCAGTGGCTCCATGTCCTCTTCCCTCTGTCCCCAGGGCCTGGCATAGAACTTTGTACATCCTAGGCTCTCAGTGCATTTTTTTTTTCTTATAAATGAGTGAAGGGCAGTAGGGAGCCCCGCTGAGGCCCCAAGCCTGGAAACGACAAGAGTTCATGTCTGTGCATAATCAGATTTGACAGCTCAGGGAGAGAGCTGTCAGGTGGGGAAATTGGGGTCAGCCTGGGAAGGCGATGCTGAGCTGGAGCCCTAGGAACCACAGGAGGCCTGCCAGGCCCTCCTACCCCTGTATATGAAGCCAGGGGTGGGGGGAGTAAGAGGTCCACAGATACCCATGGGCCAAACAAGGCAAGGTAAGAACTCAAAAGGGGAGTTGATTCTCCTGACTCGTTCTGCAGAACAGGAATTTTTGCATCTGCCAGTTGGCACAGGAGAATCGTGAGGAGACTCCCCCGACTTCAGGGAGATGGCAGAGCAGTAACACACACTAGGAAGAGTATCTCCAGAAGGGGTGAGCCCAGACACTCTTCTCATCCTTAGACTATTAACCTGTAGTCACCCCAAAAAATTTACTTCACAGTTACATCTACCAACAGATCGTTGAAAATAGATGTGTATTAGGTAATATCTAATATGTAATAGAGGTATATTGCTGATCCATCTGGGGGATGTCCCATGAATAGTTCAAGTTTCGTTTTACCTACACAGCCTCTCCATTCTAGAATGTTCTACCAAGGTCTTTGTATGATCCTAGAGAATAGTAAAATTCCTTCATTTCCCCAAAGTATTTCAGAAGTAAAGATTCCAGCAGAGAAATATGCACCCTTTGTATGGATTACAGAAGTTTTGCATAAATGAATGATAGTCAGCCCTTGGTGTACTTGG
The DNA here is from genome assembly GCF_000001405.40 of Homo sapiens. Taxonomy (NCBI): domain Eukaryota; kingdom Metazoa; phylum Chordata; class Mammalia; order Primates; family Hominidae; genus Homo; species Homo sapiens. The sequence continues at coordinate 109,429,746 of NC_000009.12, read as the reverse complement.
GGGATTGGTTCCAAGACCACTTGTAGTTACCGAAATCTACACAGACTTGTCACACAGTTGGCTCCGCAAAACTCGTGTATTTGAAAAGCCAGCCCTTTGTATATGTGGGTTTCGCATCCTGCAAATACTGTTTTCCATCCATGTTTGGTTAAAAAGAATCCCCCAGATAGTGGACCCCACATAGTTCAAACCTTTGTTAATCAAGGGTCAACTGTAAATTTATTTTAAAAGTTATGTTTTTAATTAAAGGAACAAGCATTGCAGGCCTACTGTGTGACAAGGTAGGGACTTGACATTCCTACTCTGCTTGAATCCTCACAAGGCCGCTCTCTGAGAAGGGCAGTGTTTTCACCACTGTTGGGAAGACTTCATAGTGGAGAGCTTAGGAGCACAGGCTTCAGAGTCAGCTGAGACCGGGGTGCAGGTCCTGGCTCCAGGAATTTCTAGTTGAATGATCTTGAGCACTTTGGTGATGTCTCTGAGCCTCAGTTTCCTCATCTGAAAACTGGGTATAACAATATGTACTTTTCAGGATTGTTGCAGGGCTTCGTTGAGGGGATGTTTATAAAGCTCTTAGTAGCAGCCTAGTATCTAAAAAATGTTCAGTTAATGGTGACTAAATTCTGTTATCTTGCAAATGTTAAGTAGGCTACTTGACACGTGGCTGTTAAGTAATGGAGCTGGGGTTCGGACCAGGTCTGTCCTCTTTCAGCTGCTCCATGCTGCTCTCAGCTGTCTTCCCCATGTATATACCAGCTCACGCAGAGCTGCAGTGCCACAAAAGCAGCTTATAGCAAAGAGAGCGCATGGCCTATGTTTCTTGTTATTTAAAAGCTACATCATAATCCAGTGGCCCTTACGCAGTGCTCAGCTTCAGTCAGCTACTTGGTATTAGCCTGCGGCAGTGGGGCTGCCATCATTTCTACAGAGAAGTAAACTCTAGGCAGCCAAGAGCCCCCACTCATCAGGATCATGGAGTAAAGGACATGCATTGAGAGGCATCAGCTTCAACCTGGCCGATCCCTGATGTGCTTTGTTTGTGTTTTGTTTTATTTTTTGAAGGGTGAACATTCTCAAAATTTCTTTCAAAAGGAAAAAGTTCTTCATACATCAGCGACAGAAACAGGTGAGTAGTTATGTCTTTGCTTGCTTTGTTTCGTGCATATGTATGTGTGTGGTTAGAGACAGGGTCTCGCTATGTTGCCCAAACTGAGCTCAGGGGATCCTCCTGCCTCAGCCTCCCAAGTAGCTGGGACTAGAAACATGCACCACTTTGCCCCATTTCTTGTGTTTTTAAGTTACTTCAGCTTTTAGTTCTTTAAGGGTTGAAGGCTGTTTGCTATGTATGTATCAGGGAAGAAAGAGCATGCCATTGTGGAGCCAGAGTCTGGAGGATCCAGTGATTGTCTGTATAATTCTGCTTAGCTGGTTGGAGGATTAACTTGCTTTGGAGTCAGAGACAGTGGTTTCAGATCCTGGCTCTTCCACTTACCAGCTAGCCAGGTTACTTAACGTTCCCTAGCCCAAGTTACCTTGTTTCCAGAAATTCTATAATGCCCACTTCTTAGGGAATTGTGAAGATTAAATAAAAGAGGATTGGTCAAAGCACTTGGCAGAGAGCCCACCACAAAGTAACAGTGAATGTCAGCAAGGTCAGTTCCCTCCCATGATGTGTTGAAACTGCACGATGGCTTGGTAGGTGTATATATCTCATAAGCAAAGTCCATAGCACTGTGATAACTCCATTTGCTCATCCATACAGAGATGTAGAACTTAGAGGAGAGGAAACTGAGGCTCCCACAGCTAGTGAGTCAGGGGAGCTGGAATTTTAACCAGATCATTACGAATCCGAGACACCTGCTCTTTCCACAGCACTACACCCTTATCTTTTTATGCTGCATGATTTTCACTTACTGTCACTGTGTCAATTTCCCAATTTTTCAAAGGTAATATATGCTTAAAATGGCCTCACAGAGCCGTGAACTCTTAGGAATGAGGACACAAAAGCTCAGAGCAGCTAGGACTGGAATCTGGATCTCCTGACCCCTCAGTGCAAGATTCAGGGTGGCACAAAAATGTATAAGACGGCAATTTAACATGAAAACAGAAAACCTAAACTCATGCAGAATGCAGGCAAAGCAAATGATTAAAATGATTATTACATATGAGCACTGGATTCAACTCTGTGCTTTGTGGAAAGCAAATAGAGAAAAACCCAAAGGGTTATAAACTTGCTGTTGTCTGATAGATGAAAGAGTATTCCTTCAGGAGAGAGATGTTCCCAGAGTTAAAATTTAAAAGGAGTGTATCAGACGGTTTTTATCTGATTGCTCCAAATGTATCCAGCCTAGAAATGTAAATAGATTTGAAATAAAAGCATTCATGAAGAAGCGCAGATGATGATAAAGAATAGATTCTGGTCATCTCTATTACCATGTTCATAAAGACGGTTAACAAATCGTGCTCTTGAATATTCCGGTACACTGGTTTGTGGCCACGGCATTTTGAAACCAGTTTTCTGCTGTCTGTTGCATCTTACCTCATTTCACCAATGTGGGTTAAATGCTTACAAGTCCCTGCTCCTATGTCTGTGTGGGTGAAATCTTGACTGTTTTTCCTCCCAGGCTGAATCCAGGGAACATATTGTGGCCTTCAACATGCTGAATTACCGATCTTGCAAAAACTTGTGGAAATCCTGTGTTGAGCACCATACGTTCTTTCAGGCAAAGAAGCTACTACCTCAGGAAAAGAATGTTCTGTCTCAGTACTGGACTATGGGCTCTCGGAACACCAAAAAGTGAGTGTGCTGTAAAGACTGTGTCCACACTAGGCTGAGATGTAAATGCATCCTGGTCATCAGTGAATAGAGGACATTGTTAGGCAGAGGAGGAAACCCATAGCCCAGGGGCTCCAGGCATTGGATCTCTGAACCATAACTAAAAGTCTCCCGGGGTCAGCAGTGTCTAAGGGATATCTCATGTTCCCAGCATTTCTCTCCCCTCAACTCTGCTGAACTCAGCACTTCCAAGCAGTCAGAATGGCAGCTGTACCCTGCACCATGACATAATAAAGGAAATGGAGCCATGGTTCTGTGTGTCTCCTGGTGCCAGCATACTGGGCTATCCCAGTCTGATGCCACTATGCCAGCCTCTCCCACAGAACTTTAATTCCATAAGATGCTCTATAAAAATGAATGAAGGAATAGAAAAACATTTCCAGAGTCAAGTGACTTTGGGATATATTGCCTATAATAATTACAAAATAACAGTAGTAATCACAGTTGATAATTACTGAGCATTTACTTTGTGCTGGGCACATAATTATATTTGACTCTTACAACTCTCCTATGAGATAGGTACTATTAGCCACAGGAATGATATTCAAAATATTTAATGACTAGTACAGGAAAAGAAATGGATGTAAATTTATATATATTTATGTATAAATATATATAATATATAAATTTTTAAATTCTAATTTAGATTAAAATTTATTCTCTAAATAAAATGATGTACAGTAAAAGAAATGGATGTACATTGATATATATAATTCGTATATACATTTTAAAATTCTAATTAAGATAAATTTATTCTCTAAATGAAATAACCATGCAGTTTGTATTTTTGTTTTCTTTGTTCTAAGACTACCCTCTAAGTATAAGAGGTAGCATAAATTGTCAATTTATTCTTATAATTTCTTTTTTCTTTCTTTCTTTTCTTTTTTTTTTTTTTTTGAGATGGAGTCTTACTCTGTCACCCAGCCTGGAGTGTAGTGGTGCCATCTTGGCTCACTGCAACCTCCGCCTCCCAGGTTCAATCGATTCTCTTGCCTCAGCCTCCCGAGTAGCTAGGATTACAGGAGCACACCACCACGCCTGGCTAATTTTTGTATTTTTAGTAGAGACAGGGTTTCACCATGGTTGGCCAGCCTGGTCTCGAATTCCTGACCTCAGGTGATCCACCCACCTTGGCCTCCCAAAGTTCTGGGATTACAGGCATGAGCCACCGTGCCCAGCCTATTCTCTCTTTTTTGTTTTGTTTTGTTTTGAGACGAAGTCTCACTCTGTCGCCCAGGCTAGAGTGATCTCGGCTCACTGCAACCTCTGTCTCCTGGGTTCAAGTAATTCTCCTACCTCAGCCTCCCAAGTAGCTGGGATTACAGGTGCCCACCACCACGCCCAGCTGATTTTTGCATTTTTAGTAGAGACAGGGTTTCACCACATTGGGCAGGCTGCTCTCGAACTCCTGACCTCAGGTGATCTGCCTGCCTCGGCCTCCCAAAGTGTTGGGGTTACAGGCATGAGCCACCGTGCCAGGCCATATTTTCTAAATCATTTGTTGGTTTTTCAAAATTGTTTTCGTGATTTGTTGTTGATGTGGCTATTACTAACTAAATGAGACCCGTGTCTGAGCCATTATCTTTCTGATAGGTGGAACTGCATCAGACTGTTCCAGTTACTTTCCTAATACATTGATAATCATTAGGGAACTTGTAAACTGAATAAGTAGCTAATTTCTGTTAGTATCAGTGATACTATTTGTGGTGCTAAATGCTATCTCTCAGCTTCTGATGAACCAAGAGTGAATATATTAAGTTTTTAGCTCTTATAATACTGTTTAGTATTTGTATACATTCAGTAGATCTACTGTTGAGCAAGCCATGAAAATAACTTACTGGATTATATCATTGACTTAGGTTGGGCCTGATCCTCAGGCCAGATGAGAGAAGGAATGGGGAGGCAACTGAAACCATGCCCTCTGTTGCTGAGCTGCCTGGGTTCAAATCCTGCCTCTGTCACTTGAGCTTTAATTTGTTGCTTCTATTTCTTCATCTGCAAAGCTTTGTCATCTGCATGCATCCAATGCCAGCAGGGCTGGGTTCTGGTCTTGTATTGTGGCACAAGAAAATACCCCTATTTTGGTGACTGAAAGCAACACCCATTCTGTTATATCTCATGACTTTGTGAGTCAGGAATCCTAGAAGGGCTTGGCCAGAGGCCTCTTCTGCTCTGTGTGGTGTAGATAGGGATTTCTCAGTGAATGTGGCCAGAGGATCCAAGATAACTTCTCTTGCATACCTGGTGTCTTGATGGAATGGTTGGAAGGCTGGACTCACCTGGACTCCTTAGCATCCCCATCTGGATACTCCAGGAGGGTGGTTGAATTTCTTACATGGACACTCAGGGTTCCAGGAGCGAAAGGCAGAACCGTTCAGCCTTCTTAAGGGTGAGACCTGGCACTGGCACAGCGACTCTGTTGCTGAAAGCAGTCACAAGCCAACCCAGATGCAAGACTCAAAGAACTTGCAGTCATCTTTAATCTGCCACAGGGGATCATTTGGGTTGGGAGGATGGCTTGGGAGGACAAGTCAGCAGTTCTTTTACTACCTGTGCCAGCTTCAGCATACTGGTGAATTTCAAGTCTCATTACCTCCATTTTACAGATGAGGACACTGAGGCTTAGAAGGGTCACATGACTTGCCCAGCCCCTAGAGATACAGATACACATCTGCTTATTGGGCCTTCTGAAAGGTTCCACATAAAAAGAAATTTGTTGGGTTATTTTCCAAGCTTATGGGACAATGGAACACTTTTTTTTCAGAGAGTCCCTATTAATAACCCATGACACATTAAACCTTGGAGTTGGGCAGTTTGCTCCCCTTGTTTTGATCCTGTGCTCTTCATCACTGGCAGTGTGGTTTCTGATGTAGGCCTGCCTCAGAGGAAAGAGTCTCCCAGTGATGCTGTTGTGAGCATTTTGATCAGGGTGACAACAGCATTTCTTAATGTGAATTAGTACATGATGTGCTACAGGGCGATTCATATTGTTTATGTTCTTTTGTTTGTTCTTTGTTCTGTTTTGTTTTTGTTGGTTGGTTGATGTCATGTCACAAGGAAATGTGTAGAATGTTTTCATAAGACATTAAATCCTAGTTTAAAATTTAGAGATGCCAGAACCAAAGTTGTCACCCTTTAACAGGGTGACAGGCTTCATGCTCTATTCTCTCAAATAATTCATTCTCTGAGGGGTCTAGATAGCTAAGATTTAAATTCTCTAGGTATAAATAAAATTCAAAAGTAACCTTCAGGGTAGCACATTTCAAAGAACGTAGCCTGAAACTCTGTATAATTTTTTGTTTTTGGAGACAGAGTCTTACTGTGTTCCCCAGACTGGAGTGCAGTGGTGCGATCTTGGCTCGCTGCAACCTCTGTCTCGGGGATTCAGGGGGTTCTCATGCCTCAGCCTCCCAAGTAGCTGGAATTATAGGCATGCGCCACTATACCTGGCTAATTTTTTGTATTTTTAGTAGAGGTAGGGTTTTGCCATGTTGGCCAGGCTGGTCTTGAACTCCTGACCTCAAGTGATCCACCCGCCTCAGCCTCCCAAAATGCTGGGATTGCAGGCATGAGCCACTGTGCCCAGTTTGAAACTACTTTCTAAGCGCATTTTCAGATTCTCTCTCAAAGATTTACCAGTGATTTATAGTGACAGCTCCTGCCAGCTAGGATGATGAAGAGCACCTGAAAAAATGGTTAATATTTTTACTTAGGCCAGTGTGAATAAAATAAGAATTCCTTGAAATCACTGGAGCTGTATTTCTGTGTGATCCTGGAATTCCTTCTAATCTGGTTAGGTTTGGTTATATTCTGGAAACAGCTTTGTTGCTTGAGTAGTGAGGACAAGAAAGGATTTTCACCCGAAGAGAAGAAATCACATAAGGAAATTCCAGGACAGACAGGAATCGCTTTTGAGCTGTCTCCCTCTACTCCCCATAACCTTGGCATTAACCTGCCGTCCTTCAGACAAGAAGCATGTGTAGACTGTTTCACACATGCAGTAATTTCTTTCCTGTTGAACGTCAGTGTAGAAAGTGAACCTGCATCTGGTTTTTCAGGTCGGTAAATAACCAATATTGCAAAAAGGTGATTGGCGGGATGGTGTGGAACCCAGCCATGCGGAGATCCTTATCAGTGGAGCACTTAGAAACCAAGAGTCTGCCTTCTCGTTCCCCTCCCATTACTCCCAACTGGTATGTCCTCCTTTTTTTTTTTTTTGTACTACCCAACAGTAGACACTTTATCTCTTTTAAAAATAAAAACTCAACTTATAAACTCCTAAAGATAGATGACCTACAATTTGCATTTTAGGCTCTTGGCAGAAGTAACTGTTTTCATGAAGTACACAAGTCTAGCTAAATGTTTTCCATCGTGTATAATGCTGAGATGCTCTTTTTAAAAAAACTTATTCAATCTAAATAGTTTGGGAAACTCGAGCCTGCTGAAAGGCCTCCTTTGGAATCACAGCACACATTAGCATATTAAACACTCTGAGACGTCCAATAATAAAAAAGTACGGTTAGCTTTACTTAATTCATGTTTTCCATTAATATCCCACAAAATAAACTTTAGGGAAAACTAACGCAGGTACGTGATGTAAATGATGTAAGGATGTATGACCTTCAGCAGCAGAAGCAAATGCACATCAGTAAGTAGCAGGCCAACTTAAGAGGATGGACTCAGCTTAAAAAGAAATAGGTGGTCGTTTGGTAAAGTGAGAAGGGCACTGGGTTTGTAGCAGAAAGACCTAAACTCAGGTTTTGGCCCTTCTGTTAATTAACAAGTTTCTTTACCTCTGTAGCCTCAGTTTCCCCATATCTAAAAAGATGATAAAAACTACCGCAAATGAAATAATAATGTACAAGTACGTAGTAAGCTTTTAAAAGAGTCAGGTGGAATTATCATTATCTTATTATAATGGTCCTCAAAGACATCACACCATTTTTGTGAATACCTCCAAAAAGGCTAGGGGCCAGAGGGGAAACCTAGCAGGGAATCATTGCCCCCAGCTCCACACTGGAGTAAGAGTGCGTGGCTGTAAATACCTGATCCAGGATCTGCTAAGCCTAAGAGAAACTGGGAGACAGGCAGACAGAGGAGATGCTGTGCTGGGCCTGCTAGGGAAGGACCCCTTCACTGGGGGCCTAATGCTCTGGGAAGGGACAGTGATAGTATTTAGTGTTAGAAATCATGACGTAACTGAATAGATTTGCTTCTTGGTTTCCAACATTTAGATACCTCATTCTAAAGAGGTAAATTTATGCTATAACACAGCAGCTTAATTTATCTGAAAATCTCATCGGCAGCAATGCCAGGGGCCCAGAGAGCCCAGGACTGGATCCAGGGGAACAGCGGGGTTGGATGTTGCCACACTCGTGGCCCGGAGCTCCTGTGGCTATTTATAGGTCCTCTCCTGAGGAGTCACAAGAGCCTTTTTACTTCTGCTTTGGACACAGCATTATTGATTATCCAGGCCCAGGGGGATTGCAAATCATGGAGGCCCTGACAGTCCTGAGGAGAAATGGCTAACAAAGAAAGGGAAGATGGAAAAACTGTGAGGGAAAATAGAACTTAGAAAGCTTGGCAGCTTGGGATCCCCCGCTGCAGGAGCTGACGCCCAGGTGCCACACTGGATGCCCTGAGAACACGGCCTCATTGGATTCATTCTCAGGAGCAGGTAAGTACAGCCGAGGCCCAGAGAGGTGACGTGCCTTGCCCAAGGTCACATGCCTACTGCCACTGTTGGAGGACAGTCCAGTGTTTATATGCCCATCTAATGCATATAAACGTGTTTAATAAGGGATATATCTTAAAAAGCAAACATTTTCTCTTGGATCAAGTGAAATTCACATGAAGGGATGTCGTTGAAATAAGGTTGGAGTTTTGCTGAGAAATGTAGTTTGGCTTCTAACCCTTTTGTTTGCATTGTTCAAATTAATCAGAAAAATTATCTGAATAGCAGTCCATATGGCCTATTTATGTTTTGAGAGCTTGAGTCCTCCTGGAAGAATAACTTACCCTTAAGTCAATACCCGTCACTTCCCAAAGGGCATAAACCCATCTAATTCTGCCTGTTTATACAGCTGAGGCTACTGTTTTGGGAGCCACCACTTGACTGAGAGTGTTAGGGATTTGTGTCACCCTTGGTGCCTTCTGCTGGGGTAGTAATGAGTTAACCGGCTCTGAATGTCAGCCTCCGCCAAGGAAGGCATCCTTAGAAAGGTCAGGACACGAGGTTCACTGGTGTCTAATAAAATTTTTAAGTGGAATTTGCTTTGAACACTTTGCACTCAACGTTTTTCCCACCCAGGCGAAGTCCTCGGCTCCGGCACGAAATCCGAAAGCCACGCCACTCTTCTGCAGATAACCTTGCAAATGAAATGACCTACATCACGGAAACGGAAGATGTATTTTACACGTACAAGGGCTCTCTGGCCCCTCAAGACAGCGATTCTGAAGTTTCTCAGAACCGAAGCCCGCACCAAGAGTAAGAAACTCGTGTTGTTTTATTTCTGGGTATTTGCTTTTTGGCTGTTGCGGAATTTGCTCAGGTCCAGGTTGCCATTTGAGAGGAACCAAGAGCTGGTGCCTGCAGCCAGCTCCCACAGGTGCCTTCTGCCAGGATAAGAACATAAATCAGACTCTACCTTTTCACCCGGAAGACGGTCTATGTGCCTGGGGTCTAGAGCTTGTACTTCTTTTTGTCCACGACAAAGACTTCCTAGTCACTAAGTACTTGTTAGTCTCTTGAATTAGTCTCCTCTCCAGCTCACAAGCAAAGCCCAGTTTAATCATTCCCTGTTCTGGAGGTACAGACTCTAGGGCCATGCTAACTCTGATTTCTCTAGATTATTAAAGTTTTACCATCACATGATTTCAAATCATTGGAAATATGCTTGCTTCTAAAAGCCTTCTCCGAACAACAGGGTTCTGAGGGGTTTTGTTTTCAATTAATAGTTAGTATAAAGAAACAAACGTTAGAACATCTCTAATTTTCTTTGAGAAATTTTTTGTTAAATTTTTATGTCCTACCTCCCCCACCCCGCTTTTTTAACGTGACAGAGTTCCCTCATAGCTCAAGGACAGAAAAAATGTCTGTCCTGAAAGATGGTTGAGTGCTTTTGTTATTCAATAGGATATATTTAACCCATTTGTTTCCCTTTTTGCCTTGGTTACCAGGGAGTTCAGAACTGCACATTAGGCTCAATTGTATTCACTTCCCTCAGCCCAGATTTCTTGTATAGGACCTTCTCTTCCTCATTTGCCTTTGTTATATGGGTCTTTTTTTTCTTATTTTAATGGATTCATAGTTACATATCTGTACGTTTTGGGGTAAACTCGCAAATCATTTTTTTAAGTAGGTAAGACATAGATTATAAATTAGGTTAAAGCATGATAGTAAAGGATCAACTGTTAGGAAATCAACCATAGTCATTGGGTATCTATTCTGTTAAGCCCCATACTATTTCTAAAATATAGTAAGATAATGGCCCCCCTAACAGCTGAGGATTAGCAAGCAGGCACGTTAGTTAATCTGTAAATTTTTTACCACTGTAGCTATTAGGCTGAAAGCATCAAATGCACCCTGATTGGACTCCAGGCATTTGCAGGTGAATTGCAAATCTCCTTCCCATTTGTATGTGAGGCTGCTACCTCTCCTCTGTCCTTGCCCACAGCAAACATGGTTTCCAGTTTATCTGTGTTCTTAACACCTCTGGTTAAATAATCCCTGTGGTCATTCTTTCCTTGTGACCTGAGCTTGGATGATGCTTTTGCTAAATGATTGCTATCTCTTGTTCCAACTTGCAGCCTGCTGCCCCTTTGTCAGGGCTACAGTGGATGATTGTGAGTTCCTTTGTGTGACTTTGTAGCTTTTCAAACCACAAGCACATCTAGAAATACAAAGCAGGAGTGCAGGCATGCGTGACTAGAGCCGTTTTGAGTCTGCAGTGGGGGCTCTGCGGCTTTGGCAAAAGGAGAAAACGGTTTAGGGAAGCGTTGGAGGGCTCTGGGAAGCCCACTCACACCTGCTGCGTCAGAGCTTCCTGTGGTGGTTTGCAGTCCCATCACAGAATTGTACAGCATCTAAACCTTCCCTGTCCAGTACAGCAGCCACCAGCCCCAGTTGTCTATTCAGATTTAAATTAATTAAAATAATAAAAATGTAGGCATTCAGTTCCTCAGTCACATGAGCCTCATTTGAATTGCTTGACAGCCACACAGGAGTGTTGGCCTCCATCTTGGACAGCACAGATACAGCCCATTCCCATCACTGCAGAAAGTGTTGTCAGCAGCACTCATCTAGACTAACACGTTTATTCCATCGTTCATTTAAAGGGTGAACCCCTAGAATATCTACAAGCGAAAAGTGCATTTTTCACACAGAATTCATGTGGGAGTAGGTTTGGAATCATCACCTTGCTTGCAGTCTGGGCGCTCCACACCACTCACCCAGCTGCTCATCTGTGGCATGGGGCAGGTGGATAGCCTCTGAGTGCCCTCACAGCCCAGCACCCTCTGTCTCTTTATGCAATCAGTGCCAGGTGGGGAGGGATGCATTCTGTCCAATGACATGCAGGCACTTTAGAGGGCTTGCATTCATTCCCAAGTCCAGCGGCACACTTTATACATCCTTGGCTGGTCATTGAGGGGAACACCGGAGCAAATCAGAGAAGTTGTTTCAGGAGCCTCCAGGCCAGCTGGGCAAATAGCACATTATCAGCCTACGCTGCCACACTCCAGGGCTCTGTCACTTTGGTGAAAGGAAAAGGGGGGCTTAGGGAACAGTACGTGCCCTACATCAGATTTTCCTCCTGTGGTCTGCAGTCCCATCACAGAGCATCTAGACCTTCATAGTCCAATACAGCAGCCACCAGCTCCATAGGACTATTTACATTCCAGTTCATTAAAATTAAATAAGATTTAAAATTCACTCCTTCAAGCACTGTTTGATGTAAGTGATTTCTGGCCCTGCTTGTTCCTATACATTGCACAATGAGTCTTCTTGAAACCCCTCCTTGAGACCTTGTAAAGTGTGTCATCTTGGGGCTCTTTTTATCTTGCAGCTAAATGTTAAGAATAGCAAATAACAGTGGTTCAAAGGCAGGCTTCCTTGTGGGGTTTTACCAGGTGCACTGACAATAGACATGTCAGGGGGTCAAGTTAGTGACTGTGCTCTGCAAGTGGGATGAACAGCCAGAAAAGCAGCCCCCACCACCTCTGTTAGGTGGGAGACCTCTTCCTGCCGGTGGGAAGCCACTTTGTGCTGGGTCTTCAGAGGAGGCTGGCCCTCCTGAGGGTCTGGGAACCCCCATTGCTCCAGGTAAGAAGTACAGACTGGTCTGTACCTGGTGAGAGAAAAAAAGAAAAAAAAAAAAACCTGTTGGTTAGTTTCTGTGAGTATTTGCAAAATGTTTACAAAATATTTGACATGTTTTATACAGCAGATTTGTGTTAAGAGGCAAAAAGAAGCATTCTGTCAGAGAAATCGGATGAATAATATCACAGACAGTGAGGAGGGTTCCTTTTAAGAAGAAGAATTAAGTGCGATGTTCTGTACTCGTTTAAAAAAGAAGAAAGAGAGAAAGAAAAAGAGCGGTTAGATTTGGCTGTAAACCCAGAGTGGCGCAGCTCAGGCTGCCTGAGTGCCATCTTAGCGGATGAGTCACTTGCTGGTTTGTTCCGTATTTATAGCAGCACAGCAAAGTTTATGATTATAGTTATGAATCCTTGGCAGTTTGCTTTGTGCCCAAGTAGGCTGCACTCTTTTGTTGCTCCCAAGGTTCTATCAGCCATTGTGTGTTCCTTTCCCTGCTTCCGAATGAAGACCAAATTCTGCAGAGAAGTAAGTTTCTTTCATGGCAGAAATGAAAAAGCTACCACTCTCCACCCAGATAAAAGGGAGAGAATGTTCCCTAAAGAAAGAGACATGCAGAACAGAAACTGGGGGAAACACATTGTAGAGCAGTTTAGAGTTGTATTAGAAAAACTTTCTGGTTGCTATTTTATCACAGTTGTCTTGATGGGTCACCAGCATGACACCCTCCGAGTGGATGGGGCTTCATGCCTGCATAACTTCTTCGCTGTTTGCCTCTTTCCTTAGAGCCTGCCTTCTTCCATGGGATTTGGGGCAGCCATTGTTTTTTATTTCAAAAATTCTGTGCTGGCCAGCCATAGTGGCTCATACCTATAATCCCAGTACTTTGGGAGGCCATGCTGGTCAGATTGCTTGATCCCAGGAGTTCAAAACCAGCCTGGGCAACATGGCAAAACCCCATTTCTACAAAAAAATGCAAAAATTAGGCGGGCACGATGTTGTCTGCGTGTTGTCCTGGCTGCTCGGGAGGTTGAGATGAGAGAATCACTTGAGCCCAGGAGGTCGAGGCTGCAGTGAGCTGTGGTCGCACCCCTGCACTCCAGGCTGGGCATTGGAGTGAGACCCTGTCAAAAAAAAAAAAAAGAAACAAAAAAACAAAAAACAAAAAACTTCTGTTCATTGGAAGGAACCTGGGGGATCCCCTTCTTCAGCTTTGGCGGCAGTGTAGGAATTCCCCCAGCCCTGAGAGCCCTGCGAGCAATGGAGAGTCCCCTACAGTGCAGCTGTGTGCTCTGTCGTTAGACAGCCCAGGTGCCCACTGTTCTTCCCAAGCTGTGCTGGAAGCCTCCTTGACGCTGACCCAGCATCAAGGTTCCTGCCTTGAACTCTCAGGACAACACAGATGGTGTCTGTTCCCAGTTCCACCTGCCAGCCTTGGTTACTGTTCCTTAAGATAGACAATTCCAATGTAGTCACTTTCCACCCATCACCCTCGTAACCACCATTCTCCAAGTGCAAATGAGCCTTCTAGAGGGTGGCACTAGATCTGAATGTGGAGGAAGGATCTGCATACCATTCTACATGTCCCCCTCGGAGGACACCAGGCAGGGACAGGGTTTTGTTCAGAGTGTTTGTGTCCCTTTTCCTTGAACCTTGCCTTCTTGTTTGAGTCCACTTGCGTGTAGATGTCTCTCAGATACCTGAAACCCAATATGATCCAATCTCAGCTCCTCATGTTGGTGTCCAGCCCATGGCTGTTCCTGTGTCTTGGTAAGGGGGGCCATTGTTTCAGTACTTCCCAGTTTGCACCTATTTGAAACATCAGTCGTCCCTCACTCCTCCTTTTCTTTCACTGTCCCTATGCCATTTCTCATCGTGTTGATTCTACCTCCCAGACATCTCTTACATTTGACTCCTCCACCATCCCCACTGCACTGCCCCCATGCAGCCACCATCGTCTCTTGCACAGTCTAGCTCAGTCATATCCAAATCGTTCCCCTGTCTTTGGTGTCACCTCCTTCCACACCATGCTTCACAAGAATAGCAAATTTATCATTCTGAAATACACATCCAAGAATGTCACTTCCTGCTTAAATACCTTTTCTCTGCTTTTTCAGCATTTCCTGCCTTTACCTGTGCTACTGCTTTTGTTTGTGTGTTTGTTATTATCAGTGTTTTGCCAGAATGCCTTTTTTCCCACTTGACTACCTGTTCAAACTCCTATTAATTCATCTTTCAAACTCAAGCTCAAGTGCACCTGCTCCAGGAAGCCTCTCCTGGCCTTACACAGTACCCTAGACATCTGAGCATCTCCACTGTAACATGATAATATTATTACTTGGTTAATTGTATTTCTTCTCCTTTGGACAGTGAATTCTTTGAGGGCAGGGATAGTGCCCTATTCACCTCTCCTTCCTTAAAACCTGACATGGTTATTTGGCATTTAATAGACATTCAGTGACTATTTGGATGGATGGATGGATGGATGGATGGATGGATGGATGGATGGATGGATGGTTGGATGGACGGACGGATGGACGGATGGACGGACGGACGGACGGACAGACGGACAAATGGTTAGATGAAACTAGATGGGGCCCCGAGATACAAACTCCTAAGTTTTCACAATGGGATGCCCCCTCTGCCACTTCCACATCATGTGTCCATATCACATGAGCAACATCACACCATATTTATCTGTACCCCAAGAACTCAAACATATTTACTTTGACAAGTTTGGTAACTGTCACCTGTGAGCAGGACTATGTGGTAGGTGCCCCTGCAGGGCATCTGTCAATGAGAAATTCTCCTCAGAGAATTCAGGGATGAATTGACCGAGGTTTAGCAAGTGCTTTCTTGCCAGTGAGGTGTCTGATATCTATAGGGGAAGCCTAGACAGATTCATGATCTGTTGTTCCAGCAGGAAAGACTGTGAGCTCATAAAGCACCATACCTGAACCATATCCCCTCTGCCACTTTGATCTTGTGCCCTTGGCATTTATTACAGCCCCAGATGAGCTGTTTCCTGTGGTGACTGTCTCCACATCATAAAAATGTGTATTGGAAGACAGTCTTCTTTCTGTTACTCAAGGACCCTTATGTGAGGAGCCATGTGGGAAATTTCTCCAGGAATTTTATTCAGAAGAAACTGTGCCCTCTGGGTGAACTGGTATGAGTTCCTCTAGCGCCGTGCTATTCCAGCTGTGGCCACAGGCCAGCAGCTGCAGCACCTGAGAGCTGGTCGGAATGCAGAATCTCAGACCCACACAGGCCTGCCGAATCATACTCTGCATTCAGCAGGACCCCAGCTGGTTCCTGTGCACAGCACATTCTCAGAAGCTCTGATCTTGCAGATGAGAACCATTTAACTCGCCTTCACTTTGCACCTGAGCTTCCAGATTCCTGAGTAAATTCCTTGCTCTTTTAGAGTAACTCACCCAATCACCTCGGGTGATCCTCTTGGTACCTTGCCAAGAGGCTTTATTCTTCATTCACTCAGCATTTCAGTTGAGTACTCCCTGTGTGCCTGGTCCTGTGTTCCGAGTACTAGGAGAGGAACAGAAAGAGCACTAGGGTCTCCTGACCTTGAGAAGCTCCCAAAACAGGGCCCCTGTTCCATCACACCACAATTTGAGAGCAGGACTTTGCCTCCTTTCACAGGCGGCGGGGCGGGGAGGTCTTTAATTTTCTAGGGTTTAGGGAGAGCTTCGTGCGGGAGTGTCTCTTTCATGGGAGTGTTTCTTTCTGATGCCTGCTGCCTTTACAGTTCAGAAGCATGTGTTTTCTGGAGGGTGAATACTTGTTTGTCTGCCTGATGGTCAGTCTGTGTCTCACATTTCTCTGTCTCTGCCCCTTTCTCCCTAAGAACCAGGATGTGGTCAGTCCCACACTGGCTCTTCCATGGTGTCTTCCCCGTCCTGCCTCAGGGACAAACCTCTTCTGCTCCTTCCTCCCCCTTGTCATTGGCTCCATCCCATCCTCACCATCTTCTTGCATCCCTCATCCTGCCCCTTTCTTCACTCCACTTGTGGAATTCATGGGGCAACTCCCCTGCGCTCCTCAGCCGCACTGCATTCTGCCCAGCGACAGAGGAGGCACTAGGGCTTTGGTGCCTTCACCCCTGGCCACCCTGTGCTGTGGCCAGCTGCCACTTACTCATTGCATCTCCTCATTTGATGTCCTCTTCCTCGTCTGTCTGTCCATCTTGCACACTGAACAGAATATCACCGCGCCCTACAGAGCACCTGTGTACACAGTTGAGCAGGCCAAAAATCAGCCATTTGTTGAAATAAATGACTAAGAGTAACCCCTCCAACCCTGCTTAGAAAATAGGTTAGGGCAGGCCGGGCACGGTGGCTCATGCCTGTAATCCCAGCACTTTGGGAGGCCGAGGCGGGCAGATCACAAGGTCAAGAGATCGAGACCATCCTGACTAACATGGTGAAACCCCATCTCTACTAAAAATACAAAAAAAAAAAAAATTAGCCAGGCATTGGTGGCAGGTGCTTGTAGTCCCAGCTACATGGGAGACTGAGGCAGGAGAATGGTGTGAACCTGGCAGGTGGAGCTTGAGCTTGCAATGAGCTGAGACTGTGCCACTGCACTCCAGCCTGGGCGACAGGGCAAGACTCTGTCTCAAAAAAAAAAAAAAATAGGTTAGGGCATAAAATGACTTGGAATATAGTATTAGTACTAGCAGCAATAGTAATAGTAGTAGTACTGTTGTCATTTAGTACCATGGGCTAGTTTAGACAGACCATTGAGTTTTAAATCAAAAAAGAAAAATAGGGCTGGGGATGGTGGCTCACACCTGTAATCCCAGCGCTTAGGGAGGCCAGTGCAGGAGGATTGCTTGAGACCATGAGTTCTAGACCAGCCTAGGCAGCATAGTGAGACCCTGTGTCTACAAAAAATTTTTAAAAGGCTGGGCATGGTGGCTCACACCTGTAATCCCAGCACTTTGGGAGGCCGAGGCAGGTGGATCACGAGGTCAAGAGATCGAGACTATCTTGGCCAACATGGTGAAACCCTGTCTCTACTAAAAATATAAAAAATTAGCCGGGTGTGGTGGCGGGCACCTGTAGTCCCAGTTACTCAGGAGGCTGAGGTTGGAGAATCATTTGAACCCGGGAGGCGGAGGTTGCAGTGAGCCGAGATTGCACCACTGCATTCCAGCCTAGCAACAGAGCGAGACTTTGACTCAAAAAAAAAAAAAAATTAAAATTAGTTGGACATGGCGAATGCCTGTGGTCCCAGCTACTCAAGAGACCAAGATAGGAAGATCTCTTGAGTCAGGAAATCGAGGCTGCAGTGAGCTGTGGTCATGTAATGGCACTCCAGCCTGGGCAACAGAGCTTTACCCTACCTCAAAAGAAAAAAAAATGGATTGGGGGGGTGCAGGGAGGGAGAGAGAGGGAGACAGAGGTAGAGACAGAGACAGAGACAGACAGAACGAGAACTGGAAATACCATTTTAACTTGTTTTGTAACTGCCAAGCAGTTGCCCTTTCTGCCACTGGGTGATGCTCTTGTAAACAGTGAAACCCAGCAAAGATGCCGTATTTGGGGGGAATTTTGTAAAGCTTCCTTTTACGTAAGTGAAAGTCATGCTTTTTCAATCTGAAAACTTGTATACAACTTCAATTCCAAAATACTCTGTCTCTGAAATGCCTTCCCATCCATAACACCCTACCCCCAACCAGCCACTTGGACACCATAAGGCCAGACTCTTGTCCTACTGTATCGCTGTGTTTCTCCATTGGTCTGTCACTGAATATTTTATTCAAATAGATTGTGATTATGAATCATTCTGTGTGACTATGATACAGATTTTATATTTAAATTAGGCTCATTTAAACTCACTAGGAGAAAGAGAAGCACCAATTTCATAAAAAATCCATGGATAAGGGCTTGAAATGAAGGTCAAGAAAGAGGCAGTAGCAGCTGTCTTTTGTCTGGGTTTCACTGAATGACTTGGTCTCTGCGCTTCTCCCCTCACTTCACTTTGGATGAGGTTAGGGTGGGGCAGAGTCTTAGAATGTAGGAGAGCCCCATAGTCATCAGCTCTGTAAGGTGTCTGTGCTGGGCCTGTGGCTCCGGAAGGGGCTGGTGTGGGTGATGCAGAGACTCAAGGGTCCTGTCCTGTACAGTGACAGCAGGGATGGTTAATCCCTGTGACTCTGAGGGGTTAGAAATAGGGGTCTTGGAAGTGGGCTCTGCATGGTCTGGAGAGGGAAGAAAGGCTTAGGACGCACATCGGTCAGGTTTCTGTCTGCTAAGCCGGGGGAAAGCCATGTGACCCTGGGCAAGTTACTCAGCCTCTCCTGACCTCAGCTTCTTCATCTGTGAACTGGGAGTTAGAACAAATGACCACAAAGTTCTGTTCCGTTTTCATCATCTGTAACTCTCTAAGACAGCGCTGTCCAGCAGGACTTCCTGCCGTGGTGAAATGTTCTCTGACTGCACTGTCTCATACGGGAGCCACTGGCCGCATATGGCTAGTGAGCATGTGAAGTATGGCTGGTTTCTTGTCTTAATTTATTTAAATTTAAGTAGCCACATATAACTAGTGGCTACCATACTAGACAGTGCAGCTCCACGATACAGAAGAAACTATATTCGATAGAGGAAAATGTAACAAGATCTCAGCGTGGCAGTTCATGGATGTCACAGGCAAATCATGCCAACTAGGAATAATATAAATTCTCCTGAACGCACAACAACAACAGTCCTGTTTCCTTTGAGGAGGCAAGAGTCCTATGAAGCAGAACCATCCGCAGAAGTGAGACAGAAGGAAAAAAGCTTTCAGAAGGGATGGGCTGTGCATCTGCATGAGCTTGCCTGGCAGAGCCTGGTTCAGTAATGAAACCACCAGAGGAGCTGGACACATTTCCCTGTCACCCTTCTAAAGCAGCGGGGAAGGGAGCAAAGTTTTCAGCAGTTTCCAGATCCACCCTGCCTCCTATCCCTTTTCCCCAAAACCATGTGACAGTGTCTAGGCCAGATGCGGTCAGGGGTGGTCAGTGGGCCCTGGGTGTACTCAAATCCCGCTGACAACCTATGCAGCTGAGGTTCCAGGGAAACATACAGCCCCCAGCTGCCAGGCCCCTACAGTCAGTAGTGTTTGCTCTAATAAAATATTAACCCAGTTATTAATATCTCCTCCTTCCCCATGATGAAGGAGTTTATCCGAGAACAATCCGGCACAAAGCTACCTGACCCAGAAGTCATCCAGTTCTGTGTCTCCATCTTCAAATGCTCCAGGCTCCTGCTCACCTGACGGCGTTGATCAGCAGCTCTTAGATGACTTCCACAGGGTGACCAAAGGGGGCTCCACCGAGGACGCCAGCCAGTACTACTGTGACAAGGTGAGCGAGCGCAGGCAGCCGGGTGATCCACACACCCAGGGCTTCCCGGCCTCTTGTGGGCAGCTGAGTAGCTCTAACTAAATGAAAATATCTTATCACCAACTGCTGGAGAGAGATGTGATGCAAATGACCACTTTCAAACCGTTTTCCAGAATGATAATGGTGACAGCTACTTAGTCTTGATCCGTATCACACCAGATGAAGATGGAAAATTTGGATTTAATCTTAAGGTATGTTGTGTATTTATAAAGGAAGTTTTGTGCTGGGAAGCAATCTTTCAATGAGTTTTTAATTTGCATTACAAATGTGCTGCATTCCTGAGCTACATAAGGAAGTTGGTTCAACCCTCAGAATTGAGAGTTGGGGGTTTTTTTTGTTTTTGTTTGGTTTGAGATATTTGGGGTTTTTTTTGTTTTTTTTTAAAAACTCACTTTATCGCCCAAACCTAGAGTGCAGTGGCACGATCGCAGCTCACTGCAGCGCTGACCTCCCCAGGCTCAGGTGATCCTCCCACCTCAGCTGGGACTATAGGGATGCACCACCATACCCAGCTAATTTTTTTCATATTTTTTGTAGAGATGGGGTTTCACCATGTTGTCCAAGCTGGTCTCAAACACCTGGCAATCTACTCACTTTGGCCTCCCAAAGTGCCGGGATTACAGGCGTGAACCACCGCACCCAGCCTAGAATTGAGAGGTTTTTTTTAATGTGGCCTTAACAGCTGCCGAAGGCCAAGTGCCTGCTCTGTGCCTGGCATTGGCTATCCACTAGATTCATAGCACCTTCTTAAGTTCTGATAACAAGTGGTAAGGTCAGTATTTTTAAACCCATTTTGCAAATGAATACTGAGGTTCCCAGAAATGAGGGCACACAGTTGGCAAACAGATCTACCCACTTCAGGAATGCTATTAAGAGAACCCCTCAGCATTGCTAAAGCTGATAAGAGAAAAACAATTCAAGTTCAACCTGCAGGGCCACCACTCTCCTCCAGGCACCTTTAAGCAGGATCTGCAAACTAAACCCACAGGCCAAATCCCATCTGTTTCTGTAACTAGTTTTTTTGGTAACAGCCACAGCCATTTGTTTACTGGTGGGTTAATGACTGCAGAGTTGAGCAGTTGAATCAGAGCCCTCACTCCCACAAAGCCTCTCTGGCCCTTTACAGAAAACGTTTACTCATCCCTACTCTAGGACAAAGTGAGGGCAGGTGGTCGCCTACCCCCCAGCTGCCATCATGCACAGCCTCATCTGCCCCAGCAGCTGTGTTGAGGACCAGCGCTCACAGGCCAGATGCGCTCACAGGGTGTGCCCCCTTCCCAGGCCTCGCTCGCCTCTGCTGAAAGCCCCTATATATATATATATAAAGCCCATATATATATATATTAAAGCCCATATATATATATAAAGCCCATATATATATATATATATATATTTTTTTTTTTTTTTTAATTATTATAAGTTCTAGGGTACATGTGCACAACGTGCAGGTTTGTTCTAGCAGCACTCGAAGACATGCTGTGGAGTCCCTCTCTGGGGGCATCTGCGTTTTTAAGGAGGAGCTTCTCTCTGAGTGTATCTGTTAGTTCATGGACTGTGGGGATGGCAGAGGGAGGCTTCTGAACAGAGTCCTGGTCAGCCCGCTGGATCCAGAGGGGTCAGGAATTTGTTCCATATTTCTGAAATGACGTGTGATTCGAATCAGTCATAGTGAAGTTTGAAGCCTCCCTGTACCAAAGACTCACATTTATTGGTACCTCCATGTTGTTGATGCTGTGAGCTACTCGTTTTTTTGTTTGTTTGTTTGTTTAACTTAAAAAACTTTGTTTTGTTTTTATTTTAAAATGTTTACAGGGAGGAGTGGATCAAAAGATGCCTCTTGTGGTATCAAGGATAAACCCAGAGTCACCTGTAAGTAAATACATTCCATGTTATTCCTCGTGTTTGTTTGTTTCCCCCTAATTCTAACAGGTTTCTGTTTCTGAGTCCTGTTTCTTTTTTTGCCAGAGCAAAGAATGTGCTTAGATATACATCACCATGTTTTCTATAACCTTGCGGCTCAGTGTGGTCTTTGAAGCCATAGCACCCATGTTACCTGGGACCTCATTAGAAATGCAGCATCTCTGGCCTCAGCTTAGGCCTGCTGAACCGGAATCTGCATTTTTAACAAGAGCCTTGAGTGGTTAGTGTGCATTCAATTTTGAGAAGTCCTTTTCAAGAGAAGGAAACTTAGGCAGTCTGCTGTTCTGCTCACTCTAAGTGGGCACGTGGGCCCTGTGCCTCTTCTCACCATCTTTCCACCAGTGCCCCTTTTGTCATCTGTGTAGGCCTCCTAAGAAGAGCATTTGCTTTGTTTTTCTTTCAAATTTATTTTATTGTTTTTAGGCCAGGCATAGTGGCTCACACCTGTAATCCCAGCACTTTGGGAGGCCGAGGAGGGTGAATCACTTGAGGCCAGGAGTTTGAGACCAACCTGCCTGGCCAACAGGGTGAAACCCATCTCTACAAAAAATACAAAAATTATCTGGGTGTGGTGGCACACAGGTGTGATCCCAGCTACTCAGGAGGCTGAGGCAGGAGAATTCCTTGAACCCAGGAGGCAGAGGTTGCAGTGAGCTGAGATCACGCCGCTGTACTCCAGCCTGAGCGACAGAGTGAGACTCTGTCTCAAAAATAAAATAAATTTATTTTATTGTTTTTAAAATAATATCAAGTAATTTTTTCGTTTAATTTTTTTATTGTGCATACTCAAGGTGTACAACATGATGTCTTGTTATACATATAGTACTGCAGTCAAACAAATTAACATGTTCATCACTTTCCATAGTTAACCTATTTTTCTTTTTTAAGAGACAGGGTCTCGCTCTTGCTCTGTCACCCAGGCTGGAATGCAGTGGTATGATCACTGCAGCCTCAAACTAGGCTCAAGCGATCCTCCTGCCTCTGCCTCCCAAGTCGCTGAGACCACAGGTGTGTCCCACCTCACCTGGCTCCATAGTTACCTTTTAATCATCTGCTTTTTTAAAGCAGTAGGAGTCACTGTGCCTCCTTACAGTGAACCACGTTGGGATTTTACTCTGAGGTAGTCCTTAAGCTCTTGTCATTTAACTTTTGTTACTGTTTACAGTTTCTGTAAATTCAGAAGGCTTTCTTTCCTGTGCTGTTCAATTCATTGCTTCTCTCCATAATGGTTTTTGCCTCTGTTGTGAAGCTTACAAAAGCTTTCACCTTTGCAAGACAGATAAATACTCACCTCTAGCTGGCAAATCATTTCCTAACAGTACATCTAGGAAACAAAAGGCTGGAAATGGTATAGTTATATTATAATAAGTGAAGGTTGACTACCACGGAGAAATGGCTTCAGCAATTTTTATATCCTTATTCTGAAATGTTTCATAACTTATATTCTGAGCAGTACTTCTTTATATCTTACAACCATCTACCATGTCCACATAGCAGTGGATGCATTATACAAATAATGACAGTACTACCCGAGGGAGAGAAGGCAAACTTGATCATGGTCCCAGGTGTCTGGGAGCAGAGCGAGTCAGCGTTCTTCCCCCAAGGACTGTGTTATGGTAACAGGAGAAACTCGCTTTTCCCCACCACCCAGGCGGACACCTGCATTCCTAAGCTGAACGAAGGGGATCAAATCGTGTTAATCAATGGCCGGGACATCTCAGAACACACGCATGACCAAGTGGTGATGTTCATCAAAGCCAGCCGGGAGTCCCACTCACGGGAGCTGGCCCTGGTGATCAGGAGGAGAGGTAATGGCCACCTGGGGGGAGGAGCCATAGGGAAGCTGTCCTAGCCAAGCTGCGCCTGCTCCAGCCCTTTATCTGCTCTTGAAAATGTTGAGTTTGTAGCCAACATTTGAAAATCAAGAATCTTCAGGTAATAACCGAATGTTTGGCTTCTCACTTGAAAAATGTGAAGATCTGCCCCCAGGAGGCCTGTCCCCATGTGGCCAGTCTTCTGGGGGGAGACAGCGCCCCTGCAGCCCCTTTATACAGGACATGAGCCCCCAGCTCCCAGTTCCTCCCAGGCCCAGCGCAGCCCACATCACGCACTCTCTAAGTGGCATGACTCTGCAGACATTTGCATTTTCAGCCCCTTCTTAAAGGATCTGGTGATATTTTATTCGTGCGTGTTTGATTTTGTCGGGGAGGCAGTGAGGAGAGCAGGGTCTGACTGTCTCGGGTGATTCCTCACTCTGCCTCTGCGGGCTGGGGGACCTTGCAGGGGTTACATAACCAGTCTGTGGTTCAGCTGGCTCAGGTGTGGAGGAGGACAGCAGTGGTCCCGACTTCACAGGGTTGCTGTGAAGATTAAATGGCACTTGGGGCCAGGCACAGTGGCTCACACCTGTAATCCCAGCACTTTGGAAGGCCAAGGTGGGTGTATCACTTGAGGTCAGGAGTTCAAGACCAGCTTGACCAACATGGTAAAACCTCATCTCTGCTAAAAATACAATAGCCAGGCATGGTGCCATGTGGGTATAGTCCCAGCTACTCAGGAGGCTGAGGCAGGAGAATCGCTTGAACCCAGGAAGTGGATGTTGCAGTGAGCTAAGACTGTGCCACTACACTCCAGCCTGGGTGACAGAGTGAGACTCCATCTCAATCATTCAATCAATCAATGGCACTTAGACTGGAAAGTACCTGCATTGCTGCCTGATGGGAGCAGAGGTTTGAAGGACAGCCTCTACTGAGCATCACACTGTTGTCTTTATAGTTGTTGTTATAAAATAATACGTCAAGTTCCTTGAACACCGTGCACAGCTGTAAAATACTGAAAGTAAATGAAGGTTGTGTCTGCAAAGCCCTGCGTCTCTGCCTGCCTCACACGTTTGGCTGACACTCCATACTGCTGTGCTCCTGCCTCGGCTCTGCTCCCACTGCAACTCTCAGTCCAGAGCCACCAGGACCAGCTCTGACCCCACCTCCTCCGTGAGGCCTTACCAGATCTCTCCGGTTCCCCACCTGTGCAAGGTTGGGAGTTGTGGGGGGGTGGTCCTAGCTTTGCTTTCACCTGTATTGAATTTAACATGAAGGGAAAACGTGCACTAAAGAGGTAAGGCTGAAGCACAGAAGAGATGCTAGGACTACGATATTTACGTGGGAGCCTCCCACATAGAAACGGCCCTGAGTTAGGGATTGAGCTCTCAGGAATGATGGTGTCACAGGAAAAGCTTGGGACCTCACCCTCATGCCTGAGGAAATGCCCATTTTAGGGAAGTAAATGAAAAAACCTGAGAAAGAAAGGGGAGTCGGGATGGGTAGAAGAATAACCCGGTCAGAAAGAGCAAGCAGAAACAATATGCTTTTTTAAATAACATTCTTTCTCTTTTCTTTACCTTTGACAAAAGCCTCTGAGTGTTAAACACCATTATTTAAAACTAACCAGGAAGATTAGTATGTCATTTTATGTAATTAACACATATTGAATCATTCACCTAGAAGTAGTATCTTTGGTGAAAATGATTACCATGTAGCTTAATCATTTAATAAGATGTTTTGAACCATCTGCATTCAGGTGTCATAGGTGTGATTTGTTTGAGGGAGACGGATAAACCTGAGTATTGCTACACAAGTCAGATGCACTGTCTTGTACGTTACAGCTGTCCGCTCATTTGCTGACTTCAAGTCTGAAGATGAACTGAACCAGCTTTTCCCCGAAGCCATTTTCCCCATGTGTCCGGAGGGTGGGGACACTTTGGAGGGATCCATGGCACAGCTAAAGAAGGGCCTCGAAAGCGGGACGGTGCTGATCCAGTTTGAGGTAAGACCCTCTGGAGGCTGAATCCCACTGCCATGTCGCCTATTGGGCTGCCCCTGCCTCTGAGCAGTGGAGGAAATGAGGCAGAGACACAAGCCCTTGTTTCCTTGGTCGAGATGATTGTGTGTTTCACAAACCAAAAGCAGTCAACTGAGTCTCTGAGGACTGACAGGGCGAGGCCTGTGCTTGTCGTGGATAACAGGGCACAGCAGGCAGCCCCCTTCTCAGGCTCGGAGCAGCAAGCAGGGATCAGGGTGGCCACCCTCGCTGAACTCTGTCTCACCCTCTTATTCTAGTAACATTTGGTAGTCATGGAGAAACATGCCAGAAACTGAGGAGGAGGGACTCTGAGTGTATTTAACTGCCAACACAAAAGCTCAAAACTCCCAGCAGTGGAAGGCAGTGGAGAGGTGGCTGTGGGTGAAGGAACCAGCTCTCTGACCACCCCCAGCCATGTGCTGGAATTTGGAGCAATTAGTGTTATCCCATGAGGGCATAGTGTCTCGCCCTCCCAAGTTGCCCAGAACCCTATAAACACAAGTAAGAAACCAAACTCAAACCCCCATCTTCCCCAGGGGAACCTGTGATTCATAGGATTCAGGCTGTTGACAAAGGTACACACAGACATTTTTTATAAAACAAAAGGGAACCAAAGGAAACTCAGCTTTTAAGCCAGTTTTACTGATCACTAACAGAATTAAAATAGAATGTGTTCATCTTCCAAATTTATTTTCTTATTTTTATTTTTTAAATATGTTGTTGTCGTTGTTTAAAATAGAGACAGGGTCTCACTGTGTTGCCCAGGCCAGTCATGAACTCCTGGTCCCACGCCGTCCTCCCGCCTCGGTCTTCCAAAACGCTGAAATTACAGGTGTGAGCCACCACACCCAGCCCATCTCCCAAATTTATTTAAAAGTAGAAGAAAACAGAGTAATTCCTGTAATAAAAGAAATAACACCAAAAAGCATAAAATAGGTCAACAAAAGAAAATAGATCATCATTAGAAATAACAACAGTCTGGGTTCATAAATTCAGGAAGAGAGTCACATGGGACTCAAGAACAGAAATCAACAATGCATTATTTATTAGAAAACCACATAAAGGAAAAAGAAGCAAAACTCGGACATTTGTGAAATGTGTGTGACTGCAGAGTAATTGAGGAAGGCATGAGTAATAGGAATGTTTAAAATGAAGGAATGCAAAGCAGAGAGCTTTGAGTGAAAGATTGATTTTATGATGCATGTGAAAACACATTAAAGCAATGTGCATTGAACAGCAGTAGAAAGCAAAAATCCACAAGCCAAAAAGTAAAGGTGACTGACTTCCCCGCCAAAACAATCAACAGGGAATTAATTAATTAATATATTTATTTATTTAGAGACAGGGCGTCTGTCACCCAGGTTGGAGTGCAGTGGTGCCATCTTGGCTCACTTCAGCCTCTACCTCTCAAGCTCAAGTGATCCTCCCACCTCAGCCTCCTGAGTAGCTGGGACTACAGGCATGCACCACCACTCCTGGCTAATTTGTTTTTTATTATTCTTTTGTAGAGATGCAGTTTTGCCATGTTGCCCAGGCTGGTCTCAAACTCCTGGGCTGAAGCAAGCCACCTGCCTCAGCCCCCCAAAGTGCTAGGATTACAGGCATGAGCCACTGCACCCAGCCATTTAAAATTTTTAATTAATCATCTTGACACAATATAAAACAAAAATTATGTACTTATGCAAATGAAGTCTGGATAAAAGGGTAGTAACTATAATTACTTGAATAGAACTAATAGATATATTACTGAGTATTCTACAAAGGGAAATAGCCCTTTTTTTCAGTGGCCTACAGGAGGCTGTTCACACTTTTGGTTAAAAAGAAGAAAATGTAGGCTGGGTGCAGTGGCTCACACCTATAATCCCAGCACTTAAGGAGGCTGAGGCGAGTGGATCACCTGAGGTCAGGAGTTCAAGACCAGCCTGGCCAACATGGTGAAACCCTGTCTCTATTAAAAATACAAAAATCAGCCAGGCGGGGTGGCAGGCACCTGTAATCCTAGCTACTTGGGAGGCTGAGGCAGGGGAATCACTTGAACCCAGGAGGCGGAGGTTGCGGTGAGACAAGATCAGCCTAGGTGACAGAGCAAGACTCCATCTCACAAAAAATAAAAATAAAAAAAAAAGGAAATGTAGAGGTTATCTTCTCTGGCCTTGCCTTTCAAAAAAGTTCACATTTTGAGCAGTAAAACTCATTCATATTTTCACACACTCCAAAATCGAAACAAGGAAGAACTTAAGAGCCAGTCACAGTGCATACCGGTTTTTTGGTATTAGAGAGGACAGGAAAGGCAGTGAGAAGTCGTTTGTTTGTTGATTTAGCGAGTGTGTCTTGGGTATTTCCCCTGGATCAGGAACCTGATGAGGGAAGGAGAGGGGAGTTTCTGGCCCCAAGGAGTTTACAGTCTAATTTTAGTGTATTTTAGGAGGTACATCATGTGTCCCAGAAACAGCTGAAGACCAAGACAGGGTAAGATGTTATTATACAGAATATATGTTCTGCAGCAACTGGAGGTGAGGGGACTCCAGGAGATCCCTGGAGTGAGATGTGTGGGATTAATAAAGGGGTGATTAGGATTAAGTGTGTGGGGGGAGCATATTCCAGGAAAATCTCAGCCCAAATGCAGACAAAGCTCATGGGGTATCACGTAGCATAAAGAGACAGGCCTACCTGGGTGGACAGCGCAGTGCAGATCCTGGGCAATGCCTCTAGGTGACCACCGTCCTTCAGCCCTGCGAGAACTGGTTCCAGTTTATCAGATAGTCCACAAGGAGGCGCTGTGGGCTCTCACTGAGGAAAAGCCAAAGGCTGGTGTTTTCGGTGTTCATGAAACCTCCTTCACGCAGGTGGCTCCAATTTGAGGTGTGTTTTACATATGGGAATCCCACAGGTGATTTCCCTTGAAAAGTGTTCAACTTTTTAAAAAGTTTTCAAAGACATTAGAGATAAATACCCACCCTGTCCCCTACCTGTGTTTCTCAGAGGGTGACCCTCCGACCACTTGTATGGAGATCACCTGGGGAGTTTATTAAATCAAGGCCCCGCCCACAGCTACTGGATTGGCAGCACCAGGATGGGACCTAGATACTGATACTTTTAACAAGATCAGCACCTGTTTTGATGCACACGCTGTTCCAGAGGAGAGGAGGTGAAGACCCAACCGGAACCACTGCTGTGCATCCGAGGCTTTGTCTTTGGAGGGTATGGTGGGATGATAGCATAAGAAAAGGAGAACGTATACATTTTAGGGTTGCGTTTTAGCATGTACACGTTTCCTTCATTTTTGTCTATACAGTTCCTCAAGTAGGATATTTAAGTAGGAAACCCTTCTTTTTAATAAAATCATTTGCAGAATTCCAAAATACAGAACAGATGAAAGCAGGTCTGCTCTGTGACCTGTGATGGAACCAGTAGGGTCCTCAAAGCCCAGCCTCTTCAGTCTTCCTTCACTGGCCCCCAGGGAGCCCTAGGCTAAACAGACCATCATGTGAAAACCACTGTTACAGGTGCGAGAATGGTGTTTTACAGAGCAGCCAGAGGAGAGGCATAGAAAAGGAAACCAGATAAAATGAGAAACTAGTAGGAAAGGAAAGCTTTCATGAGCACTTACTATGTGCCACAGGCTTTAAAGGATATCACCTTAGGTAATTCTCACAAGAGCCCTATATAGATGCTGTCATTATCCCAGTTGTAGGCATGAGGGAACACAGTCTTGGACAGGTTAAGTGACCTCTTCCAGGTCTCACAGTAAATGTCAAAGGCTGATTGGAACCCAGGCTGGCCAACTCAAGGGGTGGTTCTTAGCCACTCTGAAATAACCTTTGAAAACTACAAAATGCTGTTGATGTATGAGAGTTGTTATTAGAATAATAGAACATCTGAGCTAGAAAATATCTGAGAGGCTGTCTCCCTACACGGAGCCAGACAGATTTTAAATCCTGGCTCTACCCTCACTTCCTGTGTGGCCTTAGGCACGTCCCCTAACCTCTGTGGCCTCTGTTTGCCCATATATAAATTGGGTATCTTGTGAGTTCATTTAAGAGTTAGATGAGATAAATACTTAATGTGTTGTCTGGTATGTGGTCAAAGTGCCATAAAAAGTAATAGCTGTTATTATTTATAAATAAAGGGAGGCTCCAAGAGTCTGTAGAACATGCCCAATGTCTGCCTAAGAGGTGGTCACAGGCCGGACATGAGGGCTCATGCCTCTAATCCCAGTACTTTGGGAGGCCAAAACAGGGGGATCACTTGAGGCCAGGAGTTTGAGACCAACCTGGGCAACATAACAAGACCTCATCTCTACTAAACATAAAAAAATTAGCCAGCCATGGTGGCACACACCTGTGGTCCCAGCTACTCGGGAGATTGAGGTGAGAGGATCACTTGAGCCTGGGAAGTTGAGGCTGCAGTGAGCCGTGTTGGCTCCAATGCATTCCAGCCAGGATAACAGCTAAAAAAAAAAAAAAAAAAAGGTAACTGTGTTGTGCTGGGTTTGGAGCTCTGGGTCGTCTAGTCCTGGTGTTCCAGTTCTCTACCTTCTCCAGTGTGGTTGGCAGGTGGGCGTCCTGGCTGATGGGGGTGTACACTGGACAGGAGTAGGAAGAGGAAGGGGCTATTCCCCAGCAGGGCCCACTGCAGGTGTCCACACCACCCACTCCATGGCACGAAAGACCTGCCCTGGGGTAGCCTTAATTCCCTTCTGCGAGAGCTGGTTTCTATCAGTGCTTGCTTTGGAGCATTTTTTTTTTTTTCATAAAGGGAATTCCCTTTATGAAAAAAAAGTCCCTCCTGTGGCTTTCAGTAAACAATCACAAGTGTGTTCCAGAAAGCATTTGGTCCCAGCTGTCATAAAATCACACTTAATAATTAGCATTTCTAGAGCACTTTGGAACCTAGCAAGTGTGGTGCACATATGTTGTCTCTGTTAACTCTCACAACAGTACTGTGAAATCGATATGGCCAGCATGATGAGGATCACCCTTTTACAGATGGAGAAAACGAAAATCAGAGAGGCTGAGGGACTTGCCCAGTGGCACACAACTAGTCAGAGATAGAGCCACAATTAGAATATATGTTAAATATCTAGGCTAGGCATAGTTGCTCATGCTTGTAATACCAACACTTTGGGAGGCTGAGGCGGGACGATTGCTCTAGCCTCGGAGGTTGAGGCTTCAGTGAGCCATGGTCATACCACCGTACTCCAGCCTGGGCTGCAACAGAGCAAGACCTTGTCTCAAAAAAATAAATAAAATTTTAACTTATTGTCGGCAACTCGCCATTGCTGAGTGTACCCAGCCCTCACTCTATCCTCCAACATTAGCCATTCCCTTTGGTAGCCACACTGTATGACCTACATCAATGGGAGCAGTTTGGTGGTATTTTTGATTGGCCCCAAACTGCCTAAATACTCTTTGTGTAGCCAAGGTAGGGTGTTCCTCTTTCTCTTATGTAAAGGAGCAGAATTGGGGTTCACACTGACCCCAAAATTACCACTTCCAGGAAGCTCTTGTTTTTGTTTGTTCCTAAGAAAAACTTGGAGATTAATCTACATGTTCCCTGAGTTGAAGTGTCCATTTAAGCAAAGGACAGGATCTGCATTTGGTATAGACTTTCCTGGATAAAAGCTAAGTGATGATGCTAACCTGTCCTTTATTTGAGAACCAGCTTCCCAGCAACAAAGGATCCCAGTGTCCATTTTCATCCAGTGACCAGGTGACTCACAGCTTCCCTACCTCCTTGCCCACTGTTAGTTAAGAGCTCGAAAATGAGGAACACCACAAGAGAATGCCTGCATCCCCCAGTTGATGGATTACAGCAGTGGCTACAAAAGACCACCAAAGGTCATGTCAAACTCAGATACCCGGCCCCTCCACTTCAGCATCCACCATCTTCACCAAAACCAGAAACCATCTTTGTTCTTCTGGCCCCTGTTTTTACTTTACTTACTCCTACATTGCCCATTATAGAAGATAGCCATTAATGTCAAAACAAGTGACTCACTGGCTCCTGTGATAATTATAAAAGGTGCATTTGGAAGGGCAGAGGTAGCTGAAAACTTTATAAGAGGTTTAAATTGACACCTGTAGAAATTAATGAGAGCAATTGTATCTTCAAGATTAGAACCCTTTAGACCGAGTCTCATTCTGTGGCCCAGGCAGGAGTGCAGCAGTGTGTGATCTTGGCTCACTGCAGCCTCTGCCTCCCACGTTCAAGTGATTCAAGTGATTCTCGTGCCTTGGCTTCCTCAGTAGCTAGGATTACAGGCATGCGCCACCATGCCCAGCTAATTTTTGTATTTTAAGTAGAGATGGGGTTTCACCATGTTGGCCAAGTTAGTCTAGAAGTCCTGGCCTCAAGGGATCTGCCCACCTTGGCCCCACAAAGTGCTGGGATTACAGGCATCAGCCACCATGCCCGGCCCAAAAGATTGCATTTTTAAAAACGGTTTTCCAAATAGTTTGTTGTTTTTGTTTGTTTGTTTGTTTTTTAAGGAAAGAAAACATCATCAGTATAATGTGTATCTGGGATACACGGAGCAAACTGGGGGCTTTGGAATGACCGTGTGTGCAGCCTTTACATTTCAAGTGCCAGCGACCCACCTAAAGGAAGTGCTGCCATAACTTATTGTTGTGTGTCTGTCTGAAAGGGCCCCTGCAAGAATACTTGTTAGGTTTGC
Source organism: Homo sapiens (assembly GCF_000001405.40). Lineage (NCBI taxonomy): Eukaryota > Metazoa > Chordata > Mammalia > Primates > Hominidae > Homo > Homo sapiens. Next base: position 109,397,735 of record NC_000009.12, on the reverse strand, counting down.
CAGCAGTAGAATCTGCATCTGGGACTGTGCCTGGAAAGGGGCACTATGGAAGGTCCCAAAATTACTAGCAACGATTTCAATTCAGCAAACCTTTCTGGGAAGGTAGGTAGAGGCTCCAAGACCCCGCTAGATGGTTTCTCTTGCCCTCTGGCTGGGTCAGATACAAAGGAAAAGCGATGTCCTAGTGTGGGTGAGCTACCCGTGAGTAGTGAACTGTTAATTTGTCTACCAAGTGGTACTAAAACAACCTCTTGGGGTGGGCTCTTTGGGAAAAATGGGTTACCCTCAGCTTAGTTATAGGGCACTATGTCTAAGAAAGCTGAAATTGCTTTGAAATTCTCTTGGGCATGCTTTATTCACATGGTTGGCACTCATTTTTGAAAGCAGCAGATCCCATTATTCCTTGACTCTACAAATTTTTATTGAGCACCTACTATGTGCCAGGCACAATGCTGGTCTGGGGTTTGTGGTAGTGAACAAATGAGATTCCTGTCCCCATAAAGATAATGCCGTAGTGGCTGATACAGCAAACAGCCATTTTGAAACTTGGTTCCTTGGAGTCGACTCTGGGTTTTTGTGGAGGGCATGAAAGGCAATCTGCTTCTGGCCTTTGCTGTCTCCTTACCCATGGTTTCCTTGATTCCCGGTCCCCCTTTTTTTTCCTGTCCTTTTCCCTTTTTCTTCCCCCTTCTTGGGTTCTCAGCCTTCAGGAATTCCCCTTTTTCTGTTCATAGAGTTGACGGAGTGCTTGCTTCCACTTGCTGGGCCTTGCCAGCATCCGCTGGTTAGAGCCAGTTGGGGGTGTGAAGCTCTCACCTGAGGGATGTGAGTAGGCTGCACACCTTTGGTTGAGTGAGGAGATTAGAGTCACCTGATGCCTTCTCTAATATTATAGTAGGTGACTTGTTCTAAGAAGAAATATTTAAGCCAAAAAACCATCCATTGCACCCCTACCACATTGGAGAGCATCTGCTCCCACCATTCAAATTTTTTGTCTTTGGAGGCCAGAGCTGGTGATACTGATACTGTAATTTCAATACAGTTGTTCCTTAGCAACCCCTCTTAGCCGAACTTTTTATAATTTACCGTTAGCTTCAGAGCTTCTTATAACTATACTCTGATAGAATGAGAACAAAGCATTTTAGGACATAAAAATTAATAATTTTTCATAAAATTCAGTGGTTTTGTCATTTTGTATCCCTGTGACCCTGCCTCTCAGCCTCCTGGTGACTCCCATTCTAGGACAGAATCTAAGGGACCTGCAGCCAGGAGCTGTTGTCTCCCTCACACTCCTTCAGCCCAGGAATAACCAAAGCAAATTGTTGTTTTTCCGATGAATTGGAAAATGAAAAAAAAGTGAAGGTTCTCTTAAAAGCCATGTCTCATACTCTGGCCAATATCACAAAGCCTTAACTCATTCCGTTCCATCCCTGACCCTTCCAGAAAGACATACCTGTGATTCCTACACTCACTTTCCACTCTGTCCCTCCGCCTTCTCAGAGCAGTGTTTCATAACCAGACTGCCAAGCAGCCCACAGGGCCTGGAGAAGAGTCGATAAATTTTAGGAACTTGAGGCCAGGCGCAGTGGCTCACGGCTGTAATCCCAGCACCTTGGGAGGCCAAGACGGGTGGCTTGCTTGAGTGCAGAAGTTCAAGACCAGCTTAGGCAACATGGTGAAAACCAGTCTGTACTAAAAATACTAAAATTAGCTGGGCATGGTGGCGCACGCCTGTATACAGATTCCAGCTACACGGGAGGCTGAGGCAGGAGAATCACTTTAACCCAGGAGGTGGAGGTTGCAGTGAGCCGAGATCACACCATTGCATTCCAGCCTAGGTAACAGAGTAAGATTCTGTCTCAAAAAAAAAAAAAAAAAAAATAGGAACTTGAAAAAAAATATATACATATATATAGAGAGAGAGAGACACACACACAGACAGACACACACAGACAGGGTCTTCCTCTGTCTCCCAGGATGGAGTGCAGTGGCACAATATTGGCTCACTGCAACCTCCACCTCCCAGGCTCAAGCAATCCTCCCACCTCAGCCTCCCAAGTAGCTGTGACTACAGACATGTGCCACCACACTTGGCTAATTTTTATATTTTTAGTAGAGATGGGGTTTCACCATGTTACACAGCCTGGTCTCAAACTCCTGAGCTTAAGCTATCCGCCCACCTCAGCCTCCCAAAGTGCTGGGATTACAGGCATGAGCCACTGTGCCCAGCCGAAAACCAACTCTCAACACTTAGGAAACTAAATGTTTAAATTCTGTTTCTACTAAGTTGCTTCAGTCCTATTCAGTGTTAGCCTTTGCAGACATAAATATGAGTGTGTTGTCAAACTTTCCAAAGGCCAAAACAACCTTAACTTTGATTTGTCCACCTAGCTTTTTGTAAAAATTTTGTGCTTTTTAATTTTATAAATAGATTTCTTTTGTTGTATTTCTTTTTCTCACTTTAGTCATTTGAATTTAAAAATAACAATTCTCATTGACATAATTCAGATAATTCAGAAATAACCAAAGTAAAATAGTCTCCTGACTCCTATCCCCTTCAGTTTCTTCCCTCCACTTTTTTTTTTTTTTTTAAATTGAGATGGAGTCTCGCTCTGTTGCCCAGCCTGGAGTGCAGTGGCGCGATCTCGGCTCACTGCAAGCTCTGCCTCCCTGGTTCACGCCATTCTCCTGCCTCAGCCTCCCGAGTAGCTGGGACTACAGGCGCCTGCTGCCACGCCCAGCTAATTTTTTTGTATTTTTAGTAGAGACGGGGTTTCACCATGTTAGCCTGGATGGTCTCAATCTCCTGACCTCGTGATCTGCCCGCCTCAGCCTCCCAAAGTGCTGGGATTACAGGCGTGAGCTGCCACACCCGGCCAGTTTCTTCCTCTTTGTTATAATTTACAAACAACAATTTTTTATGTATCCTTCCATACTTGTTCCAGTGCTCATTGCAGATATATCATATACACATGTATACACACACAAGATTGTGTCTTTACACATTATATACACTGTGTGTGTTGCTACTATATGATCATCATTGTATAAATTATTCATTGTATAATTTGTATAAATTTACAAGTTATAAATTTGTATAAAATTGTATAAATAAAAATACAAAAATTAGCCGGATGTGGTGGCACATGCCTGTAGTCCCAACTACTCAGGAGGCTGAGGCATGAGAACCACTTGAGCCTTGGAGGCAGAGGTTGCAGTGAGCTGAGATCGCACCACTGCAGCCCAGCCTGGGCAACGTGTCTCAAAAAAAAAAAAAAAAATGTAAACACTGCCATAACACTTTTTAATATATGATTTATCTTAGTAGGATTAATCTTAGTACTTTACAAATTTATCAACAGATCATTACTGCTGAGATACATTTAAAGTCTTATGGTAATTAAAGCCTTTTTCTGTAGCTGTGCTTTTCTGCTAGACCACCTCAAGTTGATTTTATTTACACTTTCATTGTTTGAAAAAAAATCTCTTTTTCCCACCAGGTTAGCTTTACTATGTTCACTTAATTGTATATTCACTTAATTGTTGATTATATTCACTTAATCAGTTAGAACTAAAATGCCGTTTAGGTAAATTTAACTTAGGTGCCCGCCTTCTGCCAGAGTCAACCCAAAACCTCTAATAAATCATTAGTTTATTCCTAAAATGAACTCACAGAGTTTATTAGAGACTGCAGTTATTTAAGAAGTTGTTCAGCTGCCTGATGGTTATGAACTGAAACTGTAAAGGTGGTGAGTAGCTGAGCTCTTGGAGTGTTTGGAAATTCTAGACATTTGGCAAATGTATAAGATACAGCACCATTATTATGACCCAAACTCTCTATGTTAATTATCTTCTGGGGAGTTCTGTGTAATTTATTTATTTAGTAAGAGAAAAAACAGACTAACAGAAGCCAGTTTACAAAACAATACAATTTGCAAAAACATAGAGGGAAAAATCCTTTTTACCCTCCCTATTCAAACTGCAAACACATCTTTATTAAGGATGTTGGCCACAATTTGGTGAATTTATCATACATCCCTGTAGGGCAACTTGGTTATATGTATCGAAACTCAAAAATCCTAGCACTTTCAGAGGCCGAGGTGTGTGGATCACCTGAGGTCAGGAGTTCAAGACCAGCCTGGCCAACATGATGAAACCCTGTCTCTACTAAAAATACAAAAATTAAGCAGGTGTGGTGATGGATACCTATAATCCCAGCTACTCAGGAGGCTGAGGCAGGAGAATCGCTTGAACCCCAGGGGATGGAGGTTACAGTGAGCCGAGATCGCACCACTTCACTCCAGCCTGGGTGAAAGAGTGAAGCTCCATCTCAAAAAAAAAAAAAAAAAAAGACAAAAAAAACCATTAAAAATATTATTTGGTATAGTAATTCTCTTCTTAGAAGTTTGAGTAAAAAAAATTTCAAAACAGCCTAATGAAAAAGTAAGATAAAAGTTAATACAAATTATAGTAAACTAGATTATTGAACCATTAAAGATCATATGTGTAAATAATAGTTAATGACATGGGGAAATAGATACTATATAATAAGTAGGAGAAAGCAGCTTGAAAATTAGGGTAGTTATTTCCCAGAATACTCCATTAGATGCTGAGATTTTCCACGGCCAAATTAGCTTGAGATATGTTTAGCTGATCAGAATTTAACAAATGTATGCATTATGCATTGCAGGACTTGTCCTGTTAGAGATTCATAGAACATAAAATAAATGTTTTCCAAATGTCTTGACTTTGAAACTTTTTCTAAGGAATACTTACTATCTTCTTTTAGGACACTTAGGTTGAGTAGAACATAGCATAAGAAGTGCCAATATAGCCGGGTGCAGTGACTCACGCCTGTAATCCCAGCACTTTGGGAGGTCCAGGCGGGCAGATCAGTTGAGGTCAGGAGTTTGAGACCAGCCTGGCCAGCATGAGAAAACCCTGTCTCTACTAAAAATACAAAAATTAGCCAGGCATGGTGATGCACACCTGTAGTCCCAGCTACTCGGAAGGCTGAGGCACGAGAATCGCTTGAACCTGGGAGGTGGACGTTACAGTGAGCCGAGATCACGTCACTGCACTCCAGCCTGGGCAACAAAGAGAGACCCTGTCTCAGGAAGAGAAAAAAAAAGTGCCAGTATGTTGTTCAATCTCATTTTTTGCTTTTAAAAACATAGTATATAAATGTATTATGCGTTTACATATATGTGCTTCTGTTCATTTGTGTTCATGTAGGCACAGAAAAAATAAGCTGGAGAAAATATACAAAAAGCACATCTCAGAGTTGTGAAATTGCTGATAATTTTTTTCTTTATATTAGTCTGAATTTCCCAAATTTTCCGCAAAAAAAAAAAATCACTTCCAACACTGAAAAAACTGTGTTTTTAAATTCCCATAGAGTTAATAAAAACCACTGGTGAGAAAGGATTAAAGGGAAAAAGCAGTCATATAGAAAAGAAAACATAAGCCTTGGAGTCAGATCTGAGTTCTTGTTTGTGATCTCGAACAAAGCATTGAACTTGCAAAATAAGAATACAATTAATATCTCTTACAGGGCTGTTGTGAAAATCACATCAGATACCATACAAATATGTCTAATACATGACTTTAGATATGCAAAGATTGTGTTGTTTGAGATTTTTCGTAGTGATTACATGTGTAGGGAAGTACCTCTGTAAATGAAATGTACTATATATTGGGATAAATGTTTTTCCTGTGGAAATAGACTCCTGAAATGATGAATGAAATGCTCTCGTTCTTAAAGGAAGGGTGTGGTTCACTACATTGAACTGAAGGGAAATGATTCTAGACTAATTTAGATGATTTCCATTTAATTTTGAGCCAGAATTCTTCCCCCCCCCCCCCACATCTAGTTGCTTTTAGCTCTTGTCAAATAGTTGTCATAAAGACAAGGTTTCACTTACCATGCTCCATTACCTGAGACCCAGACCCTTCCTATGGCATTTTTTCAAATTAAAAAAAAAAATTATTAAAGAGTTTAGTCAGTTTCTCATGGAACTGTAGAATTTCTTATTGGGAAGATTTTCTTTTAGTATATAACACATAATCACTTTAAAATGTTAAGATTTTGGTACTGTGAATGATAAAGTATGTTTTCACACTTTCTTCATCTGATTTTTGCAATGCTTGCTTTTTTCTCTATTTCTCACATAGCAACTCTACAGAAAAAAGCCAGGTTTGGCCATCACGTTTGCAAAGCTGCCTCAAAATTTGGACAAAAACCGATATAAAGATGTGCTGCCTTGTGAGTATCCGGCATGAATGCCTCCTTCCCCCCTACACTGAGATAATGTTTCCCTTTTTAAAACAGATTGTCTGGTATTCTGGAACGATTTTCAGTGTGTCTGTAAACACCACCGTCTTTATTGCAGCCATTTCAGACTCGGAACAGTTGGGGAATAGTGTTTATGCTAATGAGGCAGAGCTGCAGATGGGGCTGGGAACTGAACTCTGGTTTACTTGGTATGATAAAAATAATGCTCGGAATAATCGGTAAATTTTTCTCTTCCCCGCAGATGACACCACCCGGGTATTATTGCAGGGAAATGAAGATTATATTAATGCAAGTTACGTGAACGTAAGTTAGGAATCTGGATGATGCTTAAGAGCACATTCACCACTGTCGCAACGATGATGAGGGCCTGTGTGGGGCTTTGCAGTTGACACAGTGCTTTCCCGTTCACCACCGCATTTCAGCACCACAACAGCCATGGGAGGGCAGGCAGAATAGTCTCATTTTACAGAGGAGAAAACTAAGGTTCGGAGAGTTAAAATAATTTGAAAAGTCACAAAGCTAACAGAAGATGGGACCAGACTTGTTCTGTGTTTCTAATTCAATCGTCCACATGCCCCTGTACTGAGTGGCTTCCATTCAGGTGTTTGTTTTTGCCAGTGATGAAACTGTCTATTTCTCTCCATGTAATGAGTGTCATCCTGCCTTAAAAAAAAAATGAGAAAAATAAAACCTCCTCTGTACATATAAGCCAAAAAGAAAAAGTGGAATGTTTCACATGTTATGGGAAAAGCACTTATTTTCTCTCTAAAAACGCATCTTGGGCAACTTACTTGGCCTCTCTAGACTTCCATTCCTTCTTTTTTATTTTATTTTATTATTATTATACTTTAAGTTTTAGGGTACATGTGCACAATGTGCAGGTTAGTTACATATGTATACATGTGCCATGCTGGTATGCTGCACCCATTAACTCGTCATTTAGCATTAGGTATATCTCCTAATGCTATCTGAACCTGGGGTCAGACTTTCTGTAGCCAACCAGATAGTAATATGTGATCTTTGCATTTGAAATGTAACCACTTAAAAAGATTAAAAGCCGCTCTTAGTTTGCAAGGTGGCACACAGATTTGGCCTTCAGGCGATACGTGGTCTGCCAACTCCTAAATAGACAGATGATTTCTCAGATTAAGTTCTCAAGTTATAGCAAAGTGTCAAGAAATGCCCTAATAAAAACTGGTCTCATCAGTGATTCCACCTGTTCCAAAGCATCTATGGGATTCATTGACCCTCACTTCAACATTCCCGGTGTCTTAAAAGCAGAGCATCAGAAACATTAGGGGCAGCAATACCATAAAGACCAGTCTTTTCATATAATCCCAGGACTGAGGAAGCCATTTATCCAAGCACCAGCCGAACCATGAATTAGAAGCCTTCCTTTACCTTGCTCACCTGAGAGTGAGTGAATCCCAGTGCCAGCCCAAAGCTCAGCAGGTTCTGAGTGTTCTTTCGTCAAAAGGACTCAGTCCAGAGGGCAAAAAGGAAACATGGAGCAGGAATATTTCTACCTGAAACATTCATTTCAAAACATTTCAACATTTAATGTCAAGATTGACCAACTTCATGATACAAGCATTGGAAGCCATGCAGAAGGCAAAGTGCAACAAGAATTGGTGGTGTAAACCTGTAAGGTTTATGCTTTAAATAAACGTAAATAGATTTTGATAGAAAACCCTGCATAGGGAAAGACTTAGGGGTAGGATTGGTACATACGGCTGAAAATGCAGATAGCCAATATTGATTATATTTAGGATAGAGCAATGAAAGTCATTTAAACTCTTCTGCCATCTCACAGATAGATTTCTGATTTTTGCCTACTGAGTACCACACACTTTTATCTTAAAGATCTAATACTGGTGGTTGTCAGATATTTTTCAAGAAGTTTTAGAAATAACTTGTTTGATTTTCCTTATTGGCTGTGAATTGATAAAGAGATAATTTTTCTGGTGCAATATCAATTAGCAAGTAGAATAGTTTAAAATCCAGTTCCCTGTGCACCCTGGGGCAGCAACAGATTCTAATACTTTACCAATTTCTTACCAGATGGAAATTCCTGCTGCTAACCTTGTGAACAAGTACATCGCCACTCAGGGGCCCCTGCCGCATACCTGTGCACAGTTTTGGCAGGTTGTCTGGGATCAGAAGTTGTCACTCATTGTCATGTTGACGACTCTCACAGAACGAGGGCGGGTAAGTAGCTTGATTTCTAATTCAGATGTGTGCAGTGTCACACCCTACTCTGTGTAACATGAATCTCAGCGCTGAGAAGGGTCTTCAGCGTCTCCTGGTCCAGCCCGTATGTGACCCTAAGTCTCCTCTACAGAGCAACCAATAGACACCCCTAGTGACGGGAGGCTCAGCCCTCCTCCTCCCCAGTCCCAGCTTGGATCCATTACAACAAGCCAGAAGGCACTTCCCCTAGCCTTACTTCATGTGCCCCAACACCCCTGCAGTGACGTGGCCTTGCCCATTCAGGACAAGTGCTGGTCCTGAAAGAGCAGTGTGTGTGCCAGGTTAACAGTGGCCTTTGTAAAAAGGAGAAATTACATCACTGTGCCATTTTCCATAGAATCCATTTGGGCAGCTCAGCGCTGTCCCTGTCTTGTCTGTCTGCCCTTCTCTTCCCTGTAAAGTTGACTCTGCCTTTTCAGCAGGAAGGTCATTCTTCTCCTCAGAGAAAAGGGAGCCCCCACCGCCCAGCAATGGTCTCTTGTCTTAGGGCTGATAACCCTAAGGGTTGGTTGCCCTGGATAGCAGCCCCCTTCTTTCCCTCATTCTGCTTTTTCCAGCTTGGGAGAAAAGGCCCTTTCTGTGATCCAGGAGACCTCAGCTTCCTCCAGCCACTCCTATGGCTGCTGTCCGCCAGCTCCGTGCTGCTGACAGCCCCTCTTTTTTGTTGATGTCCACTCTGCACCTGAGCTCATTTGAGGTCTCCATTGTGACCTGGAGGGTTTGTTTCCCAGCCCTTTCTTTCTCACTGAAGCTATTCCAGCTGCTTTGTCAGTTTCCTGCATTAGAGATTCCCATCTCCTCTGAGGTCTAGCATTCCCTTCACTATCTCTGGCCCTGGAACTTAACCTCCCCTGTTTATCCATTGGTAGAAACCTGTTCTTCTGAAATCCAGGGTGCATGTTTCCTCCCTCTTCTGTTGCAAACTCTTGGATGACAGGATGACCTCAGCCCTTTATCCTGAAGGCCCTAACCCGTCCACATCACCACCCACCAGTTCTTCCAGATTAGGAGTCCATCACTCCAGGCAGCAGCTTTGCGCCTTTCTCTGAGAGATGAAATTTTCAGCATCTCCCATTTGTTTTCTCCTATACCATGCATTTAGTAGAGTGGGACTCCCAGCAGGTGTGCAGCTGGCTGGAGTCCACCCCCGCTCCCCAGCCTCGCTGTGCTACTCTCAGGTCTGCAAGTGCAGAGAGAGCCTTCTTTGAAGCCTCATATCCCCAGCGGTCAGTAGGACACTTCCCCACGAGATACTTGATTTCTCCCTTTTTAAATTCCCACCCAAAATGTTTTTCTTTGTGCTCTCCCTTGAGGCTCATGGGTTTCTTCTTAGAAACATTGCAATTGAATAAGTTATTCTCCCTCACTTTCCATCAGAGATGTTTCTTTTGGAGAGAAATATCATTTTTTGCTACTACACGTGAATAATGCAGGTACTCTTCCTGGCCCACTGGCGGTCAGAGGCAGGGGCTTTGGGGTCAGAGGAGGCGTTTGAGTTCTGGCACCACCGCTTTCCACTGTTTAACCTTGCACAGGGCTCTAAGCCTCAGTTGCCTCATCACTAGAAAGGAGGTGGTAATGCCTGTCTTTTGGGATTGTTTTGAGAATTAAGAATGAGCTACCCTGGACTGGCTGCCTCATCCAGTAGTGGGTGCTCCACGTGGCATAGTGAGTCAGGATCCTGGCCTCCTTGTCTCACAGGGCCAGAGGCAGATAGGTTTGCTGCTCTGGGCAACATTAGGGGCCCCTGGGTTGCCATGAGGATCATGTGAGGTGACAGGAAGAGGTTTGAGGCAGCACAAAGCTCTATAATCCCCCTTGCTCTTGTTATCTGTTAAACACACTGTTTGGTGAAATGCACACTTAGGCAACGAGGCTCTTCGGCAGAGAACTGATCTCTGAGTCAGGCTTCATCAGGCCCTCTGGTTGGTTCAGCAAATGGATCTAGGCACTGATTCCTTCCACCTCCTGAACCCAGACCCATCTGCTCATTTGTTGATAGGACACATCTACCTGAGTGTCCTCACATACAAGGTGCCTGAAGCTGAAGCTGTCAGCCATGCACCTGCACCCAGGTGGTACACGCCCTGAGCTCACCAGTCTGGCCAGTGGCACCCATCTGCCCAGTCACCCGAGCCAGGAACCTGGAATCGGTCTTACCCCTCCCTTCTCTTCACTTCCCACATCCACTCACCACGGTCTGCCGCTGCCAGTCTCCCCTCTCTGTCCCCCAAACCCTCACCTTCTCTCAGAGCTTTTGCATTTCTCTTCCAGGAGCAGCAGCAGCAGCCTCCTTAGTGGCTTCCTGGCCTAGAGGCTCCCCCAGCCCCCGTCTTGTCCATCCCTTGGCACAGCTTTCAGCGATACCTTTCCAGAGGGTTGCCTGGTCCTGTCATTTCCCTGCTCAAACCCTCTGGTGGCTTCTCAGGTGCACCACGTAAAGTCTCACCTTGAGACTGGTACCTTCTGTGCAGGTGTATTGTACTGTCTGTCGTTCCCTGGGTACATCATGTGCCTCTTTACCTCTTGACCATGTGTGTCCCATTCCCTCTGCCTGAATGATCCATCCTTGCCTTGCCAACCTGATGAAGACCCTCGTCCTTCAATACTGAGATCTCCATCCCCTCTCTCCAGGACATTACCTCCTCCTCCTGTGTGAGCCGCCTGTGTCTCTGACTTCCCTCTTTCTTTTCTTTTCACCACATTCCCCCAACACCGATTCGAGAGCACCTTGAGGACAGTGCCACATCGTGTCTCATTCATCTCTGCATCCTCAGGGATGTTTATTAACTAAGTGAACAAGAAAGCAAGCTTTTCACCATGAAGCCTTCTAAATTTGGCCCATGACTCCCACTAAACCCTATCTGGTCCATCTTCCTGAGATAGTGCTCTCTCTCCTTCTTTGGCATGTTATCCATCGTTAGAATCCTGTTCTTCTGAAATCCAGGGTGCATATTTCCTCCCTTTTCCTCCCTCTCCTGTTACAAACCCTTGGATGACCAGATGACCCGAGCCCTTTATCCCTAAGTTCCTATCTCATCTTCATCACTGCCCACCAGTTCTTCTGGATTAGGAGTCGGTCACTCCAAGTGAGCAGATTTATCCCTTTCTCTGAGAGCTGAAATTTTCAGTATGTCCCATTTGTGTTCACCCATATCATGCATTTAGTAGAGCAGGACTCACAGCAGGCGTATGGCTTGTCTTCCACCCAGCTTGTGGCTTGTTTCCTCTGGTCCAGAAAGACACATCCTTTCAGAAACCATCTCCCTGGTCAGCTTTCCCTTCCTGAAGCCTCTTCTCGAAACCACACCTGGGGACTGGAAATGAGAAACAGGCCCCACTCAGGCTTGTGAATCTCTGAGGACAGAGCATTCTGAGTTCTGGCAGCATCTGCCCAGGGTCTCGTCCCCAGCAGCATGTTGCCAGCCTCCTAGCTTCAGTGATCTTCGTTGTCCATTGACAACTTCTCCAGAAGTGCTTCTTCTCTTATATGCTCAGCTTTGCATATGTTACTGTTTAATTTAACCACAGCCCTAAGAAGGTGCATTTTCTTGTCATTCCAGAGTATTACCAGCCTGGCTAAGGGTTCACAGGCCTGTTGAGACATTCCAGCTCTGCCCCAGTTCCTCTCTCTGTGATCTGACACACACTGATTCATTCTCTGAGCCTCAGTTTACTCATATGCAAAACAGAGACAATCATAGTACCTACCTCATAGGGTTGTTTTGAAGCCAAGGTAAAGCCATGTTCATGAAAGGCACCATTCAGTGCTTAGCATCTACCGTTCTGAAGATATGAAGCTTCAGAATCATCGCCCCTCGCTGCAGCAGCATTAATGTGGAGACTGAGACCCAAAGAAGTTAAGTAATTTGCCCGAGATCACTAACCAAATATGTTTAGTAGAATTTATTAACCAGGGTTGAAACTCAGGATCTCCACAGACTTGTTCTTTCCACTACACCACCAGTTTTTCCAGATCCAAATTGAACTGCAATCTGTATTTGGTCAGAGGTAAAGAGAGAGTCTAGTACTGCTCAGATTCACTGTGGAATAAGGGGAGTCTCTCTGGCAGTACAGATATTGGTAGTTCTGCCTTGCATGGGTTGATCTCATCAGAGAATATCTTCTCTGCAATTACCCTGTGGGCAGGACCATTGGGAGCCTACAGGACAGGGATTTATCCTTCCTATGCAGATGAGGAGGTGAGAGAGGGCTTGTGTCTGTCAACTCTGCCTTGGGCCCTACAGCCCTTAACCTGTCATGTCTAAGCAAAGTCACAGAATGGCTACTAACCAAAATTACCCATGTTTAAGGTTTCCAAGTAAATTCTTAACTCCAGCTTTCCAGCGGCATAGTTTAGTTTCAAGTATTCACTGTGACATTTGAAAGTAAGAATAGAGAGGCTGTTTCCCAACAAATTACATATGTCTTATGGTTATACCACTTTTCCACCATGAACAAATGTATTTTTTACTTAAGTTGCTATAACCACATATAGGCTCAGGGGAAAATGCTTGTTTAATGACTTAGGATTTAACTGACAGAAGGATCTATGATGGGATGGACAGCCTAGCCCTGAAGTTTGCTTAGAAGCCAGAGGCAGGTGCTAAGATGGCTTACAGGACAAGTTGCAGGTTTTAGAAGCAGGGATAGAAACTGGGGAGGGTGGTGGGATCAGCCCGTCTGTGCGGACAGCACAGCCATATTGAGAGACACTGGGGTGCCATAGGAAGAGTGCTGGACTGCATCACTGTGACCTCATGGCCTTGGGCAAGTCACTTAATCCCGAGTAGCCCTGGATTCCTTGTCTGCTGTGTGGGATATCACCTCTTTAGGGCGTCACCTAAGAAAGCCTTCAAGGGCTTCAGAGACGCTGCTCCAGTGAGAAAGGTATTCATCTCGATTTGTGAGTCCCTTAATCTGGGTTTTTGTGGAAACTCATCACTGTTACTCAAGCTGGTATGTAACCCATGACAGCAACAGAAGTCATGGCCACCCCCGCCTGCCCCCTACAGTGGCTAAGTACTGCACACCCACGCCGGCCGCCTCACCAGCGTTGAGGCAGGAGCCACCTCCATCTTCCCGGTGGAAAACATGAAAATCAGAGAGGTTAAGCAACTGTTTCGACATCATCTGGCTGACAAATGGAGGAGGAAAGGATCCCAGCGGAGTTGTGTATGACACCAGATGTGTGCCCTTAACTGCTGTGCCTGGAGGCCTCCCCCTCAAAAGGGTGGGGAGAATGGTGGAGGAGGGGTGCAGGAGGAGGGGCCGTTGGAGGTGGGGAGGGGCCTGAGGGGCTGGGGTCTGGGAGGGTAGAGAGGTTGCTCACAGGCTAAGGTCCTGCATCTGAGGCCACTGGTGCTCTTCCAGCGAGTGGCCCCTGGTGATGAAGACGCTGCGTCCTCCTCCTCCAGGCTGCAGCCTGGGGCTGAGCGGAGACCTGTGGCCTAGTCCCTGGCAGGCTGCCCCCACCCCGCCCTGAGAAACAGCTGATGGACTTGGCTGAGTTTGTTTTCTCCCATCAGTGCTCTCGGGTGTGCATGAGAGGATGCCTAACCCGTCCACCTGTCCAGGGTTAACTGCTTGCAGGAACACCCCACAGACGGGGCTCACTCACTCTCGGTGGTTTCTTACAGACCAAATGTCACCAGTACTGGCCAGATCCCCCCGACGTCATGAACCACGGCGGCTTTCACATCCAGTGTCAGTCAGAGGACTGCACCATCGCCTATGTGTCCCGAGAAATGCTGGTCACAAACACCCAGGTGAGCCGCAGCCTGAGGGGCACGGTGGAGGGGCAGGTGCTGAATCAGCGGCCACTGTCATCCCAGGTGGTCACGCTTCTAGGTGTGCACTCTGTTTGCACCTGGCAAGCGTGTCAGTAAGTGCGCAAGACTGCCCATCAAAGAGCCAGGGCCCAGAGTTCACAGTGGCCCTAGTCACAACAGGCACGAGGTGCAAACAGCCCAGTGTCCATCGATGGAGGAATGGATAAACAGCACGTGGTCTGTCCATACAATGGAATATGATTCAGCCTTTAAAAGGAAGGAGATTCTGACCCCTGCTACAACACTGGGGAACCTTGAGCATATTATCCTAAGTGAAATAAGCCAGACATAGAAAGACACATACTGTAGGATTCAACTTCTGTGAAGTGCCTAGAGTCGTCCAATTCATAGAGACAGAAAGTAGAACGGTGGTTGCCAAGGGCTTGGGGAAGGAGGAGAAAGGACATCTATGGACATTTTGCCATATGGCATAATGGGTGCAGGGTTTATGTTTGCGGGATATTTTAAAGTTCTGGAAATAGGTAGTGCTGATGGCTCTACAACATTGCGAGTATTCTCAATGCCGCTGAACTGTACATTTAAATGTGGTTACAGTGGTAAGCCTCATGTTAGTATATTTTGCCACAGTTGAAAAAAAAAAAAAAAAACAGTCAGCATGTGTGGCCTCTAATGGCAAGTACCATAGCAGCAAATGGAGGAGATCACTGGGCAGAGGAGATCACTGGGCAGAAGTGATCAAGGAAGGCAGCCCTGCAGGACAGGCCCACAGCTGAGCCTGAGAGGGGATGGGGATCTTTGGGGAAGGAGGGGAGGAATTGCTAGGGGCCACAGCAGGGCTGTGCGCAGAGGGAGAAAGCATCAGGAGACAGGGCCACCCTGTGTCTGGGTTGGGGCTGGGTCCTCATGCTCACCACCTGGATGGGCTCACCAAGGCCACTGCATCTCCCACAGACCGGGGAAGAACACACAGTGACACATCTCCAGTACGTCGCATGGCCTGACCACGGTGTGCCCGATGACTCCTCCGACTTTCTGGAATTTGTAAACTATGTGAGGTCTCTGAGAGTGGACAGCGAGCCCGTCCTAGTTCACTGCAGGTATGGCGCTTGCTGTTTTGTTAGGTTTGGAATCCTTTCCCTGTCGGAAAAGGCCTGGAGACAATTGGCAGGCGCCAGACCCACCCTACATCCCACAAAGTCGTGTGCCCTTACAAACCTCTGTTGACTGTGGTTCTTCACCATTTCAAAAGTTTTTTGGAATTTTATGAAATCCTAACTTTGTGAATGTAGCACAGAACTGAAGAAGAAAATCCCCTCACACACCCTTTCTCCTGTCCTTCTGTCAGCTGACCTTCGTCATAGGTGTGAGTGAGAAAGGGAATAGGTTTGGCACTTCACAGTGGCCCTCTTTCCACTGCCTGCTAGCCCCCAGTCTCAGATGTGTGAGGACAGGCTGTCTCAGCCTGTTTGAGAGCACGCCGTGAGTGTGCGTTTTGTCTTCTCGAAGGCCAAGGGAGGAAAGCCCCTTTGGAGTCAGCGGGGAACTGCTCGCTGGGCCATGCAGAAAGGCTACTCAGACAAATCCCAAGTCTGTCTTCTCTCCCCTCTCCAGTGCTGGAATAGGTCGAACCGGTGTGTTGGTCACTATGGAAACAGCCATGTGCCTAACTGAGAGGAACCTGCCCATTTACCCACTGGATATTGTCCGAAAAATGCGAGACCAGCGCGCCATGATGGTGCAGACATCAGTGAGTAGAAATCCAGTAATTACGGTGGCTGGCACTTTCTGAGCACTTACACCAGGCAGGCCTGAGAGAAGGGCTTTGTGAGTCAACAGACTGCAGCTCAGGGGGACTGAATCACTTGCCCAAGGTCACAGAGCTTGTCAGTGGCTACAGCCCACACCCATCTCACCTCTGAGCTCTGCTGCCTCTGTGGTTTATTTCCTGCCAGCCCGTCTGTCAGGGAGCAGCCCTGGTTGCATTCTGTATCGTTGAACAATCATTTGTCCATTATCCTCCCCCGCACCGACCCACCTAGACCTGGGTACTCCTTTTGGCTCAGTGGATGTTGCATATGACCCTACTTTGAGCTCTGTTCCACCCGTGTGGTGCCTGAGTACCTGCTGTGTCCTCCACGGGCAGGCCAGAGCTCAAAGTAGGGTCATGTGCAACATCCTCTTGTCCTCAAGAGGAACTCTAGGGGATAACTCTTGGGGATTTCCCCTGGAACTGCAAGCGGGGCAGTGAAGCGGTGTGGAAAGAGCATGATTAAGGTCCCACCACAAATGGAACAACCTTTGCATAAGTCCTGAACCTCTCTCCAAGCTTCAGCTTCCCTGTGCAAAATGGGGACCATCCCACATTCATTCATTCATTCATTTGACAAAGAAGGGTGCAGAGACAGGCTTGTATCTAGTAGGAGAACTGGATTAGTCTATGCTAAGTGTCAGCAGCGGTGAGGGAAGTTCAGGGCTGTCTGAGAACATGGTGGAAGAGTATCTAAAGCAGGATTTGGAAAGTCTAGGAAGGCTTCCTGGAGAAGTGTCTTCTCTGGTAAAAACCCCCAGGGTACATGAGGAGTTAGCAAAGAAAGGAGCAGGAACTATATGTTCCAACCAGCTCTGTCTCTTCACAGGCTGTGGACAAAGTTTATAAGATTTCCCTAATAAATTTTTAAGCTTTGGTAGTTTTATATTAGTTTGTACCCAGAAAATCTTGTTAAGAGAAAAAAAATCAGCTTATGTTATTAGGGCCATTCTCTGCCCTGTTTTTTGGTATGGAAGACCTCGTGGCTGGTTAAAAAGAAAAAAGTCCATCATCCTGGTAGATTTTCCCAGCTGGAAGCTGGGCACGGTGGCTCACGCCTATAATCCCAGCACTTCAGCAGGCTAAGGAAGGTGGATCACTTGAGATCAGTAGTTCAAGACCAGCCTGGCTAACATAGTGAAACCCCGTCTCTAATGAAAATACAAAAATTAGCCAGGCATGGTGGCATGTGCCTATAGTCCCAGCTACTTGGGAGGCTGAGGCAGGAGAATCGCTTGAACCCAGGAGGTGGAGGTTGCAGTGAGCCAAGATTACGCCACTGCACTCCAGCCTGAGTGACAGAACAGGACTCTGTCTTGAAAACTAGATAGATAGATAGATAGATAGATAGATAGATAGATAGATAGATAGATAGATTTTCCTAGCTGGAGAAGCTCAGTCTAAATGCTTTTATCCCCCCTGTATACTTTGCTACAATATGTTTCTTAGGTATTTGCTAAGATAAATAACTGTATCCTGCAGAGCATCTTTCAGTGGCTCTGCTTTGTAAAACACAATCCAGACTCCTTACCCCAACACAAGGTGCCCACAACCAGGTCCCAGCCCACCTGTGCAGCCCCTCCTCCTCCACATGCCTAGGTGTTGAGTCCAGGAGCAGGCTCCCTGACCCCGTTTCTCAAAATGGGCTCTTACTGAGGCTTCCACACTTCCACTTACAAGAAGGGCTGTCCCGCAGGGACTTTTGCTCCTTCCCACCTCCCCCAGACCGCCAGTTTCTCCCTCTGTCATGTCTCCATGACACTTTGCCCACCCCTCTCTGGGAGTGCCCCCTCCCCGCATCATATAGGAACTAGGGCTTCACAGGTGTACCTGGCCTGTGGCCCAGAGTTGGCGCTCAGGGAATATTTACAAATGCTGCAAAAGACCCACCGGTACAGGGTGTGGTAGGCAGCATTTCCTGGAGCTACAGGACTTGACAGCATTTTTTTCTTTTCCAGAGCCAGTACAAGTTTGTGTGTGAAGCGATTCTTCGTGTGTATGAAGAAGGTTTAGTCCAAATGCTGGATCCTAGTTAAGACAACTGTGAAAAAGTTCATTCCTCTTTCCCAAGGGCATCCTCCTTGAAAGAGGAGGACAGACCTCTCTGGAAGCAGCAAGAGGAACCAGTAGCTGTGGGAAAGGAATGGGCACCTCTGAACCCAGGCACTTTAAACTTCTATAGAAAAGATATCGTGTACATAGGAACTGGTGTAGATAAGCATGCAATTATGGCATCATTTAGGCCTGTATTTCTATGGAAAGATACAAAAAGGATCTCAGTTTGGGGCCTGTCCTAATGCCTTCTTCCCTAACATCACCACACACACCCCTGTCGGCATCCTGGAGCAATTGAGACCGGACACCCACAGAGCTGTTGTCCTCCCAGCAACAAGATGGTGTGGTTATCTTGGGTCATTTGGATGTTTTGTTTGTTTCTGTGTGTCAGACTGTAAGGGCTGAGCTTTCTGTGCTTCTAGGTGGAGCTGGAACAATTCAGATTCACCCGCCCTGATGCTAAGGAAACCCTGACGTATGTACTAGATGGCAGGGCACTGGGGGTCAGGCTGAAGGCTGAGCAACACCTCTCTGCCCTCCCTCCCTTTGTCCCATCTCCCAGCGACTTCCAATATTCATGTTTCTGAGAATTGTGTCCCTCTTCAGGTTCCCTCTTGGTGCCTAACCTGGATTAGTAATGTGCATTCAGGTGAATTTTCAGCTGAGGCTCTGAGAACTGGTACTCTCAGTGTGTTCTGGTCATCTTGTGGCTTAGTTGTAGAAGCAGGTGTGTCTCTTGCCTCTGCTTGCCTCCTACTGCACACTCAGCACCCAGGACTGGAATCACCGACTACTGAATCTCCTACATGTATTGCTGCTACTTCAAGCTCCTCCACTTGAAACCTTATGATTTTCCCAAGGGGAGATGGGACAGTGTCATCTAAATATTCCGAATGTTTGGCCTTCTGAGAAAAGAGCTTCTAGTAATTGAACCATGGGAAACCCAGCTTCTGGAGGGTTGGCCGTGGGGCTGTGTACATGTGTGTGCCCAGGGGTGAGTGTTTCTCAGGATTCCTAACGATTCAAATTACCGTTGAGTATATATAAAGAATGAGTCTCTGTATGGAAGAACAAATGTGTGCATTCACCCCCAGTCACAATGGTCTCCATTGCATTTCAAAGGAGAGGATCAGACTATCTGAATATAAACACAATCTGATGTTAATTTATTCTAAGAACACCATCATTTTGATTGTCCTAAAGAATTCTGCCTTTGTGAATACCGTGTTAAATTTTTTTAAATTTGTGACAGGATTGTAGCAAATTATTATTTAAGGAAAATAAATTGTGTAAACATTTAATGTGGTATTTTTGAACAGCGGTTTTTATGTACTCAGAAGAGGAAGTAAAGCCAGGTTCTTAATGGTATTTATAGAAAAGATGTTTTCATATTATAATGCACATAAATGAAGCCATTTTGATATTCAGCAAATTCGGTGCCAATTGAATAGTTTGCTGGTAGCAAGACGGATGAAGACCTATATGGGAGATTCTTTATCTCTAGAGCTAGCATATTTACTTGCATACTTTGTTTCTTTTCCACATGGATATTTTACTGCTAAATGGCAGAGGTGGGAGGGAGATGTCACACAGTACCATAACCCCATATTGAAAACAAGAAACCACCAGAAAGTTTGCAGCTAAGGGGCAGGGGATTCAGTTCCTACGCCCACTCAGCACTAACTACTTGCGGGCCTGGTTGCTTAGAAGCTCTACCTCTCTTTCATTATCTGTAAAATAGAAACAATACTTAGGACTTTAGTTGGAACATGAGGATTGAATAAGATCACGCTATTCATGTGACTTTTTATCGGCTAGAACAGCAACAGACACTGCTGTGGGTGAGTTACTTAGAAAAGTTTAGTTATCAGTGATTAGCCCAAAAACACATCAGTCAAAAATAGAATCCACTGGATTTTTGTCTCTCTTTTTAGAGACAGGGTCTCACTGTCGCCCAGGCTGGAGTACAGTGGCATGATCATTGTTCACTGCAGCCTCAAATTCCTGGGCTCAAGCAATCCTCGCACCTCAGCCTCCTGAGTAGCCGGGACTATAGGCACATGCCACCTCACCTGGCTTGTGTGTGTGTGTGTGTGTGTGTGTGTGTGTGTGTGTGTGTGTGTGTGTGTGTGTGTGTGTGTAGAGACAGGATCTTGATGTGTTGCCTAGGCTGGTCTCAAACTCCTGGCCTCAAGTGATCTTCCCACCTCAGCCTCCAAAACTGTTGGGATTATAGGCGTGAGCCACTGTGCCCAGCCTAACTGGGTTTTTATGAGAGGAAAATAGAAAATGCTCTTCTAGAAGAGAGAGAACAAGAGCACAAAATAATCTGGACTCACAAAAATTCAGCAAGCTCCAAGAAAGGGGGATGGAGGGAACGCTGGCAAAAATTTAAATGCCATTAGGATATTTAGCAAGTTATTACTGTTTGGTAAAAATGCATCATCACCCTGTGTGCAAAATGCTTGCAAAGTAGTCTAAATGTCTTTGGAGATGGGTGTTTTACTGCTTTTTTCCAAAAACAAATTGTTTATTATGGTTGCAGAAATGCAGCCATTACGGTCACATAAATTTCTAAAAAGCCTACCAAAGGTTGCAAGCAGTCTTCTGCCACTGGGCAGGCCAGCAGTTCAGACCCAGCGAGGTTGCCAGGAACAAATCCAGGAAATACTGGGAAGAACAAGACAAGAGAATTACCTAAAAGAGCAAACAATTCAAGTAAATCCTGTAGCTATTACCACTTAAAATCCGTAGCTCAAGATTCCTGTTTCACCACCTTATACACTTAAGCAATTATACTTAAGCCTTTTTTTAGTCCTAAGTGAAGAACTACATCAGAATCAGGATAAGTATTTTGCCTGGGAAATTTGGCTGCATATGAATGGAGAAGACATTTACATCCTATGTTCTGGCACTTTCTGAAAGATCTAATTAAACATGTTGATGTGCCAATTTAATCAAGATGAGAGATCCCTGCTGGTGTCACCCTCTAGAACCTGCACTTGGTGTTTTGACTTTCCAGAAGAAAAAAATGCAACTTTGGTTAGGGGGCAGTGGTTGGATCACACAGTTGTCTTTCGTTTCCTACCACAGTAATTCATATTTAAATATGCTTTTAGATTAGTGTGGATACTATTGCTGCTGTGTTGCTACCTGACCTTTTTCTGGGGGGGGTACCTCAGAAATGAGCATTTGAGGGCAAGCGAAAAAGCCCTCTTCATCCTCCAGAGGCAACAAAGAGGCAGCAGAAATGGGGAAAGATTGTGAGAGGCAGGGCTTGGGTCTAGACCTGGACTTAGGCAAGATATGTTGCCCTCAACCCTGAGTTTTCTTATATGTAAAAAGGGAAGGTTGGGCTGGACTAGATGAGGTCAAGATTTGCCATTCTGGGAGGCTGATATTCCAGAGAATCAAAATTAATCCTAAACCAAAGCTTTATGGCTGCTACAGAGACATGTCACATTTCTGAGACTTGTCACCAAGAGTTTGTCCCTCAGACTTTGGCGCTGTTGAATGCAAAGACAAGGATGGCCACCTTCTGGTTCTTGCCTGTTGTCCTCAGCTGAGAGCAGTCTCGGTAAAGGTGGCAAAGATTCTGTGACCTCAGACCGGGGACCAAATGCTTGGGAGTCTGATGGCCGGGCTGGGCCACCATTCTCATAGCTCTCATTCTGTTTGGAGCAACCAAAGGATTTGTGTGAAGTTATTTGGAAAAGGACCTTAACTGAGCAGTAATCTTTTTTCTGTATATTTGGAATGTTTTTCATTCTGACCTGTTCTGTCAGTGATTCTACTGAAAAACAATTTAATCAATATAAAAATGTTCAAGCTATGCAACACTGTTATTGTCTGTTGACATTTTTATTCTAATTGATTTCTGCAAATCTTTTCTTATTTGTGTTTGCTTTTTCCTTTCATTTAGAAATCAACTCTTTTGGAGGAGAGTGCTCTCTGCTCATCTCCACCTTCCCTCTGGTCAGGAGCATGAACTCCCATCTTGGCCTTGTCCTGGGGTATTAGTCCATTCTCATGCTGCTAATAAAGACATACCTGAGACTGGGTAATTTATGAAAGAAAGAGGTTCAATGGACTCAATTCCACGGGGCTGGGGGAGGCCTCACAATCATGGTGGAAGGCGAATGAGAAGCAAAGTCACGTCTTACATGGTGGCGGGCAGGAGAGCTTGTGCAGGGGAACTCCCATTTATAAAGCCATCCGATCTCATGAGACTTTTTCACCACCACGAGAACAGTATGGGGGAAACCTCCCCCATGATTCAGTTGTCTCCCCCTGGCTCCACTCTTGACGTGGGGATTATTACAATCCAAGGTGAGATTTGGGTGGGGGACACAGCAAAATTATATCACCTGGTGTGGCAAATTCTATACCCAAATTAGGTTCCACCATCCTGACGAGTAGCTTTCACATAGTACAAGTTCACCTTTTGTCCTGCAGGGCTGCCAGGGTGGCTTCATGGTCACCAGGGTCCCACATTCCTCCCCACTTGTTGCTCGGCCATCCTCAGTCTACAGCTCCATCACATTCCAGCTAGTAGGAGGGAGGCAAGGGGAGGAGAAAAGCATGATCCCTCCCTGGAGGAGGTGCCACCTGGGTATTGTACATCCTGTTGATCAGAACTTTGTCACAGGGCCATACCTACTGCAAGGAAGAGAGTAGAGGGAAGGTCATTTTTATTCCAGGAAACCATGTGCCTAACAAATTCAGGGCTTCTATCTGAGAAACAAAATAATAGGTTTGAGGGACAATTAGTGCTCTCTGCCATCGCTCAACCCTTTGGCTGCCCTTCTTCTGTGACATAGAATCTGCTCTGTTGCCCAGGCTGGAGTGTAGGATCTTGCTGAGTTGACCAGGTTGGTCCCAAAATCCTGGGCTCAAGTGATCCTCCCATGTTGGCATTCCCAAAGTGCTGGGATTACAGGCATGAGGCACCGCACCTGGTCCACCACAGCTTCTATAGGCTGCTTACTCCTTGGGCAGTTTTGGGGGAGTCCCCAGGGTTACTTTCATGGTTCAGGAAGACCAGGCATGCATTTCTTAGACAATAGAATCCATCAGCTACTCACAGCGGAAGATCTGCTCTGCTTCTGCCTCTTCGACATAAACGTGGTTGCCTTGAGGCTGCCTAAAAGAGAAGCATGGGTGGGAGCAACACCCTTAGTCTGGTCTTTGAAGCAACCTGGTTTGCATTTTCTGGCAGAGAAGCCTTATCTGCACTAAGACTGCCACTTCAAGGCCACTGCGCTTAATAGCTGCAGTTTGAAGGACAAAAGCAGTTGTCATTTTCAGTGCTTCAAGACTTTAATCAACTTTGAGTGCAGCTATTGACAGCACCTCTCTGAGCAAAGCAAGAGTCCCTCCTGTCTTAGCCTGCTTACTGTTGCTATGCAGGAATACCTGAGGCTGGGCAATTTATAAAGAAAAGAGGTTTATTTGCCTCAGTTCTGCAGACTGTACAAAAAGCATGGCACCCACATCTGCTTCTGGTGAGGGCCTCAGGCCTCTTCCACTCATGGTGAAAGGCAAAGGGGAGTGAGTGTGTGCAGATCACATGATGAGACAGGAAGCAAGAGAGAGCGGGGAGAAGGACCAGGCTTTTTTTAACAACCTGCTCTTACCGAAATGAAGAGAGTGAGAACTCACCCCATCCTCAGGGAGGACATTATTCATGAGGGATTTACCTTTATGACCCAAACACCTCCCATTAGGCCCCACCTCCAACTTTGGGGAATGCGTTTCAACATGAGATTTGGAGAAGACAAACATCAACTGTAACACCTCCCATCTCTGCAAGCTGGCTGGCTGTAGCCCCAGTTCATCTCATGTATAGGACTGTGAAAAGCAACAAGGAGCAACATTCACACTTCTTGCATCCTCCCACCATTTTCTCTTGCTGTGTGTGGCCTCAGTCTGAATGTAGTCCACCTTCCACATTCCCAGTAGCAGATAACAATTTCATCAATGTTTAGCCATTACACAAAAGGCAATATTTGTATCTTTGCCATCTGCTGGCCCACCAATTCCACTAAGCCACTGCCACATTTTAGATACTATTTGCAGCATTTTGTCTTCAGGTATCAAATTCTGAATCTGAAAGTCAAAGTAAAGGTGGTTCAAGCAAAACGGTTTATTTCTGTCTCACATAAACACCAGCAGCCCAGAGCTGGTACCACTCACTGGGGACCCAGTTTCCTCCAATCTGGTCACTCCACTGTCCTCAACACAGAGCTTCTACATCATAGTCCAAAATGGCTGCTCCAGCTCCAATCATCACATCAACATTCCAGCAAGAAAAACAAAAGAATGCCCTTTCCCTCTAAGTATACCTCCTCAAAATTTCATGCACTACTCTGACTTACAAACAGTTGGCCAGAACTTAATCATATGGATACACTGTGCTGCAAGACAGGTTAGGAAAGGTAGTCTTTATCCTAGATGGCAGTACACAGCCAAAATTCAACAGGCTGAATTCAAGAGGCTTTTATTGAAGAAGAAATTATTATTAGGGCACAATTAGCAGCTTCCCCTGCATATTCTTTGACTTCAGATCTACTAAAGGGCTGATTCATGAGGAGTTAACCTTACTCAAGACCCAGTATACAGGAACAAATGCAATTCTGTCATTTAAGCAAGACTGACCCACTTTTTTTTTTTTTTTTTAGACAGAATCTCTCTCTGTCTCCCAGGCTGGAGTGCAGTGGCGCAATCTCAGCTCACTGCAACCTCTACCTCCCGGTTTCAAGTGATTCTCGTGCCTCAACCCCCGGGGTAGCTGGGATTACAGGCGTGCACCACCACACCCTGCTAATTTTTGTATTTTTAGTAGAGACAGGGTTTCACCATGTTGGCCAGGCTGGTCTTGAATTCCCGACCTCGGGTGATCTGCCCACCTCAGCCTCCCAAAGTGCTGGGACTGCAGGTGTGAGTCACCATGCCTGGCTGTGACCCACCGTCTTGAAGTATAGCACTGATAGCTTTTGACAGGATCAGCACCCATCCATTATGTACGTGAACCGCTTGAGTAAGAATGGACAGATAACAAACTTCTAGAAATCCCAGAACCCTACCCCCTAATTATACAGGCCAGTCCTCATCTGTGACTGCCCTTGTAACCTTTGGTGGTTAGTCTCTAAGCCTCTGGATTCCTTTTAGGATCCAGGAAGTCTCCGGAATTTTCCTTGAGGCTGCCCCAGGACTTTCAACATGATTACCCAAACCAGAGGAAGAACCAGGTAAGACTTGTTGGGATGCAGCAGCAGAGTTCTCAGGAGAGATGGTGGCAGTGAGGATGGAGGTGAAGTGATCACAACCCAGACATGATTAAAAAGAAAAGTAATGAGTTGAGACCTGGCAGGTGTGCAGAGGGAGAAACAGGGGATGAGGCCATTTCATAAGTTGGGCAACTGTGTGGATGTTGGTGCTACCAACAAGAATTAGAAATGGGACAATGGTGAGATTGTTCTTTGGGCCTCTAACACTGGGGACATGTGTAACCAGTCTGAAGAGTCTCAGGCAGCTATGTCTGAACACAAACCTTTATTCTCAAAATGATGCAGACATTTCTGAGTCCTGAGCACTTCAATCAGCCACGGTAAATGCCTTTTCTTTTGTGCCATTCCTATTTACATTTTAATCCATTCAAATGATTTCTTTTTTTATTAAAAAAAAAAAAAGAGAGAGATGGAATTGTGCTTTGTTGTCCAGGCTGGTCTCCAACTCCTGGCTTCAAGCAATCCTCCTGCCTCGACCTCCCAAAGTGCTGGAATTACAGGCGTGAACCATTGCACTTGGCCCTATTCAAATGATTCTGTAATCAAATCCAGTTATTAAAATTGCCTCTCTGGGAATAAGCATGCAGTTGTCTTAATCTGCTCAGGCTTCTATAACAAAACCATAAACTAGGTGGCTTAAGCAATAGATATTTATTTCCCACAGTTCTGGAGGCAGGGAGTCCAAAGTCAAGATGCCAGCAAATTTGTTTCCTGGCCAGGACTCTCTTCCTAGAAGGCAAATGGCCATCTTCCTGCTGTGTCCTCAAATGGTGACAACAGGGAGCCTGCATCTCTTCCTGTCTTTGTAAGGACACTAATTCCATCATGAGAGCCCCATCCTCCTGGCCTCACCTAACCTACCTCCAAAGGCTTCTCCAAATACCACCCCATGGGGGTCAGGGCTTCAGCATATGAATTTGGGAGCTGACATAATTCAGTGCATAGTGTAGTCGAAGTCATATTTTATCATAATTCTAAACAGAAGTCCAAGTCCTCTCTCTCAGAGGCCTTGTTGTCCCCCAGAGCCCCACAACAAGACAGGTGAGGAGGGGAGGACTGCTCATGTGGGGTCCCCAGCCTCGTCCTGTGTGGTCCTCTGCTGCGTGGTGGTCTTGGCGCAGGCATTGTGTGCTTTCCTTTAGTAGGGTTCAGCTTTACCCTGGCCCTCTCCAACATGGATAAGCAACCCTCTTCCTTCCTCTCAGGGGTGTGGGGAAACACGCCATCTTCCAGCCACCACCCCAACCCAGTTTCTGAGTCATGCAGCCCATCACTCAGCCAGGTGGCTCCATGGACAACCTTATGTTTTTACCATCTCTGTTCCTCCATAGACGGCAATGTAAAGGAGGCCCCCCGGAGCTATGCAAGGTAGCAGTACTGACCATGCTTCCTCACATAGACCACAAGAACCACTGTGCCAAATTCTGCACTGCCCTGGAGCTCCGCAGGTATCGCATCACAACTGATGGCTTTCTGGCCTAACCTGAAACCTGCTCCAGCTGGAACTCCATCCCCTTCCCATCTGTTGACCTTCATACTGCCCCTTTTACCACCCAACAGTCAGCCCAAGATTCTGATGGAATACTTGTTGCAAATAAGCCTCATGCCTTGGAGGCTTTAACTTGCATCTTTTCATTTAATGCCAAGTAGACAATTGTGAGTAAAGGGAGGAATTCTCTCTCCCCTCCCCTCTCCCAGCTTCATACCCCAGGGAGAAATGGTGGTGCTTCTAAAGTGGTGTGGCAAAAGAACAAAAATGAAAATAAAAAATAAACTGGTGTGGCCAGTAACAATGTCAAAATCCCATCTCAGACCTGGTCCCTGAGAACCCCCCTACCCCTAAGCACAGAGCACGGCGTGAACTGTTGACACCACTGAGGCCCACCCTACCCTGGACCCTGACTAGATGGGGCCCTGCAACTACCACCCTCACTGTAACTAATCTACATTGTTCATGCTTCTTGGCTTCTCTGAATTCTGATTAAGAGTTGGGGGCAGGCTGGATGCAGTGGCTCATGCCCTGTAATCCCTTTGGGAGGGAGGTGGGAGACTGAGGCAGGAGAATCACTTAAGGCCAGGAATTCAAGACCAGTCTGGGCAACATAGCAAGTCCTCATCTCTGTTTAATAAAAAAAAATAGAGATGATCTCTGGCAGAGCCTAGCTCATGTGCCCATGCCTAGCTGCAAGGGAGGCTGAAAATGCAAGAATTTGGCATTTTCCGCCTCTGTAATTTGAGATGTGGGAATTGATTTCTGCCTTACACGGTGGAGATGTCTCCAAATGAGAAGCTGGATGATCAAAACAAATGTCCGCTATAGTCCACCCCTTTCACTCTCAATATTCTCCTCATACTTGTAAAATATAACAGCACCTGGCAAATAATGACCATCCCTCATGTAAGTGAAAATGCTCACCCTTCCGCAAAAGCGGCCAAACAGAACACTCCTCAACTTCAACTAGGGGCAAATCCCAGATCTCAATTTTTTTTCTATTTGGTCATGAGCCTATCTCATTTTCCTGTACTCTATGAGCTAAATTGTGTGTGATAACTATCAGCATTCCCTATAACACAATAAAAGAAAAAGGAGGAGAGAAGTAAAATTAGATATTTTAAATTATACATAACACAGCAAAAGAAAAAATACAATAGAACTCCCTGGTGTGAGAGGGCATTGCCCACCAGGCAGGTGCTGTCTGGACTCTGTCCAGAGTGTGAGTCACTCTGCCCTAGGCCTCTGGGGCTCCACTGAGAAACTGAGATTTCACTGAGGTCAGGGGTAGGGTTTTGGTTGCAGTAAGAGACCTACCCGGCAAACAGGGAAGGTGTGTGAGGGAGAACGTGCTTGATTGTGATCAAGGCCAGTAAGTCCAGTTTCTAAACAAAAGAGATGCTATTTATAAACCTCCATCAAAACTCAGTCACTTGAAACCAACAACTGAGAAAAGCCTAGAAATATACTTTCTAAAATAATGATTAAAGTTACAGCCCCTACCGTGGTCCATTTCTTGCACCAAATCCAGATTGTCCTCAATTACAAAGAGTTTGTAGGAATTCTATTTTTGCCTTGTATAGAATTGTCTGAAAGCGCAAGAGCGCAAGGGGCCAAAGAGCTGATATTTTCCTTCTAGACACCTCCCTGCAAACCTCTTTTACTTTTCTGTTTTCCTATTTAAGTAAATTGGCCTCAGGCAAATCCTCTCTGACAATTTTTTTTTTAATCTTCATCTTTTCAAATCTACCTCATTCATTTCAGGAAAGCTCTCCTCTCCCTTTTCTTCATACCATCAAAAACTGAAAAAGATATTCATAGCAGCATTCTTCATAATGGCCAAAAAATAGATACAACTACAATGTCCATCAGCTAATGAATCAATAAACAAAACATAGTTGGCCAGGTGCAGTGGTTCACACCTGTAATCCCAGCATTTTGGGAGGCCGACGTGGACGGATCATTTGAGCCTAGGAGTTCAAGATCAGCCGGGGCAACATGGCCAAACCCTGTCTCTACAAAAAAATACAAAAAAAAAAAAATTTATCCAGGCATGGTGGTGTGCTCCTATGGTCCCAGCTACTCCAGAGGCTGAGGTGGGAGGATCACTTGAACCCAGGAGGTCGAGACTGCAGTGAACCATGATTGTGCCAGTGCACTCCAGCCTAGGCACAAGAGTGAGACCCTGTCTCAAACAAACAAACAAAAAGTGGTGTATGTGCACAGTGGAATAGTATTTGGCCATAAAAAGGAGTGAAGTGCTGACACATGGTAGAACATAGATGACTTTGAAAACATTATGCCGAGCAGAAGAAACCAGACACAAAAGGCCCCATATTATATAATTCCATTTGTAAGAAATGCCCAGAATAGGCAATTCCATAGAGACCAAAAGTGGATCAGTGGTTGCCAGGGGCTGGAAGGAAGAGGAATGGGAAGTGAATGCTGATGGGTTTCTTTTTGGAGTGATGAAAATATTCTGGAATTAGAGGGTGCTGATGGTGGTACAATGTTGTGAATACACTAAAAACCAGTGAATTTCACACTGTGAATAGTGACTTCTATGTTATGTAAATTAAATCTCAACTTTAAACAATAGAAGGAAAAAAATTAAAAACAGCCTCATCAGCCCCAGGAGGAAGAGCTTAAGTTGTTCTGAGTGGCAGTTTGTTTGCAGACATCAAAGCCCCATAACATATGGGAAACCACTAACCCAGTAATTTCACCTCTGGGAATTTGACCTAAGAGAATAACTTAAGGGATTTGTTTTATGATATAAAGACAGTTTTTAATATGATTTTTACAGCAAGTTATCTTTATAATAGTGAAAATTTTGAAACAATCTCAGTGCTCATTAGTCTGAATGTGGTTCAGTAAACATTGAGGTATCTTTGTTATGAGACACCACGCAACTCTGAAAGTGGATTTGGGAACTGTAGGTGTCTATACACAGAAAGTAGCCATGATGGCCAGATGCAGTGGCTCACAACCATAATCCCAGCACTTTGGAAGGCCGAGGCGGGCGGATCACGAGGTCAAGAGATTGAGATTATCCTGGTCAACATGGTGAAACCCTGTCTCTACTAAAAATACAAAAATTAGCTGGGTGTGGGAGGCACATGCCTGTTGTCTCAGCTACTCAGGAGGCTAAGGCAGGAGAATCGCTTGAACCCAGGAGGTGGAGGTTGCAGTGAGCCAAGATCGTACCACTGCACTCCAGCCTGGTGACAGAGTGAGACTGCATCTCAAAAAAAAAAAAAAAAAGAAAGTAGCCATGATATTTTGATAAGTAAGAAACACAAGTTACAAAATGGTATCACGATGTAATTCAAACTTTTTTTTGAAATAGAATCTCACTCTGTCACGCAGGCTGGAATGCAGTGGTGCTCATCATGGCTCACCGCGGCCTTGAAATCCTGGGCTCAAACGATCCTCCCACCTCAACCTCCCGAGTAGCTGGGACTACAGGTGTCAGTTGCCATGTCCAGATAATTTTTAAATGTTGTGTAAAGATGGAGTCTTGCTATGTTGCCCAGGCCGGTCTCAGACTCCTGGGCTCAAGTGATCCTCCCTTGACCTCCCTGGGATTAAAAGTCCGAGCCACCACACTTGGCTTGGATTCGAACTTTAGCTAAAGTCAGTATAGTGTGGGGGCTAAGAATAGATATTATGGAGCCAAACAATCTAGATTCAAGTTCCAGCTTCTCACCATTTACCAGTTGTATGTCCTGGTAAGCTACCTAAACTCTCTGGCCTGTTTTCTTTAACCCTTCGGAGTTTCAGTTTTCTCATCTATAGACTGAGGATAATAATGTCACCTATCTCATAGGGTTGGCATGAAAATTGAGTTGTTATGTGGCAAATTAGACCATTCGTGGTGCATAAGTGCTCTGTTATCTATTACTGTTTTAGATAAATAGATGATAATAGATCAGTGACAAATAAATCAAAGATAGTGCATAGATTGACATGATAGATAGATAGACAGATAATAGCAAAAGTGGAGAACCACCAACGTGTTAAGAATGGTTCTTGCACGCCTGTAATCTCAGAACTTTGGGAGGCCGAGGCAGGCGGATAGCTTGAGGCCAGGAGTTCAAGACCAGCCTGGGCAACATGGCAAAACCTTGTCTTTACCAAAAATACAAAAATTAGCCAGGCATGGTGGTGCACGCCTGTATTCACAGCTATTTGGGAGGCTGAGGTGGAGGATGGTTTGAGCCTGGGAGGCAGAGGTTGCAGTGAGCCGAGATCTTGCCGCTATACTCCAGCCTGGGCAACAGAGCCAGACCCTGTCTGGAAAAAAAAGAATGGCTGTCTAGTCTGGGTGTGGTTGTTTACACCTGTAATCCCAGCACTTTGGGAAGCTGAGGCCAGAGGATTGCTTGAGCCCAGGAGTTCAAGACCAGCCTGGGCAACATAGTAAGACCCTGTCTCTAAAAAAACCCAAACTTGGCTGGGTGCTGTGGCTCACGGCTGTAATCCCAGCATTTTGGGAGGCCGAGGTGGATGGATCACCTGAGGTCAGGAGTTTGAGATCAGCCTGGCCAACATGGTGAAACCCTGTCTCTACTAAAAATACAAAAATTAGTTGGGCATGGTGGCGGGCACCTGTAATCCCAGCTACTCGGGAGGCTGAGGCAGGAGAAGCCCTTGAACCCGGGAGACAGAAGTTGCAGTGAGCCAAGATTGCACCACTGCACTCCAGCCTGGGCCACAGGGTGAGACCCCATCTCAAAAAACAAACAAACAAACAAAAAAAAAAACTTGGGAGGCTGGGTGGATCGCCTGAGGTCAGGAGTTCATGACCAGCCTGACCAACATGGTGAAACCCTGTCTCCACTAAAAATACAAAAACTAGCTGGGCATGGTGGTGTGTGCCTGTATTCCCAGCTACTCAGGAGGCTGAGGCAGGAGAATTGCTTGAACCCGGGAGGCAGAGCAGTGAACCGAGATTGTGCTACTGCACCCCAGCGTGAGTGACAGAGCAAAACTCCATCTCAAAAAATAAATAAATACAAACAAATAAAGAATGGTTATCTCTACTTATAGGGTTATAGGTGAATTTCTTTTTCTTCTTTTTGCTAACTGGTATAGTCTGTTTCTGTAATGAACATGTGTCATTTGTAAATTTTTTAAAGGCTAGAACATTGCTACAGATACATATATATGGAAGAAGGAAGAAACATTAACCTTGGCAGTGAAATTAGATGTAAGAGTCAGAGCCTTTCACTCCTCCTTGTGTCAGACAGGATTCTTTTGATTGCAAGTGACAATAACCCAACTCAGACTAGCTTAAGCCAAAAAGGGTGACTCCTGGGCAAGACACGAGGGAGGTGCCAGAATGGAGGGAAGGTTTCAGGAAGTAGGGTGGCTTGATGGAAGAGTTGGATTCTTGGCTCCTTTTAATTCTGTTTCTCTCAGACTTCATTATCTTGGATGTCTTCAAATAGCCTGGTAGGTGGCTCTTCCTCACAGCTCCAAAGCCAAAAAGGAAAGAGAACATTCCCTCCATTCCAATTCAGCCCTGCTTAGCAGAGCTGTCTGATTGGCCCACCTCAGGGTATTTGCTCACCCCGAAGGCCAATTAGTGTTGACCACCCCAACAGAACTCAAGAGCAGCAGAAAGGAACAGCTCCCCAGAGAAAGGAGGGGTCCATCGGGGTAGACTAAGCTCTAAAAGGCCCTGATATTTTGGCTGGCCCTAAAATCAGCCCATCACTGACCCAAACACTTGACAAACTGGCTTCTTCCACAAGCCCCTGAAGAGTGTCCAGAGGCCGCCTTCAAAGTTGCAAGAGTTACCTAGTCCCTGCCTCATGTTATTTGAATTACAACTGTATTACTCCATAGAAATTGAGGATAAGAAAGAAGAAAAGACAAAACAAAAACCAAACTGTATTACTTCAAGGAGCAGCCTTCAAGAAGGAGAGGAAACCCATCATTCTATTTCCACTTTGGTTTACGATGTCACCATCCCCAAGGTATTCTAGTTAATATTGCACATATGGTGTGGACAAAGTCAATTTGGAATTCCAAACCTTCATGTGAAGATGACTTGTTTGAACACAACTCTCTTTCCACAAGCCAATCACTTTAAGTTTTTTTTGCCCAGTGCACACACAGTGCCTTCTTGCTCCCTCTGACAGGAATGTGACAATAACTTATTTTATTGTGTTTTTTAAAAATAGAGACGGGGGTCTCACTCTGTTGCCCAGGCTGGTCTTGAACTCCTGGGCTTAAGTGATCCTCCTGCCTTGGCCTCCCAAATTGCTGGGATTATAGGCACTGAGCCACTGTGTCCGGCCAGGAATATGACAACTTCTGTCCTCAGCAATTCCCTCAGCTCTGTCTTCTCCTTTCCTCATACCCACATGCCCCATGCCTTCCCAGTTGCCCAGGTCCAGCTCAAATGCCCTCTCCTCCAGGAAGCCTTCCTTGTCTGCTCCTTTCTCAACTGGAGCCCTGTTTCCTGGAGAGAATCATACACTGTCCATCTCTGTGTCCCTACACAGACACACACACAGTGTTAAGTAGACATTAATACATGCTTTTTGAATGAATATAGGCTAGTACTCTTTCCCTTACACTACCAATCTTCCTTTTTTACATGATTTAATGCCCCATCCTCATGGCAAGAAGTATTTAAGAGCCATGGGGGAGAAAAAATAAAAATATTTCTAGATCTGACCATACAAAAATTCAGAACACCAGAAACAGAATAAAAAAGCAGTCAAGAAACTGAGAAAAGTATTTGGAACAAATATGACAAAATAAAAAATGTGTGTGTTTTTTTTAGTTTAAACTTGGCAAAAACTAAAAGTCATGTTTTTGAAGCATATGTAGTGATCATTTTGTGAAAAATATTTAAATATAGAAAATCCTGGAAAATCAACAACGTTTTAATAGTAATTAGACCAAGATCATGAGCTTATGGGTGAGATTTGTTTTTTTAAGTTTTGCTCTTTTCTAATTTTTTAATAATAAACAAGCATTACATATATAATCAGAAGAAGACAGCAATAGATGGCACCTTTTGCTGAATTTCCTACAAGACTCAATGTTGGTAAGGAAGTGGTGAGATGAAAGATTGGAGAAACTTTCTAGGGGGGCAATTTAATAGAACATATTAAGAACTTCCAGCTGGGTGCAGTGGCTCACACCTGTAATCCCAGCACTTTGGGAGGCTGAGACAGGCAGATCATAAGGCAGGAGATTGAGAATATCTTGGCCAACATGGTGAACCCCGTCTCTACTAAAAATACAAAAACTAGCTGGGCATGGTAGCACATCTGTAATCCCTGCTACTCAGGAGGCTGAGGCAGGAGAATCACTTGAACCCGGGAGGCCGAGGTTGCAGTGAGCCGAGATCGTGTCATTGTACTCCAGCCTGGGTGACAAGAGTGAACTCTGTCTCAAAAAAAAAAAAAGAACTTCAAAAATATTTATATTCTGTAACCCAACTTCTGGTCATTGGTTCTAAAGACTAGAATAAAACAGGACTACAAAAAACTTCCAGTCACTGATTCTAATGACTAGAATACAAAATGACCAGGAAATAAAACAGAAATTGGGACGATGATTTCTGTAAAGCAATATTCATTGCTGAGGTGTCTAACACACAGCAATATTAGAAACTTAAGTATCTAATATTTAAGATGTGGGTAAAAATTATGGTATGGTCATATGGAATATTATGCAATCATGAAAATGCCACTTGTAAATAATATTAAAATAACATGAAAAGTGGCTATGGCATATTATTCAGGGTAAAAGACTGGATTTTTAAAAACTAGGTAAACAGTGTGATGTCCAAGATGTGTATGTGTACGTGTATACAAAAAAAAGGCTCAGACTACACCAATATATTCACAATGAGTGTCTCTAGGTCTATGAATTACAGGGGATCTTAGGGTTTTTCCACTATTACCATGTGTTTTTTTATAAGAAGAAAAAAATTCTTTTAAACATCACAAATGCACATTACTTTGACCCAGCAATTCAACCATCAGGAACATATAGTCCTCACCTGTGTGAAGTAGACCACACATCCAGTTATTCACTGCAGCACTGTAATGGCAGAAGGTTGGAAACAACACAAATGCCCCTCAGAGAGGTCTACTTCAATAACATGATTTAGACGTACACTGGAATATTCTGCAGTCATAGACAAGAACGAGACACTTTTTATTACTTTATCATTCTATATTAATTTTTTTTTGAGATAGAGTCTCGCTCTGTTGCCCAGGCTGGATTGCAACGGCACAATCTCGGCTCACTGCAACCTCCACTTCCCAGGTTCAAGCGATTCTCTTGCCTCAGCCTCCCGAGTAGCTGGGACTACAGGTATGTGCCATCCACACCCGCCTAATTTTTGTATTTTTAGTAGAGACAGGATTTCACCATGTTGGCCAGGCTGGTCACAAACTCCTGACCTCAGGTGATCCACCCGCCTCGGCCTCCCAAAGTGCTGGGATTACAGGCGTGAGTCACCATGGCCCACCAATTATTTATTAGTATTAGTAACAGTAAATGTTCTTTTTTTAAAGATAAGTTTGGAGTGTAGTGGCACAATCACGGCTCACTGCAGCCTCAGCCTCCTGGGCAAAAGCAGTCCTCCTTGAAGTAGCTGGGACTACAGGCACATGCTACCATGATGGGCTAATTCTCCTGTTATTTTGTTTTGTTTTGTTTTGTTTTGTTTTGTTTTGTTTTGTTTTGTTTTTTGAGACGGAGTCTCGCTCTGTCACCCAGGCTGGAGTGCAGTGGTGTGATCTCGGCTCATTGCAACCTCTGCCTCCTGGGTTCAAGCCATTCTCCTGCCTCAGCCTCCTGAGTACCTGGGATTACAGACACCTGCTACCACACCAGGCTAATTTTTGTATTTTTAGTAGAGACGGGGTTTCACCATGTTGGCCAGGCTCGTCTCCAACTCCTAACCTGGTGATCTGCCCACTTCAGCCTCCCAAAGTGCTGGGATTACAAGCATGAGCCACTGCGCCCAGCCAATAGGTTAATTCTTAAAAAAATTTTTTGTAGAGATGGGGTGTGGGGACAAGGAGGGGGATCTTGCTTTGTTACCTAGGCTGGTCTCAAACTCTTGGCTTCAAGCCATCCTCCCACCTCAGCCTCTCAAAGGGCTAGGATTATAGATGTTAGCCACTACGCCCCGCCGGTAATAGTAAATATTTCACATTATCTTTATCATTATTTACTAACATAATGCTCTCCAAGCTAGAGTGCTAAACAAAAACAGCAAAACAGGCTGGGTGCGGTGGCTGACGGCTGTAATCTCAGCACTTTGGGAGGCCAAGGCGGGTGGATCACTTGAGGTCAGGAGTTCGAGATCAGCCTGGCCAACATGGTGAAACCCCGTCGTCTCTGCTAAAAATACAAAAATTAGCTGGGCATGGTAGTGGGCATCTGTAATCCCAGCTACTCGGGAAGCTGAGGCAGGAGAATGGCTCAAACCTGGGAGGCAGAGGTTGCTGTGAGCTGAGTGAGATCATGCCACTGCACTCCAGCCTGGGCAACAGAATGACACTCCACCTCAAAAACAAACAAACAAACAAACAAAAACAGCAGACACAGAACAAGGTATATGGAAGCTTTCAATTATGTAAAAAGGGAGAAAAGAATATCCATCTATGTAGACAGATGTAT
Organism: Homo sapiens; assembly: GCF_000001405.40. Taxonomy (NCBI): domain Eukaryota; kingdom Metazoa; phylum Chordata; class Mammalia; order Primates; family Hominidae; genus Homo; species Homo sapiens. Next base: position 109,361,092 of record NC_000009.12, on the reverse strand, counting down.
ATGGACACTTGCGTCTGTAGGCATAACATAACTGGAAGGTTACACAAGAAACTGGGAACACAGGTTGCGTCTAGAGGCAAAGACAGTGGCAGAAGTGAGATGGCTTACTATATGCCCTTTGGAACCTCTTGAATCAGTGACTGTATTACCTATTTGGTAATATGCAATGCATGAAATTCAAGTCAAAATGAATAATCACTGGTTCCTTAACATCATCGTTAAGAGCTTGGACCGTGAATTCAACTTGCCCTTATTTAAATCCCAACTGAACTGCTTGGTGATTGTGTAAACATTAAGGAACTTTCCTCATCCGCAAAATGGAGGAGTTAAAGACACCTTCCTTGAGGGTTTGTTATGAGGATTAATGAAATTATTAAACAAGGATTAAATGAGATAATCCATTTTCAGTGTTTTATTTTATACATAATAATATATACATTTTATTATTATTCCTTGACTGTCCTGGGGATGGCCACTCCACAGGTGCATTAGAATGTTCCCTGCCTCCCTAGTAAGGAGCATTGTCACCCACTTCATTAGCTCATGAAGATGAAACAAGTTAATACATATTTGAAATGCCTGAATCAGTGCCTGGTTCACAGGAAAAGTTATCATTCACAGAAATATCCCCTAAAAAGCCATGCCCATTTTTTTCTCACTTCTCTGAATCCACAAGTTCCCTTTATTTTAATCACTGTATTATTTCTTCCCTAAAATTTCTATGTAGATGTTTTTCAAACCTGCCTATTCTTTTCTCATACTGCTCTGCTCTTGCCTTAAGGCTGAAGGCACCTGTTCCCTTATCTCTTAAATTTTGTTTGTTTGTTTGTTTGTTTTTGACACTTGAGTCTTGTTCTGTCGCCCAAGCTGGAGTGCAGTAGCGTCATCGTGGCTCACTACAATCACCACCACCAAGGTTCAAGCAATTCTCATGTTTCAGCCTCCCAGGTAGCTGGGATTACAGGTGTATGTCACCACGCTCGGCTAATTTTTTTTTGTATTTTTAGTGGAGACGGGGTTTCACCATGTTGGCCAGGCTGGTCTTGAACTCCTGGCCTCAAGTGACCCGCCTACCTCAGCTTCCCAAAGTGCTGGGATGACAGGCATGAGCCACTGTGCCCAGACAAAAAAAAACCTTTTTAAGACAGCATCTCACTGCTGTCACCCACACTGGAGGAACCCGATCACAGCTCACTGCAGCCTCAACTTCCTGTGCTCAAGCAATCCTCCCACCTTAGCCTCCCGAGTAGCTGGGACTACAAGTGTGTGCCACCATGCCTGGAAAATCTTCAAAAATATATTAACTCTGGCTGGGCATGGTGGCTCATGCCTGTAATCCCAGCACTTTAGGAGGCTGAGGCAGGTGGATCACTGGAGGTCAGGAGTTTGAGACCAGCCTGGCCAACATGGTGAAACCCCGTCTCTACTGAAAATACAAAAAAACTAGCTGGGTATGGTGTCATGTGCCTGTAATCCCAGCTACTCAGGAGGCTGAGGCAGGAGAATCACTTGAACCCGGGAGGTGGAGGTTGTAGTGAGCTGAGATCTCACCACTGCACTCCAGCCTGGGCAACAGAGCGAGACCATCTCAAAAAAAAAAAAAATTAACCCTGCTTGTTTCAAAGTTTCAGTCTGTCATATTATCTTTGGTTTGTAGGGTGCAAAGTCTACTGTTTGTTGCAGCTGCTGACTATGTGTGGCTTATTTCCTTGTGGGTTTGTAAGTACATTTCAAGCTCATCTTCATCAGATTTCTGAGAGTCCGTGATTTCATAGACTCTTAAGTCCCCCAGATTTACTAGTTCTGGACAAGCCTTTCCGTTATTTTCTCCACTTGGAATTCTCATACCACACAGATATGCACTCAGACCCCATATCTGCACATGGCCTAGAGCAAAGAGGTAGAGTTTTTCTGGTCCTGCTTCCACGGGGAAGCAGCCCTTTGTGACTCCGAGCTTTTTTTTTTTTTTTTTTTGAGACAGAGTTTCACTCTTATCTCCCAGGCTGGAGTGCAATGGCGCAATCCCAGCTCACTGCAACCACCACCTCCTGGGTTCAAGCAATTCTCCTGCCTCAGCCTCCCAAGTAGCTGAGATTACAGGTGCCTGCCACCACGCCTGGTTAATTTTTGTATTTTTAGTAGAGACGGGGTTTCATCATGTTGGTCAGGCTGATCTCGAACTCCTGACCTCAGGTGATCCACCTGCCTTGGCCTTCCAAAGTGCTAGGATTACAGATGTGAGCCACCATGCCTGGCCGACTCCTAGCTTTTTTAGGCAGGCAACTCACTTTCATCTCTGTAAGCGCGGAGCCTGTGGCTGGCCTCCCTTCATAGGCAGGTATGAAATATTCCACCCTAATCACCTAGTTATAATACCCTATCAGTCCCTGCCTGTCTTAGTCCATCTGGACTCCTATAACAACATACCATAAACTGGGTGGCTTATAAACAACAGAAATGTATGTTTCACAGTTCTGGAGGCTGGGAAGTCCAAGATCAAGGTGCTGGCAGATTCAGTGTCTGGGGAGGCCCTCATAGTTGGCCACCTTTTCACTGTGTCCTCACATGGTGGAAGGGAATAATTCTGGTCTCTAGCCCCTTAATGGGCACTAATCCTATTAATGAGGACTCCAACCCCATGATTTAATCACCCCCAAAGGCCCCCACTTCCTAATGCCATCACATTGGAGGGTAGGTTTCAACATGAATTTTGGAAGGACACAAACATTCAGACCATAGCATGGCCTTTACTTCTTCCATATTATGTGTAGCACATGATATGGAAAAAATATCCATGAATTCTGGACTATGCTGATATCTAAAGACAGAAATGGCCAGTGCAGTGGCTCACACGTATAAACCCAGCACTTTGGGAGGCCGACGCAGGCAGGTTGCTTGAGCCTAGGAGTTTGAGACCAGCCTGGCCAACATGGTGAAACCCCGTCTCTACACAAAATACAAAAATTATCTGGGCATGGTGGTGTGCACCTGTAGTCCCACCTACTCAGGAGGCTGAGGCAGGAGGATCACTGGAGCCCGGGAGGTCAAGGCTACAATGAGCTGTGTTTGTGCCACTGCACTTCAGCCTGGGTAACAAAACAATACCTTGTTTCAAAAAAAAAAAAAGAAAAAGAGAAATGGGCCCAGAAGCAACAGGATGAAACTGGGAGAAGAAAGCAGAAAGTATCTGGCCTAAGTAACTTACTAGAAAATCTATTTCTTTTTTTTTTTTTTTTTTGACAGAGTCTCATTCTGTCACCCAGGCTGGAGTGCAGTGGCGCAAACTCAGCTCACTGTAACCTCTGCCTCCTGGGTTCAAGTGATTCTCGTGCCTCAGCCTCCCAAGTAGCTGGTACTACAGACGTGCACTACCATGCCCGGCTAATTTTTGCATTTTTAGTAGAGACAGGGTTTCGCCATGTTGGGCAGGCTGGTCTCAAACTCTCCACATCAGGTGATCCATCCACCTCGGCCTCCAAAGTGCTGGGATTACAGGCATGAGCCACCATGCCTGGCCCTAGAAAATCAATTTTTCAAAAGCAAATGACACAAACTTGTGGGAAAAGCCTCAGTATTGCAAAGTGATTGTGAAGAAACATACCAAAATGTTAACTGAGCTGGTTTGAGTGTTGGAGGAATGAATGACTTTTCCTTTTCTAATTTTCTGCATTTTACACGTTTTATATCCCTTTTACCTTGGGGGACAGGGGAAATTATAAGTCATTTTGTAAAGTGGTTTTCCAATCAGCCAGCAGGAGCTTGCTGTGGTGACAGGTGAGAACCATTTCCTCCTGTCAGAGGTTGGTGGCAAATCAAGGCAGCTGCAGAGAGGGGCTAAACAAGGCCTGGGTGTGGAGGTGGAGGCTTGAGTTGGAGCCCTAGTTCTGCCAACATATTTGTGACACCCACAGAATTAACTTAACCTCTCCTAATCACGTTTTCCTCCTCTGTAAATGGAGATCCATTCATTGGTTCATTCCTTCCACAGCTGTTTATTCAACACGTGCGATGTGCTCAGCAAGGTGGCAGGGCTTGGGGCCACCAGAAAGAACAAGACAGACCCACACTCGAAGTTTGAGTTCTGAGGCAGCACTGTCCGACAGAACTTTCTAGATGACGAAAATGTTCTGTATCTGTGATATCCAATATGGTAGCCACTAGCCACACATAGCCACTACACACTTAAAATGCGGCTCCTGTGACCGAGGAACAGAATTTTTAATTTTCTTTTGTGTAATTAAATTTATTTATTTATTTGAGACAGAGTCTCGCTGTGTTGCCCAGGCTGGAGTGCAGTGGCCCAATCTTGGCTCACTGCAACCTCCGCCTGCCGGGTTCAAGCGACTTTCCTGACTCAGCCTTGCAAGTCTCCTGAGTAGCTGGGACTACAGGTGTAGGCCACCACGCCTCGTTAATTTTTGTATTTTTAGTAGAGACGGGGTTTCACCATGTTGGCCAGGCTGGTCTCAAACTCCTGACCTCAAGCGATCCACCCACCTCGGCCTCCCAAAGTGCTGGGATTACAGGCATGAGCCACCGCTCCTGGCCAGTGTCATTAAATTTAAATTGCCACATGAGGTTAGTGGCTACTGTTTTGGACAGTATCCTAAATAGCAGACAACGCCTCTGGGCCCACCTCAGACGGGGCGTGGGAAGATCCAAGCCATGCAAAAACAGAACTGTGAGGGGGTGTGAGGATGTATCATGCCTCCCTCAGACAGAACAAGGAGGAAACGAGGCTGTGGGGACGTTTAAGACCCGGTGACTGTTGTAAGTGGGCACGGGGAGATGGAAGAAAACACTCAATGCGGCGGAGCACAAAAGCTGCCGTGACTAAGCCCTGGCACGTGGTCTGGGAGCACCTGCCCCGCGGGCAAGCAGCAACTCCCTGCAGAGCCCACCGTATGCAGTAGAGAACAATACCTAACTAAAGCAAGTCTGGTGACATCTGGCTGCGGACTGGCTCTCGCCTCTCCACTGTGGTCGGTTCTGATCTCTCTGCTCCTTCCTTCCCATGGTCCTTCTTCTGTAATACCTGGAGTTCAAGTTCGTTTTAAACTGGGCAGGGCCGCCCCACGTGGTTTCATTCCGCACATACCCACTCCTTCCTCCGCCTCCTTGAACGCTTCATTCCAAATCAAGCCTGCTTTCTCCTTAATTAAGAACATAGGGGCCAGGTGCGGTGGTTCACACCTGTAATCCCAACACTTTGGAAGGACAAGGCGGGCGGGTCACTTGAGACCAGGAGTTCAAGACCAGCTTGGCCAACATGGTGAAACTCTGCCTCTACTAAAAATAAAAATAAAAATTAGGTGGGAGTGGTGGTGCACGCCTGTAGTCCTAGCTACTGAGGAGGCTGAGGCAGGAGGATCACTTGAACCCAGGAGGCAGAGATTGCAGTGAGCCGAGATCATGCCACCACACCCCAGCCTGGGGGACAGAGCAAAACTCTGTCTTAAATAAATAAATAACAAAACAAAACAAAAAACATAGGGCAGCAGCCCTGCCTCCCTGCTGTGCCTGACATGGTGTTCTCATTACTTCCTTTCCTTTCACCTGGGTGCTCTGAAAGCACCTATAATATGCTAGAGTCCTTGCAACACCTCCTCCACCACTCACCCTGCTGAAGGGGAAACCCTAGGGCCACGAACCTCTTCCCGACTCCTTATACCCCACAGCTACTGCTGATTGGCCCAGAGATAAACTGCTGACCCAAAGTCACCCAATCTACAGGATCACTGGCAACCTGCAAGGTGGCTTGACTTGAAAAGATGAACTAAGCCCATGAGACACTCTCTTGCAGAAACCAGTTCAGAAATCCCCAGAGAAGGAGGGAATTAGCAATGGAAGATAACATTGAAAAGCCTTGGCCAGGCACGGTGGCTCACACCTGTAATCCCAGCACTTTGGGAAGCTGAGGAGGGTGGATCACTTGAGGTCAGGAGTTCGAGGCCAGCCTGACCAACATGGTGAAACCCCGTCTCTATTAAAAATACAAAAATTAGCCAGGTGTGGTGGCATGCACCTGTAGTCCCAGCTACTCGGGAGGCCGAGGCAGAATTGCTTGAACCCGGGAGGGGGAGGTTGTAGTGAGCCAAGATCATGCCAGTGCACTCCAGCCTGGGCAACAGAGCAAAACTCCATCTCAAAAAAAAAAAAAAAAAAAAAAAAAAAAAAAAAAAAGGAAAAGAAGTCTTAAGATGCCATCAGGGCTGCCAGAGGCCATGAAAGCTGGACTTGTCAGGAAGCACTCACGCAGAGAGGCAGAGGAGTAATGAGGGATGGAGAACAGCTGGTCTTGTTGCTCTGGTTCTGCTTCCCAGCCCTGGTGGCTGAAGACACCTGAGAATCTCTTGTGAATTAATTTAGCTTGGGCTTCCTGGAAATAGCCTCTGAGATGGAGGGTTACAAGCAGAAGATTTATTGAGGAATGCTTTGGGAAGATACACCATTAAGAAGGTGAGAACGGAAGGACTGATTTGGGGAAGAAAAATGAAAGGTAGGTGCAACTGTGCCTCAGTTGATCGTTCAGGGCTCTGTGGAGCCATGGTGGGCTCTCAGAGTTGTCCTAAAATTATGGCAGGGGAGCTGGGCTTTTTTCCCACTCTTTAACCAATCCCTGGCCTTGGGCCACCCTGGGAGGGGGCATAACTTTGGGGTAGGCAGTTCCCTGCTGCTGAAGGCAGTTCCTATTGAGGTGCATGGCTAGGGCTAGCAGCAGCCACACTCCCCCACATCTGGGTGTGGGTGCAGGAGCACTGAAGGGGGCTTGGGTGGAGCATCACAGTACCTATGTGACACATCTCAACACACACTGGGTTCCTCGAGGGCAGACATTATGCCCTTGCCTGGGCAATATGAGGAAACCCCATCTCAACAACAACAAAAAAAAAACACAAAAATTAGCCAAGCATGGTGGCATATGCCTGTAGTCCCAGCTACTTGGAAGACTGAGGTGAGAGGACTGCCTAAGCCCAGGAGGTTGGGGCTACAGTGAGCCAAGATTACACCACTGCACTCCAGCCTGGGCAACAGAGCAAGACCCTGTCTCAAAAAAAAAAAAAAAAAAAAAAAAAAAGACTTTATGTCCCGTGGTGTTGGAGGCCTGAGTTGGAGTCCTAGTTCTGCCAACATAGTGTTGGAACACCCACGGGATTAACCTACCTCTCCTAATCACCTTTTCCTCCTCTGTAAATGGAGATTCATTCATCAGTTCATTCCTTCCACAGCTGTTTATTCAACACATGCTATGTGCTCAGCAAGGTGGCGGGGGCTGGTGCCACCAGAAAGAAGACAGACCCACACTCGAAGTTCAAGTTCTGAGGCAGCCTAGCACCTGGCATAGAATTCTGTTAGATTTAAATTCCACAAATTGAGAATCTATACTGTGCCAGGCATGGTGCTAGGCACATCATATAGATTCTCTCACAGAATCCTCAAAATGGTTCTGTAAAGGGCAAACTTTGTAAAGTATAAATTTTTAGCACCATTTTACAGATGCAGAAATTGAATCTCAGAAAGTGACATGCCCAATGAGCAAGAAGTAAGGGCTAAAGTAGAATTTACATCCCGGATTTCATCTAGGGCTCTTTCCATGACACCATGTATGGCCAAGACAGTTCATTGTCTACCAGATACCTATTCTCTTCTTCTTTCTCACTAAGGGAGCCCTGATTTCATTGGGGGATGACTTGTGCCCAACTAAAAGACTATATTTCTGAGCTCTTTGTGCTTAAAAGGTGGCCAGGGAGACATAAGTAGAAATCATTTGATGAAAATTCCAGAAAGTTCTATGGGAGGGGGGATATTGACTCAACTTCAAGATTCACCCTCTTCCTTTCCCACTTTCTTCCTCCTCCTACTTTGAAGTTGACATGATGTCTGAAGGTGCCATTTGGGAGACTTTGAAGATGGAAGACACACTCTCAGATTGGTAGAGCAGAAAGAAGCCTAAGACACACAGAGCTTCCATACCAATCTTCGAAGGCCTACTTGTATCATTTAAGCCCCTTGTTAGTTTAGAATCTTCAGTTCCTTACAGATAGAGTTTGTTTATTATTATCTTATAGATTCTGCTGAATGTTGCACTTGGATTCCCTGGTCCATGAAACTGTATGCTGAAAATGGTTTTTTGCCACAACTGGAAATTCTAGTAGGCAAATATGATATTTTATTAGGTATTATAATGCTCAGTTCTCAAACTAACATATAACATACTTCAGATTAAAGTAATGGTAGTAGCACCCTACATTTATTTAGCTCTTTGTGGAATGTGCATAATCTAATTTGGTCTTTACAAGTGTGTGAAGTAGAAAGGGAAGTGCTACTATTTCCAATTTATTAATGACAGAAACTGAAATTCAAGAAAGTCAGTAGAATCATAGCATCCTCAAATCTTGGGACAATAAAAGACCTTAAAGAGTTTGATCATGTTAATCTCATACTCATACTCATCAGTCTCATACTGTCATACTCTGTAGGGAAGTTCTTCTTCTCTACAGAATAGAATCCAAAACTTCCTAGATGGCATTTAAGGCTTTTAAAAATGGGATCCTAGGCTGGGCGCGGTGGCTCACACCTGTAATCCCAGCACTTTGGGAGGCCAAGGCAGGTGGATCACCTGAGGTCGGGACTTCGAGACCAGACTGACCAACATGGAGAAATCCCATCTCTACTAAAAATACAAAATTAGCCAATCGTGATGGCGCATGCCTGTAATCCCAGCTACCTGGGAGGCTGAAGCAGGAGAATTGCTTGAACCTGGGAGGCGGAGGTTGTGGTGAGCCGAGATGGCGCCATTGCACTCCAGCCTGGGCAACAAGAGCAAAACTCCATCTCAAAAGAAAAAAAAGGGGGGGGATTCTAACCTAGCTTTTCTACTTTATCTCCTCCCAACAAGAACCTTAATCATAGTATTGCCCCCAGGTCCCAGAAAGAGAAAATATGACTGACAGTTGAGTCTTAGCCTGGGTTTCCTCCAAAAATGGAGACTGAGACAAGAACTTGAGTGCAGACGCCAGGTGCAGTGGCTCATGCCTGTAATCCCAGCACTTTGGGAGGTCTAGGAGCTTGATCACTTGGGTCCAGGAGTTCAAGACCAGCCTGAGCAACGCGGGGAAACTCCAACTCTACAGAAAAAAAAAAATACAAAAACTAGGTGGGCATGGTGGCCCACACCTGTAGTCCCAGCTACTTGGCAGGCTAAGGTGGGAGAATTGCTTGAACCCAAGAGTCCGAGGCTGTAGTGAGCTCTGACCATGCCTATGAATAGCCACTGTACTCTGGCCTGCGCAACAGGACAAAACTCCATCTCTATAATATGTATATGTATAAAAGAGTGAGGTACAAAAGCATGTAAAACAAAGAAAGAGGAAAGGCTGGTTAAAGAGTATGTTATTATGTTAGTCATCATTGGGATAATTGGGGCTTAATCCTACAATTCTGAGAACCCCTCTCAGAATTGTTAGTCAGGTATGGTAGTGTGCACCTGCAGTCCTAGCTACTTGGAAGGATTGCTTGAGCTCAGGAGCTTGAGATCAGACTGGGCAACATACCAAGATATTGTCTCTTAAAAAAATAAAAAATAAAAAAGTCTACACTAACAGCAATCAGAAGTATTTATCCATTGACTCCCCTTGACTCCCGTTGACTCCCAGTATTTCATGGTTGCTCCCAGAAGGCTGTAACTCCCCGGGCTCTTCTGGGGGGCACCTGTGCGAACACCTAGCATCCCACATGGCAGCACTGGAGAAGTCTTGGGGCATGAAATGAAAGGCTTGTCCTTGAGGTGAGATGCTGTCAGGCCAAAGCAAATTAAAAGCCCACACAGAGTTCTGTTTCCAATTCTGACTAATCTAAGATCCTGCTAGATGGATTATCTGACAGACAATAGCTGTAACATCCTGGCTTGCTACGAATAGTAAGGAGCTCCCTGAAGGCACTAGAAGAGGAACACAAGCAGGCTGATTAAAGGAGGGAAGCTGCACAAAGTGACCTCCCATGTTCATGTCCAGCTGACAGTGTAAAATGGTCCGATGTGTGACGAACCAGGAATATAAAACACAGGCTTAAGAGCAAAGAAAACCACTAGGCACAATGGCTCACACCTGTAATCCCAACACTTTGGGAGGGTGAGGCAGGAGGATCACTTGAGTCTGGGAGTTCAAGACCAGCCTGGGCAACACAGCGAGACCCCGTCTCTACACATTTTTTTAAAATTTTAAAATGTAACAGATGGACTTAGGAGCAAAATGAAAGTAACCAAGGAAAGAGTAAGTAAACTTGAAAATAGTGCTATAGAAATTATATAACATGAAGAAAAAGATAAACGTTTTTTAAAAAAGGAACAGAGTCTATCAATCTGACTCTACCAGACTATTAGATAATATCATCATAATAAGTCTATCATATATGTAATTATAATATCAACATACATGTCTAACACATTTGTAATTGGAATCCCAAAAAGAAAATAAAGATAATTGAGCAGGAAAAAAAATTGAAAAAATAATGACTGAAATATTCCTAAATTTGATTTAAAACATGAATTTACAAAGCTGGGCATGGTGGCCCATGTCTACAGTCCCAACTATTCAGGAGGTTGAAGTGGGAGGATCTCTTGAGGCCAGGAATTCAAGGCTGCAGTGAGCTATGATCACGCCTGTGAGAATCCACTGCACTCCAGCCTGAGCAACATAGTAAGATTCTGTCCCAAAAAAATAAATAAATGAAAACAGGCATTTACGGAGTCATAATTAATACACTCCCCTTGCTCACTGTTACCACAGCTTTACCCATGGGGCAGAGATATTATAGTTAGTGCTCACCAGGTACCTATGAGCTTCCCTGGATTTCTCAGCCTCTGCTGAAGTTAGCTTCGGCCGACTATGTGGTCAGTTCTACCCAATGGACTATGAGCAGGAGTGATGGGTGCTACTTCTGGGTCAAGGCAGTTAATAGCCAATGTACTTCCTCCATCTCTCCTTAGCCCACTGTGACAGCACTGTGTTCCATATGGTGTGGTTATACGAAGGAAGAAATCCTCCTAACCTATACTGGACTTTGCATTGGCCAAAAAAAACCAAAAAACAAAAACAAAAAACAAAACAAAAAAAAACCTTTTTTTGTGAAAAGCCACTGAGACTTGGGGATAGGGGTTTTCTGTTGCAGCACCTGCCATTAATTACACTACTATACCCATTCAATTATAGGTCTGTGTTGCTAATCTCTTTCATTAGAATACGATCTATTTGAGGTCACTGGCAGGTGTTCATCTAATAACTCCAGCACCAGTCCCTGTAGAGCCTGGAATATGAAGTGTGCTTATTAAATGTGTGTTGAATGAATTACAAGTGAATGAATCATTCTGCCTGATGTTTCAAGACCTCAAGTAAACACTTACTAGAAACCCAAGGAATTCAAAAATTTCTAGAGCTGGAATTTGAACCCAGAATCTTCTAACTCCAAGCCAAGGGCTTTTTGCACATTATCATTGTGGATAAATGATGGGAACTGTGAATCACCTCCAATGTGTGGCAATTCAGCAGACAGGCAGCCTGTGTGTAGCTTTCTAGGACAATTATTCTGGAAAGTCATTTCTGGGAAAGGGCCCAAGAATCTACACACAGCAGAGGAGAAAGACTTCTTTAAACATTGACTGCTGCTGTTGATCTGGTCTTGAAGCTCTGAAAGCAACACAAGTCAGAATCCTCCTTGGGGACAGAAGAGCATCTGTCTTTTCAAAAATTTAGACATTCCTGTTAAACAATTTCTTGGGAATTAACAAGGAGGAAATTGAGCAGGGAAATTCTTAAAATCCCACAATTAGGCTCGAAAAGTCAATGCGAGTTCAGGGTGGGGAAACATTTTGTGAGAGCTTATGTGAATGTCTGAATTGACTGAAAACTCAGGAATAATACAGATAAATTACTTTGCTATCATCAGTGAGAGGAGTCTACTGCATGCCAGGTACAGAACTATATATATATTATCCTTTCTTGCTCCTTTTAATAAAGTGGTAAAGTATGTAATTCTGTTCCCACTTGGCAGGTAAAGGAAATGGGTTCAGGTGGGGCATGGTGGCCGACACCTGTAATCCCAGAGCTTTGGCAGGTGGAGGCAGGAGGATCGCTTGAGGCCAGGAGTTTGAGACCAGCCTGGGCAACATAGAAAGACCCCATCTCTATAAAAAATTTTTTTCTAATTAGGAAAAAAAAAAAAAAAGAAAATGGATTCAGAGTAGTTGTGAAACTTGCTAAAGATTACACAACTAGGAAATGGTTGCTATAAGATTCAAACTCAGGTGTCTTGGACTCCAGAGCCCATGCTCTAGGCTTTTAAATCTGGCCAATGCTGTGGCCAATGCAATTCTTTTATTTGAAAGTCTCAGAAACCCAGGAACTGGTTTAGACAATGGGACTTTATTGGTTCGCAGAATCCAAGAAGGACTGAATGACAATCCACTGGAAAGGCCATGCTATCCTGAGCTTTTGGAGCAACTGCCACCAGATGCCTGAATGCTGCAGCAGTCCCTCTTCACCCATTTCTCTGCTCCTCTCATCCACACCTTGCTCAGCTCCTACCAGGAAAGAGGGTTTGATTTGCTTCCTTCCAGTTTCAGAACTCCCCAGGCAGACATTTAATTGCACAGCTTTGGTCAGATGCCTCTTCTATAGAAATCCATCTGGCTGGGATCATGGGTCATCTAAAAACAAGTCCTCTCCCTGTTTTGTTTTGTTTTGTTTTGTTTTTGAGACAGGGTCTCGTTCCGTCACCCAGGCTGGAGTGCAGTAGCACCAACACAGCTCTCAGCAGCCTCGACCTACTGGGCTCAAGCAATCCTCCTTCCTCAGCCTCCTAAGTAGCTGGGACCACAGGTGCATGCCAACATTCCCAGCTAATTAAAAAAAAAATTGTACAGACAGGGTCTCACCGTGTTGCCCAGGCTGGTCTCCAATTCCTGGGCTCAAGCAACCCTCCCGCCTTAGCCTCCCAAAGTGCTGGGATTTCAGGCATGAACGACCTTGTACGGCCTGGAACAGGATCAGTGTTTAAAAAACCAAAATGATCAAAGGAACTAGAAACACTTAGCTTGAAGGAGAGGATACTCAGGAGGACATTCCTGTTATCTTCAAACATTTGAAGGACCAGCGTGAGGAAGACAGAGGATGTGCTCTGGGTCACTATGGGACCAGTAGTAAGAAGTTTCCAAGAGACAGATTTCAGGTTCACATTCAACATCCACTGAGTGCTTCCCATGTGTGGGATATTATATCGAGTTCCTTCACATATATAATCTCTCTTGATCCTCACAACAAATCTGTCATAAATTTCATTACACCTATTTCACACGTGAGAAAAGAGACCAAGACAAATAAATTGCCCAAGTGGCATGGATTTGATCCAGGTGTTCTATCTCTGCACTTTTCCCATTACATCATTCTGCTTCTTCACATACAGCTCTCTAATAATCATTTCGGTTCAAAGAGAGTTGGTATTTTTCAGGAGCAAAGGGCTGCCCATGTCTAAGGTTGCCCCTGCGAAAGTCCAGTGGTCATCTTCCCAGGACTTGATCAAGGTATGTTGCAAAATGAAAGCCATGGTTGGTCTAGAAAACTACCCTAAAGTCCATTCTGACTTTCACTTAATAAATTCTTCAAGCTTTTACAAATTCTTTTTAAAACTCTGTTGGGTTGAGCATAGTGGCATACACCTATAATCCCAGCTATTTGGGAGGCTGGGGCAGGAGGATCACTTGAGCCCAGGAATTCAAGTCCAGCCTGGGCAACATAGCGAGACCCTGTTTCTAAAGACAAAACAACATCAAAAATATCTCTGCTTGATATCTTTCATATGAACACCTCCTAGCCCTAAATCACTCTCTACCCTTTTGTACTCTGCTCTGAGCCTCATGATATGGGTCTGTATGGATTGCATCATGATCTTCCTGCCTGCTGGCTTCAGCTGATTCTGTCTAGCAGGGATCCCCAGGAGATCAGAGGAGGGAGGCAAGTGACAGACACTATGAGGTCACCTTTGGTTGGGTCTTCCCCCAACCGAAAGTCATTGCTCCTCTTACTGTGGCCAGCTGTGTGTCTCTTTCTCCTTCTAGGTTCTGTGAACTCCTTCCTTGCCTCTTCTCTTTCTCCTAGCAATGGTAACAGCTCTGTAGCTCTATACGAAAGACCCTGCAGCATCCCTTGTGATTTCCCCACACTCCCACACTTTTGAAATTAATCCCCTTATCAACGAACCATCCTCAAACCGTTTTGATGTTAGTGTACCACCTGTTTCCTATTGAGGCCCCGACTGATAGAATAACTTTTTCCAGATTGTAAATTCCTGTATCCTAATTATATTTTTCTACAAACTCAGTGTGGGACTTTCAGATATAGACTCAAGAAGAAAATTTAAATGACCTATAATCCCACCCCTAGAAATAGCTGACAGTTGGGGACATTTCTTTCCAACATTTTTCTGTGCACATATTACATACTTCTTTACATTGTGTATATCTCAATGTACGTACAATTTCATTAACACGATAACGTCATGAACATTTTCCCATGTCATTAAAAAGTCTTCATAAACATCAGTGTTTCAAAGTGGTATGCCATACTGTATCATGATTATTTTTCCACTTCCCTATTTGGGTTACTTATATTTTTTACTATCATAATAAATATCACTGGGCCAGGCGCGGTGGCTCACGCCTGTAATCCCAGCACTTTGGGGGGCTGAGGTGGGCAGATCACGAGGTCAGGAGTTCAAGACCAGCCTGACCAACATGGTGAAACCCCGTCTCTGCTAAAAATACAAAAATTAGCAGGGCGTGGTGGTGCGCGCCTGTAATCCTAGCTGCTCAGGAGGCTGAGACAGGAGAATCGCTTGAACCCAGGAGGCGGAGGTTGCAGTGAGCCGAGACCATGCCACTGCACTCCAGCCTGGGTGACAGAGCGAGACTCCGTCTCAATAAATAAATAAATAAATAAATATCACTGGTATGATGATCTCCATTCATAAGTCTTAGTCCAAACATCTGATTATTTCCTTAGGTCCCTCAAAATGTTGATGCTCAGGTAATGCCCAATATATTGAAAACACTAGAGGGAGCTTGAGAGTTCCCTGAAACAATCGTTTTCTGTGCCCTGGTGAAGAATGAAAATAACCTGCCAGGACTGGCAGAAGTATTAAAGGCATTTGAGGGTTTCCCTTTACCACTGGGAAAGCTATGCCTGATCTCACAATAAAACAATGTGGGCATTCTCTTCCCAGGCCTGGTTCCATCGTGGGTCGGGAGAGAGCTTGGTTTGTTATTTCGGCTGACAACAAGTGTGGTCAGGAATCTTTAGATCTGTGGATGACCAAGAGGGTGACCGCAAAGGCCACATTCAGCTTATAAAGAAAGTCGATCTGAGAGGCTTCTGAAAAAAGGCTCCGCTCCAGCCTCAGGGAGCCACAGTCCTGGGGTGAGTTCAGCAGGCCAGACCTTGCTGCAGAACTCGCTGGGCAAGTTCTAAGCAGCTGCTTGAGAGACTGTGGTGGGTAATTGTCCCTAACCAAGGTTCAGAGTCACCAACAAATGAGTGGGTGGCAACCCACGTGATCGGGGCTGTGCTGAGGAGGACGAGGTGGGGGCAGGGACCTGAGCTCCTGAGCCTTTAGCTCCTCTTCTGTTTCCCCTTCCACACCTTTTGAGAGGGTTCTTACTGTAGAAGACTCTGACACAGGGAGATCCTGCCAGAGCCCGAGCAGCCCATAGTAGCTGGATAAATGCAGCTGAAAAGAGAGGGAAAAACCCCTCAGCAAGTGACCCAAGAACCCTCAAGGATGAAGATGGCACAAGCTGTTCCCCTTGGGATAAGCATTCTGCCTCTTCCCCCTGGATCTATCTTCCCAGGCATTGGCCCCTCCTGGCCCACCACACTTGACTTGCTCATTTATGCAGGAGACAAATTAAGACCCTCTTTCCTTAAAGCCATAATTGCAGGAAGAACTTAGACCGTATGGAGAGTATGCCTATGACCCTGGAAGTCAATGACGTTTCACAGTTAACAAAGTTGGGAAGCTTTGGAAATACTGGGTCTCGGCAGGCTCAAGGTCCATACTTTCAAATACTAAAAGCAACTCAGATAGTTACTGTGAGACCTGCAAGACTTGCCCTTCAAACCCATGCACAATCTTAGTTGTGCAAAAAAAAATTACTTGGGGAATTTTTTAAAGTCCTCACACCCAGAGCAATCACAACAAAATCTCTGGGGTTGGGACCCAGACTTTAGTGTCCCTTAAAACTCTCCAGGTGATTTCAACGTGAGTCCAGATTGAGAACCACTGGTCTTAAAAGGATAATGAAAGAAGGCCAAGACTTTTAATACCTCAATAGGTATATACATTTTATTTATTTATTTATTTTCATTTTTATTTTATTTTTTGAGACAGATTCTTGCTCTGTCGCCCAGGCTGGAGTGCAGTGGCACAATCTTGGCTCACTGCAGCCTATGCCTCCCGGGTTCAAGTGATTCTTGTGCCTTGGCCTGCCGAGTAGCTGGGACCACAGGCATGCACCACCACACCCAGCTAATTTTTGTATTTTTAATAAAGATGGGTTTTTGCCATGTTGGCCGGGTGGGTCTCAAACTCCTGACCTCAAGTGATCCACCCACCTCAGCCTCCCAAAGTGTTGGGATTACAGGCATGAGCCACCGCATCCAGCCTCGATAGGCATATAAATTTAATGGCCATATTTCCAATCTGTACTTAGGTGTTCTCTTTCTTTGAATCTTGCTTTATGATGCATTCTGGCCTTCATTTACAAAGCCAATTAGAGATCTATAAATAAGTTATAATTTTAGTAGTTAAATTTAAGAAGAAAAAAATCTTGTGTCACTTGTACTCTGTGAGTTACCCTTGCCTGAGGAAAGTGTCATTGGTTGGCAAACCCAAGGCCACCTTTTTTCACTGAGCAGGCAGAATGGCTCGGCGGAATGAGAGGAAAAGTCAGAGTTCATCAAAGCGAAATCTTAAAGTTAGCAGGTGGAGAAGTTTGGGACAATGAGATATGCATCTAAGGGGCTGGGCGCGTGGCTCACACCTGTAATCTCAGCACTTTAGGAGGCCAAGGCAGGCTGATTACTTGAGGTCAGGAGTTCGAGGCCAGCCTGGCCAACATGGCAAAACCCCATCTCTACTAAAAATTTACAAAAATTAGCCGGGCGTAGTGGTGGGCACCTGTAATCCCAGGTACTTGGGAGGCTGGGGCACAAGAACCCCTTGAACCTGGGAGGCAGAGGCTGCAGTGAGCCGAGACCAGGCCACTGCACTCCAACCTGGGAAACAGAGTGAGACTTGAGGGGAGAATCGTGGAAGTTTTTTTTTTTCTTTTTTTTTTAAGAGACAGCCTCTCACTATGTTGCCTAGGCTGGTTCTCAAACTCTTAGGCTCAAGCTATCCTCCCATGTCAGCCTCCCAAAGTGCTGGGATTACAGACAAGAATCTTGCATTTTAAGTGCAGGAGTATGGCCTACGGGGGCTAGAGGGTGGCAATCAGTCAGGAGCTTATCTGGGTGTCCAACTGATATTCAGGAGCCCCTTGGACTGGACTTTGGTTTGTGTTGTAGTCAGGAAAGCTAAGATTCATCAAATCCTGAAGACTCAGCCCTCTAATTTCTGCATCCTCTTTTCTTTTCAACCTCAGCCACCCTCCTCTATGGTTTTTCATGGAGTAATACGGAATATAGAAAGAGCAGGGATCTTGGAATGAGACAGATACGAGTTCACAGCCTAGCTCTGTCGCTGACTGGCTATGTGATGGTCATGAGATGTTTGGCATCTGAGCATTCCGTTTCACATCCATGAACTCAGCAAGTGACCTGAGAATGTGCAGTACTGGTGTGTCAACCCTGCATCACCCATGGATTAACATGCCACCAGCTGTTCTCCTTGGATTAAGGACTTTGCCTCTTCTCCCTGGGTTCATTGTCCCAAGGATTGGCCTCTCCCGGCAACGCTGTTTGATTAGCTCATTTGCGCAGGAAATGAAGTCAGTAAAACCTTTAAGCTAAGGCAACAGGGGCCCCTGCTGTCATCAACCCTCATCAACCCATCAACTATAAGGCCCTATTCCAGTGTTCTTTTGCCTATACTCACCCTGCTGGGCAGGGGTTTCATGGGGCCAAAGGGACCTGCCTCTTAGAACAATTGCTTCCCTTTCTTCTTTTCTTTTCAAGATGGAGTTTTGCTCTTGTTGCCCAAGCTGGAGTGCAGTAGTGCTATCTTGGCTCACTGCAACCTCCGCCTCCCGGGTTCAAGCGATTCTTCTGCCTCAGCCTCCTGAGTAGCTGGGATTACAGGTGCCCGCCACCACACTTGGCTAATTTTTTGTATTTTTAGTAGAGATGGGGTTTCACCATGTTGGCCAGGCTGGTCTTGAATTCCTGACCTCAGGTGATCCACCCACCTTGGCCTCCCAAAGTGCTAGGATTATAGGCGTGAGCCACTGCACCTGGCCCAATCGCTCCCATTTCTAGACCACATTACAAGAGCCAGGACCCTGAAATTCCCTGTCCAAATGAGGCTGAGCCCACTTCTGGGTTCTCTGAAGGTTACTCCCCAGATCTTTCCCCTTGAGGTTGGACTACATGGCCCTTCCTAGGCCCCAAAGGAAGTCAAAGGCAGCTGATGGGAAGGGGGTGATCAGAATGGAGGTGGACAGAGCTGGAGCATCCTACTTCCACACAGGTGTGTCCTCGTGGTGGTTCAAGACAGAGTCAGGGTTGAGAAGAGAAGGGGGCAGCTCTCCCTGCCTGGCTACAGTTCAGCACAGAACACTGATGAGCTTAAGAATTCTAAATGTGAACTTGGCCTTCCAGGTCATTAAGAAGACATGTGTCAAGTTAGGAGGTTAGCGCATCTTTTAGTTAATAGCTTATTAGCGTAATTTTTAACTTTGAAAAATTGAGGCATATGGTATGTGGACCTCATCCTGGCCCCACAGATGTTACAGGCAGGCCTGGGGAAAATAATACAAGCATTTAGGTTGTTATGAGAATTAAAAAAATATGTATGAATGCAGAGTATGCAGAGAAGGTGCTCAGTAAGAATTATTCTCCTTTCTTTCTGGCTTGCCAATTCTGTCTTTAAAACTGCAGTTGTAAAAGAGAATTCTTCTCTAGGTAGGGCCATCACCTTCCTCCTTTTTTTCTAGGGTACAGCTTCATGCTGTGTTAACACTGGGGCTGGCTAACATGCCCTCAGGCCTTCCCGCGAAGAGGCTGATTCAAGTTTGACAGCTAAGTCAGGAACATTTAGTTAACCGTGGCCAAAAAATTTAAAAATGGCTCTTATGCCAATCAGGAAGGCCTCGGCCCCTTGTGAAGTACCTCTCCAGTGAGGCAGCCTTAAGGTAGGCGGGGCTTCAGGAACCCCAGGCCTTCTGGCAAGACCCACGGAAAGAGATTTCTGGGTGTGGGAAGCAGGGAGGCTCAGCAGCTGCTTTGGGGGCTCTGAGAGCTGTCTGCAGAAGTGCATTGTCCTGAACCAGGAACTGCGCCTGGAAAACTAGCCATGCTTCTTCAGGGACCAAGGAAGGGGTTGTTGGGGTGGGACTGATCAGGGGATCAAGAACCCAACAGTTAGGAGAAGCCAGACTTCTCTGATAAGTTGAAAGTAGCAGCTGGGTGCAGTGGCTCATACCTATAATCCAAGCACTTCGGGAGGCAGAGGCAGGTGGATCACTTGAGATCAGGAGTTCAAAAAAAGCCTGACCAACATAGTGAAACCCCATCTCTACTAAAAATACAAAATTAGCTGGGCGTGGTGGCACATGCCTGTAATTCCAGCTACTCGGGAGGCTGAGGCAAGAGAATCGCTTGAACCCAGAAGGCGGAGGTTGCAGTGAGCCAAGATCGCGCCACCACACTCCAGCCCAGGCAACGGAGTGAGACTCCATCTCAAAACAAAACAAACAAAAACCTAGCAGAACTGGTTCACTGTGCTAAGTATCTCAAATTTGCTGCTGTGTATCTACTTTTTACTTTGAAAATATCCATTTATTTATTTATTATTATTTTTATTTATTTATTTTTTGAGATGGAGTCTCACTCTGTCATCCAGGCTAGAGTGCAGTGGCGCCATATCGGCTCACTGCAACCTCTGCCTCCCGGGTTCAAGCGATTCTCCTGCCTCAGCCTCCCGAGTAGCTGGAATTACAGTCATGTGCCACCACTCCCGGCTGATTTTTGTATTTTTAGTAGAGACAGGGTTTCACCGTATTGGCCAGGGTGGTCTCGAACTCCTGACCTCAGGTGATCCGCCCACCTCAGCTTCCCAAAGTGCTGGGATTACAGGCGTGAGCCACTGCACCTGGCTGAAAATATCCATTTAATTTCTGCATTCTAAACAGCAAGTAGGAGTATGCTAAGCTGTTAGAAATTGGGGCCCAAGGAAAGGAAGACACAGCAGTTTGGGTGGAGGGAACAGTATATGCAAAGAGCTGCAGGCAGAAGAGGTAGGGCATCAAAAGACAGGGAAGCATGGCCGGACAAGGTGGCTCACGCCTGTAATCCCAGCTACTCGGGAGGCTGAGACAGGAGAATTGCTTGAACCCGGGAGGCAGAGGTTCCAGTGAGCCAAGATCGTGCCACTGCACTCCAGCCTGGGTGACGCAAAAAAAAAAAAAAAAAAACAGTAAAGCATGGACTACAAAGTGTGTGTCGGAGAGGAGGGTGGGAAGGTGATCTGGCCTTATTGAAATGGCTTTGAAGCATTCTGATGTTGCTTCTTGAATCATAGAGAAATATGTGCTCAAGACGCTATAAGATGATTTCCTCCTCGTTAGAAAAAGGCTTCTATAAATTTTGAGAAATTAAAACATTTTGGTTACTAAGTGTCAAGGACTGTTTAACCCATATATACATTGGACCTCTTGTGGCTAAATTTCAAATTAATCTATTTGTCTCTCATCTATCTATGTTTTTAAATCACCAGAAATAGAAAATTATTTTATATTTTTAAATCAAAGACAAATTTATTTGATAAGTTAGGTATCGCACTTAGACCTAAGAAACAGATCCCCTGAAAAAAATCACTATGAAAAAAATTTTCTGGCCAAGAGTGGTGGCTCACTACCTGCAATCCCAAGACTTTAGGAGGTCTAGGTAGGAGGATCACTTGAGCCCAGGAGTTTAACACCGGCCTGGGCAACATAGACCCCTGTCTCTACAAAAAATTTTAAAAATTAGCCAAGCATGATGGCACATGCCTATAGTCCCAGCTACTTGGGAGGCTGAAGTGGGAGGATCACCGGAGCCCGGGAGG
The DNA here is from genome assembly GCF_000001405.40 of Homo sapiens. Classification (NCBI taxonomy): domain Eukaryota; kingdom Metazoa; phylum Chordata; class Mammalia; order Primates; family Hominidae; genus Homo; species Homo sapiens. The sequence continues at coordinate 109,339,780 of NC_000009.12, read as the reverse complement.
TTGAGGCTGCAGTGAGTTCAGATCATATGACTGCACTCCAGCCTGGGCCACAAAGCAAGACCCTGTCTAAAAAAAATAAAAAATAAATAAATTCCTGAAGCCCTCCCTCAAGACCTGAAAAACAAACATGACAAATGTTTTCAACTTATTCAAATGCTAAAGAGGGCTGTCACTCTCAGAAACAAGATCTATTCAGTTATGCATCTAGTCATCTAGGGTAACATTGGACCTAAAGATCAAGAAATGTATACTCACATTGAGTATACATTTGTACTCTTTTGTTTCAATTTGTACTCTTTACCAAATTTTATCTGAAGGGCCTAGGGGTTAAGGATGCAGTAAATTCACCTCCACACCCATCTTCTCCTCCCCACAACATACATACTTTATATTAACTCCTTCTTGCCTCTCACGTTAAACCCAGGTTGGCTAACTTTGATGATGAAACACACTAGTCCTTTATACTTAAGGTTGGTATAAATGCAACATTGTTTATTTGCCAAATCCCAGAGAGGCAAAGATCTAATTAATCTATTAAGGCTTCTCTTGGAAAAAAGTCAAAATTTTCAGATGGGAAACCTAGGTGGCTATCATCAGGATGTTTTGCAACAGGGCTGGCTGGATTGCTCCAGACGATTCAGACGGCCTCTGCTCATGGAAGTTGTGGGTAGCAGGCTGGGAATGCAAATGAGGGAGCAACTCTGTTTGGGGATGTTCAGCTAGGCCAATGGCCATTGCCCTCTGCAGTGAAACAACTGTTCTGTTCCTGTGCCTCCAGAACTGGGACCAGAATAAGGGAAGGTGCAGATCGAATGGGGCCTCAGGAACCCCCAGGGCATGTCCTTGGAATCTTCCAAACAGCAAACTTGAGAGTTGGGGCTCAGCTCTACTGAGTGAAGGCTTCCTCTGAGGCTTTTGTTGATGGGCATGGCCACTCTTGGGACAGAGTGGTCTCCTCAGAAACGCTCCCAGGGAAGCCACTGTATTGCATGGTACTACTACTAGTTGGCCTAATGAGAGTGAGCAGGGGGAGGGAAGGTTGGTTGGTTTATGTTTAAGCTGCAGCCTTTTATGTTTTCCCCAAACCTTAATGACATTGAAACCCTGGAACTATTCCCCGTTTCAAGGCTTCTCTCTGGCCAGGTGTGGTGGCTTATGCCTGTAATCTCAGTAATTTGGGAGGCTGATGCAGGAGGACTGCTTGAAGCCAGGAGTCTGAGACCAGCCTGGGCAATAAAGTAAAACCACATGTCTACAAAATATTTTAAAAATTAGCCAGGTGTTGTGGCAGGCACCTGTGGTCCCCACTGCTTTGGAGGCTGAGGCAGAAGGATCATTTGAGCCCAGGAGTTCGAGGCTGCAGTGAGCTATGATCATGCCACCGCACTCCAGTCTGGGCAACAGAGTGAGAACTTCATCTCTAAAAAGAAGAAAACAAAAAGAGAAAAAGGCTTCTCTCCCTTATAGGAGCACAGAAACAGATCGCCAGCTCATTGAAATGAAGATTATGGCTGCATTGATAGAAAAGACCAAAACGGGGGAACTAATGAGCCCCCTCTCTCTGCAGAGGGAGAGAAAACCATGAAAAATCTAGAGCCAAGAAGCCCTCCTCAGAGGATTTTTATTACATGGTTTTTGTGTCACTAGATAGCCAAACTGTCTGGGTGTGGTTGCTCATGCCTGTAATTTCAGCACTTTGGGAGGCCAAGGTGGGAGAATTGCTTGAGGCCAGGAGTTCAAGACCAGCCTGGGCAACAAAGCAAGACCCCATCTCTATTAAAAAACAAAAAGTCTCCAAGCACAAATACTAAACTCTCAAGAGATTTCCAAACTGGCTTTGTGATATCTGTACCCACAGGGTGGGCACAGCATGACCGACATTTAGCAGGTGGGGAGCAGGGAGGGAACACAGGGACAGAGCTCTGTCCAACAGAACTCTCTGCACTGAAGGAAACGGTTTTCCTCTGCACTGTCTAAAATGGTAGCCGCTAGACACATGTGGCTCTAAAATACTTGAACGTTGCTAGGGCAACTGAGGAGCAGAATTTTCAAATTTTGTTTCATTAAATTTAAATAGCCACAGGTGGCTAGTGGCTCTCATATTAGATAGCACAGCAAGAAGTTCGCTGACCTTGAGATGCTCAGGGAAAGAGGGCATCTTTACCTCTGCCTGGGTTCCTCTTTTATCTTGCAACCCTGGACATTCAGGCTTCTTGTTCATCAGTCTGGCAGCTCCAATACTGAGGCCCCTCCTCAGTTAACCCTACTGCACTGGGCAAACTTCAGCAAGAGGAAACATTACACGATCTGCTTTGAAAAGACTGTGCATGGCCTGGCGTGGTGGCTCACGCCTGTAATCCCAGCACTTTGGGAGGCCGAGGTGGGTGGATCACCTGAGGTCAGGAGTTTGAGACCAGCCTGGCCAACATAATGAAATCCCATCTCTACTAAAAATACAAAAGATTAGCTGGGCATGGTGGTGGGTGCCTATAATCTCAGCTACTCAGGAGGCTGAGGCAGGAGAATTGATTGAACCTGGGAGGCGAAGGTTGCAGTGAGCCAAGATCGTGCCACTGCACTCCAGCCTGGGCAACAGGAACGAAACTCTGTCTCGAAAAAAAATAATAATAAGAAAAGACTGTGCATGGCTTTCTCTGAGCAGGATGAGGTTGGCAAGGATCTCTGAAGCTGAGCAGGATGTTCCAAACTGCTAATTTGCTAACATAATTTGGGAAAGTGCTACTTAAAACCCTGACCCAAGTGAAGGCAACATTTCTGAAATTTGTGGGAGGCCAAAGCCCATGCTACTGGAGGTTATATTTGCTAATTGTCTCAGTGGTTGTTTATTACATGGCTATGCAGTATTTATCTCTATTAGAATACTTGGCCAAGTAAGGCAGGCTGGTTCACCTAGATTTTCTACTGTAACCCAAGCTAAAGGGTCAGTTGGATTTCTTATCAACTGGAAATGTGGGATGACATAATCTGCTTTTTCCCCCAAAAGAGCTACAAGATGTTTTTCTGATTGCCTTTGAAACCAGAGCAAACTGTCTCGTCCATTGGCCCTACTGAGAAGACAGAGGCAGAGAGGCATAGGGGACTGTGTTTTGTATGACCCTGCTCAACCATCTACAGTGGTTGGGATCAGGGCTGGGCACTGACCACAAAGCAAGCTGATTTCATTGGCTGGCCGGTGACCTGTGACTTGGCACATAAGAATATCTTCCAGTCAGATTCTCCCTTTCTGGACTCTAAACTGGAAGCAGAGAGAATCTGACACTGGAAATGGAAGGTAGGGAGTGGGAAGAGAGAAGCCAAACGTAGTCACTTAGGTAGAGAGCCAAAGACTGATTTTGCACAAATGTGATACCAGCCTTGGACTCTGTGTTTTAAAAATTCCTCAGGGAATTCAAACGCACGAATACCCGCTTCTTAATATTTCCCAGTGTACTTAGTCACCTCCAACAGGACATTTCTACCTCATCTCATACCTCTTATGTGAAACTTTAGCAAAAGAGACAGCCAGCATTTTACTATTGTCGGTGGTACTTCAGTGTAAGCTTTCTGTTCAATATTTTCTTAGGATAGATTGCTAGCAGTGGGATTACTATGTCAAAGAGATAACTATCTTTGTGGTTCTTGCTACATACTGCCTTCCAATAGGTTGCGTAAATTTACACTGTCATTGTAACCACTGAAACAGACTATGTCAGTTTATCACAACCTTTCCAGCACTAGGAATACTATTTTGCATTTCCCTCCCACCTCCCCATATTTTTTTTTAGTAAATGTCAGAAAGTGCCCCAAATCTGTTTTAATTTTCATTAACTTTGATTATTGGTGAAGATGAACCATTTCCCATTGGCATTTACTATCCATGTCTTCTCTTTTCCCTGAGTTTCCCAACAATAATATCTTTTAGACAGCCCCTTTTTCTGCTATTAAGCCTTTTATTCCCAATATTTTCAGAAATAAAACAGAGGTTTCAACATCTCTAGTGACAGCATCCTAAAACCCCACCGGTCAGAAATGCAGCCCTTTTCTGTTTTAGTAAATGCCTGACTACAGTGTTTCCCATAGGTGTTTTATACACAATGACTGACACACACGCTTATCAAACATCCACGTCACTCTGGTTATGTGGCCAAAGTGTTCGGTGTTCATGTAAAGAAGAGACAACTGGATGAAACAAAATTAAACCGATTTCTCTACTGCAAGACTGATCAGAGCCTTCAATGTTCCTTTAACAAATTCTCAGTGAATCCTTAAGAGGAAAATGTTTGAAGCATCTTTCTGGAATCTATTCTGCCTGCCAAAGGAGTTTCATAGGCTGAAGCATGCTGAAGAAATGGTGTCGTGAAGAAGGTACTTTGAGAATTCCTGCTGCGGCATTACGGTCACCAGCACACTAAATTCAGTGTGTGGCCTACAGCAAGAAAAAACAGAGCATCCAGTTACTCCACTGCAGAAACTCACACGCGGTGTCAAAATGCAAATGCGTCTTAAGAAGTACTTTAAATAATACATTTGAAAAGTCAATAAGGATGTTGGAAAGGTATTTTATGGACTGAAAGGGAAAGTTACAACATAGCATGTGGAAAGCATCTCGTTTTTTGTTCAGAAAAAAAATGTATCTGTTGTGCTCCCCAACTCCCCCATACTACTAGAACGTAAATTTCCAAGGTCAGGAATGTGAAATCATACAGACTATTCTAAATTTCTTAAAATTTTAGGATGTGTTTATATTGGTAGACTATTGCATTTGTTTATTGCACTGTCATGTTCTGTTTTATATTTTATTTAAAAATATTACACTTTTTTGCTTTACCTAAAGAATGCTCTTTACTTAATATAAAGTTATGTCTGTGTGTATGCACATGTATGGAAATAGAAAAAAAATGTCTGAAAAGATGTGTATCAAAATGGTATCTGGTTTTCTTTAAATGATGGGATTGTGTTATTTCTTGTTTTTTGTTTGTTAATTTTTTTTATTTTTATATTTTAGAGACATGGCTGGGTGTGGTGGCTCACGCCTGTAATCCCAGCACTTTGGGAGGCTGAGGTGGGCAGATCACCTGAGGTCAGGAGTTCGAGACTAGCCTGGCCAACATGATGAGACCCCATTTCTACTAAAAATACGAAAATTAGTCGTGTGGTGGCAGGTGCCTGTAGTCCCAGCTACTCGGGAGGCTGAGGCAGGAGAATCGCTTGAACCCAGGAAGCAGAGGTTGCAGTGAACTGAGATCACGCCACTGCACTCCAGCCTGGGTGACAGAGCAAGACTCCGTCTCCAAAATAAATACATACATACATACATATATACATACATACATACATACATACATACAACTGTTTTAGAGACAGGGCCTCACTCTGTCACCCAGGCTGAAGTGCAATGGCACTATCATGGCTCCCTGCAGCCTCCAACTCCTGGACTCAAGCCATCCTCCCACCTCAGCCTCCCAAGTACAAGTAGCTGAGACTACAGGCCCATGCCACTTTGCCTGGCCAAACTTACGTTTTTTAAAACTTGTTTCTCTATGTTAGATATTGCCTGAGAAGAATGTTTTCACAGGGAGTATGTTTGTTTTACAATCAAGGAGAGAAATAAAGCTATTTTTGTTTTTGGGAAAAAAAGGCAATAAGGGAAAAAATACTTGAGCAACTATTGTGCCCCAGGCATTTCAACCATGGGATATCTTTAATCCTCCCAATTATTATTCCCCTTTTAAAGTTAAGGAAACTGAGGCATAGATCACTTAATTGACTCGCTCAAGATCATACTGGAAGTGGTAGAGTAGGTTTTCTTTTAACTGTGAATACAAAATTAGGCATGGTAGGGTGCACCTGTAGTCCCAGCTACTTCGGAGGCTGAGCTAGGAGGATTGATTGAGCCCAGGAGGTCAAGGTTAGTGGGCCATGACTGAGCCACAGCACTCCAGCCTGGGTGACAAAGCGAGACTCTGTCCCCCCCAAAAAAAAATTGTGGTAAAATATACATAACGTAAAAATATTACCATTTTAACCAGTTTAAGTCTACTATTATTGGCATTAAATACATTCACAATGTTATACAACCATCATTACCATCTGTGTCCAGAAAGTTTTCATCATCTCAAGCTGAAACTCTGTACCCACTAAATGTTAACTCCCCATTCAGTCTTTCCCTATCCTCTGATTACCTTTATTCTGCTTTCTGTGTCTATGAATTTCCCTATCTAGATACCTCACATAACTGGAATCGTATAATATTTGTCTCTTTGTGTCTGCTTTATTTCATTTAGCATAATGTTTCCAAGTTTCATCCGTAACACAGCATGGATCAGTACTTCATTCCTTTTTATAGCCAAATAATAGTCCATTATATTAATATACCATGTTTTGTTTATCCATTTATCTGTTGGTGGACATTTGAATATTTATTTCTACCTTTTAGTTATTGTGGATAATGTTGCTATGAACATTGGTATACACCTATGTGTTTGAGTTTCTCCTTTATTTGTGGGTATATAAACATAGGAGTGGAATTGTTGAATCGCAAGATAATTCTATTACAACTTTTGGAGAAACTGCCAGACTGTTTTCCACAGTAGCTGCACCATTTTCTATTCCCACCAGGAATGCCTGAGGGTTCCAGCTTCTCTGCATCCTGGTCAACACTCGGTCTTTTCTGTTTTTTTGTTTGTTTGTTTTGTTTTTTAAATAATAGTTATCCTAATAGATGTGAAGTGGTATAAATTATGGTTTTGATTTGCACTTTCCTAATGGTTTGTGGTGTTGAGCAACATTTCATGTGTTTGTTGACCATTTGTATACTTCTCTGGAGAAATAGTTATTCAAATCTTTTGCCCATTTTTGAATTGAGTTGTTTTTTGTTGTTGAATTTTAAATTTTCTTTGTGTGTGTGTGTGTGAGAGAGAGAGAGAGAGACAGACTCTTGGATTGTCACTGGGGCTGGGGTGCAGTGGTGCAATCTCGGCTCACTGTAACCTCTGCCTCCTGGGTTCAAGCCATTCTCCTGCCTCAGCCTCCTGAGTAGCTGGGATTACAGGCGCCCGCCACCATGCCCAGTTAATTTTTGTATTTTTAGTAAAGATGGGGTTTCACTATGTTGGCCAGGCTGGTCTCGAACTCCTGACCTGGTGATCCACCTGCCTTGGCCTCCCAAAGTGCTTGGAATACAGGCGTGACCCACTGCTCTGTAAATGTTCTTTATATAGTCTGGATACTAATCCTTTAACATATATATATGATTTTCAAATACTTTGTCTCATTCTGTAGGTTGTCTTCACTTTGTTGATAGTGTCCTTTGATGCACAAAAGTTTCTCATTTAGGCCGGGCGCGGTGGCTCACGCTTGTAATCCCAGCACTTTGGGAGGCCGAGGCGGGCGGATCACGATGTCAGGAGATAGAGACCACGGTGAAACCCCGTCTCTACTAAAAATACAAAAAATTAGCCGGGCGTGGTGGCGGGCGCCTGTAGTCCCAGCTACTCGGAGAGGCTGAGGCAGGAGAATGGCGTGAACCTGGGAGGCGGAGCTTGCAGTGAGCCGAGATCGCGCCGCTGCACCTCCAGCCTGGGTGACAGAGCGAGACTCCATCTCAAAAAAAAAAAAAAAAAAAAATTCTCATTTAGATGAAGTCCAATTTATCTATTTTTTCTTTTTTTTTGCCTGTGCCTTTGAGAGTTATATGCAAAAAATTAATGCCAAATTAAATGTCATGAAGATTTTCCCCTATATTTTCTTCTAAGAGTTTTATAGCATTAGTTCTTAGGTTTATGTCTTTGATCTATTTTGAGTTAATTTTTTTATATGATAGAAGGTAAGGGTCCAACTTCACTCTTTTGTATGTGGATATCCAGTTTTTCCCAGCACCACTTATTGAAAAGACTATCCTTTGGCCATTGAATGATGTTGTTACCCTTGTGGGAGTGGGGTTTGAAATCCACCTCTGTTGGACTTTAAGTGGTGTGGTATGGTTTTAGTAGTAGAGTGTGTGCCCCAGATTTCCCTAAAGCAGCCTTTCTCTCTCTCTCTCAGACCCGGAAGGGCTGTCACAGGCCATGCCTGGAGAGTCCCTGACAGTGCTTCCCAGATGGGAGAGGAGGTCTCAGGCAGTGCCCAAGGGCAGCTGTACTATGGGCAGCCTTCTGCCTACCAGATGCCAGCCTGTACCAGCTAACCCAGCCTGGCTCTGGGACTGCCCAGACCGGTTTGCAGACTTTCTGTTCCCTGGGAGCTTGTTCCCTGGCCACAGCCAAAGCTTGCTTTCTCTCTCTCCCCACCCATCACCACCCCCACTGACCCCCCCGCTCTTCTGCATGGTCCTTGCCAACCCGCAGACCAAAGGCTCTGGGCTGCTGACCTTACTGCTACTCTCCTGCCCGAGGCTTGGGGCCCCTTTCCTCCCTGGGCCCCCTGCCAGGCTAGTCAGGCTCTGACCCAGAAAGTTTCTATTTTTTCAGTGGAAGTAAAATTATCAATAATAACATGACCACTAATGTGAACAATAACAATTCACATTTATTGGGTACTTACCCATCAGAGTTGAGGTGCTTTACATGGTTTACTCCCTACAACAGACCTAGGAGGTCACTACTATTATTATGGCCTTGTAACAGATGAGAAACTAAGGTGTGAGGACTCAAATTCTGTGCCCAAGGTCACATAGCCAAGAAGTGTCACAGCCAGGATTCAAATGCCACCTCCGGACAATGCTTCTGGACTAGATTGTCTGATGTTCACTCTCTCGTGGTGACCATGGCTATGTAATGAACAGCTATATATGCCATCCACTCTGTGTGTGTGTGTGTGTGTGTGTGTGTGTGTGTGTGTGTGAAGGGTTGTAGGGTGCAGGGTTGGGGGGTAGAGCTCTACCAGGGCAGGCAGGCCCACGGAGAAGTGACTTAACTAAGGTCAAGGGGTGGTGAGCATGGGTAGAATTAGATCTCAAAGATAGTTTTTCAAACCCCAGACTTTTTTTTTTTTTTTTGAGACATAGTCTCTCTCTGTTGTCCAGGCTGGAGTGAAGTGGTGTGATCTCAGCTCACTGCAACCTCCGCCCCCTGGGTTCAAGCGATTCTCCTGCCTCAGCCTCCTGAGTAGCTGGGATTATAGGCACAAGCCACCATGCCCAGCTAATTTGTGTATTTTTAGTAGAGACGGGGGTCTCACCATGTTGGTCAGGCTGGTCTCCAACTCCTGACCTAGTGATCCGCCCGCCTAGGCCTCCCAAAGTGCTGGGATTACAGGTGTGAGCCATTGCGCCCGGCCTAACCTACAATTCTTTAAAGTGAAATTTGTCCATTTAGGCAACAAAGACCACCCAGGGCCCCTTTCAGACTCCTAGAACTTTGTGTCCTTTTTGCTGGCGTCCCTTGTCACCAGCCCTGCTGCAAGATTGTCAGTAGGGGAACTATAGGGTCCATCTCCCTTTCAGGAATTTTACCCTGGGTGCTGCAGAGAGGCTGCAGGAGGAGGCCAGTGCAGTGGTCCAGGGGCCTGAGGGATGGCTGGGGACAAGTTGGGGATTGGGGGTGTAGATGTTGGGGGTGAGGAAGAGATGGATGTTTCTAGCTTCAACTGCTATAATGGGCAGAGAGGTCCTGCCCAACTCCCAACACTGGGCAAGTCTCCTTCCTCAGCTCTTCAGAGGAGAGAAAGCTAATCTGATTGGTCGCGTTCCAGTACAGCAGCTAGGCCAAGTTTACTCGCAAATAGGGTCACTGAGTGTAAAAAAAAAATGACACACAAGAATGTGGCCCTCTCCTCCTTCCACCCACACCTAAACACACTTGCCTTTGCTTCTCCATCGAGTCTGCTACTGAACAGAAGGAGGAAACATCTCTCAAAGAAGGAGGGCTCGGGCAGAAGGAGAGGCCCTGTTAGGCCTACAGACGGCCGCAGGCTCCATTCCAGCTTTACTGGAGAGCCCTGAGCCCTGGGCAGGCCCCGCAGATAACAAAGTGCAGCCTGTATCCTGTTGCTATGGTTGGTGGCGTCTGGTCCCTTGAGAATCCCACGAGCAGAATGGGGAGTGGCAGAGCAGGATGGTCCTGTTGTGGACTCCATCTTACTATTATCAAAATGCCTGCCTTCATTTCTAACAGCTTAATCAAAAGAGAGAAAAGGCCCGGGGGAGGGGGAGATGAAGGGAGGGAGGGTATCTCAGAGCAGAAATTGAAGAGAGGGTGGAGACATCAAGGTCAGAAACTGGCTCCGAGGAGTGGAGAACAGGGGCCCCCTCCCAGTGAGTCAGTCAGGGCGGGAGCCCGTGTGGCCGCTGGGTAGGGCCAGGTTTCAGTTTGAAGAGGACGTCAGCAAGGGAAGGAGGCCCAGCCAAACAGCTGTGGGATCCAGGAGTTCCGATCGTAGACCGCACTGCTGCTTCCCAGCTATGTCACCTGGGGCATGTCCCAGGACTTCTCTGAGCCCCAGTTTCCTCGGTATAAACCGGGGATAAAAACACCTCCCTGCCAGGGTTGTCATAAAGAGTAATTAAATGTGGTAATGTCTGTGACAGCACTTAATAAACCATAAATCTCTGCACAGCATAAAGAGGTGCTATCCTTTTTATTATTCCCTTGGGAATGAAAAGCAGAGTGCCTTTGATAAGCATTTGTCAATTCTCAGCTACACCCAGCTTCCCGGGCCTCATCTTCCCTCCAGCTTCAGAAAACGCCATCTATCTAAAGCAGAAATCACCAGTTAAAAGAAAAGGAAAGGAAGAAAATGCCATGTATTCCTTCTCCATAAACCTCCTCTTTGTTCTCTGCTGCTCTTCATCCCTTTGGTCTCTCCCTCTCCACAGGCTTCTTCCTTTTTTTTTTTTTGCTCTTCATATACATCAGCCTCCTCAATATTAAAATAAGAACCATGCCCCAGCTGGGTGAGGTGGTTCACGTCTGGAATACCAGCATTTTGGGAGGTTGAGGCGGGTGGATCACTTGAGGTCAGGAGTTCAAGACCAGCCAGGCCAGCATAGTGAAACCCTGTCTCTACTAAAAATACAAAAATATTAGTCAGGGTGGTGGCACATGCCTGTAGTCCCAGCTACTCAGCTATTCGGGAGGCTGAGGCAGAAGAGTCGTTTGAGTCTAGGAGGTGGTGGAGGTTGCGGTGAGCCGAGATCAAGCCACTGCACTCCAGCCTGGGCGACAGAGTGACACTCTGTCTCAAAAAAGAAAAAAAAAAAAAAAGGAACCATGCCCCTAAAACCTTTAATCTCCTTGCCCCATGTTTCCTCCTTCTTCCATTCTTACATTGTTATACGATTTTACAGTTTCTAAAGTTTTTTACGCTTGTTTTGTCATATAGTGAATGTCATATAGTAATGAAATTTTGAGGTGAGCAGTATTTGCCCATTTTACAGATGAGAAAAGTGAATATCAGATTAGAATTCAGCAGAAGTCCCGTAGCTTTTTGGTTTTTTTTTTTAAGTTATTTTTATTTATTTGAGACCCATGCTAAGGGTCTCACTGTGTTGCCTAGACAGGTCTTGAACTCCTGGGTTCAAGTGATCCTCCTGCTTTGCCCTCCCAAGTAGCTGGCATTACAGGCAGGAGCGACAGTGCATCCCCATGTTCTTTCTTTCGCTGCCTCCTTTTGATGCTAACTTTCTTTTCTTTCTTTCTTTCTTTTTTTTTTTTAAAGACAAAGTCTTGCTCTGTTGCCCAGGCTGGAGTGCAGTGGTGTCATCATAGCTCACTGCAGCCTCAACTTCCTGGGGTCAAGCAGTCCTCCCACCTCAGCCTCCTGAGTAGCTGGGACTACAGGCACATGCCACCATGCCAGGTTAATTTAAAAATTTTTCTGTAGAGACAGGATCTTGCTATGTTGCCCAGGCTAGGCTTGAACTCCTGGGCTCAAGCAACCCTCCTGCCTTAGCCTCCCAAAGTAGTGGGATTACAGGCATGAACGACTACACCTGGCCTGACGCTAAACTTCTAAAATGATGGTCAGGATCTACCATCTGTATTGCCCTGCGTCTATTTTCTCTTAAGCCCATATAAGTCCATTCCTTCCTTGTACCACTGTACCCTCCTCAAGATCACCAGGATCACTAGCTTCAGGCCAGCTGGCTCACTTCAGAGGCCCTTCACGGCTCTCACTCCTATCAACACTTCACTGGCATGGCTCTGATTCTACTCAAGACATTCTTCTCCAAATTTTCTTTCCTTAGCTTGAACCAGGACTTGAAGTTTCCCAAAGGAGAAGGAGGATATGGGGAGGGTTCCTTTTGTGTCTGTGGTTCCTGTATCTTGGTTGTGTAATGTTAACATAGGTGAGTCACGGGACCCCTACTTTGGAATGCCGCTTCCATGGTGAGCTCTGAGTTGCAGCAGGATTTCAACAGCACATTCCACCACCAGCAGCAGCCCAGCTGCCAAGGGCTTTCCCTGAAAGAACAATTTACCTTGGTTTTGACCAACTTGGCAGGAGCTGGGTTTTTGATTTGATGGCAAAAAGGATTGGAGGTGTCATAGCTTGTGAATTGGCCAGGCATGGGAAAGTTAATGTCAGCAGTCTAGGACAGGGAAAAAGGGGTTACCAGTTGGAACTAGACTTTCCCAAGGGGATTGGACAGGGGCAAGGGAGATGAACCCAATTATACGTGATGGGGTGGGGGTGATGTGGAGTCCTGCATTGTGCAGTACGGTAGCCACTAGTTACATGAGATTATTTAAATTTACTTTTTGTGAATTTAAATTTAAATTTAAGTGAAATCAAATTAAATATTTAGTTCTTCAGTCTCACTAGCCATCTTTCAAGTACGCAATGGTCCCATGTGGCTAGTGGCTGCTGTATTGGATACAGCAGATGTAAAATGTTGCCATCATTGCAGGAAGTTCTATAGGACAGGACCGATTTTAGTCCATCAAACAGAGAAGAACAAAGGTAAAGCAGTTGGCTAAGAGATTGTAAGGGACAGGCAAGCACATCAGGGATGTCCAGGAAGAGGGAGCATGGCATGGGCAACCCAAGGGTAAGTAACAATGGAGATGGAAGGGGCAGGGTGGGTAGGTGCTATAATAAGTACCCCCCTTCCACTCTCTGTGTGCATCTTCCATATGGATATTAGGATTATTTTATCAGAGCCACATGTGTTTCCCAAACCAGGATGCACATCCTCTGGGGAAGAAATGGGTCCTCAGATAGGAACCCAGGCTAAGGCTGCCATCAGGTAAGGAGGGGACCCTCCTGTTTCTCTCCAGATACTGATCTCTTGGGGTTTCGATGGAAGGCTAGATAGTAGATGTTTGGAATGGAAAACTAGGGATTAGATGTTGAGGAGGAAGTCAGAAATACCATCTGGAGCAGAGGGAAAGGATTAGCTAAGAATGTAAATTTGGGACTCAGTTGTAGTCACCAAAGAGTCCTTCCATGTTTGCCACTTCTGGATCTAAAAGCTTAGATGACTCATTAACTGTCCATTTATTTCTGTACAATTCAGTGATAAGCATTGCATTCTAATTATTTGCCTGGAGATGAGTCCTTTAAATAATAAACAAAGTGAGCACCTATTCAAAATAATGTTTATGTCCTGTGCTCAAGAAAGAGAACAAGAGAACAAAGAGAAGATCTGGGACCTGAAAAACCATTCTAATTCTCTTTAAGTTGTAAATTCCAGGAGCTAGGTCTGGCTTCAGGCATGGCTGAATCCAGGTAGTCAAAATCAAATTGCCCTCTGTGTCTCTCCATCTCTTGACTCTGCCTCTGTTTGTGTTGGTGTCTTCCTCAGGCTTTCTCCAAATTATGTCAAAGTGGGTCTTCAGCAGGCAGTTCCAGGCCTGCACACTTCTCATTCTCCAATTCCAATGGAAAGAAATGGCCCATTCCCAGTAATTTCAGCCAGAGTTAAAGGGCTGACCTTCATTGGCCTGGCATGGGTTATGGTCCATTCTTGAGCCGGTAGCAGGTCTTTAGGAAATGCAATTCTCTGATTGGCCAGGCCTGATCCTGTGTCCACACCTGCAGCACAGTGTGGGGTCAGCTTCACCTAGACTGTTAGGCCTAGGTGAAATGGCTCCACAAAGTAACCCATGCTCTGTAACCAAAAGAAAGAAAATGGATGCTAGCCTGGCAGAAACCACAGCTGCCTACTATATGGTCTTTAATTAATGATAGCTATTATTACTGTGAAATGATAGAGGAAAGGTTAAGCTGACATTAAACACCTGTGGCAGTAGGGATGGCTTTGTGGCACATAGTAAGTTCTCAATAAATGTTTATTAAAAGAATACATTTATAAGGGAGTGAATAGGAACATACATTAAAGTGTAATCCTGCTCTATGGGAAAAAAAATGGAGCCCAACAAAATGAGGGCACAATTTTGTTGAGTCTAGGAAATGAGCCAGGAAACAAAGGATAGAGACAAATGGCACATTTCTGAGAGGAGTTCCTTAAAGACAGGGCTGAGGGCTGTTTAATTAACATGCAAAATTACTCTGGAGGAAGGGAGTGCATAAGGAACTCTCCAAGGTTTGTTGATGACACAAAACTGAGTAGTGATGGGAAGGATAATGGAAAGTTCTCCTGGAGGAAGTAGGCAAAGAGGTGGTAGTTGAGCTTTAACAAGAAGGCAAGAAGGTGACTCTAGAGACAAATTCCAAAAGATGCCTATGAGACTAAGGAAGTCAAGCTACTGCTTATGACCAAGAAAAGGATCTAGAAATTAGTGTAGACTGTTTCCTGAGAACTTCAGTCCAAGACAGTTTCAGACAGAAAGGCATGAGAAATCCTGGGTGTCTTATTCCTTCAGGCTATTCTAACAGAATACCATGAACTTGTATTATAAACAACAGAAATGTATTTCTTATAGTTCTGGAGGCTGGGAAGTCCAACACCAAGTTGCTGACAGATTCAGAGCCTGGTGAGGGCCTGTTTCCTGGTTCATAGATGGCACCTTCTCACTGTGTCCTCACATGGTGCAAGTGGCAAGGAGTCCCTGGGGTCTCTCTCTCTCTCTTTCTTTTCTTTTTTAAGATTACTCAAGTGCAGCAGTGAGACGGGGAGAAAGAGTCGAACAGGAATTTGATCTGTAACTGACTATGAACACTCAACTGAGATAACTCTCTACCTTCGGACTAGCCTCTGGGGTCTCTTATTTTTTAAAATCTTTTCAGAGATGAGGTCTCATTATGTCATCCAGGTTAGGCCCCAACTCCTGAGCTCAAGCTGTCCTCCCCACCGGCCTCCCAAAGTGCTGGGATTACAGGCATCAGCCACTGCGCTAGGCTTGGGGTCTCTTTTATAAGGGCACAAATTCCATTCATAAGGGCTCTGTCTTCATGACCTAATAAACCTCCACCTCCTACTCCTTGGGGGTTGGGATTTCAGCATATGCATTTTTGGGGGATACAAACATTCAGACCATAGCACTGGGGGTTATGAATAACCATTTGAAGATCAAAAGGCCCATAAAAGAGCAATGCATTGATAAACAGAAGATATGTACAGCTCTGGCCCATTCACACTGGGCATAAAAGAGGTCCAAGCAAGAGCAATTAAAATCTTTGAAGGGCTGGTTATAGAGTTCAGATAACAAGAATAGGGAATTTTCGGTTCGAAAGACAAAGATTAAGAAAGAGCAAGCATTGAATCACATAATACTGTGAACAGACAAAATGCAAACTTACTCATCAAATATTGAAATTCTAAGGTTGAAACTTGACATAAAATGTAGTCAAAGGAATGCCTGAGCCTTGGCTTTTCCTGTGTGGTGGAAAGAATAGTGCTTAAATCACTATTGTGATAAGGACGGAATGAGATCCATGAGGTGACAGTGCCTGACACATAGGAGGTAGAGGTAAAACTAAAGCAATCTGGAGTTCCCGTGTGATTCATGATGACATAGTATTGCCAGTGCTACTATGTAAGAGCCTCCATTCCAGTCTTCATTTTCCCTGTCTCTAAAAGGCAATAACAATATCTACCCCACAGGGCTGTTATGAAGATGAGGTGAGATCTTGCATTCATTCAACAAACGTTTATTGACTGCCTACTACTTATCAGACAGCAGGCTAGGTGCTGGCTGGGGATATAATGATGAATAAGAGAACGTCCTCCAGCATGGGCAACGTGGTGAAACCCCATCTCTACAAAAAATTAGCCGGGTGCGATAGCGAGAATCTGTGGTCCCATTTACTTCGGAGGCTGAGGTGGAGGATTGACTGAGTCTGGAAGATTGAGGCTGCAGTAAGCCGTGATTGCACCTCCGTGCTCCAGCCTGGGGGACAGAGCAAGACCCTGTCTTGAAAGAAAGAAAGGAAGGAAGGGAGGGAGGGAGGGAGGGAGGGAGACAAAAAACTCCTATCTTCATGTAGCTTAGGTCTAGTGGGAGAGAATGATCATGGATAAATCACAAAACTGAATGGGAGTAGAGGGCTTTGAAAACCATAATGCACCAAAGTAATATATTATTTATCTTTTGTGAAACAGAGTCTCACTCTGTCACCCTAGCTGGAGTGCAGTGGCATTACCTTGGTGCAATGCAGTGCACTGCAACTTCAAACTTCTGGGCGCAATCAATCCTCCTGCCTCAGCCTCCCAAGCAGCTGGAAACACAGGCATGTGCCACCACGTGTGGCTAATTAATTTTTTTTTTTTTTTTGTAGAGATAGGGTTTCACCTTGTTGCCCAGGCTGCTCTCGAACTCCTGGGCTCAAGTGATCCTCTCACCTCGGCCTCCCACAGTGCTGGGATTACGGGTGTGAGCCACCACACCCAGCCATATTATTAATAGTGCACTCATATTAGTTTCCTGTTGCTGCTGGAATAAGTTACCACAAACTTAGTGGTTTAGAACAACACAAATGTATTATTTCACAATTCTGGAGGTTTCATGGGCTAAAATCAAGGCTGCATTCCTTCTGGAATCTCTAGGGGTCAATTTGTTCCTTATCTTTTCTAGCTTCTTTCAGCTACCCAGGTTCCTTATATCCTGGTTCCATTATGCTGACTTCTGCTGCCATTGTTGTGACACCTTCTCTGACTCTGACCCTCCCGCTTCCCTCTTATAAGGACCCTTGCGATTACGTTGGATTAATACAAGATAATCGCCCTACTTCAAACTCCTTAACTTAATCACATCTGCAAAGTCTTTTTGGCCACATAAAGGGACATATTCACGGATTCTAGCAATTGGTCTGCGGACATCTTTGGGTGGCTATTAGTCAGTGTGCCACAGCACTCCTGGGCTATATAGTAGGAAATGGACTATCCTTAGAAACCAGTAAGCAGAATTGGACTACCTTTGAACATCTGCTTGTGGCTGTGTTCTATTAAATACAGTCTGGGGTGGAGCGGTGGGAGAGGAGTAGATTGGGTACCTGAAGGCCGATTACAGATGCCCTCTCAGAGAACACTGTCACATGGGAGACCTCCATAGTATCATAAAAAGAACATTAGACAATGAGTGAGGGTACTGGCTGCTGCCACTCAGGAGCTCTGAGACCTCGGACAAGGATATTACTTCTCTTAAGACCCGAACTGCAGTCCTATGTGACTTGGGGGTTACATAGAATACCTGGAAAGATTGGAGTGTGGACTAATGAAAATTCCATCCATGAAATCACCTCAGACAGCGCCTGATCCTTAATAAATGTCTGTTTTAGAATGCCTCATAAATGCACTCCTTCCTCTTTGTCTTTTTTGCTGTGTCCACTGCGTTTTCCAGGCCTCTCAGACATCTTCACCTGCCTGCCAGTCATGCACACACCTCTGCCTGGCAGCAGAGGTAGTGGTTAGCAGCCAACAGCTTTGGAGCTGGGTGAAAGAGCTGGTCTTAACCATGGAATCTGGAGCCCGTCTCTTAAGCTCTCTAAGCTTCAGTTTCCTCCTCTGTACAATGGGGATAAGAACGTCTATCTAACCAGGCTGTTGTGGGGATTGAGATGATGAATGGAAAGGGCTTAGCACGGTGTTTGGCACAAGATTAAGGGAATGATAAATAGTAGTGTTATTCTTCCCAAGAGGCCTGACCTCCTTTCAGCTTCATCCTCTTCCACATTCCTCATTTAGCAGCACTGGTCAACCCTCTTCACTCGAAGCGGACCTTGAACTTGTATACTGGAGGGCCACTGCTTAGAAACAATTCCGTCTCTCTCCAATATTCTCAGTGTGTCCTACACTATTCATTCTCAGAGCCTCAGATCTACTCTGCTTCTCAGTAATTTTCAACTTCACTAGCCTTCTCTGTTATTTATCCAGGCCTTTATCTCAATACTGGACCTGAGATCTTGAGGAAAGGTGTTTTCTTGCGTAGCATATTGGAAAAATACTTCCTCTCCTCGCCGGGCCTCAAGTTCCTTATGTGGAATGAGTCCACTGGACTGGAATGACTAAAAAAGTCCTTCCAGCTCTGAGATCTTAAATTGACAGAACTTAAGTAGCAAGGACCTTGTAGATTACCGTGTTGATTACCTAGTCCACCCCTCTCCTTTTCCAGAAGAGGAAACAGTGCTATTTTTTCATGGGGGAAAACGTAGTGCTATTCTGCCTGGTCTCCGGGGCAACGCTTCCCAGAGGGCACGCGGCCTTGTTTTCCTATCGGTGCAAAGGGGCACTCGGCGCCTCCAGGGCTCTGGGCGCCGGAAACACGTGTGTGCTCACCTACGTGTACACACGTGAGCACACCTACAGCAGCAGGGGGCGCTCGGGCCGGCAGGGGGCAGCACAGACCCGGCTTGCAATTACCCGGCGCAGCCCCGAGGGAGGAGGGCGTGCTGCAGTCCCGGCGGCAGCGGCGGCGGCGGCGGCGGCGGCGGCTGGAGGTGCAGCCTCCCAGGTGGGAGGCGGGGGCTGCGGGCGCAGGAAAAGGCGCCTTGGGAGCGGGCGCTCGGCGGGGCCTCCTCGGGCCCCGGGCGCGGCGCGGCGAGTGGGAGCGAGCGCGCCAGGACCACGCAGGCGCCCTGCTCCGGCTGGCCCTCGGCCGGCGCGCGGCGCGGGAGCAGCCCGCAGCCCGCCTCCCGCGCCCCCGGCAGCCCCCTGGCAGCCCGCAGCCGCCCGTCCGGAGCAGCCCCTCGGCAGCCCGCGCAGGCCGCCGGCCCGGGAGAGCGCGCGGCGGCGGCGGCGGCGGGACGGCCCCGAGCGCGCCCTCCCGCCTGCGGCCACTCGCAGCCGGCGCTGGCCGGGCCGGCGCGCCCCGCAGGCGGCTAGAGCGCGGCCTCGGCCTCGGCGCGGGCTTGCCCCGGGCCGTAGCCCGCGAGAGGCGGCGCGGGCGGCCGAGGGCACTGACGGCGTCGCGGGACGCTCCCGGGCGGCGGCGCAGCGGCAGCGGCAGCGGCAGCGGCAGCGCAGGGGGCGGAGGCAGGGGGCGCCCCCAGCCAGGATGCTGCGGTTCCTGCGCCGGACCTTTGGCCGCCGCTCCATGCAGCGCTACGCGCGGGGCGCGGCGGGGCGCGGGGCCGCCGGGCTGGGGGACGAGCGCGATGGGGGGCCACGGGGGGGCCCGGCCGCCGCCGCCTCCTCCTCGGCGCTGCCCGCCGCGCCCGGGGGCAGCGTGTTCCCGGCGGGCGGCGGGCCCCTGCTCACCGGCGGCGCGGCCGTGCACATCTCCGCCGCCGGCGCCGCCAAGGCCACCCTCTACTGCCGCGTCTTCCTGCTCGACGGGACCGAAGTGAGCGTGGACCTGCCGGTGAGTGACGGGGCCAGTCTGGGGCACTGGCACCTCGCGCCCCTGGAGGCAGCTCCCCCTCCCCCAGTGCTTGCATCGGGGGCGCTTCCCTTGCACCTCCCTGGGGATCCCCTCCCCCATCCTCTTCTCCGAGCACTCCTCAACCCTTTTTCTTCTTGGGCCACCCCGTCCCGGTCTCTTCCGGGGCCCCACCTTTGGCCCGTGCCCCCTCCTTGGCACATTGCGCCGCGGGGTTGCGATTTCTCTGGCGCCCACCTAGTCCTTGGGGCCTCGCCCCCTCCCCAGTACACACGGTCCCCAAGTCCCGAGACCCCGCCCCCCCTGGTGTGGGTGGCCGGCGCTCCCCTTCCGTCCCTAGCTTCCAGCAGGGGTCTTCCTGATACTGGGTTATTGGGTAGAAAATCTCAAATCAATGTGAGGCCGTCCTGGGGTGTCCAGCTTGTCCCCCCTCAAACTCGCCATCAGGCCTTGATGAGACAGCAGAGAGGAGATCCCCTCGCTTGCTGCTCGGCAGGCGCCCCAAGTTTGGGAGGCGGGGGTTAGACCATTTCTGCTCTCTGCTGATCCCTTCTGGATACACCCCATTCCCATTCCCTGAGCCCCATCTGCCCCGCAGCCTCCTCGCAGCGGGTAGGGTGACTTGGGAGCTAACTCTAGAGTCGGCTGTCTCAGACCTGCCTGCCTTGCACCGGCAGAGCCCTTTGCTGGGGCGCTGGGAGTCGACCCCGGGGTGCCCGGGGGGCCAGGCGCGCCTGACTTTCTCCCTTGGGCACCGTGCGTGGGGTCGGCGGGGCACCTCAGGGCGGCGGCGCCTGGGCCTGCGTCCCGGGCACCCGCCCACAGGTGGTTGCACCCCCGCCCCGCGCCAGCTGAGAGCTGGGCCGGCGCTGCGGTCCGCTGCAGGGCGTCCAGTTACCAGTGAGTCTTCCTGGCTGAAGGGGCCAGATCAGATCAAATCAAACCACACATTAATCGGGCGCCCACTGTGCACCCGGCGCTGCGGCAGACGGTGCCTTCGGGAATTTCTGGGTGTGACTGAGGACACAGCGGTAATTGAGCTTTAGATGAATGTTACAGATCATCTCGAGGATGTCAAGGGAAGAAATAACATACCCGGACTTCCAAGGAAGTATATAGGCCTTCCCGGGTGGGAGAAATGTTTGGACTTCATGAGAGAACTAGGAACATGTGAAAAGGGTCTCAGATGGGAAAATCAGAGCCTGCCTGGCTTGGAGTTTAACGCTTCCCGGTGTAGGCTGAATTTCGAGACAGTTTCAATTTATGGCAATTTTATTTTTGTGGTTCTTTGTGCTCTCCATAAGATATCATTTTGCTATGAAAATACCCTTTTGGGGCCTTTTTATTGATGGAAAAGGAGCCAACATTCGGGTGCTTAGAGCTGTTGCCTTTAAAATAGCATAAAAATGTTACTGTTCCCCAACAATGAGGCTCTCCAGCTTTTTATTCAGCTGGGAGAGGAGGCCTGAGGAGCCGGGGAGGAGGAGAGGGGAGCAGGCTGCCTCTGGAGTGGGCAGCTTGTGTTAGGAGAGGATGTGGCGTAGTTTGCATCTCGGATCTGGGAAAGGAATGCTATCCTTGGGAAGTTTGACAGTGCTCCTTGCCGGTGGTTTTCTCATCTGTTCCCTGGGGATGATTCGTTTATAAAATGTATTGCTTGTCAGCTCCATGAGACAGGCTTAAGTGGTGTGCATGGTGAATAGACCCAAACAGGTACACAAACGAACAGGTTGGGACAGGAAGGCTGACTGATTCCAGCCAGTGTAGCCCTCACTGGAGCCTGGTGGGGGAAGGGGATATTTGCATCCTAAAAGGTTTCTTCACTTTATAAAAGGCTGCTTGACAAAAGAATTCCCCTGTCCCAGGTATTCCCAGGACGGCAAATTTCTTGATTCCTCTATGATGTGACTTAGTGAAGCCCACATTGTATTTATGCGCGTGCACACACACACACACACACACACACACACACGTATATGCCCCCTGTCCACAGGCAGATAAAAAGCAAATGCTGGCTTGTGTCACGTGAGCTCTCAGGGAGGAAAGATGAAGAAAAATCGCCAGTGGGCACAGCTCATCGATTTAAAGATTTATTAGATATTAGGACTGCATCACAGTCTCCTACACTAATCTTCCCAGATCTGAGTGTGTGCTCCTGTAATTAATTCTGAGTTACGAGGTTAACGCCAGGCGGCCAGCTCCCCAATGCATTTGTAGCATTTGCTGCTCCTCAGACCCACTTCACTGGGCTCACTCTTTATGCTGTCCTTTTTGACATTTGGCCCTGCTTGTCATTATTCTCTTTTGTGTTCCTGGATTTTTACCGCTTCCTGGGCCCTGGTGTTGCCTTGCTGCTTGTCGCAAGATAGGATTTACCTTTGACCGTGATACCCCAAGCTGGCTTCTCAGGCACCCAGGGACATTGCCAGGCTAAATGTCTCCTTTGTAATAAAAACCCTCAGGCGGCGTTAGCCTTGAGAATTCCTTTGCTCAACCTCCTAAAAGTTGGCTATGTGCTGTCATAAACCTTTTTATTAGCCCTAGTTAGGATGCTTGTGTTCTGAAATTGTCTGGAACACAATAACACCCTCAGTGTGACCGTGCTGTGGCACCTCAGTCCAGTCCAGACCACAGTTATTGGGCGTCTCCAATGTGCCAAGCTGTGTGCTGCAGACACAAAGGTGAATGAGATGTGGCCTGGAGGCTCTTGGGAAACGCAGGTGAAAACACGTTTCTTTTATTCTGGGTGATGCTAAGTGATATGACTGGCACACCCAGACAGGGTGCTGTGGCCGGATGGGATGGGGGAATCGGAAGGACTTCCAGGAGACTTTGACACTTGAGATTATGGGGTCTCAGATCCAGTGTCCCTTGGCAAAGCCACAGGCCAGTTGTTGTATATAATAAAGAGAAAAGTAGCTGCAATTGTTTCTTCTGACAGGGCTTGGAGCCCCCTTCTCTGGTGATAGGTTGAGTCACCTAGCATCCCTGAGTGTTCTTTTTTTTGTTTTGTTTTTTGGATATGGGGTCTCATCTGTCACCCAGGCTGGAGTGCAGTAGTACGACCACAGCTCACTACGGTCTTAATCTCCTAGCCGCAAGCAATCCTCCCACCTCAGCCTCTCTAGTAGCTGGGACTGCGGTTGTGCACCACTACACCCGGCTAATTAAAAAAATTATTTTTATAGACATGGGGTCTCACTGTATTGCCCTGGCTGGTCTCAAACGTGTAGGCTCAAGCGATCCTCCTGCCTCAGCCCCTAACAGTGTTGGGATTACAGGCATGAGCCACTGCGCTTGGCCCCTGGGTGTTCTTAGTCTTTGCTATGGATAGTCAGCAGCTTTCCAGTCTTTGATAAAATAAAATGTGAATAAAAGGATCTTTTTAAAAAAATCTATAACATGCAGTCTAAAGTGGACTTGCTGTACAAACCCAACTTCCAGATGAGCCCTTGCTCGCCCTACCAACCAGAGTGCCAGCCTGAGCCAGTCCTCTTCAGAAACCCTGGCCCTGCCTTCGACAGCACCTCCCTCTCCTTAGCCTAGCTCAGCCCTGCCCAACCCTCAGGTGTGGTCTGGTCAGAGCAGGGCAGGACTCCCTCCCTCGGCCTGCCCTAGACGCTTTCCTTCTATTAATGCAGCTGAAGATCCCATTAGTGTGCTTGGCAGCGGCACCCACTGTTGACTCATATTAGCTCTCTGTTGACTAAATCCCTGGCATCGCTTTTGCTCGTGTGGCTGTTGCTCAGCCCCGCCTCCCGTTGCCCTGTGTGCTCAGTGTGGAAAGCTGTTAGGATGTGCGGTCGGCCAGTTAGCACTCCCGCCATGCTTTGGAGGGAACGGCCCATGGGCCATTGTTGCATTTGGTGCACTTGCCTCCCCTGCATCTGGAACTCAACATTGACTCATTGTGGTCCAGTGTAAACATGGAGGATTTCAGAATTCGAAGATCTACCTTTGCATATTGCACCCTGGCTCTGCAGCTTTGGGCAATTGCAGCTCTCTGAGCCATTGACTTCCTGATCTTTCAAATGGGGATGTTGGGAGGATTTGGTGACGGGAAGGCCTCATGGTGCAACAGAGTGCTGAAAGGTTGCTAGTAGGTTGTAATCTTAGAAACCTCTCCTTCCTCTACTTTGAACTTTGGAAAGATTTGAAGAAGTTTCTAGTAATAGACATTAAAAAAAAAAATGCTGTGCCAGGCAGGCTAACCATTGCTTGGCTCTTCTTTAGTGGAAATTGGAAGTTGGATGTAGTATGAGAAATGCTTTTTAAAAGTTTCACTTTGGATGTGAAAAGTGATGTTTTTTTCAGCAAAAACAGGAGAATCCAGGTTTTTAGAATTTTAGGACTGAAACCTCTGATCTCACATAACATACATGATACAACATAAAGGTCATATGGCTTATTTTGGAGTTGAAGGGGACCCTGGACAGCACCTCCCCGGCCCATTGGAGAAACTGGGAAGCTGTGGTCTGTGGCTATAAAGTGACTTCCCTTCAGTCAGTCAGTGAAAGAGTTGGAACCGGCTGCTTTGGGAACCCTGATTGTCAGCGTCTGAAGGTGTCAAGCGTAGGGTCAGCAGTGGGAGGGAAGACTAACCCCACGTCCTAACACAGGATCATGGAAGAGGGATGGGGTACATTCCTGGCAGTTGGAAATAGAACAGATTTTCCCAAACAGTGGAAAAAATGATCCCAACTTCAGTGTTCACAAAGTTCATCTGGGATTTTTTTTCTTCCATTAAAATTCCCAGAGCACACCCCGAGAATTTCTTGATTCAGTATATCAGGAAGCTCAACTTTTAACAAGTTACTCCAGGTGATTCTGATGCAGGTGGTCTCTTCACAGCCAGTGAAAAACCCTGGCCCTAGAACTGTGAGAACAGAGGCAGCTACACCATGCATTATAAACTGCTGTAGCAATGGGGCGAGCAATACCATTGCTGTAGCAATGGTAGGGGGGTTGGCAGTCTTTGAGCTGGGGTTTGACCTGTACTTTAGGGAGCCCATTTTTGTCACAGTGGAGTGGAGGGCTAGGGGAGGGACTGGAGACCAGTCATGCCATTGCATTTGTCAGGTAAGGGGTGATGAGGGCCTGGCTAGGAGAAGGGGGCAACGGTAGAGCAGCTCACAGGTGGAGTTGGGTGAGTGTGTTGGGGAGGGTGAAGGTTTGAGATAGAGCTGTCTTCACTCTTGGTTGGGAAGAATTAAGGGACCCGCAGGAGGTTGAAGACAGCTTCTCATTTCTACCCTTTCCCAAGGCTCTGGCTGCCATGGGCACACTGGCTTATCCCAGGGCTCTGGGTGGCTTGCTTTTTTTGCCCCTGTAGGGTAGGTATTGGCTAAAGGTGGCCTTCCACTACTTGCCCCACCCACATCCCCTCTCAGACCTGGAATGAGGCCTTGGATATCTAGTGGGTCATGAGTTTGTGTTATTTTTGGATATGCCTTCTTTGTTTTAAAAGAAAGGCTGAGGTGGGGGGGGGTGAGAGAGGGGTAATGAACACCCTTCCCAAAGGGGGTGTCGTGATACAAGCAAGAGCACTAACTCCCCTTCTATACTTGCTGGATTTGTCAGTGTTAATAAGGGGCGGGGGTTGGCCTGCAGGGGGAAGGGGCCGCAGCCTAGCCTCTCCAGTGCCGGTAACATGACCCTACACTGGTACAGGGCTCTGAACAAATATTAACTTGCTAAGCACTTTCACGTGCATAATCTCATTGAATTCTGTTCCTAGTACCCTGCAGTGGATGAAGGCACAGGTCTGTTTCGTTTTGAAATAGCAGAAGGTCGATGGGGGTGGGGCCTTCCCTTAAATTCTTGCGTGGGGACTTAGAAAAAAATCCAGCCTGGCAACCACAGAAATCCTCCGCCTACCATTTGTCCTCAAAACACGTGTTCCATCCTTGCCCACTGCTTGACTTCCTTTGGCCGGCTGGGAGTGGGCTCCTCCCCGGGCCTCTCTCTGCCCTGCCTGGAGCCTTCTCCTCCAGTGGGAACTGCACTCCAGTTTCCACCTGTAGCCCGTGGCTGCTGCCTGAGGGCAGGGTCAGCTGCTGATTCATCTGGGTGTGTTTTCCAGGTTCGTGTGTGTGCTCTCCTTTCATTTCTCGTTTACAATGCATTCATCGAAGACCCATTTGAAAATACACAAAGGTTGGAACAACATCTACAGTTTCATTAAACACTGTTAAAATAGGGGTGCGCATTCATCTGTGCTTTATTTCATATTCAGATATAAACATGTTTTTAAAATGATGAACTTAAGTGGGTTGATGGAAGTCTCTGTCTACTCCCACCTCAGCACAGTTGAATAAGGATGGTCGACTTGGAGCTTGTATCTCTTTAGGGTGAGGCCCTCGGCTCTCCTCTCTACATTTCCTGGGACTCTTAGCTGGGGTGGGGAGCCCCCAGTGCTTGTTAGCCATCTGCGCTGTGTGCTGCCTGCTGCCCCTCCCTTGGTAGGAAGCAAGCTGCCTGGCACTCTGACCCTCCTCACCACAATTACTTTCTCTTGCTGGCAGGTTAAAGGTCTTGTTGATGTGACCTCAGAGTCCCCTTGCATCTGAAAGCAGCTGCTATGGGGCAGTCTCGACTCTCGCCAGCCCAGGATGCCTGTGACTCTGCTACCAGCCAGAGCTGACCTGGCAGAGTGGGGCTGGAGCCGGGCAGCATCCTGGTGTGCCCCCCCACCACCCTAATCCCTCTAATCTCACTCCTTCTGCAGCCTCTGTGGCCTCTCTCTAGAGCTAGATTAATTTTACTAGTCCCACCTGATTTTAATTTCTGGTTTATTTTAAATTGTTTTCCAAAATGTTTTTGTTTGCTCACAATATGTTTTCTTCAGTCAGCAAAGGCTTACTGAGCCCTTACACTACATTAAGCATGGGGGAGGGGTATCGGAGAGAGAAGAGTGTTTCTTAAGCTCCCAGTCTTGAGGGGCAGACAGAGTAAACAGATACCCATAAACCAACATGGGGTGGTGCCGGGGGTGAGCAACTGAAGTGTGGGCTGGAGTTGGAGAAGGTTTTTTTTTCTTTTTTTGGTAACATTGGGGTCTCACTATATTGCCCAGGCTGGCCTGGAACTTCTGCCCTCAGGAGATCCTCCCACTGCGGCCTCCCAAAGCTCTGGGATTACACGTGTGAGCCACCACACCCGGGCAGCTGGAGAAGGTTTGGTCCCCAGAGTGACAATGGAATTGCCCCAAAGGATGTGTAGGAGTTCAGCTGTGTCTGGGTGGAGGGAACAGCAGGTGGAAACGCGTGGAAGATGGGGGTCAGAAAAGCCCCATCCCTGGGCTCCGGGTTCCTTGGGGTAGGGGATTCAGATGAGTTCTGGCTGTATGCCTGGATCTTAAAGGAGTGAGTGAGTGAGTTGCCTTTGAAATGAAGATGATGTCGGGACCCCATCTAGGTGATTATCTTGTTGAATCCTCACAAAAACTGTGTTGATGGTTACTGTTGTTATTCCTGATTTGTAGAGGAAAGAATCAGGGTTTAGCAGACAGGTTAAGAAACTTGTCCAAGGTCACATAGCTAGTAAAGGCAGACTCTAGCTTGATTTGTGGTCTGGGAAGGTCTCTGACAGCACAGCTGGGCGAGGGGGGTGGGAGGGCTCTGAGCTTGCCCCAGAGGTTCCGAGCTGGATGGCGACCCCTGAGCCCCCAAAGGGCTTCCACCTTTGTAGGCCACTTGGGATCAGATTTACTTCTTTAGTTAGACTCATTGAATGTCATTTCACTCGAGTGCATAATGGTTTGATGGCCATAATTCAACACTCAGATCAGAAGTAGGTGATGTTTTTAAAAAGTGCTTAGTAGAACAACATTAAAATTATCTCAAAGAAAAACATTTTCATATTCCTATCCTGCTGCATAGCAACTGGTTGGTTTCACTTTGTTCCTTTCCATCTTTGTGCTTTTGTATACATGTTTATAAGCGTGGTGTATATCCTTTAAAACATTTTTTTCTTTTCTCCTCCCCATCCACATTTCTTGACAGGCTTCTCACCAGTTTGGTGCCCTCTTTTGTGTGTATTCTAGAATACTTAAATTCAACTCTTATTCTCTGCTGTGTGTGATGTGGTTTGAGTGAGTAATACCTGTCTCTGGGGGCTTGGAGGTTGATATGCAAAGCACCTGATCACTTACGCGTCAGGCAGCCCCATCTCCAAGGCATGCAGAATCTGTGTTGCTTCCCTTAATCACTGCCGCCTGGGAAGGTGCACGTTATCATCCCCTTTGCAGATGGTCTCGGAGAGCAGATGGCCTCGGGCCACTCTGCTGGTAAGTATGGGAGAGCCAGATTGAATTTAGGTTTCCGGACTCATTTTCCAGTGCTCTTCCCCTCAGCCCATGCTGTGCACACCCAGCCTTCCTGTGTTAAATGTGTGTTCTCTTAGAACTCCCTGGGAAGGTCAGAATTTCATGCAGTAAAATCCCCTGTCTTTTCTGAACCACTTTGCCTTTCAGCATCTCTGGCATTTGGATTCTGTCTACCATTTCTCAGCATTTTTTGCAGGTTCTTTTCCCCAAAGTCATAGCTGGCTGAGTGCCCAGCATTTTCTTCATGAAGCCAAGAACTGGAAGATGATATCCCAAGGGTCCTGTCCCACCTGTGGGATCATCCGGTGCTTCTTTGTTACCCAGCTCAGTCCCCCCGGGTGGAATGGTCTACCCTGCAGCTGTGAGGATGCCAACTGCCTGGTTCAGCGGGTGCCTGCAGAGCTGGCATCCCTCAGCTCTGTGGTTTCTTTTCCATGCCTGTCTCATGAGCTGAGTGTTGTCTGCAGCATAGCATTCGCTCAGGTGCGTTGAAGTCAGCCTGATAATGCATCTCCTTTGCTCTACCTGTTCACTTGCTGAGCTGCACCTACCCTGAATTATGAATTTTTTTGAAAATCATGGTATTAATATAAATAACATAAAATTTACTATTTTAACCGTGTTTAAGTGTATGCAGTTAAGTGGCATGATGTACATTCACACTGTTTTGCAACCTTCACCACCATTGGTCTCCAGACGTTTTTCATCTTCCCAAACTGAAACTCAGTCCCCATTAAACATTAACTCCCTATTTTCACTCCCCCCAAACCCCGGGCAACCACCATTCTACTTTTTTGTCTATGAATTTAGCTACTCTAGGTACCCCATATAAGTGGAATCCTACAGTATTTGTCCATTTGTGCTGGCGTATTTCACTTAGCCTAGTATTCTCAAGGTTCATCCATGTTGTATGTAGCAGGTGCCAGAACTTCATTCCTTTCTAACGCTGAGTAATGTTCTCTTGTAAGAGTATACCACGTACAGTTTATCCATTCATGGATTGTGGATGTTTATGCAGGTCTGGACCGTCTTAACTCGGTCCTACCCATTCACTTGTGGCACTGCCACCAGAGACTTGGATGTCCCCAGCCCTCACCTCGTGGTGTTATTCTTGGATTCTGACACCTCTTCCCTGGGACTCTTCTGCATCATGCTGATCATCTTCCAAGGCTGTCTGGGCTTCGTTTGGGGGTGTGTGGCAGGCAAGTTTTCTCCCCCTTACATTTTTGTCTGAGTTGCGCAGTGTTGGCAAGCCCTCTGTCCAGCACATTCTTTAGATTTTTAAATGATGAAATATAAATACAAAAGACTCTCTATAACATGAATAGTTTTAGAGAAATAACACAATGAACATCCTTGTGCCCACCACCGAGCTTAGGAACAAAGACCATCACCAATGCTGTGAAAGTCCCCACATGCTCTGTCTCAGTCACATTCCCCTCCCTCCCTCCCTCCTGAAGTTTGTCTTTCATCCCTTTCTTTTCTTTATAGGTTCTCTGCATGTGTACGTTTTCCTAAACAATATCATGTTAGTTTTGCAGGTTTGTGAGCTGTATATACATGAATTTTTCCTTCAATATTGTGTCTGTGAGAATTTGTGTCAGTGAGATGACTGGAGTTCTTACTGTTTTGTAGTTATTCCATTGCATGCATATACTGGAATTGATCCTGTGTGGACATTTGGGATGTTTTCACTTTGGAACTATTAGGGAAAAAAAACACCGCTTTGAACTTTCTGGAATTGGTCTCTGGTGTACATGTGCCAGGAAGCATCTATCCTGGGTGTGTACCTGGGAGGAAGAGTGGGCGGGGCCCTTTATAATCATACAAAATTGTTTTCCAGAGTCCCCACAGCATGTAAAAGCTTCCCTAATCCATTCTTCTCCAACACTTGGCATTGTCAGCTTCTTTGTTTGATTTTACCAGGATAGTGGGAGTTAGTGGCACCTTTGTAGTCTCTACCTTCCCCCAGTTGTTGATGGGGTTGAGTACCTTTCACCTATCCATCTCTCTCTCTCTCTCTCTCTCTCTCTCTCTCTCTGTGTGTGTATTTCTTAATAATAGAGATGGGATCTGGTTGTGTTGCCTAGGCCATTCTCAGACTCCTGGCCTCAAGCAATTCTCCCATCTCAGCCTCCCAAAGTGCTGGCATTATAGGCATGAGCTGCTGCATCTGGCCAGGGTTGAGTGTCTTTCATATGTTGTTAGCAATGTGTAGTTCTTCCTGGAATGTTTTGTTTTATGATTTTCACATGTGTTTTTAGGTGGAGTTGTATTTTTCTCACTGGCCTCTGGACTCCATGAGATTGTCTCCCGTATCCCGTTCCGCTTCTGAGGTCACCTCGGTGGAATAAGGGAGCGAACACTGTAAGCCCCAAGTTGACAAGCTTCCCTGGCAGGTCTTTCCTCACTAAGTAGGAATTAATGTTTTGATTTCACTTTTCACTGTGAATGAGCTGAAGTTGGTTGCTGCTGGTGGCTTTTTGTGAGAGCAACTACGGGATCTATAGTATTCACATCAGCTCTGCCCACTCTTTTTGAAGTTTTTATTATGGAATTTTCTAAGCATATTCCAGAGTAGCGAGAACTATATATGGACCCTAAGTAGTCATCTTCATTTCCGTACTTATCAGTTTGTGGCCACTCTCCTTTTATACCCCTCCCTACTGCCCTTTCCTGATTATTTTAAACAAATTCTAAACATGTAATTTTTTTTTTTTAAAAGACGGAATCTCGCTTCGTCACCTAGGCTGGAGTGCAGTGCGTGATCTTGGTTCCCTGCAACCTCTGGCTCCAGGATTCAAGTGATTCTCCTGCCTCAGCTTCCTGAATAGCTGGGATTACAGGCATGCGCCACCACGCGCTAATTTTTTGTATTTTTAGTAGAGACAGGGTTTCACCATGTTGGCCAGGCTGGTCTTGATATCCTGACTTCAAGCGATCCGCCTGCCTCAGCCTCCCAAAGTGCTGAGATTACAGGCATGAGTCTCCGTGCCTGGCCTAAACATTTAATTTCAAACATGTATTTCAGTAGGTATCTCTAAAAGATAAGGACCAGTTTTAAAAAAATAGAGTTGATTGTGATAGCACACACCTGTAATCCCAGCGACTTGGGAGGCTGAGATGGGAGGATCACTTGAGTCCAGGAATCCGAGGCCAGCCTGGGCAACATCACAAGACTTCATCAAGACTTCTAAAAATAATGAACAATTATTTTTTAGTGTCAGATATTCGGCCAATGTTCAAATTTTCTTCTGTGGTTTTCAGCAAGGTTCTTTCATTGCATTTGATAGATATTCTATCTAAGACTCTTAACCTAAAAACCTTCTCTTCACCTTTTTGAGCCATTTATCTGTTGGAGAAGTGAGGCCGTTTGTCCTATTACAGTTTGTTACTTTCCGAGTTTTGTTGATTGCATCCTCAACATTGGTCACCCCTGAGGTACAGTTAGTACCGGGAATGGTCTTATTTCAAGCATCTGATCAGAGCACACAGAGATCAGTAAGATCCTTATCCTCAAGAAGGCTGAGTGGAGATCAGCTGTTGAATGTCTTCCTCGAGTGTGGGTTCTTCCTCCCTCTAGCTCACTCCTGCTTGGGTCCCCTTCACATACTCGGGAGGCCCTCCATGAACCCATTCTGTCTCTCCTGGCTGGAGATGCCAGCAGACATTTTAGGGAATGCAGAATCAATGAGAAGGGAATTGGGCCGAGTGTGGGACAGCTTGAACCAGTGGGGTTCGCCTCTGAGGGAACCGTTGGAGAACACCTGGTCCAAAATCTCATTCTGGAGGCGGCGAAAGGCCTTTCCCATCTGCCTTGGAAGGCTGCTCACTCCAGTCTGCTGCTGCTCACCGTGGCAAATGAGCAGTAACAAGGGTGTAACAAGTGTAGCTTCCTGCACGTAGCCCCCCAGCGCTTATGAGCGACATCCAGCGAGCCTCTTTGCCCCTCTGAGACTCTGCCATCTCTTCTGAAAGCGACCAGGGTTCTCAACCCTGGCACATGAGAGCTGGGGCTTTCTCCAGCTCTCCTGCCCATGTGATGGATGTGGGCATCATCCAGGGAAGGCCGGTAGACTGTAAAAGCCTACCGGGGTTAGTTATTAACCTGCAGCGCACTCTTGACAGCCCATTCCATGGCATTTCACCGACTGGAGTCCTTTTATTGCTCTTGCCTGCTGGGGCCTGAGACCCAAGGCCCATATCACCTCTGCTCAGTCGGTTACAATCTGTATTGAGTGGCATCAGCACTGCTTTGATGGTAGCAAGAATGGCTGGTTAAAGTCCAGGGAGGGGCCCAAGCTGGCTTGGAACTGGCCCAGGTCATGCACACAGCCAGCAGTGACACATCCAATGGGACACTCCAGGATGAAACCTGAGAAAGGAGGTCTGGGATATGGGATATTGTAATGGGAGAGCAGGAAATTTAAGGTCGGAGGTATTTGTTTAGGATACCTCAGTATTCTAGAGCTATGGGATTTATTTTGCTTTGAAGTCCAGAGGTATTTAGCTTTATTCTAAAAGCGATGAAGTTCCTCTTAATTAAAGACGCTCCTGGAAAAAAAAAAAGGAAAAATTTAATGCTGTCTTTTAAAAGGGAAAGGATTGTATGTACTATAATAGAATTACTGTAACATGTCGTTTATTAACTCGCTTCAGGGAATGAGCTCTTCCACATAGGTAAGTTTTCCAGATAGTTACAGTTGCATCCATTTACTGACAAGAACTGTTTTATTTCAGCTATTTCATTTATTTCTTGAAGAAAAAAAAAAAAAAAAAAACAACTGCAGCACATCTAGTGTCTGTAAGGCCCTGTGGGAGGAATACAAAATGGTCAAATGTATGGGCGTTGCTCTAAAGGAGCTCATTTAGGGTGGGGTGTGGATGTTAACTGCATTACCTTGACTTTGCCTTGGTGGCCCCCAGTGGATTCTTGGGTCAGCTCTGTATAGTGTTCCAGCCTTCAAAGCATTGCTTTACTCTGCCTTTTCGAAGGCTGGCTGATTAATAAGTTAATACAACAGTGGTTTTTGATGTTTACTGCATGCTTAGAATCTTCTGGGGAGTTTTTCAAAGTCCAGCTTCTAAGCTATACCCCAGACTACTGCCACCAAGATTGATGGGCTTGGGAGGTGGGACCCCTTCACCAGAATGTTTTTTTGTTTGTTTGTTTGTTTGTTTGTTTGTTTTTTTGCTCGCTCTGTTGCCCAGGCTGGAGTGCAGTGGCACGATCTTGGCTCACTGCAACCTCCGCCTCCCAGGTTCAAGCTATCCTCCTGCCTCAGCTCCCCCGTAGCTGGGATTACAGGCGCCTACCACCATGCCTGGCTAATTTTTGTATTTTTAATAGAGACGGGGTTTTGCCATATTGGGCAGGCTGGTCTCAAACTCCTGACCTCAGGTGATCCATCCCCACCTCGGCCTCCCAAAGTGCTGGGGTTACAGGCGTGAGCCACCACGCCTGGCCCAGAATGTTTTAAAACTCCCCAGGTGATTCTGAGGTGCAGTCAGGTTTGAGAAACAATGTTTTACAGGGCTCCTTCCCTTCCTTTTGTGTGGTGTTGTAGGTTTAGATCAGGCTTTCACCTTTGATCATTTCATTTAATCCTTATAGCATTTACTCGAGAGAATTTTGGGTGTTCTAATTTTATAGAAAGCTCACCAGTAAGATTTTGGCCCCATATCCCACAGCTAGTAAATACAAAACTAGACTTAAAAGTCATTTCCAGGCTGTTCAAGTCCACTTCTCCAGTTTTTCTTCACGGCTGTCACTCTAGTGGCTCTCTGGCAGCTCCCCAGTGTCCCCTTCACTTCTCACCTGTGTATCTGTACCTGTGCCTTATTTTTTTAATTTAATTTAATTATATTTTTTTGAGACAGAGTCTCGCTCTGCCACCCAGGCTGGACTGCAGTGGCGCGATCTCGACTCACTGCAAGCTCTACCTCCCGCATTCAAGCGATTCTGCTGCCTCAGCCTCCCAAGTAGCTGGAATTATAGGCACTGGGTCACCATGCCCAGCTAATTTTTGTATTTTTAGTAAAGACGGGGTTTCACCATGTTGACCAGGCTGGTCTTGAACTCCCGACCTCAGGTGATCCGCCCACCGCAGCCTCCCAAAGTGCTAGGATTACAGGTGTGAACCACCACGCCTGGCCTTTTATTTTTATTTTGATTTTTTGAGACAGAGTCTCCCTCTTTCGCCCAGGATGGAGTGCAGTGGCGCAGTCTCCACTTACTGCAACCTCCTCCTCCTGGGTTCAAGTGATTCTCCTGCCTCAGCCTCCCGAGTAGTTGGGATTACAGGCACCCGCCACCACACCCAGCTAATTTTGTATTTTTAGTAGAGACCGGGTTTCACCATGTGAGCCAGGCTGGTCTTGAACTCCTGACCACAAGTGATCCACCCGCTTTGGCCTCCCAAAGTGCTGGGATTACAGGCCTGGGCCACCTCATCCGGCCTGTGCTGCCTTCGTATTGGCTGATTCTTATCCCTTAAGGGCCTAGCCATCTTTCAGGGCCTGTCTCAGATGATGCCACATTTATGAAGCTTATCCCATCATTCCCCCCATCCTCCCACCCCACCACCCCACCTTCCCGCGCTTCTTCCACTTCTCCCATATAGCATTCCCTCTCCTCCTAGGAGCTTGCAGGGCATTTTTTTGCCTTGGGTGGGACCTAGCACATGTTATAGTAATTATGTAGTAATTCAAGCAATAGATGGCATTATTGACCTTTTTAGTTTTTGCAAGTGATTTTTAAAATTGTGGTAAAATATACGTGACACAAAATCGACCATTAGTGACATTTAGTACGCTGACATTGTTGAGAAACCATCATTACTATCTGGCTCTGGAATATTGTCATCACCCCAAAAGGAAACCCTCTACCTGTTGAGCCGTCATTCCTCCCCTGTTCCTAACCCCGACAGCCGCTAATCTGTCTTCTGTCTCTCTGGATTTGCTGTCCCTGGGTATTTCATATAAATAGAATCATGCAATATGTGGCATTTTATGTCTGGCTTCTTTCACTCAGCATTATGTTTTCAAAGTGGATTGACCATTTACATTGTTCCAAGCCCTTTCCATGGCTTCACTCTGACCCCTCATCCCCCCATGGAGTAGGCAGTTCCTATTGGTATCCTCATTATATAGGAGATTGAGGCACACAGAGATCAGGCAACTAGGAGAGAACACACAGTGCCTAAGTACTCTTGGCCCCTGCACTGTCCTGCTGGTGTCTGCTGTTGACTTTGACCTTTAGAAGGGCAAAGATGAAACATCAAGGAAGAATTCATCTATGGTATAAGAACAACATATGATACGGCTCCAGGAGCAGAAATCATTAGAGGTGCCCCTCGGGACTGCAGAACAGAATTCCTGGGGTTGATTGTGCGCTTAAAGCTCTTGGTTTAATTGGAGTGAATCAGTATTGCTGTGAATTTCCCTCAAATGTTAGGGGTCAAGTATAGGATTGTATATCTAGTATTGGAAGCCAGCTGGCGTTCTAAGACCACTGAAATGTTGAGGAATGAGTCTTAAGGACTCAGAAAGGCAGAGGTACCCCAAGTAAAGGTTTCTTTTCAAAGTAGTGCTTACTATGTGCCAGACACAGTTCTGAGCACTTTATGTATCTTTACTTGGTTAATTCTCACAAAATCTTTACAAGGTAGCTACTGCCCTGTTTTATGGATAAGG
This sequence comes from Homo sapiens, assembly GCF_000001405.40. Classification (NCBI taxonomy): domain Eukaryota; kingdom Metazoa; phylum Chordata; class Mammalia; order Primates; family Hominidae; genus Homo; species Homo sapiens. The sequence continues at coordinate 109,304,101 of NC_000009.12, read as the reverse complement.
AAGCAGAAGTGCAAAACAGTTAAATTACCTCATCAAGGTCTTGCCACTAGAATGTGGTGGACCCAGGGAGTCTGGTTCCGGCATCCATCTGCTTCATTCTTTTCCCTTTAAAAATTTTAATTTTCTTTTTTTGGTTATAACATACCTTTCCCAAGACAGTGAGAACAGAACAGCCTAGTTGCTTGAATAGGAAGAGAAAAAGGGAAAAAACATAATGGGAAAAGCACTGATTTTATTTTATTTTTTATAAAACTTATCCGGTCATATCAGTTCTGTGCCTTTAAAAAAAAATAAAAGGCTGGGTGTGGTGGTTCACAACCATAATCCTAGCATTTAGGGAGACCAAGGTGGGAGGAGTGCTTGAGCCCAGGAGTTCGAGACCAGCCTGGGCAACATTGCAAGAGACCCCTTCTCCACAAAAAGAAAAGAAAAGAAAAGAAAAAAAACCCAGCCAGGCATGGTGGCTCACACCTGTGATCCCAGTACTTTAGGAGGCTGAGGTAGGTGGATTGCTTAAGCCTGGGAGTTTGAGACCAGCCTGGGAAACTTGGTGAAACCCTATCTCTACAAAAAACAAAAACAAAAAAAACCAGCCAGGTGCGATGGCGTGCACCTGTAATCCCAGCTACTTGGGAGGCTGAGGTGGGAGGATTGCTTGAGTCTGGGAGGTGGAGGTTGCAGTGAGTCGAGATCGCGCCACTGCACCCCAGCCTGGGAGACAGAGCAAGATGCTGTCTCAAAACCCGCCCCCCAAAAGAAACCCACAACTTATAAAAATAAAAGTAATACATGTTTATTTGATAATGTTTAGGAATTATTGATTAAAGAATTTAAAAATTGTTTTTTTTTTATTTATCACTTTCACCAAGTGATCACCACTTCATTAACATTTTGGTGTATATTCTTGCCTCTTTTTTTCTAAGTATGGAGAAAAAAGTTTTTTCAACAAAAATGGGATCATACTATGTATACCCTTTTTTTACCCCTTTTTTTCTTTTCTTTTCTCTTTTTTTTTTTTTTAGAGATGGGGTCTCAGTCAGTCACCCAGGCTAGAGTACATTGGCATGGTCGTGGCTCACTGCAGCCCAGAACTCCTGGGCTTGAGTGATCCTCCCACCTCAGCCTCTTGAGTAGCTGGGACTGCAGGCGCATGCTACTGCACCCAGCTTCTTTTTTTTAATTGTGATAAAATGTAAGCTTAATCTTTATATTACACTGTCTCTTATGTTTGAGGAAAAGCTTAGGGACATCTGGTTCTCTTCATGGGAAGGAGAAATCTTATCTTTGCAGCCAGGGAGGCAGCTGCACCCTGGTACAGAAGGATCCAGAAAGGCCATGCTGTGAGAAGGCACATTACTGGGCCTTTATGACTCGTCATAGGACCGAAGTTGGCCAGCAAGCTCTAAGATCCTGTGGAGAACGTTGGATCTTCGGGTGTGTTCTTAGTCCTCATATAGTCCCCTAGGTCAGGATACCTCAGTATCCTGACAGGGATGACATCCCTGTCAGTCATGGCAGAGCAGGTTCTGCAGTTCCAACTTGGCTAAGGAGGTAGCTGTTTGGGGCTGAATTGTGGCCCCCTCCATTTTCCCCAAATTCATCTGTTGAAGTCCTAACCCCCAGTACCTCAGAATGTGACTGTATTTGGGGATAAGGTCTTCAAAGAGGCATTTAAGTTAAAAGGAGGTCCTAGGGCAGGCCCTAATCCAATATGACTGGTGTCATCTAAGAAGAAGAAATGTGGACACAGACCTGTACAGGGGGAGGACCATGTGAAGACACAGGAGAAGACGACCATCTACCAGCCAAGGAGAGGCCGAGAACAATGAAGAGACAGGCATTTATTGAGGACCCGCTGTGTACACAGAACCAAGCCAGGCTCCAGGTAGATAAAGACTAAGTCAGGGATGCCACTCTTTCCCTGAGTAACTACCACTTGGGTAAGAATATGTGTCTTTTGCATCTGCAGAGAACTCTATGGTTTTTACATGCTTTTACCCAGTTTCGGTCTACCTTGCTTCTCTGGGGATGTTGAAAGTTGACTCTTGGTGGCCAGAGCTCTGGCATAGTTGTTTTGCTGCACTTTAGGTGCAGGAACTGGCATCTGTAACATGGGACTAAGGGAAGAAGCAGGACTTGAATAGTTTATTGACAAAAATGGTTCTGAATCCAGTTGGAGTTGTTTGTTTATTTATTTTTGAGACAGGGTCTTGCTCAGTCTCCCACGCTGGGGTACAATGGTGCGACCATGGCTCATTGTAGCCTGGAATTCCAGGGCTCAAGAGATCCTCCCACCTTAGCCACCTGAGTATCAGTTGGGGTTATTTTTATCGGAAATATTTATCTCAACGCGTTGTAGCTTACCCATATAAGATGGCACAGGAAGTATGTAGATGTGTCTACATGAGATTAGCCAAAACTGCATATTGAAGGCTTTTTTAATTCATATGCATTATACTGAGTGAAATTAACCTTAAAAGAGTAGCCTCTGTATGATTCCATGTACACGCAGCTGTAGAACTGGCAGAACTAATCTGTGGAGAAAACAAATGAGAATAACTGTTGCCTCGGGGGTAGGGAAGCTCAGGGATTGACGAGGAAGGGGACTCCCAGGAACTTTCTGGGGAGATGAGAAGGGGCTGAGTGGTAGAGGAGTGTGGGGTACACCAGTCCATTTGTCAAAGTAGGATAACTTAGATTTGTACATTTCAAGGCAAATGCAATTTACTACCATCCCCAAAAAAGTATAAAAAAATTAATGGTGGGCCAGGGAGGAATGAATAGAGGAAAAGATGATACACAGTGTTGATCATTGTCAAAGCTGAGTGACAGGTGTTTACTGTACTCTTCTGTTGACTTTGTGTTTATTTGAAATTGTAATCTTTGTTGATTCCTCCTTCTGAGAAGTCAGCCTGTTGCCTCTTGGGGCAGATGCAGGATCTCAGGGCGTTGGGGCTAAGTGACGGCAAGAAGAGGGTTTGTTTTGTGTTTTCAAATTGCCATTTTATTTTTATGTTGTTGGAAATATCATTAGTGATGTGGAATAAATTAGGCATATGTAAAATTACAGGTTGAGCAGGGCTATGGTGGCTATGAGTATAGGTATAATGAGGCTATTATTTTTTGTTAGTTCTTGAGTGATGGCTCATTTGGGTAGAAATCCTGTTAGTGGGGGCAGTCCTCCTAGGGATAGTAGAGTAACAGGCACTATGGATGTTAGTAGTGGTAACTGATTTCACATATAGGATAGTGATCATGTTGTAGCACTTATATTTGTATTGATTTTTTTATTGTTGTTGTTTATTTCTTTGTTTTTGAGACAAAGTCTTGCTTTGTCGCCCAGGCTGGAGTACAGTGGCACGATCCTGGCTCACAGCAATGTCCATCTCCGGGGTTCAAGCGATTCTCCTACCTCAGCCTCCGGAGTAGCTGGGATTATGGGCGCCCATCACCACGCCTGGCTAATGTTTATATTTTTAGTAGGGACAGGGTTTCCCCACGTTGGCCAGGCTGTTCTCAAACTCGTGAACACAAGTGGTCTGCCTACCTCGGCCTCCCAAAATGTTGGGATTACAGGCATGAGCCACCATGCCTGGCCTGTATTTGTATTGAATAATATAAATATGGTTACTGTTAATATCAGGTAAAGTAATGGATTTAAGATTGTGATGGTGGGGTTGTAGGTTAAAATTGCGGCTGTTCAACCTATGTGAGCAATTGATGAATACGCTAAAATTTTTTGGAGCTGCGTTTAATTGAGTCTCCCTCAAACTCCCACTGAGATGGATAGTGCTGCCGTTGTTAATAGTATATTTAGGTCCATTGAGGGAAAGATTTGGAACATGATAGAAATTTGGGCTAGTTTTTGTCATGGCCCCAGCCACCCTGGCTGTAATCGCTGGACTTGGGTATTCTCTGCCCTGTCGGTGACCGTGAACTTTTAGCTTCTTACCTCTGGCACTTGCCACCGCCCCGTCCCTTCGCTTTCCCTTTCATCTGGGAACAGACCCTCCTCTTCGGTTGACTTTGTCCCCCGCCCCACCTAGTCTCTTCTTATCTCTGCCTCCTCCCTCCTTCTGTGACTCGGAAGCCTTTCTTCACTGTGGTGAATCCACTTGGGTGTTATTTCTGTTCACCGTAGGGTTGTGTTATGGCAGTGGTGTGTCTTTGTTCATAGCTGCAAGCTCTGCTGTGAGTGCGGGGATGGGGGTGAGTGGACCATCCCCACACAGCTGTAAAAGAGGCATGCTATATGATTCCATGTGTATGAACTTCAGCACAGGCAGGAGGAATCTGTGGTACCCGTGGGAGGAAAGGAAGGGGTAGAAATTGGAAAGAGGCACACAAGGAACTTTGCGAGGGGTGAGGAGTATTGCTGAAAATGTTCTGTATTTTCACCTTCATGGTGGTTGCCAGGCACATTCACTTGTGGTAATTCTTTGAGTTGTACATGTATGATCTGTGCACTTTTGTCTAGGTATGTGATGCTTCAATTAAAAAAACAAAACAAAACTTGCTGCACATCATGGCTCATGCCTATAATCCAAGCACTTTGGGAAGCTCAGGCAAGAAAGAGAATCTCTTGGGGCCAGGAGTTCAAGACCAGCCTAGGCAACATAGCAAGACCCGCCCCACCATCTCAACATAAAGGAAAAAAAATCAGCTAGGCATGGTGGTGCATGCCTGTAGTCTCACCTGCTCAGGAGGCTGAGGTGGGAGGATTGCTTGATTCCAGGAAGTCAAGGCTGCAGTGAGCCATGATGGCACCACTGTACTCCAGCCTGGGCAACAGAGTGAGACCTTGTCTTAAAGAAACAAACAAAAAAATCTAGAGAGCCATACAAGGTTCTTAAAAATCTTCCCATTCTACCTAAATAAATAAGTAAGTAATCACATTTGTATAATTCCTTGAAAGATTGGAAGATCTGATAGCACGATCTGATTTCCCATGGAGTGGCAGTTGGCTAGACCTGTGTAGTGACTGCCCACCTCCATTCCTCATAACCCACTTCGCTCGTTAGAATGTCCCCTGTCTTTACAGCATCCAGCAGGAATTCCTCAAAGTGCCTGGTGTGTGGGTGGCAAATGTGTAACCCCATTGCAGAATTCCCTCCTATTTTTGCTTCTCTAGGTATCTTAGAAGGTATAGGGACTGTGGGGGGTTCAGTGCCTGGTCTGGTGGTACTCTTGCAGGGGTACCTTTGGACATGGTGTACTTTTTTTTGTAAGAATACTTTTGGACAATACCTGGGACATTGGAGCCCTGTGTGCTCAACCATTCCAGATAAATTTGCTCTGCTTGAACTGGAGAAAATTGGGGTTAGCGAAAATTGGTCAACTCTTAGCAGTTAAAAGATGACGAGACGTTACCTAGGTGTTTGGTTCTGTAAATAATTTCCTATTTGTGTCTTCTAAAGTAATATTTCATCATAGTACCAGTTAACACTTGTTCCTTGGCATTCAGTTGTTGCTTTTAAAAATGCGTATATGGGCCAGGCGCCGTGGCTCACGCCTGTAATCCCAGCACTTTGGGAGGCTGAGGTGGGTGGATCACAAGGTCAGGAGTTTGAGACCAGCCTGGCCAACATGGTGAAACCCTGTCTCTACTAAAAATACAAAAATTAGCTGGGTGTGGTGGCAGGCGCCTGTAATCCCAGCTACTCAGGAGGCTGAGGCAGGAGAATTGCTTGAACCCAGGAGGCAGAGGTTGCAGTGAGCCGAGATTGCGCCACTGCACTCCAGCCTGGGTGACAGAGCAAGACCTTGTCTTGGGGAAAAAAAAAAAAAAGCATATATGATTGGGAAATTTTCTTCTTAGTGAATGGGTAAGGAAAGGCTAACTTTTTGTGTGGTGAACTTATAGTCAAGATTCTATTCACAGTAGCTCACCCTAACCACAAACCACAGACCTCAGGGAAATAATCTTGATAATCTGTATAAATCCAAGCCTAAGGAGAGGCTGTCAGCATCACACCTTTCTTTTCTCCAGCTGAACGTGTCATTCTCTGCCTTCTTCCTGCAAGAGGCAGTGACTTTTTTTTTTCTTAAGACTACTGACTCACCCAGAAGAAAAAAGGCTATCTATAAAAAGACAACTTTATTTGTATACTCCTCCATCAGATGAATGGATAGTGATGCCTTAGTTATAGTTTTATGACCCTAACAGCCAAGCTCACCATAGACAGGGTTAAAGGAAAAAAGTTCATGTGCTTTTCCACTCATTGACCTTTTTGAAAATCTTACACGCAGAGCCAAGTACATAGCTCTAAAGTTCTGCTTCTTATGTACAGAATACCAGGCATGAGTGGGACCCAAGGAGCTTGGGGTTCAAGACTGTGCCTTGGCCCAAGAAGCATCCAGGCTATTAGGGACAGCTCTCACCATCAGTTTCAGTCCAGGGGAGTACCGTGCAAAGCATCCAGGGGCTGCCACGCAGCGAGGCCTCTGATTGCCGCAGGGATGCTGTGGGAGGTCCTGGGGCTTAGAGTCAGAGGTCCTGGGCAGAGGCCCTGGCTTTGCCGGTGGACAGCCGTGACTGTGCCACATGACGCATCTGCACTGGTTCTCATTTCATCCTCAAATCACTCGGTGGGAAATGCGTGCTATCACCTCCGTTCACAGACAGAAAACAAGCTCAGAAAGGTGAAGGGGCTTTGTTGGGGTCATGCTGGTTGTAAGTAGTGGAGCCCAGCTTCAAACCTGCCCTCTAACTTGAAGCCTGTGTTCTTGTCTCTTGTTAGTTTGCTAGGACTGCTGTAACAAAGTACCCCAGACTGGGTGCCTTAAACAACAGCAAGCAATTTATTTTCTCACCATTCTGGAGGCTGGAATCCAAGATCGTGGTACGGCAGGGTTGGTTTCCTCTGAAGCCTCTCTCCTTGGCTGGCAGATCCCCCCCCACCCCCCCAGCTGCCTCTTCTCCCTCTGCCTTCATGTGGTCTTTCCCCTGCGTATGTGTCCCTGGTGTCTGTGTGTCCCGATCTCTTCTTTTTATAATGACACCAATTGTCATCCAATCAGATTGGATTAGGGTCATTCTAACAACTTCACTTCAGCTTAGTTACCTCTTTAAAAGCCCTGTCTCCAAACACAATCACATTCCAAGGTACCGGGGTTAGGACTTTAACATATTAATTTGGGGTGGGGGGTGTGATACAGTTCAGCCCATAACACTACCCTGTCTCTTAGCCATCATGAGCTCACCTCCCTCATTTTTTTTTTTTTTTTTTTGAGACATGGCCTCGTTCTGCAGTGGTGTGATCATAGCTTACTGCAGCCTCAAACTCCTGGGCTCAAACTCAGTCTTCCCACTTCATACTCCCCAGTGACTGGGGCTACAGATATGTGCCACCATGCCAGATAATTTTTAAAATTTTGTGTAGAGATGGAGGTCTGGCTGTGTTGCCCATGCCAATCTTGAATTCCTGGCCTCAAGTGATCCTCCTGCCTCTGCCTCCCAAAGTGCTGGGATTACAGATGTGAGCCACTGCACCTGGCCTCACCTCCCTCTTCTGTAAATAGGCATGCCACCTAAAATGAGGCTACCTTCATCCCCAGGCCCGTCCCATAGGTGAACCCAGGCCAAACCCTGTTAAATTCATCATCATTTCATATAATCCTTTTAACATCCTTGCTAGGTAAGAAATTTACTGGACATCAAACTTAGCCTGAGCTGAGTAATAGAGTTAGGATTCAAACTCTCACCTGCTGACTCCCGAGTCCATGTCTTCAGTGCACTGCATCATAAGGTGTATTATGAGATTCCAAAACTATGATTTCAGGGCTATGGAAGCTTCATGGCTTATGGGGGAACAGTCACTACAGGACTTGGAAGTTTCAGGAAGCGTCATGTGCGAGATAGCATTGACATGCCTTACTTTTCAAATGTTCTCACATTCCTAAGTTGCAAGGATGGGTAGGGGCAGTCATCCACCCAAAGTTAGTCCTTTCTGTTCACGTTTCTTGGCTAGATTTCCTGGGAATTTGTTGCATATTTATTTATGTGGAGTTATTTGCTTTCAGAATTGCATGGAGGGGGAATCTGCAATCTGGCTGCAAAAAGTAATTTGGCAATTTATTTTCAGGGCTGCCCTTCTTCCAGCAGCTTGTTTCAAATTCAACCTCTGGCACAGAGACATCCATCATTTTAATTGCATGTTACTGTTTAGTGAGGCACAAATTTGTTTCATTTTCTTTTTCTTTCTCCTGTAGTAGTAGGTGGTTGTGGGTTTTTTTCCTGATTTGCCACAAAAAAGAAAAAAAAACAGAAAAAAAGAATTACCTAAACCACTTTTTTATGGCCAAGGAGTTTATAACACTGAGCTGTCTGGGGGTTTTTTTTGGTGTTGCATATTTGGTTCTTAACCTTTCAGTAGCAGAAATGCGAGCCTTGCCTTTTCTTTTCCTGTTCAGATAATGTCCATAATACAGTCGCCTGAACATAGTCCCAAGAAGGAAAATTGTATTGGTCTCAGGGTCAGAAGGTTTGCTTTTCATTCTGGTTTTGCAGTGACTGCCTGGCTGTGTGACCTGCCTCTTGCCTCACTTTTTCCATCCATAAAATGAAGGACTTGAATGTGCAGATTTCTAGAACATTCCTATGTTCTTGTGCCTGTAATACTGAGTCCTGGGCAGGGTGGCCATCCAAGTATGTCCACTGAGGAGCTTGTCTTGTTCCATATCGTGATGTTCTTATTCTGCTGGGTTGTGGATTATGGTGCTTTAGTTCAAAGTCAAAAATCAATCCTGTATCCCTCAGCAATCTTCTAAGGGATAAAAATATTGTTTACATAAAATTAGCTTGGGTAGAAAGTTAGCTTTGATGTTCAAAGCTAAGAACTTAGCTTTCATTGCTGCATATACTTCGTTTCTTGCTGTAAAAGGACGTGGTGTCTGTGAAGTTAGGCACAAAGTCCAGGAGTGCATCCCCTTTATAAGGTGCACCAAGCACTGGGGCATGGGGACAAAATGTGACTCAACGTCCATAGGTGGGTGCTGAGTTGGGTGCCAGGACTCTTGTGTATTGTGTTTTGTTTTCACAGTGTGGAAGAGATTAATTGTTAATGGTTTGGAGTAATTTTTTCTGTCTGCATCTCGCAACACTTTCCTCGTCACCGTGGATGTCAGACTCTTCACCCAGTGACCTGGAGTCTCCAAGTCAGGGCTCAGCCCACACTGTGCTGACACCCTCCAATCCCCAACTCCTTTGCACGTTACAAGATTTTGTTTTAAGTGTTTATTATGGAGATTTAAAAATATACAAAATATCGAGAAAGTGTGGTGAAACTCTCATGTACACAACACCCACTTATGATTCTGAAATATTTTAAAGCAAGTCCCAGGCAACTTATTGTTTAACCTGTTAATACTTAAATATTCACTAATAAATACTTATACACACACACACACACACACACACACACACACACAGCCACAATATCATTATACTCCACAAAACGAACAATTATTATTTTTTTTGAGGGGGTACGGGGTCTCTGTTGCCCAGGCTGGAATGCAGTGATGTGATCATGGCTCACTGCAACTTCAACCTCCTGGTCTCAAGCAATCCTCAATCTTCCTCCTACCTCAGCCTCCTGAGTAGCTGAGACTACCGGCATGTGGAACTGCTCTTGGCTAAATTCTTATTTTTAGTAGAGATCAGGTCTCACTGTTTCCCAGGCTGGTCTCAAACTCCTGGGCTCAAGCATTCCACCTACCTCGGCCTCCCAAAGTGCTGGGATTATAGGCATGAGCCATCATATCTGGCCTAACAATGATTTTTTTTTTTTTTTTTTTGAGACGGAGTCTCACTCTCTCTCGCCCAGGCTGGAGTGCAGTGGCGTGATCTCGGCTCACTGCAAGCTTCACCTCCTGAGTTCACGCCATTCTCCTGCCTCAGCCTCCCGAGTAGCTGGGACTACAGGTGCCCACCACCACGCCTGCTAATTTTTTTGTATTTTCGTAGAAATGGGGTTTCACTGTGTTAGCCAGGATGGTCTCGATCTCCTGACCTCGTGATCTGCCTGACTCAGCCTCCCAAAGTGCTGGGATTACAGGCGTGAGCCACCACACCCGGCCAACAATGATTTCTTAATGTCACCTGATACAAAGTCCTTGATGGGTTTAGTGCAATTATCTTAAAAACCTTTTATAGTTGGTTTGTTTAACCAGAAGCTACTACAGACCACACATTGCATCTAGTAGATATGTCTCTTAAGTTCTTTTTATCTGTACATCCCCTTCTCCTCTTTTCAATGTGGTTTATTGAGTTCTAATATGGAGTTGGTGATGTAGCGTAAGGCAGCCTCAGAGAGTCCAATATCGTTAACATCTTTCTCCTAAACAGAGTTAGTGCCCTTCAAAAAACAGTTTTTAGTTTATGTTTTTTTTTTTTTTTTTTTTTTAAGAATGTGTATGTTGTCCAGGCATGGTGGCTCACCCCTGTAATCTCAGCACTTTAGGAGGCCAAGACAGGTAGATCACCTGAGGTCAGGAGTTGGAGACCAGCCTGGCTGACATGAAGAAACCCCATCTCTACTAAAAATACAAAAAATTAGCCGAGCGTGGTGGCGGGTGCCTGTAATACCAGCTACTCAGGAGGCTGAGGCAGGGGAATCACTTGAACCCAGAAGGCAGAGGTTGCAGTGACCTGAGATCATGCCATTGCACTCCAGCCCTGGCAACAAGAGTGAAACTCCGTCTCAAGGAAAAAAAAAAAAAAAAGAATGCATATGTTTATTCTGCTTCCTTGTCTTCAAGCAAATGAAACCTAAGTTAACGTCATGCTGTGGGGATGTCCTAAGAAGAAACATTTTTTAAATTATGAAAAACATCATAAATACAAAATCTTTTATGTACGCATACAATACCATGCATACACACTGTATCTGTGTATATATATGGTTTTCATTCTGGTAATCTTTTGTTGCATAACACACTCCCCCAGTGCTTAGTGCTGTAAAACAACCACATTTGTCATGATGGGTTCTGTTGGTCAAGAATTTGAGCAGGGCTCACAGCTGGGAGATGCTTCTGCTCCTCATGGCATTGACCAAGGGGTCAGTTGGAAGGTGGGCTCGTGTGGAGTGTCCAAAATGGCTGCACTCACATATCTGGTACCTTGGAAGGGATTGCTGGAAGGCTGAGCTCACCTGGGATGGTTGACTGGCACACGTGCTTGTGGCCTCTTAAACGTGGCAGTCTCAGGGTAGTTAGACGTTTCACATGGTAGCTGGCTCTTCTAGAGCAAGCTTCCTAGGAGAACTGTCACCTAGCCTTGGAAATCGCAGAACATCATTAACACCATATTTGATTGGGTTGATGCACTGACAGGCTCTTCCAGATTCAAGGGAAAAGGACAGAGACCCCCTCTCTTGATAAGAGTATCAGAGAATTGCAGCCATGTTTGTAAGCTCCACAGTTTAAAAGAATAATACTGAAACTGACACCTTAGGTATTTGGCTACCTGGTACTTTTTAAGTCCCCATGTACTTGCTTGTCTTTTGGTGTAAGATGGAAGCCACTGGGATGGGAGGCACCTGCCTTAGAGGTCATTCAGGGTATCTCCTGCCTCCCATTCCCATTCATGAGGGATTTGAATGGACTCAATTGGGCAAGTGCACTGTGACAGTTTACATGACTTGCCTTGCCTGATGATAATGGCAACAGTGGGAGGCTCCCAATACAAACTTTAAAAGAAGTTTGTCCAGTGGACCTTTGTGTTAGGGAGGCTGCCTGATATTTTGTTAATGTCCCTGTCAGTAGGGATAGTATATTAGCCAGTGTGTCTGCTAGTATTGTGACCAGAAAAAGTGATGGGTGAAACCAAGTCTCAGGGCAGCCAGAATCAAGTAGCTTCAGGTATCCTTGGCTTTAGTGAGCATCTTGAGGAATAAATGGGAAACCCATTCGTACACTATTGAATCACTGGTGTTAGACATGTTTGGACAGACCTATAGGTAGACAGGAATTGAGGTCCCTAGCAGATGTTAGGCGTTCTGTGTTGATTGAAAGAGGGTTCATAGGAATGTGACCAGTGGGGTCACACAGTCCTCATAGCAGCCCTGTGAAGGAGATGCTGTTAAAGGAAGAAATGAGCGCTTTGAATCTCTGCAGAGATCTAAATACAGCATGGCCTAAGGACAGTTTATTGGCCTGGAACAGAGGCTGATCAATAGCTGATCAGTAATGCAACACAAAGTCTCAGTGTTTTAAATTGATCCCTCCGTGAGTCGAAGCCAGTGCGACTATGGTTCTGTGGTGGAACAGTTGAGCCTAGAATCTGCCTGTCTGGGCCATCTACAGCACATTGGAAGCCCCTTGCCCATGGAGTGAGGAGGGCCCTGGTCATCCGTGGAACTGATCATCAATGCCTCCTTCCACGGACTCGCACACCAAGATGACAGGCAGTCACTTTCTTCTAAGATTGTTCTTACTTCCTTGTTGATCAAAATTAAGGACAGTTGTTTTGTTGCTTCCTCTGATTTCTAAGAGATTGTTAGCCTGGCAAGTCAGGAAATCAATAACATGTGCTCTGTTTTACCAGAATTGAATTTCCAGGAGCCGCCTAGACTGTTGACGTCCCTTCTCACTACAGCGTCTTGGCCTCTGTGTTAGTTTGTGAGCAAATAATCTGCTTTCCCTGTGCTACAGCTTTCCTGCCCTTCAGACTAAGTGGGAATTGGGAATTGCCTCCCCACCGTGAGATCTGTTTGTTGGACTGTGTGTGGCCTTGTATCCCAACCCTAGCCAAGACCATGCGTGGAGTAGGCTTTCAGTATTTATGTGTTAAATTGGGCTTAAGAAATATTTCTTGTTTGCAAGGCATATTGTATGTGCTTGGAGCTAAAAAGGTGAATGAGATGGCTAGAGAGGTAGTGGGATGAGATAGAAAGAACTCTGTCCTAAAAATCAGGAAGGCTGGGCCCCTATTATAGTTCTGCTACTTATAAGCGGTATGAACTGATGATGTAATTTCCCTGAGGCTCAGTCTCATCTGCGAAATGGGGTCATAGAACCTTTGTGACATTGAGGCACCCTTCAACTGGGAGGTGAAATTTATAAGCTGGACAGCCTGGCCATAAGTCCAGTAGACCATGGACACTTCTGCATGGTCTTTGCATCATCGTGTTCTAGTTTTGAGTCACCAAATCTTGCTGATGGCTGAGATGGTATTTCTTACTCATGATGAAATGTTAAGGTAACTTATTTGGTAATTTCAGATATTCGTATTTATGATGTCCAAGAGTAAACAGTTTATATTTGTTTGTGACGGCTTAGCAGTGTTGGCAATGGGAATTCCTGGGCCACTTGGTGGGGGGTGTGTGTGTGTGTGTGTGTGTGTGTGAGGTATATATATGTATGTGTGTGTGTGTATATATATATATATATATGGCTAGTTTCCTGCCAAGGCTCATAGAAAGTGGCAAGTTATTGAGGGGAGAGCAGAGCTGGTAACTAATCATGAAATCAGCACTTCCTAGAAATAGCTGAAACAGGCCTTGAGGTTGGTGCCTTCTGGGAACTGCTGGCTGGGAAGCCAACTGCTGATCCCAGGTGGAGCTCTGGGATAGCAATTTAAACTAGGGGTGTTTAAGGACTGGGAAAAGAAGGAATTGATCTCTAGGGATGAACATGGGTTTACAAAAGTCCCCAAACCAGACTAACCTCAATTTTTCTTTCAGTGAAATTACTAAACTTCACATACCTCTATTTTTATTAAGCATCTGACAAAGAGCACACCATGTTATTCCTGTGGACAAGTGGGAGAAATAGGTTTCGATGAAAGTCACAATAATTCCTTTGTGTAGAACACCACAGGGCGCAGTGTATGCTCATTTGCTATCTTGCTTTTTCATTATTAGCATGATTTAGCAAGGGTGACAGGGCAGATGAGAGTACTCCAAAACTTGGAGGTGCCTAAGGCCATGGTCATATTGCTAGAGAAGTGGTAGAACTAGTTTCCAACCCACCATTTCTGCCTCACAGAGTCCCAGGGCACAGCCCCATGTGGTACAACTGTGTGCAGTCATGCCTGGGTTTGAAGTTACCATCGGACAGGTGCCGTTAGGTACTGTCGAAGAACAGAAAGATACCCCAGCACCACCACTCCCCACGTCAGACCTGCTTAGCAGATTTCCCACGTGCCGTAAAACAGGTATCAATCACTGATAAGTGGAATAACAAACTGAGACTTGTAATGTTCTTAATAGGATAGATCATAGGCCAATTTAAATAGGATGCAATTTAGTTGGAACAAATGCAAAGCCTGCACTTGGGGTTAGAAACCATCACTACAACTATTTTGGTTGTTTTCTAACCTAGGACTTGTTAGCATTTTGTATATAAAAGGCATAGCATTTTGTTAGCCACAAGGATAGGCCATAGTGGGATATGGCTTCCAAAACGTCAATGTCCTAGTGTGCGTTAGGACAGACGAGGGGTCTGGAAGGGATGACAGGAGTAACAGGGTTCTGCATCCAGGTCCTGGCCAGCTACAGAGAATTCCAGTGGATTTGGACCAGGCAGATCAGGCTTCTGAAAAGTGAGTTGTTTGAAGACTGTTGTAGGAACTGAGGATTCTCCTTAATCCACATTAGTGTTTATGTTTATTGAGCCTCAGAATGTCAGCTGGCAGAGAAGCAAATATGAATAGGGCAGGGTGCTGCCAACAAGGAAGCTGAATAATGAAGAGTGTTACTTGAAATTGGCCCTGGAAACTGGCTTGCTGCAGGTGGAGAAAGGAATGGGGGTGCGGGAGAAGGGCATCCTAGGCAAAGGAAGGACACGAGCCAAGCCTGAGAGGCGGGGCCTGCTGTGTATGGTGGGGTGGGCCTTGTATTTGGAGAACAACACGCTTTGTAGTTTGACCGGAGCCTAGGGTACATGTAGGGTCCTGGGAGGGATAAAACTTGAATTAGGTTAGGCAGGGTTGATGGGTGCAGAGTCCCTGACACCAGGCTGAGGAACCTGCACTTTATTCTCTGGTGGATGTTTTTTGAGCAGAGAAGTGACTAAGACAAGGGCTGTGTTTACGGAAAGACCATTCTGGCAAACACAGGAAAGGTGGGTGTCAGGAGGGACCCACTAGGGGGTGGGTGTCTTAGTCCTTCTGGGCTACCGTGACTAAATACCTTAGATTGGGTAAATTATAAACAACAGAAACTTTCTTTCCTTTCTTTTTCCTTCCTTTCCTTTCCTTTTTTTTGACAAGGTCTTGCTGTGTTATCCAGGCTAGAGTGCAGTGGCATGAACAGCTGACTGCAGCCTCAACCTCCTGGGCTCAAGTGATCCTCCCACCTCAGCCTCTTGAGTAGTTGGGACTACAGGCATATACCACCACACCCAGCTTTTTTTTTTTTTTTTTTTTTTTTTTTTTTTTGAGACGGAGTCTCGCTCTGTCACCAAGGCTGGAGTGCAGTGGCACGATCTCGGCTCACTGCAAGCTCCGCCTTTTGGGTTCACTCCATTCTCCTGCCTCAGCCTCCCGAGTAGCTGGGACTACAGGTGCCCGCCACAACGCCCAGCTAATTTTTTGTATTTTGTTTAGTAGAAACAGGGTTTCACCGTGTTAGCCAGGATGGTCTTGATCTCCTGACCTTGTGATCCGCCCGCCTCGGCCTCCCAAAGTGCTGGGATTACAGACGTGAGCCACTGTGCCTAGCCCTAGTTTTTTTTATTGTCTGTATAGATGGGGTTTCCCTGTCTTGCCCAGGTTGGTCTGGAACTCCTGGACTCAAGCGAACCTCCTGCCTTGGCCTCCCAAACTATTGGGATTATAGACGTGAGCCATCATGCCTGGCCCAGAAACTTTTTCTTACGGTTCTGGGGCCTGGATATCCAAGATCACAGAGCCAGTAGATTCAGTGACTGGTGAGGTACTTGTGGATGGCACCCTGTTGCTGCATCCTCTCGCAGCAGCAGAGGCAAGGCTGCTGGCTTCAATGTCTTTCATAAAGGCACTAGTCCCATTCCTGAGGGCAGAGCCCTAGTGACGGGGCCTGAAGGCCCCACTTCTTAGTACCATCACACTGGATATTAGTTTTCAATGTATGAATTTGGAGGGACGCCGTTATTCAAACTGTAGCATGGGACCACTTAGGGGCCTGTTGCTGTAGTCCAGGTACAAAGTGACATGACTTGAGCTGTAATGGAGATGGAAGGGAAGAGGCCTTCCCGAAGCTGGCCACAGAAAGACTTGCCAGCCAGGATTGGTGGCTCACACCTGTAATCCCAGCACTTTGGGAGGCTGAGGTAGAAGGATCACTTAAGCCCAGGAGTTTAAGATCAGCCTAGGCAACATAGTGGGACCCCATAGTGGAGTACACCTGTGGTCTCAGCTACTCGGGAGGCTGAGGTGGGAGGATCGCTTGAGCCCAGGAGATCAAGGCTGGTGTTAGCCATGATGACACCACTGTAATCCACCCGGGGTAACAGTAAAGACCCTGTCTCAAAAAAGAAAGACACATCATCTGATGGATGTGGGGCAGGTAGATAAAGGGGAGCCACGTTTACCCTCAAGGAGATGGTTCCTGAGATCACTTTGACTGCATAGGCACCGTGCTTTTGCAATTCACTTCACAAGTAGGATGTATACATCTGACTGGCACGCTCACATACAGCTTATTTCCTCCTTTCAAACCTGCCTGGGATGGCTGGCATCTTATGCTATTGAGACTAATGAGATTTGATGGGTTGGTTTCTATCTTCTTTGTTCTTCCGGGACCAGATCTGACCTGTTAATGTTGCACTTGGGTCAGGTTGCAGTCAGACATTGTCAGCAGCATCTTACCTAAGAAGGTCAGGATAGTTCATTTATTTTGGGGGGCAGTTAAGACATCAGCTGTCCAGCAGTCTCCCTTATCAGGAGCACAGCTAGGAACCAGTGAATAAGCAAAATGAGAATCTCAGGCTGGCCAGCAAAGATATCCCAATGTCCATCCCTTGTCCTGCTGGCTGCCTGCCTGCCCCAGTCTTTCACTGGCAACTATGTACTCTTATTTTACACATGATTTTAATGAGCTGGGTTATTTTTAGCTCATGTCATCAGAAGGAGCTGCTACAGAGACATAGACTGACTCAAAAACACCAGTTGTTGGTCTTTGGGAAAAGTTAATGTGTTGGCAGAAAAACTAGAAAACATTGATGCAAGAACTCAAAGGTAGGAGCTCTCTGGAGTCTACTGTGTTTGGGAACAGCTCACCATACAAGTCTGGAAGGAGATGGAGCATTATTGCATTTCAGAACGGGGATCCCAACTTAGCTGTCACATTCAGTACATTCTGCTTAAGAAGGCAGGGAGGGAAATGGTGTTGCAACCTCTGGGTTTGCGTTTCAACCCTGTTTTGGATGACTTGGCCCCTCAAGAAGTACTTGTTCAGTGAGAACTTCCTTTAGTTCCTATAGGGCTTCCCATAGTGAGGGAGTAACGTGAGTTGTGTCTGCAACACCCAGAGTGGTGGTTGGGACTTGATGAGCAATTGGCAAATATTTGTTAAATGAGTGGATGAATTCGTCACAGAGAGGGAGACCTGGGTAACGATAAGGCAACAAGAAATGGCTTTCCAGGCTCGTCACAGTAACTCGTCTTCTGTTATAACCACTAGACAACGCGTCGCATAATGGCAACAAAATTATGCTTAGGTAAACAGCTTTGGCAGTGCACACAGTTCCCTAGGTGCTTGTTCATGGAATACTGAATTTGAAAAGATTTTAATGAGTGTATCCTCTTTTTTAGGCCTTCTGCTGGTAGAGCACCACCAGTCTGTTGTCAGTGTTGTAGCATGGCTCATCCAGAACATCTCTTTCTTGGCCCCAGATCTTACCCACCTCCTGCTGCTATCTATCCTTCCATTCACATCCATCCATCTACCCATCCATCCACCCATCCATCCATCCATCCATCCATCCACCCATCCATCCATCCATCCATCCATCCACCCACCCACCCACCCACCTACCCTCCCCTGCATATAATAGTCATTTATGGAGCGCCTGCTGTGTGCCAGCCAGGCACTGTGCTTTGGGGATGGAGGGACAGAGATGTGGGTACTCAGATGAACACAGCTGGTCCCTGTCCTCAGGGAGGGAGTGCTCTCAGTCAGAAGTAGGATTCTGACACAGGAGCACAGGCAGCTGCAGTACAGTGTGATGAGTATGTATATACTTAAGGCACACACCTGCTTACGGGAATGCTGAGGAGGGAGCACTTACTTCTCCGGGGGCAGGAGTAGAGTTGGGGAGGCTCCTGAAAGACGGAATGTTTGGGCTAAGCCTGAAATGACAGTTTGTGTCATCTCAGATTTGTAGGGGTTGCCCCGGGTGGGGTGTCCAGGCTGGCGGTGCAGGCAAAGTAAGTTACCTGGAGCTTTCTTAGTTTTGAGAGGGGACACTGCAGGCTGGGAAGAGTGAGAGATGGTGGTTTCAAGGGCAGTGACCTTGATCACCTTGTCTTCATTCTACCTGGTAACCCACTGGGGACCCCTGTTTGGAGGATCCCTCCATTCCAGCCCTCATAATTTAACCAGATTATTCTTGAAGCTGGAAAGGGCTGTTGGGAATTCTCTCTTCCAGCAGAAGGTAGCAAACAAAGAACATACTTGGGGGACATATGGGAGGGGCAGTTACAGATATATTTAAAAAAGCATCAGAGTTGAGTAAAGATGATACCTATCCCCCAGCCCCTGCTGTCTTCCACCTCCGAGCCAGCTCAGTGAGCATCTAGCATGGCAGGAGGGACCTGCCATCCCTTGAAAGATCCCTTTCCCAACCTCCACCTCGAGCCCCTTCTACACTAAGAGCCATTTTAGAAACATCAGAAAAGTGAGATTTGGAATGACCTAGACAGAAACTTAGGCTAACCCTCTTCATTTTACGTAAGTAGAGCTGTGATGGTTCAGTTAATACTCTGTGTGATGGGATGGTCAGCCCAGAACCAAAACAGACCCAGGTGGGGAATGGGTTGGATTTGGGGCCATTTGAGTTTTGGTGGCCCTGTGTATTCAGGGCACCATGGCAGATTTGCTGCTGCAGGATAAGTCTGGGTTGGCGATATGGATTTGGGGAAATTGTGAATTGCTTAAGGTCGCAGTTGGTGGTGCATCTGGGACTAGAGCACAGGTTTCTTGCTTCCTCCTGGCCCAATTTTTCTGCCACATCCTGCTGCTAAAAGTGTTACTTAACTAGTTCTGTCCCACTAGCAGATTCTCTAATGAAACACTTGAGCCATGATAATAGGTATTGTGTAGAGCCAGTGGCAATGGATAGTAATAGGGAAAAAAATATCCAAAGGGTGGGTTGTTAAGGTCAAGAAGGAAAAGTACCAGAATGGTGATTTTTAAGAAATTGTATTTGGTCTCTGACAACTGCCAGAAGATCACTGTTAAAACTTGGGGAGAAGCCAGGCGTGGGGGCTCACGCCTCCGATCTCAGTGCTTTGGGAAGCTGAGGTGGATCACTTGAGCCCAGAGTTTAAGACCACCATGGGCAACATAGCAAGACCCCGCCTCTACAAAATATTTTAAAATTAGCCCAGTGTGGTGGGGTGTGCCCGTAATCCTAGCTACTGGGGAGGCTGAGGCAGGGGGATCCTTTGAGCCCAGGAGTTCAAGGCTACAGTGAACTATGATGCTGCCACTGCACTCCAGCCTGGGCGACAGAGCAAGACCCTGTCTAAAACAAACAAAAAACTTGGGAACAAAGCCATCCGCGGTTTCTCTATGCTTCATCCTAATATAGATGGTTTCCAATTTACAGTGGTTTGACTAAGGATTCTGTGGCTTTATGATGGTGTGAAAGTAATAATGCATTCAGTGAAAACCGTACTTTGGGTACCCATGCAAGCATTCTGTTGTTCACTTTCAGTACATTATTCAATAAATTACCTGAGATATTCAATACTTTATCATACAATAGGCTTTGCGTTCAATGATTTTTGCTGAGCACGTTTAAGGTAGGCTAGGTTAAGCTGTGATGTTCAGTAGGTTAGGTGTATTAAGTGCGTTTTTTCTTTTCTTTTTTTTTAAGTCAAGGTGTCACTCTGTCACCCAGGCTAGAGGTACAATGCAGCTTATTGCAACCTTGAACTTCAAGTGATCCTTCTGCCTCAGCCTCCTGAGTAGCTAGGACTACAGATGCATGCCACCATGCCCAACTAATTTTTTTTTTTTTTTTTACTTTTTTGTAGAGATGGGGTCTTGCTATGTTGCCCAGGCTGATCTCGAACTCCTGGCCTCAAGCAATCCTCCAGCCTAAGCCTCCCAAAGTACTGGAATTAGAGGCATGAGCCACCATGCCTGGCCTTAAGTGCATTTACAACTTATAATAGGTTTATTGAGATGTAATCCCGTCATAAGGAGCATCTGTACAACTATTTTCATTTTAGCAAATTTCCTGTTTTTATCAAGCAGTCTATGTACATAACACATATGTATTTTTATTTAGTTGCAATCACAGCTTGCTTATTCCTTTAAAGTCTGTTTACCTAACATTGTCATTAAAATTTTCCTTGTTTTTTATCTCATCTTCGTAATTATCTTGTATAATGGCTGAACAGTATTCTGGAGTGTTGATGTATCGTGGTTCTGCGTCCCTGTGGTGGAGAGATGAGGCCGTCTCATCCCTCCAGCCTCCTTTCTCCAGTTGCATATCCTGCCTTCTGCTTCTGTTGACCTGTTGCCTTCAGAGGAGTATGTCGAGGAAGGAAAGAGCCTGAAGGCTGTAATCCCATGATGCAGTTTTCATTCTTTGTTTTTACTTTGTGTTACTGCTGCTATGTGTGTCACACAAATACAGCTGCACAAAGAAAACAAAGGTACCCAGTTTACTGGGTTACAAGAAGGCAGACATCCTGGTAACACTACACAAGTCAGGGGAGAACCCTGCCCACCGCCCAGAAGCCCTTAGTGTAACCTTGCCAGAAGATCAACAATTACCCTGACTTTATTGTGGCTGCTTCCTTGTTCTTCTCCAGTTTTGTCACCCAAGTGTGCATCTGTAGACGTTGCATTTTCATTTTGCCTTTAAGAAAAAAGTGTATTTTAAATCTCTTTTAATCTGTAGGTATCCCCTCTATCTCTTCTCTTCCCTATATTCTGCTTGTTGAAGAAAGAAATGGAATCATTTGGCCGGGCGCGGTGGCTCACGCCTGTAATCCCAGCACTTTGGGACGCCGAGGTGGGCGGATCACTTGAGGTCGGGAGTTGAGACCAGCCTGGCCAACATGGTGAAACCCTGTCTCTACTAAAAATAAGCCGGGCTTGGTGGCGCACGCCTGTAATCCCAGCTACTCGGGAGGCTGAGGCAGCAGAATCGCTTGAATCCAGGAGGCAGAGGTTGCAGTGAGTCAAGATTGCACCACTGCACTCCAGGCTGGGCGACAAGAGCAAAACTCCATTTCAAAAAAAAAGAAATGAGATCATTTGTCCTGAGTGGTTCTCACAGGCTAAATCTTGCGGAGAGAGAGGTTGGGGAGCAAGGTTACATCTTAGGTGATGGGGTGTTCTTATCAGGAGGTACGTAATGTCTGGTTGTCTCCTGTTGTGATGTTAGTAGCCACTGATGTTCAGTGCTTAGAACCTACTACCCATTAGGGGTTGCAAAATGATGATATTGCAGTTCTGTTATTTCTTCATTTATTTGTTGAAATACTTCAATAAAGAAAAACTCCACCCACCTACTATTTTTAAAAGCTTTCTTTAGATTCACGTGTCATACAGTTTGCCTATCCAAAATGTACAATCCAGCAGCTTTTAGTGTATTCACAGAGTTGTGCAGCTGTCACCACAAGCAATTTTAGAACATTTCATTTAAATCCCCCTGCCCCCTACAAATAACTGTACTCCCCTTAGCTGTCGTCCCCCAAACCCCTTTGCCCGAAGCAACCACTAATCTAATTTCTGGCTGTATAGATTTCCCTCCTTTGGAGGTTTCTTATAAATGGATCATATGATGTGTGGTGGCTCCTTGTGTCTGGCTTTTTTCACTTAGCATAATGTTTCCTAGGTCCATCCATGTGGAAGCACATATCAGCACTTCATTCTTTTTTACGGCCAAATGATAGTCCATTGTACAGTTATACTGTCTTTTGTTGATCCATTCATCAGTTGATAGATATTTGGGTTGTTTCTACCTTTGAATATTATAAATAATACTGCTATGAGCATTTGTGTACAAGTTTTTACGTGAACATATGTTTTCATTTCTCTTACCTAGAAGTAGAATTGTTGGGTCATGTGGTAACTAACTCTATGTTTAGCCATTTGTGGAACTGCCAGGCTATTTTCCAGAGCAGCTGCACAGTTTTACATTCCCATCAGCAGTATATGAGGGTTTCTACTTCTCCAACATTTGTTATGATCTTTTTTAAAATTAATTAATTAATTTATTTATTTATTTATTTATTTATTTATTTATTTATTTATGAGACGGAGTCTCGCTCTACCGCCGAGGCTGAGTGCAGTGGCACAATCTCGGCTCGCTGCAACTTCCACCTCCCCGACCTCAGCCTCCTGAATAGCGGGATTACAGGTGCCCATCACCATACCCTGCTAATTTTTGTATTTTTAGTGGAGACAGGGTTTCACCATGTTGGCCAGGCTGGTCTTGAACTCCTGATCTCAAGTGATCTGCCCGCCTCAGACTCCCAAATTGTGGGGATTACAGGCATGAGCCACTGTGCCCGGCCTTTTTAATTACAGCCATCCTAGTGAGTGTGACATAGTATTTGATTGTAATTTTGATTTGCATTTCCCTCATGACTAGTGATGCTGAGCATCTTTTCATGTGTTTATTGACCATTTGTATGTTTGGGGGGAACTAGTTGTATGTACCCTCTGTCCATTTTTAAATTGGATACTTGTCTTTTTATTATTGAGCTGTAATAGTTCTTTATATATTCTAGATTTGCAAACATGTTCTCCCATCTGGGTTGTCTGCACTTCATGTCTCCATGTCCTTTGAAGCAAAAAAAAAAAAAAAAGTCTCACATTTTGATGACGTCCAGTTTATTTTTTCTTTTGTTGCTTGTGCTTTTGGTGTCATAGCTAAGAAATCATTGTCCAACTCAAAGTCATGAGGCTTTATGCCTGTGTTTTATTCTGAGAGTTTTATAGTTTTAGCTCTTACATTTAGGTCTTTGATGCACTTTGAATTAATTTTTGCATATGCTGCCGTCTACTCTTAGGTTACCCAGTGCTGCAGTTAAAGGGAGAGTCAGTGCTGGATTCTTTCCCTTTCTTTACCAGTTTCCATAATAAGGAGTTGCCACCGAGTCATCCTATGGAGTTGGGTTTTTTTTTTTCTTTGTGATTATGGCACTTAGATTTAAGCATATTTGTGTTTGGATCCATTGAGAATGATGTCGTTTTATCTGAGAAGCGTGTCTGCTCCGCTTGGGTGACTATTAAGAAGCCTTTTCATTTGTCAGAGACTTCAGTATCCTTGTGGTGGTTTCTCATTCAGACTCTCTCTCAGTTTTCCCAAGGAGAGGTGGGGAGAGTAGGTATCCTGAGGCCCGTTTTACAGGGGCAGGAATAGAAACGTTAGGAGGAGTGACTTGTACGAAGTCAAGTGGCAGATGCAGGACTTGACCCCTTGTTTCTCCGACTGCTTTCTTGTGCTCATGCCCCATGTGTATACCACATAGTCAAAACCTTGGCATGAACCTGGAATTTGAGTTTGAGTCCTGGTTATGGCCTGTGACCTCCAGCAGGTCTTTGGGTTTCCCTGAGACTTCGTTACCTACTTTGTGAAATCGGAAGACTGGAAGAGCCAATTTCAGAGGATGAGCTTTCTTTCCTAAGTAAGGTTGCCTGCATTGAGAAACAGCCCAGCTTTTGCTACGCTAGAGTAAGGCCCTGTTACACCCTTCTTCAAGTGTGTCTGATTTTGGCAAAGCTTATCTTCCCATGTAGGTATTCATCCAAAAAGTATTCTTTTTGTAAGAAGAGACTAGCAAAAGTTAACAGGGTTATCTAGATTCTTAACTTTATGCTATTATGTGGCATTTGAGTTTCTTTAATCATGAGTTTGTATTACCCTTATAATCAAACTAATTACAAATTTAAAAATTTGTGTGTGCTGACATGTATGCAATTTACAAAGAGAAGTAGGTTTTTTTTAACCTTTTTTTTCTTATCTAGCTGTCTCACCCTAAGTTTTTTCATCTTCCCAATTGTCTTCCAGAAACATGCCAAAGGCCAGGATTTGTTTGATCAGATTGTGTACCACTTGGACCTTGTGGAAACAGATTACTTTGGCCTCCAGTTCCTCGACTCTGCCCAGGTTGCGGTAGGTTATTGCTTTGATTCATTTCAGAACAGATTGGCTTTTCATTGCTAATTGCACGTCCACAGTTGCTAGAAATGGGTAGAGAAAAACAAGACTAAAACTGTGATACTGTGCCAGTAACAGGCATTGGGATGGAGGTTGTGGTGCCCAAGTGCCATGCGTCACAATGCTTGTAGGATGCCTCACCCTTGAGGTGGCCAGTAACCAGGAGAGGATGTGAATGGGATTCATTAGGGATGCATTATAGGCACATTTCTAGAAAAGGTAGAAAGAAGAAACATCATTATAGAAGTTCTTTCAGGCTGGGGGCAGTGGCTCGTGCCTGTAATCCCAGCACTTTGGGAGGCTGAGGCAGGTGGATTGCTTGAGTCCAGGAGTTCAAAACCAGCCTGGGCAACAAGGTGAAACTCCATCTCAACAAAGAATACAAAAATTAGCCAGGCATGGTGGCATGTGCCTGAAGTCCCAGCTACTAGGGAGGCTGAGGTAGGAGGATTGATTGAACCCAGATGGTCAAGGCTGCAGTGAGCTCAATCGATCCTGCCACCTCAGCCTCCCTAGTGGCTGTATTCCAGCCTGGGTGACAGAGTAAGACCCTGTCTGAAAAAAAAAAAAAAAGGAAAAGAAAGAAACTCTTCTAATGGTGCTGCTTTTATTTTTAACCAGCAGAAGAGGCTGTGCCACCATCTTCTTACAGAGTCTGGCTGGGTAGAGAGCAGGTGCTGTGAACGGAGCTGAATGCCAGCCAGGCTTAGTGGGGTTGGGGGTGGATGGGGTTGGAGCAGGTCTTGCTGTTGCCGAGAACCATCTTGCAGGTTCCAGGAAGCTGTGTTAGGTCAGCACTTTACTTACTTTGCCTGAGACAGAACTGTTCACAGTGGAGATGTTAGAATGAGTGAACTCCACAAAGCTCAGACCCACTCTTTTTAAAAGCAGGAATGACTTCATAGTTCCCCTTCCCAACAAAATCTAGCTTGGGGTTTCAAAGATAATTTATTCGACAATCTAAATCTATTTATGGAGTGCCCATTATGCACTGGGCCCTGTGCTGAGCATTGCGGATAAAGCAGTGCACATAGATATGTCATATGCCAGATGGTAATAGGAGTCAAGAAAAATAAAGGCGAGGAAAGGGTGGACTGGGGGGAGGGGAAGCACTATTTTAGACAGTGTATTAAAGTCTGGGTTCCCTGATCAGGATGTTTGAGCTGGAGACCTGGAGCTCCCATAATGGTTAAGGCTGTCTACTGGAAGATACTTATCAGATACTTCCTGATTGTATCTGGAAGTTGTCAGGTGACATGTGACATTTGTAAGGTGAAGATGTACAAAATCGGTACCTGGGAATTAGGTCTGCTGGAGAATGTTAGTGACATGCTGAGTCCTTCGGTGACAGATTGGAATCTGGACGGGAATGCATCCTGGCTACAGTGCCTCTGGGGTGGACACTCCCACTGGATGTCCCTGTGCAGATGTGTCCCTCAACCTCAGCCACTTCCTCTGCATCTTCAGGACGTCCTGTTATGCCACCCCACCCCACCCCCAAACTGTGTCCTCCTCAAACTGTCCTCCTCGAACCCTCCCGGGTTCCTTCTCATTTCTCAGCCAGAGACTCTCACTCCGTCCACCGGACCCGGGAGAAGGGCAGAACAACTTTTCCTCTTTCCACCTCTGAGTCCAATTCCGCTTCCTTTGAGGTTGGGCCGACCAGTGTCCTACCCTCTGACCTCATGACTGTCCTTCGCATCCCTCGAGGCCTTTGGTGTCTCAGTTTTTCTCTTCCTCTGGGTAGCCTCAGGACTGAAGTTACTGGCCCTCCTACATATTCTGGACACTGTTTCCTGTCATTTAAGCTTCATTTGAGCAGATTGACAAGACCCACATAGATTCTCGTGTGTCCTGTCACCACCTGCACTCCAAGATCCAGAATTCTGCCAGTCCCCATTCCAGGATAACTTCCCTTGATTCCTTCCATTTTCCCAGTTCCCCTCCCTCTGGGCTTGGCCCACAGCGGTCTCCTTCTGCCCTTTGTCCCCTCCCAGCCTTCTCCTGCCCTGGCCTTCCTCCCAGCCCCAGCCAGGCCTCGGCCACCTCACCTGTGTCCTCACTTGGCCTTTGATTCTCCTGCCCCCGTGACTGTCCCCTGGCCTCCCCTTGACACGCAGGCCCATCTGTTTCCTCTGTGGCTTGTCCCAGCCTGCCAGGCGTTGCTGGAGAGAGCCACGGTCTGTGCCTTCTGGCATCAGCACCGATCACAGGTTCAGCAGAGTCCAAGCTCCCGAGCTGCTCCCTGAGCCTCAGTAGCCCCAGATTGACTCTTGGCCACCCGACAGGTCCATGTCTGGATCTGAGCACAGACCTTTAGTCCAGTCCCCACGGAGGCTTTGTTCCAGCAGTTGCCTCACCTGCTGAGAAGACCGAGGTCGTTCAGCTAAAATTCCTTGAATTTTCTTCCCCTACACTTCCGATTCTGTCTGTCCATCTTTTTTTTTTTTTTTTTTGCATGTCTACTTCTCAATCTACTCTCTACACCTGGAGCGGCAGGCCTATTTCCACTTGCTTCCTGAATGCCATATTTAGGGTTCTCTCTGTCCCCAGCATCCTCCACCTGTTTCCAGCACCTGCCACTCTCCAGCCCTCTTCTTCCCTGGAACTCTTCTTGATTCTGCCTTCTCCTGTGTGTCTTAAAGCGTGTGGTATTTTTGGCTTCAGAATATCTGTGGCCCTGAACTAGAAGTCAGACTGGACCTTGTTCCTGGCTCTGCCTCTGACTCATTTGGTAGGCTTTAGATAGGCTGCCTTGCTCCTCTGGCCTCTGTTTTCTCATCTGTAAAATGGGGTACTTGGACCTGTTCTCCAAGAAAACTTACACTTCTAATGTTCAGTCATTCTGAGTCTAAAGGGGACGTTGGCATGTCTGCTGCAAATGCGTTCTCTAGTTAGAAAGGAGGAGGTATCTTTCATTTCTGCCCTTAGAACCTATGCCTGTTACCTTGGCAGCATGTCCTCATCCCCAAGTGACCCCTCATTAGCCACTCAGATTCCCAGAAAGCCAAGTCTGTGACTCCATTATGAAGGCCTTTGCCATGAGCCTCTGCTGACTTGGCTGGCAGGCTTTCCCGCCCGCCAGTGCCCTGTCACTGTGCAGCAGGAGGGGTGTTCACAGCAGGATACAGGCGGCTTTCCCAGGCCAGACACCTGAAGATGCTCAGGCTCTCAGGCCTTTCCAGCATCCAACTCTACAAATTTGAGGCAAAAACAGGTGGGAGGGCGAGGGTCCTCATCTGCCTCCAGCTCTGAGGATGCAAGAGCTGTGCGGCAGCAGCAGTTCCCAGGACCCTCTAGTCATTCCCATCTTTGCTTTCTGAGCTGGACTCCTTACAGTCTGGGTCTTATGATGCCTGCACTTATCTCTGTGCCTTTGCTTATGCTGTTTCTCCTTCTGCTGTTTCTCACCTGTTTAAACTCCCAGCCATCCTTCAAGACCATCTCAGATGACCCCCCCCTCACCCTTCATGAAGCGTGTCCTGAACTCTCAAAGTGTTTTTTCTACTATGCAAATCTTATTTTGCCTTCTGTGGCCATTTGACTGTTTGGCCTTGGGTTTGTTATTTGTGTGTGTGTGTGTGTGTGTGTGTGTGTGTGTGTGTGTGTGTGTGTGTATACACACACGTATATATTATGTATATATACACTATATATGTGTATATAGATACACATATATAATATATATGTATATATACACATATTTATGTATATACATATATTTTATATATATATATAAAACTTTAAATTTAGATCCTAAGACTTAGGACCTCCTCCTCTTAACTCGGTGATTCTTGGGGACAAGGCACATAACCTAGAACCTTCTTTTTTAGCCCCAGAAGGAACCTGAGGGAGAGGCATTTGTCAAATCTTTCTAGATCTTTCTTTTACCATCTTCTAGATGGTGAAACCAAAGCCCTTAGATCTTGGCAAGTCATTTAGTGAATAGCACAGCTTGGACTCAAACTCAAATTTTGCAATTTCAGGTCTATGTGCTCTTTCTAGTACACCCTACTCTTGAGTCTCAGTTTCCTAGCTGTAAAGTGGAGGTAGTGTAATAACATCTGTTTCATGGGGAATTTGAGGAGCTCAGAGAATTAATGGAGGAGAAAAGTTTTTGTAACCTGGGACGTGGATATGGGTCTCCTCTTTGTAGCTGGGCAGTGTGAGGGGGGACCGGAAGTCATCACTGCCCCCAGGGGTGAGCATGCTAAGAAGGTACAGTTAGCTGATTGGAACCTGTAAGGCCCGCCTTGCCTGTGGGAGAAACCTTAGCCAATTTAATCAAGAGGCTTTTGGGAGAGTCTGCTGAGATGGCTTTTGGGGTCATTGATTTTTATAGGACCTGGGAGGTGATTGGATGTCATAGGAGGTGTTTCTGCAAACAGTAGGGTAATAGATGGACCCGGAAGGGAATGGTTCACTTGGCTATTGGCTTATTGCCCCATAATTGAGCCTCCTTCAAGCAATGGTGTTCCCACCCAGCCCCTGACATGCAGATCAGAGGTTGGCAGCTGCAGGGCTCTTGGCATGGCTCTCTGCATACCCAGCTTATATCCCCAGCTCCCTGAAAAGAACCACGCCTGGTTTCCATAGTGCCCTGCCCAGCCCTGAAGCAACTGTCAAAGCGTATTGATATCACCTATTTTTAGCAGTTGGGACTAGGACCTCCTGTTTCCCTTTTCCATGTCAAAACAGGAGGCCATCCAGGAACCCACTCTGCAGATTTCACTTTGGTACAGCTCAAAGCAGGGGCTGGGAGTCTGTGTCTACATATCAAAGCTTGCTTCTGAGAGCCAAGGGCTCAGGCCTGCACTGTCTCACTTTCCCACTGCCTGATCACGATAAGTGCTGTTTACCCAGTTCTCGCCCTGAGCCCAGCACTGAACTACAGTCTTTGTGAACTCTTGTTTAATATTCATCACTGATCTATAAAGTAGGCCATAAAACAGAACCATTTTACAGATGATGAAGCTGAGGCTCAGAGACACTGATGTTCCTAAGAATGTTGTAAAGGTTAAAGCCAGGATTCAGAACTTGGTCTCATTCCAAAGTCCAGCACTTTCCACTTGGCTATACGGCTTGAATATGCACTTGGTTCATGCGTACATACATATATAGAAGGAAGAAAGGGAAGGTTCAGTCAATCCCATTCAGCCAGCTTTGACTTGGAGCTTACTCAGTGCTGAGCTCTGTGGTTGCACAGATGAGCTGGATGTTGTCCCTGCCTGCCACATTCTGTTGGGAGACATAGACAAGTAATCCCCTGAACTACGGTGTATTCAGTCCTCTAAAGAACCAGTGTAAAGGTCCCTCTGTGGGTCTGGAGGAGAGACTGTCTACGTATTACTGATAAAATGAACAAGATATCCAAGAGAAAGGGTGAACACTGATGTGGGCCACAGAGAATGAGAGGAGTTTGCCAGGCAGAGGAGGGGCAGGGATTTGGGGCAGTGGTAGTAACAGCCCCACCAAGCAGGAGCCTCCCTTCCTCTCTTGGGAGCAGGTGTCCTGGAGGGTAGATGTGGCCACTGTAAGTCCTTCCCTAAGCTGCTTTTCAACATGAAAAGGGAGCTTTTTCTGATGGTACATTTTGCAGTAAGGAATCCAAAATAGATTATTTTGACCTTTGTCTCAAGACTTGTCAGATGTGCGTCCTCTGGCCTTTGCAGCATAGAATCTGGCAGTGAGAGGCGCAGGGCTGCATAGTGAGGTTGGTACATAGATATGGCGCCTGCTGGGAGGGTTCAATAGCCACTAAAGGGACTCTTGCAGCTCCTTTGGCTTTGCTTTAATGATTGGTCAGAATGTCATCACATTTGCCACTTGTGTGGACACTACTGGGTGCTCTTGCCATCTCAGATGTAATTATAAGAAGAAAAGAGTGACTATTAGGTATACCTGGAGGGGACATAGGAGAGTATAAATGCTAAGAGTGGGATCTATGGGGATCTATGTTACAACTGCTGGAAACAGACAAAACCCCTTCCTTCCACCCATTGGGTTCAGTGCAGTTTCCATAGACAGTGCTTAGGGGTTAGTTCTGTTCACAGGGGCTGAAACTGAGGCTCAGGTGCCCGTGCTCTGAGGTGGGCTGGGGGTGTGGGGGGGCTTGCTTGTGGCCACACATGAGGTGAGTGGCAGAGCTGCAACTTGAACTCTAATCTTCTGCCTCCTTGCATGGTGGTCCAAAGAAATGTAAACTGCACTCAAGAAATGCCACAGGGCGTGGTGTGGTGGCTCACGTCTGTAATCCCAGCACTTTGGGAGGCCAAGGCAGGTGGATCACCTGAGGTCAGGAGTTCAAGACCAGACTAGCCAACATGGCAAAACCCTGTTTCTACTAAAAATATAAAAATTAGCCAGGCGTGGTGGCACATGCCTGTAACCCCAGCTACTCGGGAGGCCGAGGCAGGAGAATCACTTGAACCCAGGAGGCAGAGGTTGCAGTGAGCCCAGATCACACCACTGCACTCCAGCCTGGGTGACAGAGCGAGACTCTGTCTCGAAAAGAAAAAAAAAAAAGAAATGCCACAGGCCTCTCCTCATCCTGTCTCTGAATGCTGGGAGGCAGGCCGAGTGTTTTCCTGCCCACGTGCAAATACTGGTGCTGAATCGGAAGCTGCTAAAGGGGTCTCTACCACTGATTTAGATGATTCCAAGGAAGTCATCTCACACCAGCAGGTAGCTGGTGTTAAGTGAGTTTATAGGGCTTGGTCATCATGGGGAGCAGGAAAGATCCCCCCACAGGCAGAGAAGGCACTTTAGGCTAGTCCGTGGTGTGGAAACCTAGAGTACTGGATGCTGACGCTGACAGGGGTGTGAGTTTGAATTCCAGCTCTGCCTCTTATCAAGGCTGCACCTCCCACACCCCAGCCTTAGTCAGAGGATGGATGTGATACAGTAAACTCCAAAGGCATTCATCCCCTTCCTTCTCTTTTCATCCTTTGGGTACAATTTGATTATCTCTTCAGATTCCTTCCAGCTCTAGTTTAAACACAAACTATATATATGTATTTGAGATAGGGTCTTACTCTGTCACCCAGGCTGGAGTACAGTGGTGTGATCTCGGCCCACTACAACCTCTGCCTTCCTGGTTCAAGGGACTCTTCTGACTCAGCCTCCCAAGTAGCTAGGACTACAGGTATGCACCACCACACCTGGCTAGTTTTTGTATTTTTAACAGAGATGGGATTTTACCATGTTGTCCAGGCTGGCCTTGAACTCCTCACCTCAAGTGATCCACCTGCCTTGGCCTCCCAAAGTACTGGGATTACAGACGTGAGCCACCACGCCTGGCCTATTTTTAATATACACAGGGTCTTATTGTCACCCAGGCTGGAGTGCAGTAGTGTGATCGTAGCTCATTGCAGCTTTGATCTCCTGGGCTCAAGTGATTCTCCCACCTCAGCCTCCTCAGCAGCTGGGACTACAGGTGTATGCCACCATGCCTAGCTATTTTTAAAAAAGAAAAGTTTATAGAGATGGGGTCTTGCTATGTTGCCCAGGCTGATCTTGAATTCCTGGGCTCAAACGATCCTTCTGCCTCAGCCTCTCAAATTGTTGAGATTACAGGTGTGAGCCACCATGCCTGACTCAGATACTCTTCATAAGCCAAGAAAATTTGCAGGTCCTAGAAATCCCGTTATGAGTTTCGTCACTCAGACTTAATGGTGAAGGCTCAGGAGATGTTCCAGCAGAGAGTTGTTAGATGCTCTTCAACTCCTGAGCTGCTCTGAGGCCTTGTAGTTCCAATGCTCCCATGTAGATTTTAGATGATTAAATTCTACAACCAGCCTTATGGGTGTCATATTTCCAGAATTGATGTACTATTGGAACAGATGGGCCTTGCCAAGATCATCTCACACATCTTGATTTATGGAAAGGATTTTGCCAGATGGACTTGGATGAGAAATTCAGATTAGAAACCACCTTTCTAACACCCGTTAGAGTGTTTGAGTGAAATGTCCTGCCATTTGAACTCAGAATTGCACCTGTCTGTTTCCAGTGACTGGTTTAATGGTCTGCTAAGAGGGCCGGAGCCGTTTGCCTTGGCGTTTACCCACAGGCGGCATGGCTATATTTAGCCAAGACACAGGTGAACATCTGAGACAGGTCCCGCCGCTGCTGAATACAGTCCTCAAAGCCGAGCGTAGGATACAGTTTACTAAATGCCATGTTGGGCTTTCATTGCCCCAGCGTTCAAGCCACAAGGTGGTCTTGTGGGATAAAACACGAGTGATCAGAGTCTGGAAGGCCCCTGCAGCTAAGAAGAAAGTCAGATCATTTTGAACTGGTTGGATACAAGATAGGTTTTGTCATCTCTCATTTTAGGATTGTGACTGGGTTTCTTATTGCCTCTGATGCAGGCAAGCAAAACCTGATCTGAACACCAAGGGGTCAAGGAGCTTTTAAAATGAGGAAGCCGTTTCTGATTCCATTCTCGGCTTCACCAGCCCCAGACTTTTCATAGGCATCTATCCTGGCAGGTCCTGCTTTGGGCAGGGCTCTGTGGCTGAGCAGGAAGGATGGAGCCCAGCCCACAATGGCTGAAGGGGTGCCTTTTGCAGTGTGGCCAGAGGGCAAAGCAGTCAGCCACCCGGTACCAGCATCTGGCTGTGGTCTGCCTGTGAATGCACACCAGCCACAGGTGTTTGGCCATTTCACCTCTTGGACTAGCCTGTAAAACCTGAAATTGCTTGAGATTTTGCAGAGCCCAAACAGCAATTTCGAGAAGGGGTTGTGCATGTTTCAAGATCATCAGAACCTCTTCCTGGGTAGGAGAGGATGTGGAAAACTTCAGTACTAAATATTTAACGGGCACACTGGAAGCATTTATGAAAACTGATGCTCTGAGACTCTGTTTAATGAGTCTTGGGTGGGACCTGAATTTTGACTTTTTCGAAGTTCCTCAAGTGATGGTAATACTAATACACAGCCAGGATCAAAAAGCACAGCCAAGGAGACTGCACAAGTTGGACTTGGCTAAAGATGAGACTTTGACAGTAGAGGGAGAGGAAAGGGAGGCCTAAACTTGTTCTACTCAACATGGTGGTGAGAAGACTAAAGAAAGGAAAGAAATGGAACAAGCTCCTTTAAGTGACAAGCCTCTCATGGGCTAATTAGACTAGGGGATGAATGGTGAATTCTTTTGAAAGTGAAAAGAACAGTTTTAGTCATAGCCATTAGCATGTTACTTGGTAGGAAAGTAAATATTGGGCTTAAATCAAGTCTGTATCAGCCCCCTCCAGGGGCCAAAGTTGGGGGTTTTCAGCTTGTTTGAGGGCACTGGCAGCATCTGATTCTAATGAGGTGAACTCATAAAACAACAAATGAATATGGACGTGACAACCCAGCCCACCCCCTAAAAATAATATTCTCATTAAAATAAACAATTATGAAGCAAGGTAAAAAGAAAGTAAATGGCATTCACAGCCCCACCATCCCAAAATAACCTCTACAATTCCTTCTGGATGTATCTAGATAGAAAATAATAATTTTATATAAATGAGATTCCACCTGATTTTTTTTTCTCATGTAACATTGTGCTGTGGATCTCTTGTCACATCAATAAATACAGGCCTACATCAGTTTTAAATAGTATTTCATTATATGGATGAGCCATTTTCTAATCCGTCTTTGTTGATGGACATTTAGGTCATTTCCAATTCAAAGCTATTAACAATGAGATAAAGCATCCTGCACATGTGCGTCTGAGATACACATCCTGCTGCGGTGACATTACATGGCTGCCTAGCCTGGAGTGGAGATGACAAAAGCCCCACAACCCACGTTCTCCCATGGCACTGCCCCCAGCTTATTGTATTATCAATCATCTGTTGTTCGCTTTTGTGTTTCCTTATCCCCTTCCTCCCACACAGTCATAATGGCCTCTTTGGTTAGGTGTGGAGTACACTGTCCTGGTTGGGTCCTGCCGCTCCTTGTTATTAGACTGTGCAGAGTGCAAATGTGTCTGAAAGCCCATTGGCAGTCAGCAGAATGGCCTCTGACTCTGAGTAACTCATGAGTAGCCCACTCTGCTTGTATCACCCCAGCCGTCTTTCTAACAGAGAAGTTCCAGCATGCATTAGGTCCACATAAAGTGATGGGAACAGTCCCTACTTGCCTCACTTTAAAAAAATAATTTATATTTAATATTTATTTATTTCTCAAGAGTCTTAACAGGGGCCTGCTGGGTGCCATATCTTGTGCCTGGCACAGGAAACAGTCACAATTAAGTGCACGGTCCCTGGCCTCCAGGAGCTGATGTCTGTCTGCACAGAAGGGCTCAGTAGAATGCTCCTAAATGCAGTTCTCCATGGAAGTTAAGTGGCTGAGACTCCTTAGGACAGCAGTATCAACGACTTTGACTTCATAGAGAAACTTTTGTGTGAGGCAGATGATTTTGTAATCTCCTCAGATAAGACTGAAGCAGTTCTTTTGGTCAAAGCTAGAGGAAGTTAAAATGCCCTCATTGACCAGAGCAAAATGATCTTAGGCAAATCCCTGCCTGCCTTTGCATTTGCCGTGTGGCTCATTTTCCTGGCAAAAGAATAAAGGGGTTGTGAATTTTAGTTCTGTACTTTAAAGAGTTTAGGACGACAACCTCAAGACCAGTGCATAATGAGAGATTATTGGTATCATAGCTTGTACTTTTTGCTAGATTAATGGAGACCTGGAATGCTTGGAGAAGATTGGCTGTAACTTGAGAAACTCAGAAGGAAAAGGCAGTTGGTGATTCTGCTGATCAATTGGTTAAGGGGTTTTATGTTCTTTCAGGCACCACTTTGTAAAACTTCCAGAAACTAGGGAGTCCCCTCCCCAGAAAAATGCACATATATGCATAAACGTTGAATTTTTTTTTTTTTTTTTTTTGAGACGGAGTTTCGCTCTGTCGCCCAGGCTGGAGTGCAGTGGCGCGATCTCGACTCACTGCAAGCTCCGCCTCCTGGGTTCACGCCATTCTCCTGCCTCAGCCTCCCATGTAGCTGGGACTACAGGCGCGCGCCACCATGCCCGGCTAATTTTTGTATTTTTAGTAGAGACGGGGTTTCACCGTGTTAGCCAGGATGGTCTCGATCTCCTGACCTCGTGATCCGCCCGCCTCGGCCTCCCAAAGTGCTGGGATTACAGGCGTGAGCCACCGCGCCCGGCCAACGTTGAATTTTTTATACCATCCCAAGCAGTTTGCAGATTCCCAGCCTAAGAACCCATGATATGATCCAAACCCTGGTTTTTGTGGGTAGAATTACTAAGGCTTTTAGAGGAGGGTAACTGTGAGGGCTGAATAACCTTGCTGATGAACTATTCCTAAAGAAACTTTTTTTCTTTCTTTCAGCACTGGCTGGATCATGCCAAACCCATAAAAAAGCAGATGAAAAGTAAGTAAGCAGAATTTAGCTCACTCATTTATTTTTTTTCTGAGAGTAAACTCCTTTGCCAGTGTTTTGAGGTGTTATGTTTTCATTAGAACTTGGAAGCATTTTAAAAATCAATTCGGTATTAAGTGGATGATTTTTAATTTCTTAAGGCTAGCCAAAGATGAGAGTTTAAAATTTGAATAAAAATGTTTAGTGGATATTGAAAAACCAACTGTGCTCTCATTTGAAATCAGACGCCTCTGCCAATGAGAACTGATTAACCTGCTATTCAGAAACTCAGCTTTATACCTATTATATCTACTTCTAATGAGTTACAACATAGACTCAGAGGATGAGAGAGTAGGAGGGCTCTTTGATAGTCTGCTACAGCTTTCTCAATGTACAGGTGTGGAAACCACATTTTTTAATGTTGTTTATGCTTGGGTAATTTTTAAAAATTCATATTCTCTTAAAAGTACTTTAAAGTATTTTTAGAGAACAGAACACTTTGCATCACTTTCCTTTAGCCTTTGTACTTTGTAAAAACTAGCTGTCAGTTTGGAGTATTGTGGCATCAGGGGTGAAAATAAAATGTCAGCTTTTAGTAATCTGTCTAAATCACTAGGGTTTTTCTCCTGGAATGAGGTTACTAGCTAAACTATCTTAGTCAGCACAAAAGTCCATCCATCTCAGTTTCCCTGATGAGGACTGAAAAGAATTGGCTAGTGTCGCGTGCCCAGTTATGCTGTCCTGATGTTGTGCTAAATGTTATAGATTTAACGTGCTTTCCCTTTTGTCCATCCTGTGATCTTCAAAACTGGGGGAAAAACATCTTCAACCTTCCATCTCCAAATGTTTAGTTGGACCTGCTTATGCTTTACACTTTCGAGTTAAATACTATTCTTCAGAACCAAACAACCTTCGTGAGGAGTTTACAAGGTAGGCCACGATGCAGAACAAGCTCCCGCCCAGCAGGGCTTGCCTTACATGTCATTTATGGCTCTTCTCAATTGTGGGTTTGCCTCTTCTTCTGTCTGCTGTCTATTTCTCAGCAAGAGTTATTAGTACTTTTCCGGTGCTTCCGTGTTCCGTTAAAAATCCACAACTTTGCTTAATTTGACATTTTTCTGAGTGAATAGAAATTAGAAGATACATTTTCTTGTCACACTTCTATTTTCTTGGACCCTGGGTAAATTAATTGGTTGCTCTGCGGCGTTTTATTTTTATCTCAACTACAAAAAGGGAAGGCAGATATTGGAAAAGCATTTCTCAGTCCTTAATCGCCATCTTATGTTTTAAGAGATTGCAAAATATTCTCTTGATTGTTACAATACAAGGAACCTCTTTAAGAAAAACAGAGTAATTATAGCAAAGTTGTTAAAATCCCTTCATGTTATCTTTTAACTCCCCTGAATTTCTTTTTTTTTTTTTTTTTTTTTTTTTGAAACAAAATCTTGCTGTGTTGCCTAGGTTGGAGTGCAGTGGCATGATCTTGGGTCACTGCAGCCTCCACCTCCTGGGTTCAAGCGATTCTCCTGCCTCAGCCACCCGAGTAGATGGGATTACAGGCGCACACCATCACACTCTGCTAATTGTTATATATTTGACTGGAGACAGGGTTTCGCTGTGTTAGCCAGGCTGGTCTCAGACTCCTGACCTCAAGTGATCCACCCGCTTTGGCCTCCCAAAGTGCTGGGATTACAGGTGTGAGCCACTGCGCCCGGCCTGAATTTCTTTTTTGTTTTGTTTGCCCATGTCTATGTCTTGGACTTCAGAAACAGGGAAGAAGAAAAAGAAAATTTGAGTAACATTTTAAATGTGGAGTTTCCCTCTACCCTTTTCCATCAGTGAAATTCTCTACAAAGCCTTTTCCTGCTTTTGATATCCCCAGAGCCTCCTTGTCGTTGTTTGTGTGATGGACTGCAGTGGTGACATATAGGCTATGTAGGCTGCTGGGTGGTTCTTAGGGAGATGACCCCTAAATAATGCCTTAAAGACTGACTGGTTATCACCATTTCCCCTGGGCTTTTTTTTTGGAGACAAGGTCTGGCTCTGTCAACCAGGCTGGAGTGCAGTGGCGTGATCACAGCTTACTGCAGCCTCAACCTCCCAGGCTCAAGTGATCCTCCCACCTCAGCCTCCCTAGTAGCTGGGACCACAGGTGTGTGCCACCACCCCTGGCTAATTTTTTGTATTTTTTAAAATAGAGACAGCGTTTTGCCCTGTTACCCAGGCTCCTGCTAGGCTGCTATGGTTAGTTTTTCTTATAGGAATCAAGAGTTCTGGCCATGTTTATACTGTGTCTCTTGTGAGATGAGTATACAAGATGGTATCCTGACATTCAGAAGTGAAGTTCAGTGGTGGCCAAACACCTGTCAGGAAGCAGGAACATTCTGGAATGTACTAGAACCTTCAGCACGCCCGATCTCCTTGATTTCTGGCGAACAGTCATTCTAGTGTTGCTCCTCAGAGTCCTCTATGAATGCTGCTTCTAGCTGTCATCAAAGCGATTGGTTTTTAACCCAGGTTGTGTGAATCAGAAACACCTGGGAAGCTTTTGAACAGCTCAGATTCCTGGGGGCCACTCTTGTGTGTAGGATTCTGTTTCCGTAGGTAGGGAGCAGAGCACAGGCAGTTTTGGTTTTTACAAAGCATTGTGAGTGGTTCTGATGCCTACATCCTCCTGGTAAAAAACAAACAAAAGATACCCCTCTTATTTAAGCCAAGACATTTATTTTTTTACTTGAGTAAACCCCATGCGTGTTATTTGCTGGCTTCTTTCTCATTTTTTGTTACCCCTCTAACCATTTGCAGTCCAGTGCCAGGATTTTTCTTGTTTCGTGTGTGTGTGTGTGTGTGTTTGTGTGCTGTGCCTGTTTTGTGTTTTAAAAGAGTCTGCAGTTACACTGCATCAGGGGAAAAGAACCCCCAGTGGTTTTTTGACTAGAATCAGCTGCAAACTTTTTGTTACAATCCACCGCAGCAGATCTGGAATCCGCTGGTGGAGCTGGCTGAGAGCCAGACCCCGCGGCCCCACCCTGCCTGGGTTATTGGACATGTTGCATGCCCATGTGCCACGTTCGGCTCTCTTCTCCAGCACGGAGGGGGTTGTGGAGGCCGTCATTGGACCATGACGTGTATCACGTTCCATCCTACAAGTATCTTGCGAGTTCCCCACATGCACTCACCTTCCTAGCGTGGTTCTGGGATGCCTTCCTGGAGACCCAAGAGGAGATGCTTCCACCAAAGTTCTCATTTGATTTGGACTCCTTTTTTACAATGCAAAACTCCATGCTGTGTGTGGGGTGGGGTTTGCAGTGGGAAGCTGGGGATTGGGAGCAGCTGGGAAAGAGTTACCCTCTGTTGACTTTTGTATATGTTTGTCAGGTACCTGTTTGTTTTACAACTCAGGCATGACATTCTTTCTGGAAAGTAAGTATGTTTTTGTTCTAACTCTTAACCCAGGATAGATCATAGTGTATTTCAAAATAATTCACTGTTTTAACTCTTTTACCCTTGTTCCCTTTTCAAAATTCAAAAAAAGTGCACCAGGCATTGTAAAGTGAGTCTAATACTTGTATCACTGTCATTATCATCCTATTTTAAATGATTACTATATGGCTTGAAGCATTTCCAAGACCATTTAATATCTTAAGTGATGTGTATTTGGGAATAACTCTCTCCCTGATCACATCACTGTCCCATTCATAATGGCTTTTGTCGTATTTGCAAGCAAGATACGTTATTAGTATGTATACACTTACAAGTATTTGGACAGTCAAAAAGTGTCATTCATCACCATCTGCATATATGTAATGGAAAGAGGTTATGTTCTGATTCCAGTAGAAAGTTTTAGACATCTCATCTCACTTCCTTTTCTCCTCTTAAAAATGGCTTTGAAATACTAGGCCTCTGGCAGCACACAGTGATCATTGAGTATAAGAAGCATTGGCACTGAAGTGGTTGATTTCGCATGCAGTCTTAATTTACCGTAAAGATAAGAGGTTTCAACAGGCATAGCTCTTATAACTGTGTCATTTTTCAGCATCTGTATTGAATATTTTCTATTACATGAAAAACTAAGGCTATATTGAGTCTAAAAAGTAACCCCTGCTATTGAAAAGAATACGTTCTGATTTTGAATATAATCTGAAGGAAATTAAATATGTAATTTCCGAATTTGCAAACTCTCCATAGAATATGTGCTATAAAAACCTCAGTGAAATGTACTCCATAGACCAATAGAACAAGTAGATTGTACAGTGTATACATTTGCCTTATTCAGCCGTGCAATACAGACCTTTGGTTGGTGTGTGTATTATGAGTGTGTGTACTTTTTTTTAATCCTCTCTCCCTCTCTCTCTCTCTCTCTACCTCTCTCTCTCCATACTGTGCTCCTCATACTAAAGGCTGTGTAACTCTAGAAATTGTCTTCGGTTTGGAAAAATATTAATGGCAACACCTTGCATTTGTACAGTACTTTGTAGTTTACATGCAGTTTAGCCTGCTTTGTATTTAAAAGCAGAATGGTGTTCAAGTCCCAACATTGCTCCTTTCCAGCTGGATGACCTGGGGCAAGAGCCCTTAACACTGAGTTCCTCATCTATATAATGGGAGATGGGTCGGGGGGGCTCACTGGCAACACCTATCCTAAAGGTTTACAAACTTGATGCATTGACCAAATTGGATAATATAAATGAAAAGGCTTTGAAAACTATGAAGTGCTATACCAATGTATGTCATTATTGTTTTTCTAACCAAATTTGAAATATTACGTATGAATGAGATCACTGAATTTGCAGTAGTACTCTTCTATGGCTGTGCCTTAGATAGACTTAGAATGCTGAGTGTATCCAGCCATGCTGGCAGTGTTCGATATGGTGTCTGTGTGTTTATTTTTAACGCTATGACCTTGTTTCAAGAAAGATTTGAAGGCAGCTTTAAAAAAGATGCATGTACTATATCAAGATAAAATAAATTTAAAATATGTTTAAAAATAATAAGGCAAAGGGAATACTTTTCATTCTGTTTTCCAAACTTTTCCATTCTTGCCAAATTCAGTAAAATTGTACACGATTGATAGAAACTATACCTACATTGGGTTATTTTGCCCTATGATGAGAATTGACTTTGGGAAATTTGTAGTGCAAGTCGCTTGTTGCATTCTTTAATGTAGACAGCAAAAATATGACTAAGAATACAAGTCATTATCTAAATAGCGCTACCTTTTGAAAAATGATTTTAATGACATTTTGTATGGTTGTACTTAAGTTCCTATTTCGAATTAATTTCATTTTATTTTTTTCAAGATTGAAATGCCCTTATGAAACAGCTGTGGAATTAGCTGCTCTCTGTCTACAAGGTACATTAATCTTTAGTAGTAATTAGCATTTTAATGTTATTGCTTTTTATTTCAACAAATGAGTGTCCACAGTATACCAGGCCCAGTGCTTAGCTTTGGGGATATAAATGAATATGACACGGTCTCTGTCCCCAAGTGGCGTGCAGTCCAGTGAGGAAGGCAAGGAGTAGCAAGGACTGCAGTGCAGTTCCTTCAGGAACAGAGACGTGCAGGAGGTTTGGACAAGGAAGGCCCATTGTGGGGATGAGAAGACCATGAGTCAAGGAACCAAGGCACAAAAGTGCAGAGAGGTTAGCAGCAGTTGAGTGATGCTACAGAGTGAAGTTCAAGCATTTGGACAGGTGGATGACCTCGGGCCCCATTTAAAGAGAAAGAATTTCATGCAGTCAGCAGTGACACCTTTGAAAGCTCTTAAGAGGGAGCAGGCCTGGCCGGATATGCACTTTAGAAAGGCCACGTTGGCTATATGGGGAGAAGGGATCAGAGCAGGACCAAGACTGGGACTGGGAGTCCAGTGAGGAGGTGCTGCTGTAATAGAAGGGAAAGGAAACTAACTAGGGCAGGGGTTTGCACACACACACACACACACACACACACCCCCACACACACCAAGAAATAGCATTGGCAGTACAAGGAGAAGGACTTGGTGATTAGACTTAGGTGTTGAGGGAGGAGTTTGAGATGATTCTCAGGCTGTTTCTGGGGATGGATAGAGGTTAGAAGAGGTGGACTCTGGTGGAGGAAATGGTCTGTGTTGGGTCCCTTGACTAAGAGGTTCTAGAAGCTCCAGCAGGTTCTTGAGTACCTGAATCTGGCTCACTCAGAGAGGTCAGACTGGAAGCATTAATGTCAGGACTGGTGGGGTGCAAAGGGTATTTTTGCATGTGAGTGGGAACTGGATGGTAAGAGGTCTGCCTGCATGATTGTCAGCATTGGCCGTTTATCTGTGTGATGCCCTGGTGGTGTGTAGTTTCGGATGCAGAAGAAACACTTGCTAAAGTCTCTAGCACTAATTAAGAGAATACTAATGTGTAACTGCATATCCGGGATTTCATTAGTACATCAGATAGACATATGTTGTGCACTCATTTGCCAGCATGTTCATCAGCTTCTACTGGATTATGGATTATGA
Source organism: Homo sapiens (assembly GCF_000001405.40). NCBI lineage: Eukaryota > Metazoa > Chordata > Mammalia > Primates > Hominidae > Homo > Homo sapiens. The sequence continues at coordinate 109,261,917 of NC_000009.12, read as the reverse complement.
CATATTCATTCATAATTAGTAATTACTTATGAATACCATAATGAGAATTGACTTCTCACTTTTGTATTTGGCCAGTTTTTAAAAGTGGAACTGAGAGGTTTTTTCAAATTATAAAATTAGTACACACTTACTACAGAATATCAGGACAACAACCCACCAATAAGACAAGCATAAGGAAGGAAGGAACCCACTGTCCTACCACCCACAGGCAACCAGAATTTCTAGCTATGAGTTTTGAGTGGACTTTTGAAAATGTTATTTTGATCAGTCATCTGCAAATTTTTGTATAATTTTTTTTACTTGGTATTTTTAGTATGTGTATTTTGTCATGTGTACACTCATAGAGATGGTTTTTAATGACCGTAGGATGCTCCCATTACCTGAAACTTCTATTCTTCAGTCACCTTTTAATTCCTGTTGTCTTGAACTCCTGGCCTCAAGCGATCCTCCCACCTCAGCCTCCCAAAGCACTGAGATTACAGGCATGAGCAACCTCACCCAGACTCTTAATTCTTATTATCTAATGGGGACTTGGCATATAGTAGATGCTTGGTAAGTGCAGAGTGAGTTGAATTATTGAAATTGGAGAGACCCCCCTCACCCCACCCCCGCCAAGAACTTTAAAGGCAGAACCTTTAAACTGGTGGTAGAGTTGATGGTAATGTCATCTATAGCCATCTGTGCCAAATACAGTGCTCAGTGCTTCCGATGTATTTTTCTGATATGACAGTCTTTATGGCAAGTGCTATAACGACAGGCATGGCTTGGAGAACATGGCCGTGGCCTCCGCACTCCGGCCACTCACCCACTTAGCAAGTGGCTTTCCTCTACCCCAGAGTTCCTGAGCTGCCAGAGGTCACACCATCAGGCTTGACAGCCCAGCAGTAGATGTCAGGGTGTCACGAATGAGACAAAAGAGACGGAAGGCCATTAATCCACTGGAAAGGTTTCCTCCTAAAGCCATTGGCACAATATTGCAAGCTTGTACGTTGTCCTGAAAGATCAGAGGATGAGGTGCACGTATTACCATCCCACCCCATTGCAATGAAGCCCTCACCACACTTAACAGAGTAGTGTAGAACCAAAACCTTGCCCCAGAGCCGAGACAGACACAAATAAGGTCAGTTCTCTGTGACCGTTCTTGGAGAAATTATCCTTTGAGCTGAAATCATAATGTCAGTGTGATTTTAAGATACAATTGTTGGCCGGGCGCGATGGCTCACCCCTGTAATCCCAGCACTTCGGGAGGCCGAGGCGGGTGGATTACCTGAGGTCCGGAGTTCAAGACCAGCCTGGCCAACATAGTAAAACTCCATCTCTACCAAAAATACAAAAATTAGCCAGGCATGGTGGTGGACATCTGTAATCCCAACTACTCAGGAGGCTGAAGCAGGAGAATTGCTTGAACCCGGGAGGCGGAGGTTGCAGTGAGCCAAGATTGCATTACTGCACTCCAGCCTGGGTGACAGAGCGAGACTCTGTCTCAAAAAAAAAAAAAAAAAAAAAAGATACAATTGATTGTTATGTCAGATAGAAATAAAAAGACTTGGCTGGGCATGGTGGCTCATGCCTGTAATCTCAGCACTTTGGGAGGCTGAGGTGGGCGGATCGCTTGGGCCCAGGAGTTTGAGACCAGCTTGGGCAACATGGCAAAACCCTGTCTCTACAAAAAATACAAAAATTAGCCAGGTATGGTGGCGCATACCTATAATCCCAGCTACAGACTGAGCTGGGAGGATCACCTGAGCCAGGGGAGGTTGAGGTTTGAGGTTGCAGAGAGCTGTGATCACGCCACTGCACTCCAGCCTAGGCAACTAAGACCCTTTCTCAAAAGAAAAGAAAAGAAAAACACTGAAGATTTAGACACAAGGCGAGGCTCTTGTTACATTGTCCCTCCGTGCCCCCTCTCCCCAACCCCATTCCATGAGTAAATGCTACAGTCTGCTTTCCACCTCACCCACAGCTGAGCTAGCTTGTCTGGGACTCTAAGGATCACTAGAGCATCTCTGTAGGTTTGAATAAAATGAAGGGTTGTGTTTCCTCCTGTGCTTGAGCCTTGAAGACATGTCTTGCTGTGGTTGTCCTCGATGCCTCCTGAGTTGTGATACAGTGGCCCTGCAGGGAGGCTGTGCTCTTTTGGGAACTAAATTTGTGGTGGATTTAAAAATTAAACCAGGTAAAAGGAAAAGAAGGGAGAACTAATAGGCCACTCATCTGTTGCATGCCTGTGCTCCTTTTTCATTCTTGTAACAATTCCCATTTTACAAATCAGGCACCGGAGACCCAGAGATGTTAAGTGACTTGCCTGCAGTCACATAGATAGATTATGATAGGGTTGGGATCCAAGTCCTCTTGTGTCTGAGCTGTTTCCACCACCCTCCACGGCCTCCTAGAGCTGAGGCCTGGCTGCAGAGATTGCAAATTGAGTGAAGTGTTAGTTGATGGGATCTGATGTGTGCAGCAGAGGTTCTTAAAGTGTTTTCCAGGGTCGCCACATTAGCATCACATGGGGACTTGTTAGAAAAGCCAGTTCTTAGGCCGGGTTCCAGACCTAGGGATTCAAAAACTCTGGGGGCGGGGCCCAGTGATGTGCATTTTAACCAGCTCACCAGGTGATTCTGATGCGCACCCAAATTCGAAAGCCACTATTATACCTCAGTGATTTTTCCAACAAATGGGCAGGCCTGTGACCTGGGCATCTTGTTAAAAGGCAGGTTTTGCTTGAATAGGTCTGGGGTGGGGTTTCAGGTTCTGCGTTTTGGGCAAGCTCCCAGGGGATGGCAGTACTATTGGTGTGTGGTCCACACTTGGTGTAGCCTAGTGTTAGAGGGAACTCTAGAGGATTCCTTTTCATTCTGGGGTCTGCTTCCTGAGCTGCAGGGGGTGGGGGAGAGTGGATTTTCTCATCATCCCTGGAGGAGGGGGCCACCTGTATCCTCAGGCCCTCCATCCTGTGGGGGACTTGGCAAGGGCAGCACAAATTGCAGCACAAATTGGGCTTCTTGCTCGGATCACTCGTGTGGCTGCTCCTCCCTCCTTTCTGCACAGCTGTCTCCCTCCCAGGTTCTGCCTGACTTCCCGCAGTTGCTCCTGCAGCCCTCGCACCCCTCCTCCCTGCCTCCCTCTCGCTCTGCCTCTCCCTCCCCTTCCTACTTTCCCCCTGGATGCTGCATGTGCCGAATTCTTGATCTATCCTCTCCAGCACTGCAGACCCTGAAGTGCTGCTCTGACCTACTCTTAACGAGAGGCTTGTTAAATGGATGTTTCTGGGCAGATCCTCATTCCCTGCAATTGCCTTTTATTGCAAATTCAGGGTTCTACCCCTTCGTGGGGAAAATGTAACTGGTGCTTCCCTGGGTGGGAACAACAGTGGAGAGAAAGACAGTAATAACTAGGATGATGCTGTATCACCCAACAGGGAGGACATTAGAATGCTTCTAGGATTTTGAGTGTACATATGACTACCCAAGTGAGAGTTAAGTCTTCCCGAAAGGAGAGAGTTATACATTGGGGCGGGGGGCTGTGCTTTATAATGATGCAAAATGCCTTTGGACCTGGTTGCAGCAATAACTGAAATCATTCAATGTCTCCTATTTTCCTCCCTTTTATGAAACTTACAGCGGAGCTTGGGGAGTGCGAGCTTCCAGAACACACACCAGAGCTTGTGTCTGAGTTTCGGTTCATTCCAAATCAGACAGAAGCAATGGAATTTGATATCTTCCAGAGATGGAAAGAGTGCAGGTACCTTGATGCAACCGTCTAGCATTCTGATGTATCTATTTTGTCATAAATAAGTGTTGATCACACTCCTTTATCTACCAGTAGAATTGTTCTGTTGATGGCCATAAAACTGCAGCGCCAACTCTTCTCTCCTTGTGTCAGTCCTGTTTTTCCAAAGGCCCACATCTTGTCCTTTTTATTTTTGAGAGAGTCTCGCTCTGTTGCCCAGGCCAGAGTGCAGTGGCACTATGTTGGCTCACTGAATCCTCGACCTCCCAATGCTCAAGCAATCCTCCTGCCTCAGCCTCCCGAGCAGCTGGGATTATAGGCGTATACCACCATGCCTGGCTCATTTTTCTATTTTTTGCAGAGATGAGGTTTCACCACGTTGCCTAGGCTGGTCTCAAACTCCTGAGCTCAAGTGATTGTCCCACCTCAGCCTCCCAAAGTGTTGGGATTACAGGCAGGAGCCACCACACCTGGCCGTCTGTCTCTTAAGAGATGTGCAGCAAGAACCAAACCACACTCCTTTTCTCTCTCTGCAAACAGAGCCTGGTTCTGATTTGTTTATTGCGGATGGGGGAGCCACCACTGTCTTAGTGACACCCCAGGGCATCCCAGGCACTCTCACATACCTGCATCTCTGGGACCTCAGGGCCTGAACCTTCTGAAACAAGCCCTAAATTTAGAAATATACCCTGTTGTATAGGAACATACATATTTGAGACCGTGTGCTGTACAGTGTTACATTTCAGGAAGTGTGATCATCATACCTAAATCCAGCAGTGTCATTTATCCCCTTTGTTTTTTCCCTCCATTCCCCCTGCAGGCACCACTTTCATGCCTGGACTACCAACGCCACCCCTCACTCACGGGTTTCCTAGATGTTAACCTTTCCTCCCTCCCATCCCATCTTCCCCAAACACTGCCTCCTCCAGGTCACCCTTGGACTCTGGAGCTTAGCATGACTTTCTCTTATCCCTCAGTCATTCTGAAAAGCTCCTGTGACTATTTTAGTGGAAGGTGGCATTAGTCCATTCTCATTGTGTAACACTGAAACAACGTAAATGTCTGCGGGTATGGCACACCCCACCCACACACTTACACATCCACTCTCCTCCCTGCAGGAAGCCATCATTGGCAGCCTGTAGTCTTTTCCTTTTGCATTTACATATACAACTTGTTTTGTTGTTTCCTTAAGTGATCATATTGTAAGCACTGTTCTGTGATTTTGTTGTTGTTGTTGTTGAGATGGAGTTTCAGTCTTGTTGCCCAGGCTGGAGTGCAATGGCACGATCTTGGATCTTGGCTCACTGCAACCTCCGCCTCCCAGGTTTAAGTGATTCTCCTTCCTCAGCCTCCCAAGTAGCTGGGATTACAGGCATGTGCCACCACGCCCAGCGAATTCTGTATTTTTAGCAGAGATGGGGTTTCACCATGTTAGTCAGGCTGGTCTCGAACTCCTGACCTCAAGTGATCCACCAACCTTGGCCTCCCAAAGTGCTGGGATAACAGGCGTGAGTCACTGCGCCCAGCCTGTTCTGTGGTCTTTCTAGTCAATTAACAGTAAGGTCTTGGGAATCTTTTTGTATTACTATAATTTGGCATCCCTCATTGCTTTAATTGCTGCATAACGTTCCATAGTAAGGCCGTGCCCTTCAGAATCCTGTGGGCTTACGAGTCGCAGTTTACATGTATTTCCATTGGTTTTTCTAAGGGGAAAGAGCCCTGCCCAGGCGGAACTCTCCTATCTGAATAAAGCGAAGTGGCTGGAAATGTATGGGGTAGACATGCACGTTGTCAGGGTAAGAACTGTGTGCGTTTAAGTAATTTGGTTTTGCTGTTACTGAAAAATGTATGAACATTATGCAAACAAAATAACTTGTGGTGAGGAAACTGTTTTTGCATTTTGCATTCTGCTGTGTGACGACCTGTTAGAACCCTCTACCGATTGTCACTTCGTTTGTTTGTAGGGAAGAGATGGCTGTGAATATTCTCTTGGACTGACCCCGACAGGCATATTAATCTTTGAAGGAGCTAACAAAATAGGCTTATTCTTTTGGTAATTTAGTTTTGTCTAATATTAAAAATGTCTTTTCCTATTTTGTGGTGGAATTCTATGTGATGGATGATTATTGAGGGGTATCTGCAACACCCAGATTCATCCTCAGAGCACACGGTGCTGCTGTTGTGGGTCTGTGGCAGTTGCGCTGAAACTTCTGGATAATCACACTTGGATGAATGTTTTTATTTTTTTTTTAGTCTAAGCTTTAAAAGTAGAAAGGAAACTGCTATTTGATGTGTAGATAGTTTTACTGCAGATTGTGCTTTTAAAATGCTTTCTGTCTGACTAGGCCTAAAATTACCAAAATGGATTTTAAAAAGAGCAAATTGACACTCGTGGTGGTCGAGGATGATGATCAGGTAGGCCTGGCTCCCATTTCTTCCCCCTTGCTGTGAAAATCCTGTGTTGGGGTTGCAAACGCCCACTCGAGGCCCTTGTGCTTCCTCTTTAAGGGACGTGAGCAAGAGCACACGTTTGTGTTCCGGTTAGACAGTGCCAGGACCTGCAAACACCTTTGGAAGTGTGCAGTTGAGCACCACGCATTCTTCCGACTGCGGACGCCAGGAAACAGCAAATCCAATAGATCCGACTTTATCAGGCTGGGCTCTCGCTTCAGATTCAGGTAGGGAGCCATTTCTGCAACACGGATCACGTCTTCTGAAGGAGGGCAACTGTGATTTCTTTCTTGTATGCGAATAGAGTAGTGGATTTGAGTCCAGAAACTTAGGTTGTGTGTCCCATCCCCACGTTTCTTAAGGTGAGTAACTGAAGCTCTTTTGACCCCCACCTGGTCATTGATAAAATGGAACTAATAACAAAATTGTTAATAACTGACATTTAGTCAGAGCTGTGCTGTTCAATACAGTAGGCACTAGCCACACGTGGCAATTTAAGTTAATGAATATGAAATAAATTTTACAATGTAATTCTTCAGTATCGCTAGTCATATTTCAAGCGGCCAAGAAGCCACATGTGGCTAGTGGCTACCATATTAGACAATATAGACACAGGACACAGGATCATTTTGGAAAGTTCTGTTGGCCAGCACTGTGCCAGAACTGTTCACACACCCTTAATAAGGTAGGTTGATTAACCCCATTTTACAGATAAGGAAACCAGGGCCAGAGGCATTACGCTTAAAATCACACACAGCCAGTAAGTGGTAGAGCGGAGATTCAACCCTGTGAACTCTGGCTGTTAAATTTCTAACTGCTACTGTATTGCCTTTTGCATGCCAATGTCCAGAAATTTGGGGTAATTAAGAATGAGAGCAGATATCAATGTGTAACCCAAGGTAGGATGAGTAGATATTTGAATCTGAAAAGAGCCTGAAAACATCAAGAGCTTATTCTGATATATTTTTGCTTATCATCCTAAGACCATTTTTCTCAAAGTGTGTGAAAACTTTCTTGGTGTTTGTTAAAAATGAGGACAACAACCTCATCTGAGACCTTTGCAGTCAGAATCTGTGGGTATGCATGTGTGTGTATGTGTAAGGCCTGGCAGTACGCATTTAAAATGTGCTCCCAGGGTTTTTGAGGCCTATTTACATTTGAGAATCTCAGTTACGATATCTAAAACTTCACATGGTTTCATAACCTCTACCCACACATGGCACATCCCTGAACTCTATTTAAATGCCAAAAGATTTGCTCATTTCAAATGTTTCTACTGTGTGAGGAAATAGCTATGAACTTCTGTTTAAAGAATTATTTTGTTTTAAATGCTCCAAGGGGTCGGGGGCGGGGTGGGGGGAAGACCAAGCTCTTTTTGAGAAACAATCAAATCCCAGGGTCCTGTGGAGGATGCAGAGGTTACCGGAGACACTCCACAGAATGCTGGTGTCTACTCGGAGTGGAGTGAGGCGGGAAGGACAGTCAGGGCAGTTGCCAAGGCAGGCTTTTCTCTCCTGGGAGGAAACTGCCCCAGGCTTAGTCCCAGACCATGTTCCTTTCTGCTCCTCTGGAAGTGTAAGAAGGAAGGGAGTTTGGAGGAGAAGAGGTTGCCCTTAGAGGCACACAGAGCAGGTGACAAATGGTGACTAAGAGCAACTGGAATGAAGCAGTTGAGGAGTACATCAGACGAAACCAGCAACCTCCTGGAATCTGCAGCCGGGTGTCACGTTGGTTGAAACCCAAAAAGCCTTAGTGAAATCAGTAATGTTTGCCTTGGCATAGCAAAGAAAGCTGAGACCTAGTTAAGTGGGTATTGATAACAGTCTTCTAAAAGATGGGTTAAATGTCTATGCAGTGTGTTCTGTGAAAGGTTATTTTATGTGAAAATCAATGTTCTCTTAATGAGATGTATCAAACCTGCTTGGTTTGTGCAGCCAAGTGGCTGGTACCTAAATTGCAGGTTTTGCCCTTTGGTGGAAATATCTGCCCCTGGACTGTAGCCTGGACTTGGCAAAGGAGATTTTATTTCCAAATGGAAGGTTAAACTTTGTGTTTCTTTACCCAAGTGAGTTCAGGCTAAGTTGAAACGTACGTTGGAGCTCTTGGAAATAAAAGTGCACTTTCAAAAACAGGTAATGTACTGAGATTCTGATATTGATAACACACGAGAAAATATTTACTTCCCAGTGGGCGGACAGAATATCAAGCTACACATGGCTCCAGGTTACGAAGAACCAGCACCTTTGAGAGGAAGCCTAGTAAACGTTATCCATCCCGGAGACATTCAACGTTCAAAGGTTGTGTGTTTTTCATTCTTTCTTGGAATTTTACATTATGCTTGAGTCATTTAAGCCCTCGAGGAGCTTGGTCAAGCAGCTTATGAAGAAAGTACCCGCAGTTCTCCAGTCTGGAGCTTTTGGAAAAATAATCCCAGTGGTGTTCTTTTAACGGGACCTGGCCACTTCCGCCATCCCTCTGTCATTAGTGTTTGCCGTGGATGTGTTCATTTATTTCTCCCCTTTCTCCATATTTCTTTCCATGTGCCTCTTTGCTTCTTTTAGACCTGGGCTCAAGCCCCGGTACCTCAGGAATATCACAGGGAAACACCTTTCTTGCCTATAGAAGATACTGTATCTCCATCATCTTGCAATTTTAAGTGTGGACATCAGGCCCATGCTAACTGGAATTCTGACCACGTACAAGTACATGAAGAACTTTTAGATATTCGGCTCAAGTCCCACAGTCAGTCCAAACTTTCCTCACCCTTAAATTTAGCCAGGCCCTAGAATGCCTGCCCCCTTCCCCTTTCCAAACCCCTTCAACCTTGTCCATCAGTTACAGCTGGGGCCTCATACCTGTATGAGGCCCGGAACACAGTACAACTCAGTCAGTGAATGAGCAAGCCAGGCTCATTTCTGTTGGATCCCAGCCTCCAGATCCCATCTTGTAGCTCTTCTTTCTCTACACTAGGTTGCTCCCCGACTTAGGACGCCCAGTTTGTACTCAGTGTTTGCTCTTTTATGGCAGAGCCTCTGCACTCCCAGCCTCCTGGCCCCTTCTGTACATGATTTCCTTGTGGCCACTCCATGCATTTTTCTTGGCTCAGGACTTAGTGGGCCTCCATGGGACTTGGTACCTCTACTTGTTCCCTTCTGGAATCTGTAACTTTGTGTTCCCCACCATTCTTTCCTTTATGAACCGATGGTGCAACAGCATGACTACCTGAAATTCTTAGTCACTCCCAGCTGCTTTAGTGGAGGGAAAATGCCCACAGCACAGGAAATAGTCCTGCCCTTCGAGAGAGGCCAGGGGATGGGAGCGTGTCCAGAGAAGGGCGATGGGTTGATGAAGGGTGGCCACAGCGCCCGGGAGGAAGGGGCCAGAACGCTCTCTGTTCTGTTCCATGAGGAGGATTATGCTGGTGTGTGTAGTCCACTGGTTCAGAGTTGTCCAGAAATAGCTCAGTGTAAGGAACAATTTTCCAAAGATCAAAAGAGCTGTCTCAAGATAGCAGTGCGTTCCCAGCCCCTACAGGTGTATACAGCACAAAGGGAGGGACCCCCTGGTGTGGCTGTCACAGAGGGAAGTGGACGTCCTGTGGTTTGACCCCACCAGATGGCTTTAGAGATCTGGGCCCCAGGGTCTGTGATTCTTTTCCCCCTCCCTCTTTTCTCTCCCTTATTTCACTGACTTTTTTCCAGCCAGAGTTCTAGCATCTTCTTTGTCAAGCTTTTAATGATTTTCCCTGCCACATCTATCCTTTTAAAAACAAAATGGAGTGTAAGCGGCTAAGCTGTACCTCATTCCCAGGGCTCTGTCCATGCAGGCCCTCACGGCGTCCCCGAGGCCCCTCAGTCCAGACCCATGCTTATATTGCATCCCTGATCACCGTGTGCTGTTTTCCCTTTTACCCACTTCTCTGTATCTGCCTTTCTCTGTCTCTAGACAGGGAACTTCTTGAGAGCAGAGACTGTGTCTCTTTGTCCCTGCCTCCCAGAGCGCCCAGCCCTGGGAACCTGCTGAGTGGATGGTTGCTGAGTGAATCAGAGGGAGGGGTAGTTTACTCTCCCTGAGGAAAGGAGAAGTAGCCACCATGCAGTTCTGCCTGGGTTGGAGTTGGAAAGGCTCTGTGATGGTAGAAGTCTCGCATGGCCATTATCTGTCATTGCATGGTGAAAGCGATAAAGTTCTCTAAGATGTCATAACTTTCTGTTTTTCCTTTATAGCAAGCAACCCAGTGATAGCAGCCCAGCTCTGGTGAGTGTCCTTGAGCTCTAGAGCACAGCTCTCCTCTCTAAGGATCGTATTTATTTGCAATGTTGACTTTTTCCTTACTACAGTGAAATCAGGAAGTGTGTCATCTGGTAATTTTTTTCCCCTTTTTCTGCTGCCTGGCTATTCCATGCTCATGGCTTTCAATAAGTACACAATATAATGTTCCAAGACAGTTTGGTTTTTTTGGCAAACACAGCTGCTTTGTTTGAGTAGCTGTGTGCTTTGTTTATGATAACAGTGGGTGGGAAAGGTAGAGGCCTGTGCGCAGCACACTGTGCTCATGGCGTGGCAGGCAGTGCTGGGAGAGGAAGGCCTTGCTCGCGAGCAAAAGCTGGACGAGAGCAGATGCTAGATTTGCTCAGTGACGTGCAGGTTTTACATCATAGAAGACATTAAACACCTTTACTGAAATTCCTGCAGGAAAATGAACTTATCACAAGAGTGAAAATTGCCAGCACAGGATTCAGCAAACATTTTCTGTAAAGGGCCACATAGTCCATGTTTGAGACTTTGCAGGCTCTGCTGTGTCTTTCACAGCTACTCACCTCTGCTGTTGTAGCTAGAGAGCCGCTGTGGAAAATATGTAAATGAGCGAACGTGACTGCATTCCAATAAAACTTTACTTATAAATATCAGTGGACCAGATTTGGCCCAAGGGGTATAGTTTTTGCAGGCCTCTTCCCTGGCACAGGTGTCCAGGGTCTTGCCTGTATAGTAGAATGATCTGGTGAGCATAATTATCTGAAACATCCTCCGCAGCCACACCCCAGGCGCATTGAATCAGTCTCTCAGGGTGGGACCCATATAGCTTGTTTTTAAAGCTGCCCAGGTGAGTCTGCCCGGCATATACCGCTCTTGCTCTCTCTGAAACAACTGCCTGTCTTATGTGAGTTTTGGCTTGTTGAGTAGACAAGCTGTCATGTGAGAGAACCACAGACTTGCATTGTTTGGACCTTTGGTCTGAACTGCAGCCGCTGGTAGGTAGGCCAGGTTCATTAGGCTCTCAGTCATCCCAGGCGCAGGTCTCAAGGCGGCTGAGAGGGTGGTCTTTGAGATGGGCACAGCTTGACTGTGCCATGCACTATCAGTCAGGACAGTTGGCAAAACGTGGCACGGGGTGGAGCGGGTTGCAGATACCCCGGTGAGCGAGGAGAGCCCTGGCTGAGGCATCAGGAACCCTCCCTCCAGGTACCAGCTGTGTTCTAACCCAGCTCTGGAGACTTAGGCCTTCCTACTTCTGGGCCTCCGTTTTCTTTTTTGCAAATCAGGAGGTTGGGCTAGATCAGTGTTTTTCCAAACTCTTTTACCCTCTGATTTTCACCCTCTAGAAGAAACCTGATGTCAAAGCCCAAAATACAGAACAGACAAATGTGGAGGTCCTCCGGATGAAGCCGAGTGGGGAGGGAGAGGCCAGTTCCTGCCTGCTCTTCTGCCACTCCTCCCACCCCGTAGCTCCAGGGCACCTTCAAGGAACCCAGGGTTCTAGAGAACACAGCTGGTCCCTCATATTACACAGCTGGAAACTCAACCTCGCATCTCTGATTCCAAATCCTACTTTCAGCGTCATTCTGCCTTTTGTCTCTGGGTTTTGTTCTCAGCATCTGATGAAGGGGCTCAGGGGTCCTGTTGAACTGCTCTGTGTCGCCCCCTGCCCCGGAGGGTGGGAGGAGGTTGCAGTATTCTGGATGGGTTAGTTGTAGGTCCCTAGATTCACCCCATTTTTAGGATCCTTCTGGCAGATAGTATGCCAAATGGTATCTGTACCTTTCTTAGCTTGTCGGGGTGTCTTGCTTTTAATTCTCTGGGGCTTGTAAGTTACAGCCCCAATTTCTTTACTTTGCTCTCTAAGGTAGTGATTGTTTTGCTTGTTTCTCCCTAATAAAATTACATTTTCCTCCCAGCATCTAGTGGAGATTATATATTGGGAACCAAAACAAACTAAAAAAAAAAAAAAAATTCTGCCCAAAAAAAAAAGCCCTGATAAATATACCCTTTAGGAACAAATGAGCTAATAACTGCTGTTCGCAGCTGTTCAATTGCTCTTCACAGCCTGTGGGATCCCAGGGTGAGTAGGATTGCTGTGGGAGCCGTGGATGAAATTGTGCTCTGGGCTCCAGAGGTACTACTAGAAAAATAGCACCTTGCGGAACGCTTAACTTACCTGATGAAGTCCAGCCAGAGGTGATCTGGTTCAGAGCCTAGCTCTGTGTACTGGTCCTCCCTGAAAACCAGAACACAGAGCCATTTAGACCCCAAGCAAGACTTATAACAATGATCTGTTTGCCTCTCAGTGTTGGAGAAGCCAGCAATAACACTTGATTTCAAGCACACCTCCTGGCAATAATGATTGCCTGCTCTGTCCATATATATACATATATATATATATATATTTTTTTTTTTTTTTGAGATGGAGTCTCGCTCTGTCGCCCAGGCTAGAGTGCAGTGGCGCAGTCTCGGCTCACTGCCAGCTCTGCCTCCCGGGTTCACGCCGTTCTCCTGCCTCAGCCTCCCGAGTAGCTGGGACTACAGGTGCCCGCCACCACGCCCGGCTAATTTTTTGTATTTTTAGTAGAGACGAGGTTCCACCGTATTAGCCAGGATGGTCTCGATCTCCTGACCTCGTGATCAACCCTCCTCAGCCTCCCAAAGTGCTGGGATTACAGGTGTGAGCTACCACGCCCGGCCTATATATATATATTTAGCATTTAAGATCTCATCAGCCAAGCACAGTGGCTCATGCCTATAATCCCAACACTTTGGGAGGTTGAGGCTGGAGGATTGCTTGAGCCCAGGAGTTCAGGACCAGCCCGGGCAACATGTGAGATCTCATCTCTTAAAACAAACAAAAAGATTCCATCGAAATAGGATCATGATGAGGAGCCCTGAGCCTTTTCTCAGTCCCTCTAAGAGCCAAGTTGGTTTAGCAGAAAGAAGACAGGCTTTAGGATTCTGCAGATGTTGATTCTAGCCCTGGCTCCCACTGACCAGCCAGGCGACCCTGAGCAGGTTTCCCAACTCTCTGTTAGGCAACTGTTCCTTTATCTGTAAAACGAGGTGGTCACATTTGTTGACCTCATAGCCTTGTCGTGTGGATTAAATAATAACAGATGTGAAGTTCCCAGTACAGAGTCTTGTCTGGAGAGAACATTCCAAAGTGGTGGCCAGATTATTGACAGTGGTTTTAATAGCAAGGGGACCCACATGTGGCTCCCACCACAGTACCCAGTGGGAGATGCTCAGGAGGGATCGGTGCCTCCCCCTGCCGTGGGAAGAGGCTCTGCGCATCACTGGAGCTTCTGGTGCCGGTGCTGTGAGGTCTCCCAGCAATGCCAGGGCAGGCCTGAAATGGGAGTAAAATTACTTGGTTTGCCCAACTGAAACAGGACCTCATTTTTGTCACCAAAATATGACATTGAGACTGCATTCTGGAATATTTCCTACTGTTTCTGTTTGTGAGCTCTAAAAGGACAAGTGAAAGTTGCTGTCTGGGGTTTTCCTTGTTATATGTTCATTTTAAACAGCCAATAACCAAAAAAAAGTCATTATGTGGAAGTTCCTATTAGAGTATGTAGCACATAGGAATAGTTCATGATTGTTAAATAAATCATTAATAATGCCACTCTACAACCTATTTTTCTTTTTTTTTCTGTTTTTTGTTTGTTTGTTTGTTTAGCTCTAAAACAAATCCAGAAGTCCATAATTACCAGGTAAGATACTGCTTTTAAAGGTTTTCTTTAAAGAAGGAAAATTTTAAAAATAAAATTTAAAAAAAGGTTTTTGTAAAGTTTCTAAATTTTCCATAATGAGCAGTCATCATATTTGTAATCAGATTTTGAGAAAATAATAACAATATTTGTTTTTTTGAGAAAATGGTAAGAGAAGAGCCCTTTCCTTCTGACCCCTGCCACTTCTTGGCCATCTGAACTGCCTGTTTTTCTTAACCTTGTCAACTGGCAAGCATCAGGGACATATGTTTAAGTTTCTGGGTGGCCACACACAGCCCCTTAGTGGCATTCAAGTGAGGCAGCTTTTGGTCAAAGTGTGTTTTAGGCCTAGGGAACATGAGTCCCTTGAGATGGGCTTCCAGGAAAGGATGTTTTGGTCAAATGTTTGGGAAATGTCACATCTTTCATTCCCCTTCTTGGATTTTACAGTGTCCACTGAGGTATAAAAGTACTGAGAAATCCTGCAAGAAAGACATGTTTTATTTTTTTAAATGTATTGTTTCCCCAAATTATTTGCGAATTGCTCCCCTCTCACGCCCCTGATTAAAAAAAAAAAAAAAAAAACTAGTCTTGAGCTGGCACGGTGGTGTACATCTGTAGTGCCAGCTATTTGGGGGAGCTAAGGCGAGAGGATCACTTGAGCCCAGGAATTCAAGGCTGCAGTGAGCTATTATCATGAATACCACTGCACTTCAGCCCAGACGACACAGTGGGAACTCATCTATTTAAAAAGACAAACACTAGCCTCAGCCCCTTCATATCTTTTTTAAAAAAACGCTAGCCTCAACCCCTACCATTTTTTGGTAGTGGTGAACTCATTAACACGAATAGATACATGGTTTCTAGAACCTGCTTTGTAAAGCACTGTGCTAGGTGATGTGCTAGGCCCATTGCCTGCAGGAAGGAGCACAGGTACGTTTCTATGGCTGGCGTCTTGCTGTTTCTCAGGACGGCCAACCAGGGCCTGTGCCGCCTGCCAGCTCACCCATGCCTGGTAACATGGAAGGTGTGGTTTACAGCTCAGCCTGGATCAAGCACATTCTTCCTAAGCCACTGTGGGTGGCTCTCTCTCTGGCCATTCACAGCCTTGTACCACCTGGTTCCAACTTCTCTATTTATTTCTCACCACTCCCATCACGCTCCATATGTTCAACTCACAGGGAATTGCATAATTGTTGCCCCATAATTTCTTCCCACCATTCTTTGCCCGTGTTTGTCTGCCTGGAATTCCTTTGCTTCCTATCAGTATATTAAAGTATCTCTCAAAGACCAACTCAGAGTTGGCCACAGTGGCTCATGCGTGTAATCCCAGCACGTTGGGAAGCCAAGGCAAGAGGATCACTTGAGCCCAAGAATTCAAGACCGGTCTGGGCAACATAGTGAGACCCCATCTCTATTTTTAAATAATCCTGGGTTCAAGTGATTCTCTTGCCTCAGCCTCCCAAGTATCTGGGGTTATAGGTGTATGCCACCACGCCCGGCTAATTTTTACATTTTTAATAGAGACAAAGTTTCACCATGTTGGCCACGCTGGTCTCAAACTCCTGACCTCAAGTGATCTGCTCGCCTCAGCCTCCCAAAGTGCTGGGTTTACAGGTGTGAGCCACCGTGCCCGGCCAGGGTTCTTGAATCTTGTTATTCACTGATTGTTTTTTGTTAAGGGGTTTTCAGGTGTGAGTAACTGAAAAGTTGTAGAGACAGGTAATTGATAGGTGATCAGTGCTTGAAGGAGAGAAAAATTTTAGAAAAGCAAAGCAGCTGAGCACTGCCTGTGCCCTCTCCGCATAGCCTGTAGTGTGTTCTCACTGTGCGTTTTCTGCTTAGAGTGAACATGAGGCGATTGTTGAAATCAGATCTACTGAAACTCATCTAGGCATTGTTATCGCAACATCATTGGCAACCACGGGTCCTTTGGACCTTGCCAATCTTAGAGGTCTTGTGTTCTATCAAGGGTTGGGAATAAATTGACCGGGAAGAGAACGTCCTGAGAAGTGGCCTGATTGGCATGTGAATACCGTGAAGGGTATTTGAGAGGATGGTGTTGCAGCATTTATCTTATTTCAAGCACTGCAAGGTCAGCCAGCTGCAAAGGATGGATCTCTGTGTTCTCAATGAGGACGCTGTTGGCATTTGGGGAGGGAGAGTTCTTCATTGTTTGGGACTGTCCCTGGAATTGCAGGATGATTAGCTTCCCTTTTCTCTCTTACTATGACAAGCAAACATGCACACAGTCATTTCCCATTGTCCTCCAAGGGATATGAGTGTACCAGTTGAGAACCAGCTGGGTTAACACTAAAATACTCCTTGACAGTTGAGAATGTGAATAAATTGCCAGAGGAGACCAAGGAAGTTTCCAAAATCTTTTTCCAGGTCTGTGGCTAAGGTTCCCACCTCTCTCTCTGATGAATCTGATTTGGTTGTGTTTAAAGCCAGAGGAAAACATAGAGGGTCCAGTTCTAGGTCAGCCTTTCTCTATTGTTGAACAGCCAATGAATGGAACCTCATTCTGGGCCTGTCTATGTGATCAAAACACCTGGAACAGTTAGACTCTGGGCAAATCATCTAAACTCTGTGGGTTTCTGTAGCCCCTAAAGGAGAAATATGCAGAGATTGCAGCAGGGAGATGCTAAAGCCCTGGTCAGCTCCCAGATCCTGCTACTGAGGTATTTTCTCCAGATTCCTTTTCCTGCAGCATGTCCTTCCGGGGGCTGCAGAGTCTGCTTGCTGACAGGCGTCTTTGAAGGAGAAAGGAAAGGCTGCTTGAATACAGAACAGGCAGGGAGGGCATCTCAGGTCCATGAAAATGGAACGAACAGAACTGCTGAGATTCTCTGTGCCAGAGAGCAGGCCACTGCTTACTAAGCAAAGTATCCTGAGAAGGAGGGGAAGAAATAATTAAAAGAGTAACAGTGGCAAGACTGTAGTGACTTAAATGTCAGGAGGGCCTAATTTGCCCCTTAGGAGATTGAGCCTTGAGAAGCCCCTGACTTCTGCTGATGTCTAGGACCACTGCCCTCTGCAGGCCAGAAGTGGAAAGGCAGGCTGCTACCTAGCCGGCTAGGGCTGCACCTCAGTCCGTTTGTGAGTACAGGGTCTGTGTTCTCTTCTTAAAATGGACAACTTCCTTCAAAATTAGCGGGGTGTGGTGGCACGTGCCTGTAATCCCAGCTACCCAGGAGACTGAGGCAGGAGAATCGCTTGAACCCAGGAGGTAGAGGTTGCCAAGATACTGCCATTGCACTCCAGCCTGGGTGACAGAGTGAGACTCTGTAAAAAAAAAAAAAAAAAAAAAAAAAAAAAAAAGACAACCTTCAACCTCCTTCCTTCTCTTCTTTCTCTTTCTTCCTTCCCTTCCCTTCTTTTTCTTTCTTCTCTCTTTCCCTACCTGCCTTCCTTCCCTCCCTCCCCTCATCCCTTCTTCTCAAACTCTCTCCCTCCCTCCTGTTTTATCAGGATGATAAGCGCTCTGGATGGTTTTGTTTGTTTTGGTATTTTGTTTTGGATTGCATTTTAGAAGATTATTTTTATTGCATAAACCAGAGAGAAAGAAAAAACCTTCACCCACGGCCCTGCTGCTTCACTTAGCATCCCTGTCCAGTCCTTGTCTGTGTGCAGATGTAACTGTTCCACATGGTCATTGTCATTTTCAGCAATGACAAAAATTGTTTCTGAAGAGAGAAGTTGCCTCCCACTCTCCCCATCTCTCTGACACCTTCCGCCTCTTCCCTTGGGAAGATGAATACAGCTTGTCTCTGGTACTCCGGACGACCCCCTTCAAGGCCGGTGTTGTCACCTTCTAAGGGCAGCTTCCCAGCCCCTTCACAGGGAGCCGCCTCTGGAGAGGGCAAGAACCGGCACTGGGTGCCAGCCCCCAGCCTTTGTCAGAGGGGGAAACGTGATCGTCCTGGGAAACATCCACCCCCTAGCCAGGGTCTATAGCCTTTCCATTCTTAGTCCCCCAGCCCCTCGGGTGGATGCCAGGAACAGACAAAGCGAATGAGGACCATTGAAATTAAAAGGTCATCAAATAATCAAGTTTGGTGTTTTATTTCTAGCCTCAATATCATCCTAATATCCATCCCAGCCAGCCCCGGTGGCATCCTCACTCTCCAAATGTCAGGTAAGTGCTGGTGCTTCCAGAGCTGCACCTTCGAAAGCTTTCCTTTCTCTAGAAAAGTTCAGATTCTGCTTAGTTAGGAGTAGAAAGTCTGCATCAGAAATAACCCTTAAGGGATGCATTGTCATGGCCGAGATGAATAAATTTTCAAAGCAAAGGTAGCCAGTGATGTGTGTGGATGTATCAAAGGTATGCTTTGTGAAATAAAAAATGAATTGATTTTTTAAAATCATTCTGATCTCATATATTCTTGGTTTTTAGTTTTGTGTTCAAGATGTTACTGAAAATTTCTAAGTAACATTTTTCTGTCCTGAGAATTTGTTTACTTTAAATGTGATGAAAGCTTGGGGATTTTGTTGTCATGGGGTTTTTTTTTTTTTAAGGATTTTTTTTTTTTTTTTTTTTTTTGCGGGGGTGGGCTGGGGGAATGAGTTTGCTTTTTGTGGCAATAGATATTTTTTCCCTAAACTGAGGGGTCAATAAACTTTTTCTGTAAAGGATCAGACAGTCAATATATTCTGCTTTGTGGTCGCTGTCACAACTCCTTAACTCTGCCATTGTACTTTGAAAACAGCCCTAGACAATCCATAAATGAGAGGCTATGGCTGTGCTTCAATGAAACTGATTTAGAAAAACAGTGGGATTGGGCCGAGGGCTGCCATTTACCAACCTTGGCCCCAACCTACCATAATCCTTTCTAAGCCAACTGGCATCTGCTGGACTGTGTTTATAGTTAGGCTTGACAGGTTTTTTGTTTTTTTTTTTTTTTTTTTAAGGCTAGCTTTGTGAAAGCAAATGTTCCTTTTAAGATTTGAATTTTAGATCAGTCTTAATTGGTGTTTATGTGTGAAGCTATTTCAGAAACATAGTTGGCAAGTTCAGTTTGCATAAAGGTGAGGTTGCTAGCCTTTCTCTGAGAAAGTATGGAGAATAAAATGCTGGAAATAAACCCACTTAGAGCAAGGCCAAAAAAAAGTTTGTTGGGGAATTTTGTAACCCCAAAGCGTGATTGTTTATAAACACTTGGTAGTCACTTAACTTTTTAAAGCAGATTAGGTTAGTGGAGTAATAATTCTAAATCTTACTGTATTTCAAAGGTGCTTTATTCTTCAGACGTAAGAAACAGAAGAGATTTCTAGAAACGCTATTTTAATTAACATTGTTTTTACAAAAGTTTGTGCTTATCATTGCCTGTTTTATCATGTTAGTTTCCTTCTGAGGCATGGCCTAGAAGCAGGCCTTCTGAGGAAAGCCGTAAACAGTGCCTCTCTGGGGTGGGCCTGCTGTTGGCAGCTTTAGTGTCATCTGGAAGCTTGTTTAATGCAAATTCTCAGCCCCACCCCAGACCTACTGGATCAGAATCTATGGGGTGGGGCCCAACATTTTGTGTATTTTCAAGCTCTACAAAGATACCCCATGAAAACAGAGTTTGTTAGTCCAACACTTTTGGCAAATGCTGCCTGAGGCATTCATGGTGCATGCTGGCATGCCTCCAAGCAGCCCTGTAGTAATGGAACATTTTCCACCTTCACTTAGCTTTCTCCAGACGGACTTGACCCATGAGACACCCTTTGAGAAATGATGACTTGACCATAGACAGACCCTTGCTCTGCTTGGAAGTTCATAGGTGATCTGCATCTGAATTTTTAAAATTCTTACTAGGAAATCCATTCATTTCCATTCATAGCCATCCCCATTCACATGGCTCATGGTTCCCCCTGCCCCATTTCCTTTGTGCTTGTGTTGTTTCACTTACATTTCTGCATTTTCTTCCATTCTCCCACTAACCATTCGCTCTGCAAACAAAACAGGCCATCCTTTCAGGATGACAGGTCGCATTGGAAAGCATCGGCCAGTGGAGATGACAGCCATTTTGATTATGTCCACGACCAGAACCAGAAGAACTTAGGAGGGATGCAAAGTATGATGTATCGAGATAAACTCATGACTGCACTTTGAGAGACTGAAGCATCTCTCTTCCATTCACCTTCATAGTTTCATTGCATTCCATGAAAAGTGTCTTGGCCTCAGATGGATGGATGTGTTTGGACGAGTGTCTTTAAGGAGTAGTCCTGAAAGGTGTTTTTGGTGTCCATGTAAATATTTGAAGATAAAACCACTATAGCTTGTCATAATTTACTGTTGACTGCATTCTCATTAAAATGAAGGTAAAGGCTCAGGAATCATATTGATGTTCTGATTTTAAAATTGGAGTCAAAGTCTATGTTTATCATTTTACTATGTTCCTGATGTTCTTTGTTATTTAATTAATGGGAGCAAATAAAACCAGAAGAGCTTGGGAAGATTGCTCAGCATATATTCCTGTCGTAGAAGTTGAGATTGCTAGGGTCCAGTTTCCCTAGTGTGGCCTGGACGAGTCATTTCCCCTTCATTGACCTCATTTTCCCCATCTGAAAAGAGAGGGTTGGACTAAGTGATCTCCAAGGTCCTTTCCAACTCTAAAATTCTGCAATTTGTTAACATTTCATTTTGTTTAGGTTGAGGACATACATTCAAACTAATTTTATCACAAGGAAAACTGCAATACCCACTTCCTTGACAGAGTTACTCCTTTCAGAAGCTAAATAAAGTATATAACTTATTAGATGTTATATAGATACAGGGGGACTTTGAATTTCACATCTTAAAGCAGTTGAGCTACTTTGAATTTAAGCAGTCGTACTAATCTTAAATTGCATAGCATTTGTTTTGATCGAATTTGCTGCTCAAGTATGGGAATAATTTTTAATGTCTTAATGATTGGTGCTGCTAACTTGCGTGATTTCAGAAGACATAATTGTGAATACACACTGTCAGAATTGGGGGATTGGTTTTTACCCTAGACTTCACTCTTAAAAAGCAACGTGCAATCAAGATCATTTATGGCTCAAATGAAAGCATATAAGGTTTTCTTGAAGTTGTGCCAAAGCATTCTGTAGAGTAGGATGAGATGGTTGTTGCCCTAGTCTGTTGGTAGAACCAGAAATCAATATGTTGTCTTTTAGGTTAAAGCTTGTACCAAAATATTTATTTCCCCCATTTCAAGCCCTGAGTCAAACATTTTTTTCTCTTAATAATAGACCTGAAATGTTTTATTAGTATTTCTGTGAAATCAGTTGATTCTTGTGCCATTTTTGTATATGTAATTGTAATTTTGCCCATGTTAGGCCCTCTAAAAAATGTTTGACATCCTTTGAGATATTTTATTACTAAAATCTGATCTTTTTTGGCTACTGCAAAAATCTATTCAGCAAGAAGGTATCAGCTGCATACCTTGCACAGTGGAGCTGACTACCTATAAACTCTCCCTAAGGCATTTGTTTACAGGTGTATTCCATTTTAGCAGACGTTCTGATGCTCAGTGTATGTGCTGCATACAAATAAATGTGTTCTGAATCTTTTCATCTTATTGATAGCATTTTTACAAATGTGTTTCCAAGGAATAAAGATTATTCTTGCTTTTTTTTTGACTCCATCTTCATTTTTTTTAAATTGATTCTTGTTGCTATGCAGAAGTCTCATTTGTGAATGACCTTGGTAACAGAACAGTTGGCTTTTGGAAGTCTGAAGGTGAGCATTCAGTTAGGTGGGTGGAGCAAGATCATCCTAGAATGAGGCTGCTCTTGGCAAGAGTGGATCTTATAGGCACAGCAGCTGATGCCTTTCTTCATCTGGGGCAACTCTGGTGAAGGTTGTCCTGCCTGTCACAGGTGCTGAGTAGAGAGAAGTGGTGGCAGTGGGATTTCCTCAGTAATAGTCCTGTAAAGGTACGTGTTTGTCCTGGCTACTTGTGCTCTTCCTGGCAGGAAGGCATCCAAACCCTTATCTGTGGGCTCCTGGAAATTGTGTATGCCATATAATACCCTCTAATAAATACCTCTCTGCTTAAAGTAACTTGAGTGGTTTCAGTTGTCTGCAACCAAGAAGCCTCACCAGTATGCATACTTATGATATCCTGATTGTTAAATGAAGTGTACACTTTTCATTCCTTAACTTAGTGGACCTTTCTCTACAGCAGTTGACCAGTTCAGTCTTAACAGCCTCCTTTTCTGCCATCCTATTACCTGTTGGTGTTTTCTAAAGGTCTTTCTTCTGCTCACTGCTCTTTTCACCACAGTCTACCCAAGTCTTCTCATTCTGTCATGATTTTATCATGCTGTTGACTCTGAAACCATCCTCTGTAACCCAGACTGTCCTGTGAACTTTTGGACTGACATTTCAACTTGGGTATCCTGTGTACACGTCAAACTCCACCTATCAAAAATCAAATCGATCATCTTTTACCCTCCTCCCACAAAACTTTTCTTCTGCCTGAATTCCCTTTTTTACCCACAGTAAGAATGTATACATCATCTACAACTCTTCTCCCTGTCGCCACCCATATCCAAACAGTACCTAGGTCTGTTCACCTCTGCCTTGGTATTCATACTTGGGCTTTCTTCTCTCTTCTTACTGGCATGGATCCCATAGGAGCATCTTTTCTCTGGCTCAGAGGTGCCCTTCCTGATCTCCCTGACTCCAGTTGCTCCTGACAAGCTCATGCTCCTCCCAGTCACTAGAGTGATCTTTCTAAAACACAGTCGGCCTGTGCCATTGCAGTGCTTGCCATTACCCTGAGGATGAAGTCCAAGGGCCTCTCAGTGGAATTCCCCACTCCGTGTCTCCATCCTCTTGCTCTAGCATATATCCACCATTTCTCACCCTACTGTTGAAAATCCTTCAATGCCAAATTGCTTGTGGTTCCTGGCATGTGCCACACCCTGCTGTTACTCACATCTGTGCCTTTGCAAATACTGTTCTTTCTGCCTAGAATTCTGTCACTCCCATCCCTTCCCCTAACTCCTGCTCAATGTCTGCCTCTGCCCAGACATCTTCTCCCAGGGACTCTTGACGGCCCCACCTCTGCAAATTGGGTTAATTTCTGTGTTCCAGTAATAACCCCCTCCCTTTCTACCCCCATCTATAGCAACGTTGCACTTACAGCTTTGTATTAAAATGGGCTCTTTTGTTTATCTCATCCTGAAACCTGTACACTGCATCAATCTGAGCTTTGTGTCTTACTTGCCTTTGTTCCCCAGCACCTGACAGATAGCAGGTGCTCAGTGAATGTCTGCTCAGCAAATGGATTATTCCACATTCATTTGAAAGGAGATGTCTAACCAGATAACAGGCAATAATACATCATCTCTGGGCTGGTCTGAAGGTATCTGAACAACCTTATCCAGTATGGGGGCATCATACTGTGAGTAGGACACTGACCACCATGTGACTTCTAGATTCAGTTTCATCATCTGAATATTACTCAGTGTGTCAGCTGTGTTCTCGTTTGAGGCATTGGTATCATGCTGTACAGGGCAGAAGAAAGTCCAGCCACGTGACATTGGAAACCCCGGTAGGTAGACATTGATCTGCGCTAATATATAGGGGCTAGTCATCTAATGCTAGGCTTTGCATGTGTCACTTCATTTCCTGACCACTCTGTGAGATGGGTAGTATCCTGTTTTTCATAGATAGGGAAGCTCAGGCTTAGAGTTTAACCAAGCAGCCTGTATTCCAGAGCCTATGGTCTCAACCACAGTGGTCTCTTGCCTCTCACCCTTCATCCCACCATTTGCAACCGTGGGGATCCATATCTCCATGAGACTGCTAGATGATGTTGAACAGTTCACTCCACTGAAATCTAATTGCTAACCAGAGAGCCATCCACTCCCTCCAGCCATCTAGTAACCCCTGTCCATCTGCATTACCACCACACCAGTAGGTAGCTAACTGTCCATACAGCCCCCACCAGTGTGGCCTGGTAACCATGTTCCCTCCACCATCACCACTACCAGTCATAACTGTCCATATCTCCCACTCACACACACCAGGGCTGGTAACCTTGTTCATCTCCATCACCTGTGATCTAATAACGCTGTTTACTGTCTTCTCCCCAAACACACCCCCTCCAGTGGTCTAGTAACCCTCTCCACACCTTACCACCCCTCCCCCAGTCTAAAAATCCTGTCCCCACAGGCATCATTCAGCAGTAGTCCCGCAGAGATTGGACATTATTCTTAATGAACCACTGCTTATTTGAGACGGTCCACTCTATGGCTTCCTTCCAAAGAGTTCACAAATGAACAATGTCTTCTGGAATATTACTTGACAGTAAAACCACACTCACTATTCCATAACTAATGGAATTAACTTTTACATTTTGGAACTCGGGTATGTACTGGTTTATCATCTATTCATGTTTCTGTGGTCCCTCAGAACATCCAACAGTGTATTGACAGTTGTCATTTGATTGATGTAATTCATGCCAGAAGTCTCTAAATCCTGCCAGGTAATTAATTACCTTGGTCTTCAAAACCCTTTTGCCTATTTCGTTTATTGGTCTACCATTTCTGTTGAAGATGGTTCTCCTTAACCACAAAGATGGAGGAATAAGGACAGTGTGGTAATTCCTCTCAGTCCTTCTTGCCTGTTAATATTGCACCATCCTTCCAGGTCAGCGACTCCAGCCTCCTGGGTCCCGCTCTGAACACAAGTAATGACAGAGTCTTTTTGTTGCCCTTGACTTTACAGCTTTTAACTAGTCCTTTAAAATCTGAGCTCATTAAAGAACTCCCTGAACAGCCATATTGATCCCTTCGGATCAGTATTTCCCAAACTTAAGAGTTGTAAATCAATTCCCTGGCTGACCAAGTCTTCCAAACGTACCAGGAAAATACCCTACATTGGTCTAGGATGATTTGCTTCCACTCTCTTGCTACAGGAGGCGGTGGACAGATGCAGAGGCGAAGCATAAGGGGGCGGAGAGAAAAAGCAAGTCACTGTTAAAGGTCCCTTGCACATGAGAAATGGCACATTGTAAGAAACCCTGGGGATATCAAAAAGACAAACATGTAAAATGGACATTCAGCTAAGCCTTAGCAAAAGAAATCCTCAATAGTTCTGCAAATAGGCCCACTTCTGCCAAAATTAGGGAGCTAAAGAATGGCTTGGACAACTTACTAAAAATGTGGATTGTGGCATTCTAAATGGTCAGTGGTAAGACCCAAGATCCTGCATTTTAGCAGCCCAGGACAGCCTGAGGTGGGCAGTCCAGGTTTGCTTTTCACTTTTGGAAAGCAAAGCTACTTATCTGCTTGTGTTCATCGTTATTTTAATGCCTCAATTTTAACTCTCAGTAGAGGTCAACTCTTTTTTTTTTTTTTAAATAGGCATAATGTTAAGTCAATGGATGGACACATCATAATAAGTAACTAGATCTGTCTGCTCAGCAAAGCTATGCACTTCCTTAGGCCCAAGGTGAAGCAGAAAAATGCGAGCATTCTAGTGGTTCTTTATATGGCTTTAATTTCATCATTAACTGGCCCCCTGCAATCTATCAAACCAAGTGTGTGTTCTGCCCTCCCTTCCCACTTCAGAAGCAAGGGACTAGGGAATTCCAGCTGTTGGAGAAGGACTGGGCGTGTGTATACACCAGTCTAAGCACCTGGGCTAAGACTGGAGCCCATGATTGGGAAACAGATGGAAGTTTGCAGAAGTAAAATGGCAAGACATTGCCAGCCAGATGAGAGAAGGATTAAAGGGTCCACAGTGTGGTGGTCTGGTTTTGTCAAGGGACAAGAGCCCCATAGTTCTCTGATTAGGTGAAGTGTGGAAGCTTTGGAATCTCACACGATTTGAATCCCAGCTTTGCCACTTACTAGCCATGGGACCTTTGGCCAATTTCTTCTGGACACCTCATTTTCCTCATCCCCAGATGGAATTTACCAGTATCTCACTGATAAGAGAATTATCAATAAATGACATTATATACAAAAGATGTTTTGCGCAGTGTTTGATGCTAGATGGTAAGAATTTTTAGTGGTTCGTAAGGTCGTAGCTGTCCATGTGGACAGAAACAGGCCAAAGAGATTCAAAATAGCTCAAGGCCGGGCGTGGTGAATCATACCTGTAATCCCAGCATTTTGGGAGGCCAAGGCAGGTGGATCATTCAAGGTCAGGAGTTCGTGACCAGCCTGGCCAACATGGTGAAACCCTGTCTCCACTAAAAATGCAAAAACTAGCCGGGCGTGGTGGTGTGTGCCTGTGTAGTCCCAGCTACTTGGGAGACTGAGGCAGAAGAATGGCTTGAACCAGGGAGGCAGAGGTTGCAGTGAGCCAAGATCACGCCATTGCACTCCAGCCTGGGTGACAGTGTGAGACTCTATCTAAAAAAAAAAAAAAAAAAAAAAAAGTCTAGCTGAAGAAATGGTATTTCTAATAGATTGATGGTTTGAGATGTATATTCTAAGTTTACAAAGGGAAAGGGGTGTTTGGTTCCAAAGGACAGATCAGATGTAAGAGCATTAACACATATATAAAGACATGTCTCTTTGAAACTAACAAACTCAGAGCAGAAACACCATGGGGATCTTTTGAGGAAAGAAAAAAGAAATAGAAATGATATTTCTGTCCGAGAATACTAGGAAATAACTGTCCAGGCAGAATGTGGACAATGCTTTCCCATCTGCACATGGCAGAATTGGCATAGAGTAAAGAATTGGTGAGATGGCTGAGAGTCCATTCTGCTGCTACGATTGGGACTCAGAGGCTTGGAGAATTGAAACAGAGCGTCTGCTCCATTCCCACCTTGTCTAATTTGGGATTTCATCTTAGACGAATTGGAGGAAGATTTTAACTATCAGGAGACTGAGTGGAAAGTTAGTAACAAAAGGGAACCACTGTGCTTTGTTGCCATTTTGTTGTTGTTTTTGTTTGTTTGTTTTTGAGACACGGTCTGTCTCTGTCACCCAGGCTGGAGTGCAGTGGTGCAATCATGGCCCACTGCAGCCTCCACCTCCGGGGCTCAAGTGATCCTCTCACTTCAGCCTCCTGAGTAGCTGGCATGCACCACCATGCTTTGCTAAATTTTTAAAAAATTTTTGTAGAGATGGGGTCTTGCCATGTTGCACAGGCTGGTGTGAACTCCTGGGCTCAAGCGATCCTCTTGCCTTGGCCTCCCCAAATACTGGGTTTACAGGGGAGAGCTACTGCACCTGGCCTGTTGCCTTTTTTAAGATAGATAATACAAACAATAGTAAAAATTCAAATACAAATAGCCAAAAGTTACTTTTCCTTTCCACCTTCTTATTCCCCAGTTTTCCTTGGAAGCAAACATTGTTAGCATTTTTCCTTGTCAATCTAGAGCTACTCCATGTATAAATGAGCATATATTTAACCAATCAATATTGATGGACATTTAAGCTGCATCAACTCCCTCAAGTTACAGTGGTGCTGCCATTCTTGTACCTTGTGTTTGTGCACTTGAACAAATCTATCTGTAGAATAAATTCCCTCGAAGTAGCATCCAGGTTAAAAGGTATGTGCATATTTAAGTTGGATATTGTCTAATGAAATTTCTCTCCAAATATATTCCACCTGTTTATACTCCCCCCAGCTCACAGACACCCCCAGCAATTATGACAATGCCTTTGTGACCTCACAGGAAGCAAATCATAGCCTTTGCTAGCTTTTTTTTTTTTTTAACTTAGTCTGATGGGTAAAATCCAGAATTTCTGTTTTAATTACATTCTCTGTGAACAAGGCTATGCACCTTTTAATCTTTCTAAAGACGGTTTGTTATATGTTTTCTGTGAACCATCTGAAACCCCTATTCTTGAGTCATGCTCCTTAATAAAGATCAGGCTGATGAAGTACAATTAACCATGTCATCTTAGCATTTATAATAGTGAGGAAAGGGAAGGCTTGAATGAGTTGATATTTACCAGACATTTTTTTAAAAGTAGGTTTCCAGGCTAAGCGTGGTGGCTCATGCCTGTAATCGTAGCACTTTGGGAGGCCGAGGTTGGTGGATCGCCTGAGGTCAGGAGTTCAAGACTAGCCTAGCCAGCATGGCAAAACCCCATCTCTGCTAAAAATACAAACAATTAGCTGGACCTGGTGGCGCATGCCTGTAACCCCAGCTACTCAGGAGTCTGAGACAGGAGAATCGCTTGAACCCGGGAGGCGGAGGCTGCAGTGAGCCAAAATCACACCACTGCACTCCAGCCTGGGTGACAGAGCGAGACTCCATCTCAAAAAAAAAAAAAAAAAAAGTAGGTTCCCAGAAATTCAGGTAACAGTCAGCATGATACTGCCCTGCAGAACTGAAAAAGGGAATGTGGGCAACATAAAGATAGCAAAGGGAAAGGAATTGATTTTGAATATCTGTGTTTCCTTTCCTGTTTGGGAGGGTATTGATAACTTTCCACTCAGGCTTCTTAGATACCCACCCAGACATCATGAATTTCCCTGGTGCATTGACCAAGGAAGGATGGATGTACTTCTAGTTACAATTAAAGTTTCAATATATTGGAACTGAAATTACAGCCACATCCCAAGAGTCACCTGTGGTTTTATTGGATGAAAGGCTGCAGAATTTAAAATATTAAAACTGCTGTAGTCTAGGCCATCCACTAAAAAAGGATTAGAATAATTAGAGGAACATCCCTGTAGGCTCATGTTATAAGAAACCCACAGAAACCTCCTAATCGTCCCCTACTGAATGGTGAATGGTTTAAACATCCACATTCTGCACTGAGACCTCAAAAGCAAGAGGTGTTGCTATGCTAATGCTCAACCAGCTTCATTCCCTGGCTGAATAATGGACACTGTCTGTATTAAAGGCAATTAAACCATTAAGCCCTTAAAATTCATATCAGTGTTACAGCTTCGGAGGCCAACTAAGGATGTTCATAATAGAAGCTTCTGAAAAACCTGCAAGAATTGGGGAACAGAGAGAGGATCATTTGCGGAAATTTTTAAGCACTAATGAATACCAAAATAAATTAATCCTCATCTGTATCACCCTAGAAACACGTACCCAGTGTTCAGCTCCAACTCTGACTCACATTGGTGTCTTGTGCAATTAGAATGTCTAAAACCTACTCTTAACAGATTATGCATCTTATTCATCTAACCTGAACTACATTCCGGGATGAATAATGTTTTAATTTCATTCATTCAGTGAGCCGGATGGCGTCTGGGGAGTGGAAAAATAACACTTCCCAGCTCATGCCTGAGTCTGCCGTAGCTCTGTCAGAGTGCACAGGATGACAAAGAATCTGCTTTGTGGACATTATTTTACACTCACAGCTGAGCTTTCGTGACAATGATTATTTTTGTCTTACTGTCCCTTTGGGGTCTCTCATATAACACTGTTTGAGGATGTATTTAAACAAGTGGTTAGGGGAAAGTCTGTTAATGCTGTTGCCACCTGAAAAAACAGAATAAAGGCACAGGAACACAGAAATGAGACGCACCAAAAAAAAAAATCTGTAAGAAACCCAGAAGTGACCGGGCACAGTGGCTCATGCTTGTAATACCAAAACTTTGGGAGGCCAAGGTGGGCAGATCATTTGAGGCCAGGAGTTTGAGACCAGCCTGGCCAGCATAGTGAAACTCCGTCTCTACTAAAAATACAAAAATTAGCCAGGTGTGGTGGCACACATCTGTAATCCCAGCTACTCGGGGGTCTGAGGCAGGAGAATCATTTGAACCTGGGAGGCAGAGGTTGCAGTGAGCGGAGATTGCACCACTGCACTCCAGCCTGGGCAACAGAGCGATATTCCATCAAAAAAAAAAAGAAACCCAGAATGGAAAGTCTAGCTTATTAGAAGTGACTGTTGTAAGGCAAAACAACTATATTTGTATTTTTTTTTCTTTAGGCAAGAAAAAGATTGAATAAACTTGGTCATGAGCCTCTGAGCAAAAATCAACTCATGAAATAGTAATTCTCTGGACTGCACACACATGCACACCTGTGAAGGCACACACACAATGAGGAAGCCATTGCAAAACCTAGCAAGAATAGCATTGCAACACAACAGCCTTTCTGGCAGAAAAATGTCGGGACCTGCTTACACCTATTTATTGAAATCATTTGATAGTTGTTTGCCAAAAGAAAATTCCAGACTCAGAGATGGAAGCACATATCCTGTCCTACCTCACACAGGACTCAGACCCAGGAACTACTGAACCCCAAAGGCTCTTGTCAGTCCTTAGGATGTGGGATGTTAATCTGCAGTTTTGCAGAGACTACATAATGTAGTTAGGAACAAGTAGGGAATTCATGTCAAAAGTGCAACTTTTATGAATAGATATTTGATAAATTACCTAAGGAGAATTAAAATTTAAATGCACTAAAACTAATTAATTGAATAAAGTTCTGCTATGTTTCTGTGCAGTGCTGGTATGTTGAAGAAGATGCCATCTTTGGCTCCAGGTAACTAATCATCATCAGATCAAGAGCTCCCCATCTAGCATGGATTCATACATCAACTGTGCTAGCATCAGAATTGCTTGCAAAGTTGATTGGAACATTTCTTGAAAGAAATACAAATTGGAAAAGTTTTGGGCCAATTAGTCTCTATAAAGGAATCTAAACTACACCCAAAAATGCAGTTTTGACCTTTTTTTTTTTTTTTTTGAGATGGAGTTTCACTCGTCACCCAGGCTGGAGTGCAATGGCACAATCTTGGCTCACTGCAACCTCCACCTCCCAGATTCAAGCATTTCTCCCACTTCATTCTCCTGGGTAGCTGGGACTACAGGCGTGCACCACTATGCCCAGCTAATTTTGTATTTTTAGTAGTGTTGAGTTTTCATCCTGATTGTTGGCCAGGCTGGTCTCGAACTCCTGACCTCAGATGATCTGCCTACATTGGCCTCCCAGTGTTGGGATTACAGGCGTGAGCCACCACTTGTGGCCAATTTTGACCTTTTCTGAAAAGAAAGATGAAGTAGAGTCAACCTTCTCACTAGTCTTTTTTTTAGATATAAGACCACTAAGTTGCTATAAGAAATCATCCCTAATTAATAGATACAACATTCATAATGTATGACACTTCTAAGATGTCGATACAATTTTCTTCGAAAATCCATTATGAAAAAGGTACAGTGTTTCAAATATAGACTCTACTTGTTGCCAAATAGTATGCTTTCCCTGAATTCAATAAGAACATGTAACAATGTATCAGTCTGTTTAGTCTCTACCAAATTAAAATTGAAATAAGCGACAGCTATCTGGGAAACCAGAATGAGTAAATTGTACTTTCTCTCATCTCTCAGTCGGACATGGCACAGATCAAATTATATCATTGAGCTGTAGTTCCTGGCATACGAATGCTTAATGTCCAAAAATGCAATGTCTGCCACCCAGATAAGTGAGTTACCTAAGGTCACGTAGGCAAACAGCAGCAAAGCCAAGCTAAGTACCAATGCATGTTCCTTTTTTGTCATTAGATTGCTCCTTCCAAACACATGGCAAAGCAGTATTGCCTAGCAATTCAGAGAGCCCAGGTTACCTGGGTTCAAATCCCAGCTCTGCCATTTACTAGCTACATGACTTGAGGAAAGCTCCTTGGTCTTTCTGCTCCTCTTTCCTTATGTATAAAATGAAGATAATAATAATTGTCCTTTCTTCAAATGGTTGTTGGAAGATTAAGTTAACTGATGGTGAAGTACTGGGCACTCAAAAATGTTAGATTTTGGGGTTTTTTGCTCTGTGAATATTTAAAGAGCATGATTACTGCACTGGTGTTCAATCAGGAGGTATGATTCTGGCTGACACCATCTGCTGTAAAAACACACTACTTGAGTCAATTATCCTAAGAGAGTCCCAATTGGAGAGCCACAGTTCCGGGCGAATGGACTGGGTATGGACTAGTGGCAGGGCTTCCTGACTTTTTCTTGTCCTTGGCACACATAGAAAGTGACGTATAGCATGCTGGGACAAGCAGACAAGGCTGCTTGAAGCTCCAGGCTCCCCATGTCCTGCCCACTTACTCCAAGGACTGGGAGAATAAATGGTTCAGCCCACTTGCAACCCTTCTGAGGCTTACCAGTTGGAAAGTTCTACTGAGGTCCTTGTCAGCTTATCCCCAATGTGTTAATTCTGATTAGGAATATGGAATTGTCCCCATTGAGGCTAAAGTAAAACAGGAACCAGTTTGTCCCAACCAGCTCCTCCAGAAGGTGTGTGGAGAACTTGTGTGCTACCTGTGAGTCTACTGTGTGGGCTACATATACACTGATCCCGCCGCCAGGAACCCCAACTTGGAGTGAAGACACATGACATAAATAGCTGAGGAGTAAGTCCAAGTTCAGGCAGCACTTGATACGTGTGCACTGAGCAATCCAGACGAGATGTATGCGACTTTGGATAGGGGAAGTTCATTGCATTTCCTACTGCATCAGCTGGCGTAGTACCTATGGGGGACTTCTTGACCATCCAGACATGGGCATTCTGTTAAAGGCGGGGAATCTGTTGATTTCTTGGCCTGCATGGCTGATGATTTGGTTACTTAGGAGGTAGAAGAAACCCTGCAGTTATTACTGTTGTAAATTCTGTTCAGCAAGGAAGACTGCATTGGAAATGTGTAAGTAACAAGATCCATGGAAGAAGAAAACCCTGACATCTCAGAATCATGAACATGAAGTGAGTGAAATCCAGGGCTTAATTCTCCACATATTCTTTTTCTTCTTCTTGTTGATATTCTTTTCTAAAATTAATTTGTGTGGGTACATATTAGGTGTATGTATTTATAGGGTATATGAGATGTTTTGAAACAGGTATGCAATGTGAAATAATCACATCATATATGTTTTACTGTTTAGAAAATCCAATTTCAAAATGTCATAGAAAATAGACTTGAATATTTTTTACATGGGCTGTGAATTTAGAAAGCATAGATAATCCGAAAGAGAAAGGCTTTATGAGCCTCTCAGATGAACCCACAATTTGTAATAGTATTTTAAAGAGTAGGAAGGTGGAACATATGATCAAAAAGAAAGCGGCACAGAACTTTTTATAAGGACTCCAAAGTTTTGTAGATGCTCACTTCAGTTGGGGCAAAAAGATGAGCAATTTAATGACACCCAGTTTTGAGGATGGTATGTGAGACTAACAGGCAGAAACAGAGCTACCTGACTTTTGTTGTGCTTTTTTCTTTTTCAACAAGGAAGCTAGTCACTATACTAACTGCAGAGAGTGAAGAGAACAAACAGAAGAAAATTGAAGTCCAAGATAAGAGAAAGAGTAGTCAGGAAATATTTTACTGCTTTTTGATTAGCTCAAGTCTTTAGGCTCAGAAAAATGGTCTCCCAAAACACTGAGAAAATTTGCACTTGTCATTGCTGAGTCAGCATCAATACCTTTGAAAAAGTCTTGGGAAAATGCTAGATAAGTAGATGGACAGTTTTTTTTGGAACATGAATTCCAAAAACTAGGCTGATAAGCTGGAGTGCAATACTGAGGAAAGTTTGAGAACAGAGTCTTTTGTAAGCACTTAGTAAAGGAAGCAGTGTTGACTTAGGAACAGCACAGATTTGCTGAGAATAAGTCATGCTAATCTTTCAAGATTTTTAGTAAGCTAAGAGTGGAAGAACTGTCTAACCTGATAAGTAGAATTTATCAGAAACTGACATTTAATGGTGAAACACTAGATAATGTATAAACTTCAGAAATAAGGCAAGGATAACTGCTGATATTCAATATTATTCTGGAGACCTTACCAGTGGAACAAGCCAAGAAAACAAAATTAGGAATAACTACTGGAAAGGAAGAAACAAAATTCACGTGATTCTCTTCTTAAAATCCAAGTGAATTCCAACTGGTAAGAGTTGTGCAAAGTGGTCAGAGGCAGAAATATCCTAAAGTCAGCAGCTTTGTATATCCATCTAGTCATTAAAAAATTAGACAATAGGGGCCAGGCGTTGTGGCTCACACCTGTAATCCCAGCACTTGGGGAGGTCGAGGTGGGCAG
The DNA here is from genome assembly GCF_000001405.40 of Homo sapiens. Taxonomy (NCBI): domain Eukaryota; kingdom Metazoa; phylum Chordata; class Mammalia; order Primates; family Hominidae; genus Homo; species Homo sapiens. The sequence continues at coordinate 109,227,820 of NC_000009.12, read as the reverse complement.
ATCACGAGGTCAAGAGATCGAGACCATCCTGGCCAACATGGTGAAACCCTGTCTCTACTAAAAATACAAAAATTAGCTGGGCATGGTGATGCACGCCTGTAGTCCAAGCTACTCAAGAGGCTGAGGCAGGAGAATCGCTTGAATCCAGGAGGCGGAGGTTGCAGTGAGCCGAGATCACGCCACTGCACCCCAGCCTGATGACAGAGCAAGACTCCGTCTCAAAAAAAAAAGGGGGGGATATGTAATAATTAATAAGATCTCATTTTCAATTGTGACAAAATTGAAAAATACCTAGGAATAAAGTTAATGTTTTGTACCTTAATGAAAAAGTTTAAAAATTCTAACTGAAGGACATTTTAAAAGATCTGAGTAAATGGAGAGAAATATGTTCCTTACGAATATATTCTTTCAAATTAATCCATAATATGTAATGCTTTAAATCAGAACTCCAGTGGGATTTTTTGGAAGTAACTTGAATTCTGGAATTCAAGAATTCAAGTTACTATCACAAAAGGAATCTAGAAGACTAGGCACATGATAACAGCTAAGAAAAAAAAGAAAAAGAATGATGTGAGAAAGGGAATAAGATTTATAATGTCACATATGCATGTATATATTAAAACAAAAGTAATTAAGACAGTCTGATATAGGATTAGATTAGTAGAACAATAAAAGTATGAAGAGGCCAGGCACAGAGGCTCATGCCTGTAATACCAGTGCTTTAGGATGAGAAGTGGGAGGACCGCTTAAGACCAGGATCTGAGACCAGCCTGGGCAACATGATGAGACCCTGTCTCTATAAAAAAAATGAAAAATTAGCCAGGTGTGGTAGTGCACACCTGTAGTTGTAGGTACTCGGGAGGCTGAGAGAAGAAGATTGCTTGAGCCCAGGAATTCAAGGCTGCAAGTGAGCTATGATTGTGCCACTGCACTCTTGCCTGGGCAACAGAGGGAAACCCTGTCTGTAAAAAACAAATATATATATATATATTCTTCATATATATATGTTCTTCATATATATATTCTTCATATATATTCTTCATATATATATTCATATATATATATTCTTCATATATATATTCTTCATATATATACTTCATATATATATTCTTCATATATATATTCATATATATATTCTTCATATATATATATTCTTCATATATATATTCTTCATATATATATATATTCTTCATATATATATATATATATATATGAAAAATCCAAAGAGAGGTTTTGATTGTATATAAGTCATGGGCAATCCGAAAACTGAAACTACTCTAGGCATTTCTTACAGAGGGAATTTAATTCAGGGAATTGGTTATACAAGGGCTGAAAAAACTAAGAAACTTAATTGGACAGTGAGGTAACCTATAAATTAGCAACAAACAGAACCTGCTTATCACTCCTAGAGCTGGAGGGACAAGGGGAAGTGGCAGTGTTATAGCACCCAGGAGCTAAGGTAGCAGGAAGACAGTCTAGAGGGAGCTGGAGCCACAGAGAACTCATGGCTGCTTTTGGAAACATCACTGGAGGCATGAAGAAATGAAGGAGAAATACCCTGACTTGTCTCCTGTATTCACCCTCCAGTCCATGTCAGTGCCTCCCATTGACCAAACCTATGTAAAAGCCAGAGGACAGGGAGCCTGAGAAGTAAAGTTTCCTGTAAACAGTGTAAGTTGCAGGGGAGCAGAGAAAGGATCTGAGAGCACTCAGGAAAGTGGCAGACACATATGAAGATGGCATCACAAGTTCATGGGGCAAGGGTGAATGATTCTTTGGGTGATCTTAGAACAATTGGCTCTCCATTTCAGAAAAAGTTAGGACTTTACTTCACAATATACACATAAACTCCTGATGAGTTCATAATCGAATTGTGAAAAATAAAAGCTGGAAGTTCACTCTCATGCCAACATGGAGCTCAGGCAAGTCCCCTCTCCAGTTAGCATGCATTGCCAACTCCAGGCCTTAGCACATGCAGTGCCCTCTACCCAGAGCACCCTATGCAGTCCCTCCCCCAGCCACTGCCATCATCCTTCAGGAGCCAGGACCTGCTTCAAGCATCACTACCCCAGGAAGTCTTCCTTGTTGGTTCCACTTGGGTTGGGCACCCCTACCCCATGTATCAAGGTAGCAGTGAGCTCCTTGAAGGCTGATATGGTTTGGCTGTGTCCTCGCCCAAATCTCATCTCAAATTGTAGCTCCCACAATCCCCAAGTGTTGTGGAAAGGACCTGGTGGGAGATAATTGAATCGGGGAAGTTTCCCCCCTACTGTGGTAGTGAATAAGTCTCATGAGATTCGATGGTTTTATAAGAGTTTCCCCTTTCACTTGGCTCTCATTCTCTCTTGTCTACCGCCATGTGAGATGTACCTTTCACCTTCCACTATGATTATGAGGCCTCTCCAGCCACGTGGAACTGTGAATTTATCAAACCTCTTTCTTTTGTAAATTGCCCAGTCTCGGGTATGTCTTTACCAGCAGTGTGAAAACGGACTAATACAGGGCAAAGATAACATCTCATTTGTCTTTATCCTTGTGCATGGCACAGTACCAGGCACAAGAGCTGGCCTTCAAATATGTACCAAATGCACTGATATTTCATTTTGTTCTCCGTCTAACCAGTATTAGTTGAGCACCTGCTATGTGCTTAGTACTTTTCTTAGCACAGTGGAGGACACGAAAACATGTGATGTGACAGTCTCTGTTCCTACAGAGTTAACTGTATGGCTGGGAGGACAAGATACATACACAAGGATGTCTTAGCCAGGGGGTTCTGAGGAGGACTTGGATTTTCCTGATGAGTGCACTTGCTGCCTTAAATAGAAGCCAAGACAGATGGAAAGAGGCAGCAGATGGGCAGCACTTGAGGCAGCGAGCAGAGAGGCAGGAGTCTGGACTGTGTCCCAGGATCAGGCAGGTACCTGCTGTGTGACCTGGTCACCTCCCTCCCCATAGCGAGCCCCCATCCCCCCATGTGCAAAATGAGGAGGTTGGACTACTACAGCAATGGTTCTCAGCCCTGGCCACACATTGGATTTAGAGATAGATTATGATGTAATTAGTCTGGGGAAGGGCCTGGGCATTGATACTTTTCAAAACCTCTTCTTGTGATATTTTTATCAGCTTTAAGATACACATCAATTGTACAACTTAATGTTTTTTAGTATTTTCACCAAGTTGTGCAACCATCGCTGCAATATAATTTTAGAACATTTTCATCACCCCTAGAAGAAACTCCACACCCATTAGCAGTCACTCCCCCTTCCCCCCGTCCACCATCCTCCCTAGTCCTAGGTAGCCGGTAATCCACTTTCTACCTCTATGGATTTGCCTATTCTAGATGTTTTATATAAATGGAATAATATAATACTTGTCCTTTTTGTGTCTGGCTTCTTTCATGTAGTATATCATGTTTTCAAAGTTTATCCACATCATGGCCTGCTCAATATTTCATTCCCTTTTGTGGCTGAATAATGTTCTTTTGTATGGATAGACCATGTTCTGTCTATCCATTCATCAGTTGATGGATATTTGGGGTGTTTCTACCTGTTGGCTCTTATGAATAATGCTGCTATGAACATTCACATGTAAGTTTTTGCATGGACCTGTTTTCATTTCTCTTGGGCATATACTAGAAGTGGGCTTGCTCAGTCATATGGTAACTAATGTTCAACTCTTTGAGGAACTGCCAAGCTGTTTTTCAAACTGGCTGCACTATTTTGCATTTTCTCCAGCAGTGTATAGGAGTTTCCCCTGGTTTATTTTATTTTATTTTATTTTATTTTTATTTTATTTTATTTTTGAGATAAAGGCTCCTTCTGTCACCCAGGCTGGAGTGCAGTGGCACAATCTCGGCTCACTGCAACCTTCACTTCCTGGGTTCAAGTAATTCTCGTGCTTCAGCCTCCAGAGTAGCTGGGATTACAGGTGCCCACCACCACACCTGGCTAATTTTTGTATTTTTAGTAGAGACAGAGCTTCGCCATGTTGGCCAAGCTGGTCTCAAACTCCTGACCTCAAGTGATCCACCTGCCTCGGCCTCCCAAAGTGGTGGGATTACAGGTGTGACCCACCGTGCCCGGCCTCCCCCTAGGCACTTTAATATTTATCCAGGTTTTCAAACCACCGAACTGGATGATATCTGAGGGGCTCCATTTCTAAAATTCTGTGATTTCTTATCCAGGATTAGATCCCCAGGGCTCCCCTGAAAAGCCCATGTCACTCAGAGCTGGGCTGAGCTGTAGAGTCTGTGATTGGCTTTTTGGGGCATTGATCACTCAGCCTTGTTGTTGAGAGAAAGCCATGCCCAGCACTGGTCACAATTCTGGTGGTGGATTCCAGAGGATACCATTATGCAATATGCAACAATTTTTTTTTTTTTTTTTTGAGACAGGGTCTTGCTCCTTGCCTAAGCTGGAGAACAGTGGCTCGATCTTGGATCACACTGCAGCCTGGACCTCCCAGGCTCAAGCAATTCTCCATCTAAGCCTCCTGAGTAGCTAGGACCACAGTATGTGCCACCATACCGGGTTAATTTTTTGTTGTTGTTGTGGAAATGGGATCACCCCATGTTGCCCGGTCTCGAACTCCTAGGCCCAAGCAATCCTCCTGCCTTGGCCTCCCAAAATGCTGGAAGTACAGGTGTGAACCATTGCGCCCGGCCTAGCATGCAACAATTTTGACTGAGCACCACATGTTTGGTTGTCTGGCAGTCCAGGGTCAGGGAGAGGAGATGCTCTGGTTGGGGGTACATGTGGGATTAGGCAGGGCTGGAAGAGCCCCTGTAACATCACTTGTTCTGCAAGCAATAAAGTCTCTTATGGCTAGGCCCCAGTAGGAACACTAGCTTTTCTGGAGTTGGAGGCCAAATGGGAACTGGGTCTTCCCCTGAGAAAAGGGAAGAGAAGAAATGAGATCAGGGTCAGTTCTCACTCTGCATTTACTAACAGGGCACATTACTCCCTTTCACTAAGCCCCAGTGTCTAAGGGGGCACCAGCAGCTTCCTTGCAGGAAAACTGAAAATTAACCATTAAAGTGCCTAGCACAGTGCTAGGCACATAGCAGCCCCTTCTTCCACACTAGATTTCTTTTCAACTGCCAGCTCATGAAGGCAGAGACTGAAGCCTACATCTGTCCTCTGTCACCCACCCTGAAAACCAGGATGTGGGACCTCCTTTCCAGAATGCCAGGAGTCTCATGAACCTCAGTCTCTGGTGATGTTGAGTGTGCAGCAGGCCTCATCTCCTGGGCCTTAGCCAAGGTCTCTGAGTACTGCTGGACCTTCTAGGGTGGGCTTGACCTCTGAGGTCTCTATGAAGAGGGAAGATGCGCAACCTAGTGAATGTCATTTACATTGTAGTCGGTGAGTGGCATCTCCAGGAGTTCCGCAGGGCACAATCCATGAAGCCATGAGCAACCCCACAAAACTTCTCCATGTTAGAATCTTCAGGATGATCCCCCAGGCGTGTGAGCTGAGAAAGCACCCGAGTCATTCTACTGCTTGCTTAGGAACCTTTGCTCTGCGAAAGACCTTTCACCTGAGCAGATTCAGGCGGCTTCAGGCAGCTTCTCTGACCCTCATCTATTTCTCTTTTCATTTGTTTCTTTCTCTGCCTCTCTCCAAAGTAGCTATAAGATGAAGGTCACACATGCATATTTTATTTGACGTGTTATGAAATGCACTTTCTCACTCCCTGCATATATATCTTTTTACTGTTTAACTCTTTACTCTGGGTTTCCTTGAAATAAAAAAGTTTTAAATACCACTCACTTTTAACTTGGAAAGACAAATGCATGATACCACTGTGCTCTTCCAAGTCCATGGCAGACATCAATAATCAATCACAGCACTCTTTCCCCCTGAGTTGGGCACAACCTCAGACTCCTTCTGAATCTTGCACTCCAAGCAGAGAGTGCAAATCAATTGGAGTTGGCATGACAGATGATATCTATTTGCCATCCCTCAGGAACTCTTACTCAAAGCTTTCCAACTCCACCTCCAGCCCTGAATGTACGCCAGATCTCTGCTACAAGACATCTTTCCCTTTGGGTGTTCATTCTCACACTCTTTGTTACCCACGTGATGGTCGATCATAATTTTCTCTGCTCAAAGCAGCTCTCATTTGCCACCTCTTTTTTTCTATTAATGACATGCCATTTGCCTGGTCCTCTAGGCTAAAAAATAATTGGAGTTTTCTGACCCTTCCATATCTCCACATTCTCCCTTTCTCAAATCCAGCTAGTATCCCTATCTTTTCCTTTTGATGTTTCTCTGATTTGTCCCTCCCACCTAGACAATGATGGTGTCAGACCTTTAATAAGCTGGCGGCAGCAAGGAAGAAGGGCAGGGTGGAAGACGAGCCCCTCAGTTGGGAAGCCCTCTCCAGGCCTTCCAAGCAAAGGGGAATTTTCTCTGTTATGAGCTCCCAGTCTCTGCAGCTCCTTAGGACAGATATTATTTTCAACATATTTGCAAGACAGGAAAAATATTAACAGGCTTTGGGGTCCACAGACCTGTCGTCAAATCCTAGCTGCACAACTTCATTAATCCATCCTTCCTTTCATTCTTCCTTCCTCCCCCTCCCTCCCCTCCCTTCTTCCTTCCATCAAATATTTATGGAACACCTGCTATATAACAGGTAAAGGTCTCCATGTTTTTAAAAGGGAATCTTTTCTGTAAAATAGCTAGCACAGTATCTGAGACATACAGCAAGTACTGGATAAATAGTTGGGGGAAAGGATGATTCTCAGATACCTAAATTTGCCCAGAAATCGCTTAACCCAACTCACGTTACAGCTGAGGGAATGGAGGCTCAGAGTGACTGCCCAAGCTTCTCCTGCAAAGTAGGGGCGGAACTAAGACTTGAGCCCAGGTTTTTCCACTCCAACTCAGGGCACTTTTTGCTGCCTCCATGGGGCATGAAGAGGGTGGATACTCTGGTTATGTTTCAGGTTGGAGAGGCGAGGAGGGATGGTGTTTCCCAGAAGCCAAAATCGTGCCTTCTTCCACATTCTTACACACACACACGCACACACACATATGCTCACACACACCAACACACGCACGTGCACACACGCACACACACAGAACCGTCCTTGAGCAAAGTCTCCAGGAGGCAGCCAAGATGGGTCAGAGATGCAGCTCATGGGGCAATGTAGGGGACAAATAGTGCCATTTCTTCTGGACTGTCTCCTGCATCTGCAACACAGTCCTCAATGACACCTCCTCCCAATGTCCCCAAGTGACAGGTCTGCAAGCCCTGCTTACACAGCTTCAAAATATCCCAGAAGGCAGTTCACCTCACTCCATCCACCAGGTTAGTCTAGATCCCGCCCTGCGGCAGTCTCCTAACAGAGAGATACTGGAGTCTCTCCCCAACCAGTCTCCTCCACACAGCGCTCAAAACAAACTCTCCAAAATCTAACTCCCTTGCTTAAGCCCTTTCCTTGATAACCAGGCACTCTAAGCCCTTCATAACTAGCCCCAGCCTGTCTTAGTCTCCCTTCCTGCTACTTTCCTCCTCACTTCTCCAGACATCCTGCTCTTTCAACCACCGTTCCTTTGCTCATGCTATTCCTTAGGCCTGGAACAGCTGTTTCTACCTTTTCCACTGAAAAGAAATTCTACACACACAAATGACAAAATAACACACCTCCTCTGATTTCAAGCATGTGGGTTATTAATTGGAAAAACCCAAGTACTTCAAGCAATAAATAAATAAAGGCATTTACTGGAGCTTATAATGGAAAAGTTCAGTGGTAATGCCAGCTTCAGGTGTGGCTGGAACCAGGAGCTAAAATGATACCATTAAGTTTCTTCTCTCTCTGACTACCTCTAACCTCTGCTCATCTTGTCTTTCTTTGTGCATTGGCCTCAGTCTCACAGGGACTACTTCTCTGTGTCCAAAAAAGATGTTCACAAAGAGCCCTAACTTCCATCATCCTTACAGCCGGAGCCAGCTTACCCATTACACACAGTAGGCACACAATACTTAGACTCACAATACTTTCAGGGGCCCACGAAAAGGTTTTAAATATTTTTTAAAATAAGAAAAAAATGGATTTTCCGTTGAAGAAAATGTTTTAGTATATGTTATTAACATATTTACTTTTATGCAGTTGTGAAATTTAATTTTTAGTTAATTTTTATAGAAAATGGACAAAGGTGGCCAGGCACGGTGGCTCACGCCTGTAATCCCAGCACTTTGGGAGGCGGGTGGATCACAAGGTCAGGAGATCGAGACCGTCCTGGCTAACACGGTGAAACCCCATCTCTATTAAAAATACAAACCAATAGCCAGGAGTGGTGGCAGGTGCATGTAGTCCCAGCTACTCAGGAGGCTGAAGCAGGAGAATGGCGTGAACCCGGGAGGCGGAGTTTGCAGTGAGCTGAGATCGCGCCACTGCACTCTAGCCTGGGCGACAGAGCGAGACTCCATCTCAAAAAAAGGAAAGAAAATGGACAAAGGCAAAAGTGCTTGTGGCACAAAAAGGCACAATAAGGCCCTGCTTGCCTGTTACAAAGAAAGAGAGAGCCTTCCTTTCAGTTTTCATGTGTTAAATCTTAGGAAAAACTCTGATTGTCCCTAATTGGATGACATTCCAGAACACTCTCATTAGAAGGATGCAGGACTCTGATTGGCCAGGCTCAAGTCTCAGGCCCACCCCTGAGGAGGAAATGTCAATCCCATACAAACACAAGGAATGGGGTTTCCTATAAGAAAGAAGATTCTGTTTCAAGAACTGTCCAGCAAAACCTAACTGTCTTCCCCCGAATGCTCTTTCCCTTACAAACACCTTCCCCCAGGAGAACTGATTGCTTCCACTTCTGCATTTTCTTAGCAGTTTGTTCTAGTATGATTGTAAGTGACTGAATCACAGAGCTTCCTACTCTGGAGTGTGAGTTCCTTGAAGACAGAGTGAAAGAGTGGGCAGTAGAGATCTGAACCATGGGAATGAGCAGAAAAAGGGGTTAGCCCTGCCAGGGAATAAGAGGAAGGGATCTTTATCTGGGTCTTAAAGGCTGGAAGTCTTCCTGGAAGAAGGGGTATTTTCACTGGGTTGACAGATGAGGAAGGACTTCAGGAGGCACCAAGAAGTAAGAGGCATCGGGATGGGAAGGAGTTAGGGTGGGAAGTAGAAGGATGTAGCAGGAGATGAGGCTGAAAAGAGAAAGGGCCAAGACTGGGGGCGGGGGGAGGTGCTGTCAGTGCCACATAAAGGATTGTGGCTTTTATCCTTCAAGCCAGGGCTCTTCACCTGGGTCCATGGAGAGGCTCTAGAGGGCCTGATATTGTGTGTAGAATGTTGTTTGTTGGTACAGGGAAGGTTCGTGGTATTCACCAGATTTTCAAAGGGGTTTCTGTCTTAAAGTGGTTAAGAATTATTAGTGTTAGGCTGGGTGCGGTGGTTCATGCCTGTAATCCCAGCACTTTCGGAGGCTGAGGCAGGCAGGTCACTTGAGGTCAGGGGTTTGAAACCAGCTTGGCCAACATGGTGAAACCCCATCTCTACTAAAAATACAAAAACTAGCCAGGCATGGTGGTGTGCACCTGTAATCCCAGCTACTCAGGAGGCTGAGGCATGAGAATTGCTTGAGCCTGGGAGGTGGAGGTTGCAGTGAGCTGAGATAGTGCCACTGTATTCCAACCTGGGCAACAGAGTGAGACACTGCCAAAAAAAAAAAAAAAAAAAGAATTATTAGTATTAGAGATATATTCAAGCTCCTTGAAGAAGGAGAGCATGGTCTGGAATGTAATTAGAATAGCACTCTGGCAATTACTCTGTGGAGGATGGACTAAAGGAACGAGCAGAGACGGGGAGAGCCAGCAGGAATCTGTTACAAGAGTCTAGGTGGGAGATGACACGGCCTTCAAATGGGGCAATCCTAGTTGTTTTTTGTTTTTTTTTTAAAAGGAGGTGGTCCACTGGAATTAAAAGATGTTGTAAGCTGGGCACAGTGGCTTACACCTGTAATCCCAGCATTTTGGGAAGCCCAGGAGGGTGGACCACTTGAGCCCAGGAGTTTGAGACCAGCCCAGGCAACATAGCGAGATCCTGTCTCTACAAAAAATTTTAAAAATTAGCCAGGCATGGTGTCATATCCCTGTGGCCCCAGTTGCCTGGGAGGCTGAGGTGGGAGAATCACTTGAGCCTGGGAGCTTGAGGCCACAGTGAGCTGTGTTTGCACCACTGCACTCCAGCCTGGGCAACACAGCAAGACCCTGTCTCAAGAAAAAGATGTTGCAGCACTGATGTTAACTGGAGCTTTCTGCATGTTGTGGGTGACAGAGAGGAAGAGAAACTGACCCCAAGACTTCTAGTTTGCATTATGATCTTGTCATAGGATTATTTACAAATGATTTTTTATTATTGTTTTTACCTCTTCCTCTCATTTAGAGAATGCCTTTAAAAAAAAGAAATAAATATTATTTCATTTAATTTCAAATACTTCTTTAAGTTACAAGACTTAAAGTCTCTGATATATACAAACTTCCACTTTGCTCTTTTTCTTAAGTATAATATTACCATTGTATATACTTTATAATAACTACAGATCTAGTTTTTGAGTTTATTTCTTTCAGTGTTTAATGCCTAGAAAACGTCTTTGAAAGTACACAGAGGGCTTGCAAGGCATTCTGCTTTTCTAAATCCTGACTGTGTCACCCTCCACAGCTACCCGCTCCCTTCCCCAGTGCTTAGCAGCTCGGACCGGTTGCCTTTTGGCATTGAGGAGAATGGGGGCACACCGTTCCTCACCGCAGCTTCAGGAAGGCATCACCACCAGCACCAGCATCAGCATCAGCACCAGCACCACTCAAACTACAGCCTCTCACTGACCCTGGAGAACAAAGAGGGGCCTCTGAGGTCCCCAAACTCCAGCAGCAAGTCCCTTACAAGTGAGTAGGGGTGGAGGGGGCAAGGCAGGAGAAGGGGGAGCAATGCTGCAGGGCACGAGAGTTCCCTAGATTCTTAAGACAGACCCTTGCGGTGCAGCACACAATGGTTGTCATGTTATGCTGGGCTACCGGGTTTGGGCCAGAGTAGACAAGAGCCTTATGCATTTGAGCAGAAGCACTTTAGGGATTATGGTTTACCAGTAAACTCTAATTTCATTATAGGGTCACAGTTCTCCACCTCCTTTCTTTTTTTCTTTTCTTTTTTTTTTTTTTTGAGATGGAGTCTGGAGTCTGGCTCTGTCACCCAGGCTGGAGTGCAGTGGCATGATCTCGGCTCATTGCACCCTCCCCCTCCCAGGTCCGAGCAATTCTCCTGCCTCAGCCTCCCGAGTAGCTGAGATTATAGGCATGTGCCACCACACCCAACTAATTTTTGTATTTTTAGTAGAGACAGATTTTGACTATGTTGGCCAGGCTGGTCTCAAACTCCTGACTTCAGGTGATCCACACATCTCGGCCTCCCAAAGTGCTAGGATTACAGGCGTGAGCCACCATGCCCGGTCAAGAAGTGAAGGCTTTTGAAAAGTGATTAAGTCATGAGAGTTCCACTCTTATGAATAGATTAGTGCCTTACAAAAGAGCTGGACGAAAAAAATCCCAAAGTGCTGGGATTACAGGCGTGAGCCACAGTGCCCCGCCTCCACCTCCTTTCTTAACAGTTCTCTGCCTCTGTGGTACCCAGCACTGGCTTGAGCAATGGAAAAGAGAAAGAGGGGAGGGGAGTGATGGCTGGACTTTCTACTTTCTTCATCATAGAAAAACTCATTCTATCCCATTTTTGACATTCCACTTGGGAGAGCAAAGTGGTGTCAGGTAGATCCAATCTGTCTACTGTTATGGGTCCCAGAAAGAGAAGTTACAAAAATAGAGAGTGAGCAATTAGAAATTTTATTATTTTATTTTATGACAGGGTCTTGCCATGTTGCCCAGGATGGTCTTGAACTCTTGGGCTTAAGCAACACTCCTGCTTCAGCCTCCCAAAGTTCTGGGATTATAGGCATGAGCCACCATACCCAGCCCAGAAATATTGTTAGCAATATGATAGAATGAGTTTATATCTTTTAAATCTAATAAAAATATGGGCTTTGATTCGGCATGTCCGTTATTTTATTTTTCTAGAAACTCACTTTTATTATACGTTACCAAAGAATTCATCTTTGGTATGAAAAGAACCTGTTGTTTATCAAATGTGGTTTGAAAAGTACTGAGGGCTGGACGCAGTGGTACGTGCCTATAATCTCAGCTACTCAGGAGGTTGAGGCAGGAGAATCGCTTGAAACTTGGAGGCAGAGGTTGTAATTATGCTTGTAATCCCAGCACTTTGGGAGGCCGAGATGGGTGGATCGCCTAGGTCAAGAGTTCGAGACCAACCTGGCCAACGTGGTGAAACCCTGTCTCTACTGAAAATACAAAAATTAGCTGGGCCTGGTGGCGTGCACCTATAATCCTGGCTACTTGGGAGGCCGAGGCACGAGAATCACTTGAACCTGGGAGGTGGAGGTTGCAGTGAGCCGAGATGGTGCCACCGCACTCCAGCCTGGGCGACAGAGTGAGACTCTGTCTCAAAAAAGAAAAGAAAAGAAAAGAAAAGTACTGAAGTGGAGGCTTCGATTCTAGCTCTTACCCTTGAACTGAGTTCCCTCTTTGATCTTCTATTTTCTCATCCATGAAATAGGGTAGAGGGTATTGAGATGATGACCAAGGAATCTTCCAGCTCTGATATTGTGTGAGTCTGTGAGCTGTTGAGACAGGATGGGCCATCCAACCTTCACCTTGGGGCCACAGGGAACAACTCTGTGTCAGCTGAGCTGGAAATGGAAACTCGACACCCACTTGGTATTGAAGAATCCGAACTCTGTCCCTCATCACTATCCACACTGCCCATGCCCTAGTCCCTGCCTCATCTTTGTATATCTAAATAACCATAACAGCCTCCTAAGGGGCACCCGCTCCAGGACAATCTCCAAATAGTAGCTGCCAAAGTCATAGTTCTCACCACATAACTCTGACCACATGCCATAAGACCTTTCATTAGCTCTTCACTGTCTGGGATAAAGTCCTCGCTTCTGAGCAGGGCCATACACAGACCTTGCGTATCCTGACCCCTGCCAAGGTCTTCATTCTTCCCTCCACTCCTCACCATACTCTAGCTACACAGAACTACTCTCTTCTTACAAAATACTCTACTGGGTCTCAACTCTGTCCTTTGCACCTGCTGTTCCCTTTGCCTGGAATACTTTTCCCCACCTTGTTGAACTCCTACACATCCCTTAGCAGCCCATTCAAATGTTCGCTTGTCAGTGAAATGTTCTCTAACACCCATCCTCAGTTCCGTCCTGCTCCTTTAGCAATTAAATAAACCTTTTCTCAGTCTTCTTCGGAATATCTCCACATGTGTCCGTCATCCCCATTAGATTAAAATTTTGTCTCATTCACCTCTTTCTTTCAGCTCCCAGATCCCAGTTGCTAACGATACTTGGCACAAGTTTTAATATGTAATGAATATTTAATATTTAATGAATATTTAATGTATTAATGAGTAAATTCAAGCTGGAAGGAGAAGTAGTGGCAAATGAATCCAAAGTAGCACAGAAATAAAAATCAATGGATTTGATTTTAGGAACATAACATGGCTTTTAAGGGCACGTTATATGCCTGTTTGCCTGAACACTAATCTTTCCAATTTGCATAATGCTTTTCCATTTTTAAAGCATTTATACATAAATGACTTCATTGGATATTCACAGCAACCCTGCAAGGTAAGTAATTTTATTTTCATTTTTAAATGGCTCAGAGGGTCAGAGAGGCAAAACAACGTACCCAGGGGCGTCCAGCTCATGTGTGGGACAGTTAAGCCTTGAAACCTTGACCTCAGATATTCTCACACCCTATCAGCTGATGCATACTGAAGGCATGAGAGCTGCTGGAGGAGGAGGCCGGCAGAAAGGGTGCTGGGAATCGGGCGCTGGCAAGTGTCCCTTTTCCCCTGTATCTATCTGTCCTTTCAACCTTTCCTTATTTATTTCTCCTGGCTGCTTTGTAGAACTGAGTCCAGGAACACCTGCCTTGTTCAGTGAAGCCGCTGCCCATCTAAAGAAGCTGGAACTGGAAACTGTGAAGGCTGCTGGACCCTGGCCTCCTCTGCACATCAACATAAACAAGGTGCCAAGGGCCGGGGCTCTGCCATGACCATGGACTTGGTGCTGACATCAAACCTCTGATTACTACCCTAGCCTGCCTGCTAAACCAAGTGCCTTTGCCTTGGAGGGATCTCTATTCCATCTTTCCTGACATTTCTGTTCAGGCTGTCTTTTAGGAGCAAATATTTACTTACCTTCCTTTTGGGTGAATTATAGCATTAGGCGTCGTTCCCAGTGTTTTGCCTGACAGGCTAGATCTGTTTGTTAGTTGTCTCTCCCTCCTACTAGACCGAAAGCTCCAGAGGGAGCATCCACATTTACCGCTTTGCATTTCTAGCCCTCTATCTCCCTCTGACAATGCCTGGCACATTGTAGATGTTCAGTAACCATTTGCAGATGGAAGGAAGGGAGGGATTAAGATACAGAAGGAGAAGGAGACAGGGCAGAAGCCAGGCCCCCTTTTGACTAGACCTATTCTTACATCCAAAGAGGCAGCCTTATAAAAGTCAAATTTTATCTTAGAACGATACATACCACTGCTGGATTCAGTCTGCCATTTAGTTCAACCTTCTCAATGTCTCAGACCAGAGGAAGGGAAATGACTTTCTCAAGGTTGCACAGCCCTTGACAACCTTCTCAATGTCTCAGACCAGAAGAAGAGAAATGACTTTCTCAAGGTCACACGGCCCTTCACAAGGTTGCAAAGCCCTTGACTCTCGATCCAGTGTCCTTGGCACTCCAACATGCTTCCTCGTTTTCTTTGCCAGCGTTTCTCAACTTTGGCACTAGCAACATTTTGGCCTGATGACTCTTTTTTGCAGTGGCTGTCCTGTGCATTGTAAAATGTTTTGCAGCCACAATGCACTAAATGCCACTAGGGACCCCCATCCAGTTGTGACAACCAAAAATGTCTCCAGACATTGCCAAATGTTCTCAGAAGGGCAAAATCTCCCTAGTTGAGAACCACTGTTGTACATACATTTTAATTTTTTAAATCCCCTAAGGAAGAATCTTTTTCATTCATGGTTCCTTTCTTCCTCTTTAATGCTTAGCTTTGTCCCTTTATGAGAGGGAATAGGAAGAATTTGGAAGAACTGCTCTGTGCAGCATGGGAAGGTTACACCTCCTGCCCTTCCCGTCCCTGACCTTTCCCATAATCCCTCAGCAGGGCGGCCTAAAGTTCCTCTGATTACTAATGGACCCCAACTGCAGGTTTAACCTTCAAAAAGCCCTGCTCATTCACTTTTTTTTTCTATACCTCCCTCCATGATTGCCAGCTAGAGAGAATTCCTCCTGCAGGATGGCTCTGATAGCCATTCAATCAACAGATCTTTATTGAGCAGGCTTGCCCTAGCTGCTAGGGATTCAACCCAATGCACCGTGTGCCCCCTGATTGGTCTTCTTTTTCTTAGTCGCCTGGTTTTCAACTTTTCTTCTGCAGTGTACACAATAAATGGTTTTAATGGGGGCTTATCCAGACTTTGGCAAAATCCAAAAATATTTTGCAAGGAAATACAGCATATAGTGTAGCACAGAACTCACAAGCTCTATAGTGATTTGCAATTGCCATGACTATTGGTGGAGCGTTGACAACAGCAGTTTGCTCTGGGTGAAGGCCTACCTGAGACACCTGTGGGTTATCGAGCATTTCCCTGGAGGTCAAGTTACAACTCCCTTCCTATCTCCTCCACTCAAAGAAATTGGCCTGGCATGGTGGTTCATGCCTGTAATCCCAGCACTTTGGGAGGCTAAGGCGGGTGGATCTCTTGAGGTCAGGAGTTCAAGACCAGCCTGGGCAACATGGCGAGACCCCCCCCATCTCTACTATAAGTACAAAAATTAGCAAGTTGTGGTGGCGGGCACCTGTAATCCCAGCTACTAGGGAGGCTGAGGCAGAAGAATCGCTTGAACCCACGAGACAGAGGTTGCAGTGAGCTGAGATCCTGCCACTGCACTGCAGCCTAGGTGACAGAGCGAGACTCCCTCTCAAAAAAAAAAAAAAAGAAAAGAAATACATTAGTAATCAAGTAAGCTAGAGTGATGTGATTATACAGATAATTTTGACTTTGTCCCGACACACACACACACAAAATATATTACTTCACACTTTGATTTTTTTTTTTTTTTGAGATGGCGTCTCACTCTGTCTCCCAGGCTGGAGTGCAGTGGCATGATCTCGGCTCACTGCAACCTCCACCTCCCGGGTTCAAGCAATTCCTCTGCCTCAGCCTCCCAAGTAGCTGAGATTACAGGCACGCACCACCACACCTGGCTAATTTTTATATTTTTAGTAGACATGGGATTTCACCATGTTGGTCAGGCTGGTCTTGAACTCCTGGCCTCAAGTGATCCACACTCCGCAGCCTCCCAAATGGCTGGGATTACAGGCATGAGCCACCATGCCTGGCCACACTTTAATTTGTTGTTGTTGTTGTTGTTGTTATCATCCATGAAACATTCCTTGCAACAGATCTCCCTTCTCACTTCTGATCATGACACCAAAATTGGGAGCCACTGGCTTGGATGGCTTTTAAGGTTTTTTCCAGCCTCAAGGATCAAGAATCCTCTGATTCTTCTAAGGTTTGGATAACTTTCGCTTCTTGATTGAATGGTGAGATGTCATTTTCACTGTCCAGTTCCAAAGTTTGTGCCCAAAATTAACACAAGAATTTAATTCTCATCAGATTTTAGATGTGTAAACAATTTGTATAAACAATTCAAATATACATCTGATCATTTCTTTATCCCCAAATGATATCCCCAAACAGACGGACTATTTCCAACTATAATAATATCAAAGCCTAATTGTCATTCATGTCTATGTTTTGAAATCTGTAATCCCATATTGAACAACAAAGTATCTTTCCACAATTCAAATTGACTGAACATAAAATACAAAATACAGTCACAGGAAAGGAGAAAGCACAACATTCTTGAAGCCATCCTCCAGGAAGGAATGATACGGTCTTGGAACCCAGATGCTTATCTGCCACAGAGATATCTTTTATACAAATTCATATGACGACGCACAAATTTCCCAAAATGTATATTGGCCTTCACCTGCGTCAGTTCATATAGCAGAATATTACAGGTCTTGCATTGTCCAGAATGAACAAGAACAAGCCAGCTTGAATTTTATGTCCAAAAAAGCAGTTTAGAATTAGTAAATTCAAGGGGAAAATCAGTGCTAACTTTTCGTTCTTATTTTAGCAGCATTCTATTTTTTGAAGTGGGTCTTCGGTCATTACTGCCAGTATAACTACTTCCCCTTAAGCAATTGTCAAAAGCCTCAAATGGGCTTTATAACCAATTTGACTCCTGTATGCCAGTATACCATTCTGAAAAATTAAATCTAATTTTAAAACTATCTCTTCATGCACCAGTGAAATATCCATTCAATTATCTTGATGTAACAGGATTTACAAACACAAGATAAATTATCTTAAGGGTATACTGTAAACCTCACCTTTCAAAATAAATGTTACTTATTTGCCTGAAGGAGAATGTGGAGGCCCTCAGGATAATGAATCCAGTCAAATGAGCCAGCTTTCTTCAGATTCAGCTTGATGGCTCAGGAACGATTGATAGCTCAGGATCGATCATTAGTGTTCTCACATCCAATGCTCTTTTTTTTTTGGTTATATATATTTGCTAACTAAAGAATCTAACCTGAAAGTGCCATTTATATCTGTTTTTCTCACTTGAGCACCATAACAATCCTATGAAGAAAGAAACAGATTCAGAGAATTGAAGGGGAAGCAGTACGATTGACTAGTCAGGAGCTCTGGCTTTGGAGTAACCAACATCACCATTTCTGGCTGTCAATCTTGGCTCCTCTGCTTACTTCCTGTGTGACTATGGACAAGTGACTTACCATCTATCTGCTTTGTTTTTTGTATCTATAAACTGGGGATAATGATAGTAGTTATCTTGAAATGAGATGGTTGCATGAGGGGACTTGGTGAGACATGCGTATGAAATGCATAGTCAGTGGCTAACCCATAATAAGCTCTCAGTATATGTTAGCCACTGGCACTCTTTTTCTTTTTATAAACAGCATCTTTTTTTTTTTTTTGAGACAGGGTTTTGCTCTGTTGCCCATGCTGGAGTGCAGTGGTGCAGTCTTGGCTCACTGCAACCTCCACCCCTGAGCTCAGGTGATTCTCCCGAGTAGCTGGAATTATAGGTGAGGGCCACCACGCCCTCTTAATTTTTCTATTTTTAGTAGAGATGGGGTTTCGCTGTGTTTCCCAGGCTGGTCTCCAACTCCTGGGCTCAAGTGATCCACCCGCCCCGGCCTCCCAAAGCGCTGGGATTACAAGTGTGAGCCACCGTGCCCAGCCCATGATCCTTTTTTTTTTTAATGGTCCAAGTAAGTGAAAGAGCTGAGATTCAAATCTGTCTCTGCCGTCTTGCTATTACATAAAATTGGAAAGTTCTGCTTGGTCTACCAAATGCTTCTCCATATGTTTGGAGGTCCCCCTGGGAAACTCTACCTCATTTCTTTATTAAACGATATTAGCTGGCCAGTTGCTCTATACTTCCTCTAGCTTTCATAGCACTTAGTGTGTACCAACATGCTCAGTAGGACTTCTTAATTAGTGAATAAGATTAATGTTGGAACTTGAAGAACTTGAGAGCTTTGGGACATTTGATTCTTGCTCTGGTGCATGGTGGCTGATATGTCACATTTAGTCCTAATATTACTGAACTGACCTCTAGCAATCACACGGTCCTGTCTTCCTTATTAAACACGTCTCTTCTAATAATGACTGTATATTATCATAATCTTCTTTAGTAGGTATTTATTGGACATCTACTATGTGCCGGGTACCATATTAGCATTGGGATATGAAATGACCACAATAGGCATGGTTAACAATAAGACATTATTTCCCAAAATGTAGTGTGTATACCATCAAAGGTGATTTCAGGTTGTACACATGGATGAGTACTTTTTATTTTAATAGTGATTTAAATATCATCATGTTTATTATAATAAATATAATAGTCACAAAGCCTATAATTTCAAAGATATTATTGCTTTGGACACAGTTCAAATAGGTGGTCCCAGGGTAATTCACCTTAACTGGATCACATGAATTATAGATACATGTTCAGTGAATACATGAGATATGGCAAAAATTATAAAGGTCATGCAAATTACTGAAGTACAAGACACTCTACAATAAGCTAACAAATATAAATTTCTTGTTGAAAATCACAATTTTCTGCAAGATTTGTTGTCAAACTACCAATGAATATTTTGTACCCTTCCCCTGGACCCAACAAGTCACAGAATTGAATTTTTCTATGTAAGAGATGGCAGTTATGGGGAAAATAACACTGGACTGAGGTTAGGAGACTTGAACCAGGAGATGTCCTCTTCTGCCACTGGCTCTTGCCCCATGATGCTGGAAAAGCCTTTTCTTCTCTTTAAACCTTTACCCTGGCTTCTGGTAGGTCCTCACCCTATTTCACGAGGGAATGACATGCTGTGCCTGAGAACCCTTTGCAAATAGTAAAGCACAGATAAAAATATAAGGAGTTGGTGACACCCCTGTCTATGTATGTAGGTCTGTGTTATATGCAGTTATGATTATTGGGAAAAGTTAATGCACATGGTTCTCTCTTTGTTTACAATCTGCTGTTTGTATTTTGGTTTGTCTCAGGCTGAAGAAAAGAAAGTCTCGGAGAAAACTCTTCAGACTCCACTTTTGCCTTCCCCTGTTGCGGATCATGTGAAGTGTAACATTCTGAAAGCCCAGTTGGAAAATGCTTCCCGAGTGAACATCCAGGTGCGCAGAATGCATACATTCCTTTGATTTCATGTTATAGGATTTCCTCGATGCCACAGAGAAGAAAGAGGCACCGTAGGACTGAGATGCTGTGTCAGTCAGGGTCCAGTCAGGAGATGAGAACCGGGCATGTGAACCATACCTGATATGTGAACCATGATTTTAATTTAAAAGGATTAGGTACATGAAAGGGTGAAAAGAGAACTTGAAGGCAGCAGTTCTCAAATGTTATTGTGCATAAGTCACCTGGAAAACTGGGCCCTGTCCCCAGAGATTTGGTAAATTGGGGTGGGGGCTCATGAATATTCCTCTCCTCTCCTCTCCTTTCTCTCTCTCTTTCTTTTTCTTTCTTTCTTTCTTGTCTCACTCTGTTGCAAAGGCTGGGCTGCAGTGGTGGGATCATGGCTCACTGCAGCCTCAACCTCACAGCCTCAATCAATCCTCCTGCCTCAGCCTCCCGAGTAGCTGGGACTACAGGCATGCACCATCACACCTGGCTAATTTTTGTATTTTTTTTATAGAGACAGGGTTTTCCTATCTTGGCCAGGCTGGTCTCGAACTCCTGGACTCAAGCAATCCTCGCGCCTCAGCCTCCTAAAGTACTGGGATTACAGGCATGAGCCATTGTGCCAGCCTGAATATGCATTTCTAACAAGCCCACAGGACCACATTTTGGGCCACACAACTCTAAGGTACCAGAGGTAGCAACTGCAGGCCACACTTTCCATCCCTATAGCTGAGGGAACAGAGATGCTGTCAACATTAAAATTTAGATATTTGGAGGAGAAGCCCTGTGGAGACTAAACTCAGACTTCTAAGCAGGGGCCACTGTGCCTGGCGCTGGCATTTCTGAGCTCTTAAGACATGCCTGTGGGTCCTGGACTCAGACTGAGGAGGGGACATCAGCTGGCTGGTGCTGATATGTCTGAGGTGGATACCATGCAGCTGGATCTGCCAGTGTTGGAAAACTGCAAATTGTATTCAGCTGTGACTGCAGGAGGACCTGCTGCTGCCCACAAGAAGCAGCAAGGCTGGGGTGACTCGCAGGAGCAGGAAGCAGACAAGGAGCGCCCCATGTGGACAGAACCTATCATGGAGCCACCTGGCAAAGCAGACATGAGGTTTGCAGGCCCCTGGGCCAGCTCCATAAAATAGATGTTTGAAAGGTGGACTTGGAGATAAAAGTTGCTAGTTTAATAGCTGCCATAAATTCTCCCACTTGAACTCATAACAGGTATCCCTGGTGGACCATGACTCTTTCCCTGTGACCCTAAATGCAGCCTCAGAATCACTTTCTACATGGTGGGCATTCCAAGGAGGTACCACCTGTTGATCAGAGTTGGCACTCAGGTGGAAGCCCACTTGTCATCCTTGTCCTGGAAATATTATAAAAAGCTGCAGTCCGTGATTTCATTAGAAAAATATATAACTATCTTCTTCACCCTGGGCACAGTGGCTCATGCCTGTAGCCTCAGCACATTGGAAGGCCAAGGCGGGTGGATCACTTGAGGCCAGGAGTTTGAGAGTAGCCTGGTCAACATGGCGAAACCCTGTCTCTACTAAAAATATGAAACTTAGCCAGGTGTGGTGGTGCATGCCTATAATCCTACTACTCGGGAGGCTGAGGCAGGAGAATTGTTTGAACCCAGGAGGCAGAGGCTACAGTGAGCAGAGATTGCTCCACTGCACTGTAGCCTGGGCAACACAGCGAGACTCCGTCTCACAAAAAATAAACAAATAAATAATTAAATAAAGTAAAAAATAAGAAATAAATTTTAAAAACTATCTCCTTCATTCCTTATAAACCTAATGTATATGCTTATGTTGCCAAGGGTAAAGTAAATACTCAGTAATCTCTTCTATTATTATTTCCATTTATATATGTAGCAATCTGAATAATTTAGGTCCTTCCAGAACATACCATGAAAGTCAAGAGAAAGCTTACAAAATGTCTTTTATTTGGGGGTTGTGATATAAACAGGAGGCAGTAAGATGTAGAACACAAGTTTCAAAGTCAGATGGTCTGGCTTTGAACCTTGATCTGTGATTGATCAGGAATGTCACCTTAAGCTTGTTTGTCAACCTCTCTGAGCCTTAGTTCTCTCCTATGAAAATGGAGATAACAACATCTGTCAGGTTATTGTGAAGATTACATGAGATTATCTATGCAGAGTACCTGGTGCAATGCCTTGCTCCACCACTGCAGAGGTATTGACAACAGTGGTCACAGTTGTGGCGTGATGAAATTGCTGGGGGCACTGATTGCTTACAGATAACAGTAGTAGCCCTTTTTAGAGGATGGTCAGGTTTATTTCCCATCACAAACTCAGGAATGTCAAGGTTATAGTCACAAATTCTTTATTTTCAGTCTACCTTCATTGATTTCAGGTATGCCATTTTTATACTATCACAGAACAAACAAAACTGACACATATTTTGCAATTTACAAAGCTGTAATTATCTACATTAGAAAGTTGTAACATGTTCCCAATAACCCCATGCTGCAGGTATTATCTGTGGAGGACCCATATTTCTGCTCCATTGGAGAAGTGCAGTATCTTGAAAATATTCTATTTTGTAAAGTATAGGGAAGAGATGACAAATAGGTAAGAACACATTTCCTAGCCAAAAGGACACAGTGGAAGGGCATGAAAGCAGGAAAAAAGCAGGGGAGTGTGAAGTCAGTAATTTGACATTAGCGTTTCCCAAGATGTTATAAGGAACACAAGCCCCACAGGATTCTCCCTGATAATTCTGGAAATGCTGCACATGAAATCCCATGGGACAGTCCCAGTACACATCAGCTTCTTATAGTCTCTGAAAAGTCCTGCAGGAAAGAAGCCTGTTTTACTTTCTTTCACACCTAACTGGCCATAAGTAGCTCCTACTGTTATCTGTAGAACTGAAATTCATAGGAACACAGAAGCATGCTTTGGGAATCCATGGTTTAGAGGGTTTTGAGGGGTTGTGATGGAGGGAGAGGAGGTTGATGCACAGCCAAGTATACTGCTAGGGGTTTAAATGTTAATCCCCTATTGGCATCAGTGCATAGTGAGAGTATAAGGAAAGGAAGCAGAAGTCAAACAGACCAATGGTACTATCTGTTGCTAACTCTAAAAAAGGCTTTGGCTGGGTGTGGTGGCTCATGCCTGTAATCCCAGAATTTTGGGAGGCCAAGGTGGGCAGATCGCTTGAGCCCAGGAGTTCAAGACCAGCCTGGGCAACATGGCAAAACCTCGTCTCTACAAAAAAAATATGAAACAAATTAGCTGCGTGTTGTGGTTTGAGCCTGTAGTCCCAGCTAATCTGGAGGTTGAGGCAGGAGGATTGATTGAGCCCAGGAAGTCAAGGCCGCAGTGAGCCATGATCGTGCTGCTGCACTCCAGCCTGGGCAACAGAACAGACCCTCTCTCAAGAAATAAAGAAATCAAAAACAAAAATTAAAAAGGCTTTGATTAGGATGTAAGACTGGATCTATATGTGGGCAATCTTGACAGGCTAATAATGCCATGTCCTCCAAGCCAGCAGGCTTGAAATCTTTGCTCAATATGTATTTAGAACAGAGGCCAAGCTCTGTATGTTGTGATGGTCGTGAGGGCTGCAGGCCTCTGCATGTTCTATTGACCACTAGTGTGTGGTCAGCTGGCCTGGCTGGCTGAGTGGGTGTCTCTTCTTCCCCCACTATTCTTTGTGGGACTCATCAGAGGGAGGAGGACAAGGTTTCTCTCAAAATCATATGACGTGATTCCTGCCAGGCTGTTATGGTTGTTATGCTGATGTGAAAGGACAGATTCCAAATTCCTTTGTAAACTGTAAGTGCTATGTGAACATAGAGCTGATTATTATTCCTGACCCAAACTGTGAGGTGAAGGATTAAACTGCGGGTTTGGCTTTTCCCACACTATCCCTTTCTAATTCAAGCATGAGCTGGCACGTAGCAGGTGTTCAATAAAAGCATGAATGCAAGAATTGATTGCATCTGAATGATTGTCTTAATCCTATTACTCAAGAAAACATTTTTTGTTAACATATATAAACACCAGTGCAAGATTCTCTATTGATTGAGTACTTGGTGAACTACCTCTTTGGTCCACTTGCCAATTTCTATAATCTTTTGAATGTAAGAGACTTGAAAACATTTTTTGCATGCCAACATATTCAGTTTTGACTAACCTGAATGCTTTCTTTAACAGGGTGGAAAGGAGGAATCACCGTTTGTAAATATCAATAAGAAATCCAGTCTTCAGGACGCTAGTGTAAGGTCTGTTGCTCCTTGTCTGAATGGGGAAATGATATTCTCTGTATCATCAACATTATCCTTGAAACATTGCTCACGAGGGCATTAGCTGATAAAATCAGAGGACAAATAAAACAGAGAATAGGAGCCCAAAGAGATGGAAAAAGACTGGCTTAACTAACTTTCCGCAAGCCTCAAAAATGTTGCTTATTCTCAGTTTTAATATCTCTGCCTGCTGCATTAACAAAGAAATCAATCACTTGGGGTTGTCACTCAAGCAAGTGGGCTTCACATTGCCATCCCCCTGCTTAAAGCCCTTTAAAGGCTCTGTTTACACTCAGAATGGAATCCCAACTCCTTAACAGAGTGCAGGAGGCCAGGCCCTTCAAGACCTGGCCTCTGCTCACAACTCCAGCTTGGACTTGGGCCAGCTTCCCTTGGCCCATTGATGTGCCCTGCCTGCTGAGCTTCTTGTTAGTGCTGGAGCCACATATGTTCCTTTTAAAAATGTATTTATTTAATTATTATTTTTTAAGACAGAGTCTTCCTCTGTTGCCCAGGCTGGAGTGCAGTGGTGCGATCTCGGCTCACTGCAACATCTGCCTCCCAGATTCAAGCAATTCTTGTGCCTCAGCCTCCTGAGTAACTGGGATTACAGGTGCACGCCACTGTGCCAGCTAATTTTTGTAATTGTAGTAGAGACAGGGCTTCACTATGTTGGCCAGGCTGGTCTTGAACTCCTGACTTAAGTGATCCACCCACCCCGGCCTCCCAAAGTGCTGAGATTACAGGTGTGAGCCACCACACCTAGCCTACTTTTTCTTTGTATAAATTTATGGGGTACAAGTGTAACTTGGATCTGTGCATAGATTGCACGGTAGTGAAGTCAGGGCTTTTAGAATATCCATCACTCAAATAATGTACATTGTGCCCATTAAGTAATTTCTCATCATCCACTCTCCTCCCATCCCCTACACATGTTCTTTAAAGCTTCCAGGCCACCACCACCCCAAACCCAGAGGAAGTCCTTCCTCCCCTGATCTCACAGAGAACAGGAACTCTTTCCTTCTTGGCATGGTGGTGGTGGCCTCATTGCCACCTGGTGGTTTACTAACACCAGCAGGGTCTCCTTAGGGTAGTTTCCCAAAATGGGTCCAAGGACCACTGCATCAGAGTCTCTTCTTAAAAACACAAACTCCTGGGTCCTACTCCAGACCTTTTGGATCCTTTGTGTGAATGTGTGTGGTGGGTGTTTGGTGGGTGCCAGTAGAGACAAGAATCATCATGTTAGCGGGCACCTAGGTGATCTAGAACCACTGCTCTGGGGAACTATTATACTCGATGCCAAAAATCAAAGCTAACATTTCTCTGTATCACCTTATGATTCCCAATCTGTGTGCTTGGTATAAATTTGTCTTACTCCTGAGATACATACCCAGCTGCCTCCAGGGCTTTTCAAAAACTTAATTCATCTCTTCCCACTCCACCCCACTAACCTTCACCTGGATTCCATTCTTAGTCAATGGTATTATTACCTACCCCTCACCCAGGCCTGAAACCTGGGAGTCCTTGCTTTTCTCCTACCTTATTCCCTCATCTAATTGGTCACCAAGTCCTGGCAATTTGACTTTCATTTTACCTTCCACATCCATCCTCTTTTCCTCTTGTCTATACCTTGAGCCCTCATTGTCTTCCGGGCCTACTGCTGCCCACAGTCCTCTAAGATGCTTCTGTCCTCCCTTTCACCTGGTCCTCTTCATTGTTCTAAGGACCTTTCTGTAATGTAAATCTGACTATGCCACTCCTTTGCCTAAAACCTTTAGAGAGTTGAGGTCCATTGCCTTCAGTGTAGACTCCTCAGCCTGAGGCCCCATATGACCCGGCCTCGACTTTCCCTCCAGTTAAAACCCTCTGCTCTTCCACTGAGACCTCACCGGATGGTAGTTCTAGTGCCCTGCGTTCAGCCAGGTCTCCACTCTGCCTCTCATCTTTGTGGTCTTCGCTCCATCTGGAAAGAGGAAACTCCTCCACGTAGCTTTCCCCGATGCTGACCGTTCCACCCAAGCAAATTCATGTGCTCCCTCAATAGACTATACGTTCTTCAGGGACCATGTTCCCTTTACTGTGGAGTCGCAGCTTGAGGAAACCATGAGTATAGAATGCATTGACTCAAATCCTCTATTTTCTCATTCATGTGTTTATTCAACATACTTTTTTTTTCTTTTTTTTTTTTTTTTGAGACAGGGTCTCACTCCAGCACCCAGGCTGCAGTGGAGTAGCATAATCATTGCTCATTGCAGCCTCGACCTCCTGGGCTCAGGTGATCCTCCCACCTCAGCCTCTTGAGTAGCTGGGACTACAAACATGCGCCACCATACCTGGCTAATTTTGTATTTTTTTGTAGAAACGGGTATTATCATGTTGCCCAGGCTGGTCTCAAACTCCTGACCTCAAGTCATCTGCCCACCTCAGCCTCCTAAAGTGCTGGGATTACAGGCGTGAGCCACTGCACCCGGCCTCAACATGCATTTGTTAGGCCCCGGCCACATACTTATCACCATATTGAGCACTGACCCAAAAGTGTCAGTTGACTTGCCAGGTGTCCCTTTCAAGGACCTCAACTTGTTTTGATGCCTTGTTGGTCCTAGGAGGTAATGAACTGATTTTTTAAAAATGAAATTAGTCATGACCACTACAAAAATGCATTAAAAATTTTCCTTAAAATTACTATTTTGAGTAGGGTCCATTGGTTACCTGAAATAAATTCTTGAGTAAAGATAAAAGTGACGCTTAATTTTTAGCATTTTCACACATACATGGAATTAAAATGTGTTACAGCAAGTCCTAAAGGTCTTCTGATTATGCATTTTTCACACAAAGTATAGTATGGTTCTTATCTTTTTTTAAAAAAAAAATATAGTCTGTGCTATGTTTAAAATAGAATAGCTACCAGATTACTTGGAATTAAAAACAGGTTATCCATAGGTTTCTCTTCATTTTACTGGCAAAACCTGGTTATGAGCCAAACCCTCATTCTGGTTCACCCCTCATATTGGGGGGCAGGGGTGGCTGTTACGGAGCAGAGAAATTTTATTTTGTACCTCAATTATGTTTAGTTGCCCCATTTGCTATATTTTCTTCCCTATGATTTTTTTCTTACTGTTTGGATTTTCTATGGTTTTAAAATATAATTATAATTATGAACTAAGTACGGTAGAAAGGCAAAAAAAATGGATTTCTTGACTATCAATGTTATTAAGGTGTACATTAACTGAGAAAGCAGTCCCTATGGCTAAAACGAGACCATAAACCTTTTTTGATGGTATTGTTCTGTTTTTCGGTGTGTCTCTAGAAGTCCTATTCCTATTCGTGTGGAAACTGCCCAGCCAGCTGTGGAAAAGCCGGAAATCAAGCCTCCCCGAGTGAGGAAGTTAACAAGACAGTATAGTTTGTGAGTTCTGTACTGCAACTTTTTCAATTAAAACAACTATGATGACTAATTGTTTAGATACAAATGCTTCTTAGCCCTTCTGACTAGTCCCAGGGAGCAGCCCCCAAATTCCATTTATTTCCAATTTAGGTAATAATGAGACTAGCCCTTTCTCCCTGAAAACCTTACATAGTTAGCATAAGGATTCATTATTGACTACTGTGTAATAAATTACTCCCAAACTTAGTGTCTTAGAACAATCCACCTTTATCACCTCACAGTTCCTGTGGAGTGGGGGTCGGGGCATGGCTTAGCTGGGTCTTCTGTATCCGGGGCTCTTACAAGGCTGCATTCAAGGTGTCAGGGCTGCGGTCTCATCTGCAGGCTTGTTTTTACGGTTGCTGACAGGGATCAGGTCCTCAAGGACTCTTGGACAGAGGATGCCCTCAGCCTGTAGTCACATAGGTCTCTCCAGCCTTCTCCATCAGAGAAAGCACATAAGAAGAGCCAGAGAGAGTGACAGCAAGGCAAAGGCACAGTCTTTTGTAACCTACGCACAGAACTGACATCCCATCACTTTTTTTCTTTTTGAGACAAAGTCTTGCTCTGTCGCTCAGGCTGGAGTGCAGTGGTGTGATCTTGGCTCACTGCAATCCGCCTCCCAGGTTCAAGCAATTCCCCTGCCTCAGCCTCCCAAGTAGTTGGGATTACAGGTATAAGCCAATAAGCCTGGCTGATTTTTGTATTTTTGGTAGAGACGGGGTTTCACCATGTTGGCCAGGCTGGTCTAGAACTCCTGACCTCAAGTAATCTGCCTGCCTCGACCTCCCAAAGTGCTGGGACTGCAGGTGTGAGCCACCGCACCTGGCCCCCATCACTTTTGCCATATTCTGTTCATGAGAAGCAAATCCCTATGTCCAGCCCACACTCAAGGGGAGAGATTACACAGGGGCATGAATACTAGGACGGGGATCATTGCAACCCACATCAGAAGCTGCTTTCCACGGCATATCCATGAAAAGGCAGCCCCGTCTGTCAACAGAACCAAAGCTAATCACTGAGCTTTGACACCTGTAGGAGGAGCCATTTCCCAAAATGTCCCAGAATCACCAGGGCACATGTGCACCTGACTGTTCTAGGCATCGTTAGGGAATAGTAAAGTGACTTTGACAATTCCCATCCAAAGACTCACACTTTACTGGAGGGAAAGACAAGAGTCACAAATAATTATAATCCAAAGCAGAAAGATAATTGCTGTAATCAGGGTGGTGAGTACTAGTAATAGTTGTAGTACTGATCACAATGGTATTTCCCTTTTTTTTTTTTTTTTTGAGACAGAGCCTTGCTCTGTCACTCTGTCACTCTGTCACCCAGGCTGGAGTGCAGTGGCACAATCTTAGCTCACTGCAATCTCCACCTCCCGGATTCAAGCAATTCTCCTGTCTCAGCCTCCCAAGTAGTTGGGATTACAGGTGCCCGCCACCACACCCAGCTAATTTTTTTGTATTTTTAGTAGAGACAGGGTTTCACCATGTTGGCCAGGCTGGTTTCGAACTCCTGACCTCAAGTGATCCACCCCACCTTGGCCTCCCAAAGTGCTAGGATTACAGGCATGAGCCACCGTGCCCGGCTTGTAGTTCCCATTTCTTGACCTTAGCTATGGCATGGGTACTGTGCCCAGATGTGTCATTGGTCAGAGAGTAACTGCAGGGGGATCTCTGGACGAATGAAAAGGATGGGGGCTTTGGAGTTGGAAAGGCTTCTGTCAGGCCCCTGGCTAGTTTACAGCTGTAAGCTCTTGGAAAAGTGACTGTTTGATCCTCTCTTCCTTCCTCTGTAAAATGGATGAGATAATACCTGCCTCTGAGGAGTTTTGTGGGGCTTAACATGAGAGAATGTGGGTAAAGCCCCAATACCCTGGCCATAGGATGAGGTCCCCTTTCTTTCTTCTCTAGGACCTGGAAGCTTCTGAGGAAAGATGGAGTTTAGGGGGTACCCAGAGTGCAAAATGTAGGACAGGACACGGGATTCTGGATGCAATTCTCTAACAGCCATCTCAGGTCTGCCATTTGTACCTGTGAAAAGGAAAAGAGGCATGTATGGGGGATATTAAGGGAGATATATCCCACCTCATATCCTTCATAGAAACTTCTGGTCAGCTGCATTTCCTAGGAAAGCCAAAACGAGTAAAGTTCAAATAATTAACAGTCCTAATGATCTCTGGGGGACAATTAAGCCATGACAGTTTGCTTCCCTCGAGGATAAGACTGGCAGAACTTGCCATTCCTTTTACATTTTGAAACTCAAAATGTTACTATCACTCATTTGAGAGATGTAATCATGTTTGAAACAATGACTGGCTGATATATAACCTGGAAGGAAAGGAAATTTCACTAACTCACCAAACTCACTCTTTTTTTTGTTTTTTTTTTTTTTTGATACAGAGTCTCACTCTGTCGCCCAGGCTGGAGTGCAGTGGCACAATCTCGGCTCACTGCAACCTTCGCCTCCTGGGTTCAAGCGATTCTCCGGCCTCAGCCTCCCAAGTAGCTGGGACTACAGGCACATGACACCATGCCCGGCTAATCAAACTGGCTCTTTTAAGGACACTCTTTTTCAAACCTTGAACTTTACATGTGTATTTCTTAAGCTGCCCCAAAGTATTCTGCTTTGAAAATCAAACAATAGCAGCATTTTCCCCATTAGTAGAAAATAGCAACATCCATGGATGAGATTTTCCCAGTGTTATTGTCCCATAAAGAGTTCTCGAATCCTTGACGCTGGCTACCGCTCATTTGCCCATCTTTTTATTATTATTATTATTTTATTTTTTTGAGGTGGAGTCTCACTCTGTCACCCAGGCTGGAGTGCAATGGCTCAGTCTTAGCTCACTGCAGCCTCCGCCCCCTAGGTTCAAGTGATTCTCCTGCCTCAGCCTGCCGAGTAGCTGGGATTACAGGCGTGTGCCACCACGCCCAGCTAATTTTTGTGTTTTTAGTAGAGACAGGGTTTCCCCATGTTGGCCAGGTTGGTCTCGAACTCCTGACCTCAGGTGATCCGCCCGCTTCAGCCTCCCAAAGTGCTGGGATTACAGGCATGAGCCACCACACCTGGCCTTTGCCCATCTCTTTAACTCTTTGATATTGATAAAGTTGGCACGTGATCAAGGAATATAAATGGGAAAACTCAGATCTCTGATTTTCTGGAAAATATTTTTTACATCATCATTTTTGAGATACAGATTTGTGTGCACACATCGCCCTTTTGGCTGTTGTAATATTTCTAGTTCCTAGGCTGGAATAAGGTGTAGTCAGATTTTAGGTTGCTCCACCAAAAGCATTGTAACATTCAGGTGCTGTGAACAAGTCTTCAAACCACTGCTTTTAAAGATACAGACAAAAATCTCAGCCACATTATTTCCTGGAAATATGACAAGGAGGGAAAATGTGGCTGCTACATGCAGTGAGAATGGAGAAGTAGAGGGTCTCTACAGAGAGTTTAAGGCAGGCGAAAAGGTCTTTTTTTTTTTTTTTTTTTTCGGAGACAAGGCCTCACTCTGTTGCCCAAGCTGGAGTGCAGTGGTCGATCACAGCCCACTGCAGCCTCAGGTGATTCAGCTCAGGTGATCCTCCCACCTCAGCCTTCTGAGAAGCTGAGACTACAGGTGTGTGCCACCACATCTGGCTAATTTTTGTATTTTTTGTAGAGACAAGACCAGACCATGTTGCCCAGGCTGGTCTCGGACTCCTGTGCTCAAGCAATCGCCTGCCTTGGCCCCCCAGAGTGCCGGGATTACAGGCATTAGCCTCTGTGCCCAGCCAAAAGTGTCATTTTTTATTGATACCAGCTAGTATGTTTAGAAAATCATGAGCTATTTTATTTTTTTCCAGAAATATAACTTCACTGTTTATTTAAACATAGTGTAAAAGTCTAAAAAAAATTCAATAGTGCTCACTTTGGCATCACATATACTAAAATTGGACTCATACAGAGAAGATTAGCATGGTCCCCCTGCGCAAGGTGGACATGCAAATTTGTGAAGCGTTTCATATTTTAAATTTTTAATTAAATAATAAAATATTTATAAGTTAATTAAAATATTTAAAGAAAAGAAAAAAAAGTAAATAGGCAAGACAGAAGAGAAAAGTAGCCAATTTCCCAGAATCAAAAATAACCAGGGTTCATAGTTGACGACTGTTACATTAGACAAGTTTCTATGCTTATATATTGTTAAAATAGAAACAACTTCAAAGCAAAAAATCATTCTGTATGTAAAATTTTACTTATGAAACTGTTGTTTTATGACTTTATCATGAATTTACCTTAGAAACAGGTAAAATTGGAAGACTTGCTGAATTTTAGATATGCTTCTTGGCCATAAGATCTAAACTAAGACAAAAGATAAAAACCATGATGAATTTGGAGTCTTTTTCAATTTTAGGCAGTGTCAGTTGACTCCCTTCTGTGAAAAATGAGCTATGGTTTTTAAATGGCCTTTTATATAAAACTAAATAATAATAACTATGCTATTGAGGTGATAATTTTTTAAATGAGGTAAAAAGAAATTTTAACCCCGCTCCTCCACTTAACTAGCTTTGCGAACTTGAACAAATAATTTCACAATCAGCTGCTAAATATCATCTGATTCTCTGAAAAATGGAGATGGTAATAGGGTCGGTGTGAAAATTAAGTGGGTGAATGAACGTGTAACCCATCTGACCTATGTCATCTATGTGGATCCAAATACTTGGTGTATTATTAATTTTTCCATGTACTTATTCAATTCTCACCTTTCCCCCTTTTTAGTAATGAGCCCTAAGTCCTTCCCTTGAGGCTTCTCCATACACAGAATAATCTAAAACCTCTCAGGGACCCCTCAGTCAATCCCATCCGCACTGCAGCTTTGTCTCACGGCCTCATGTTCCCACGTGGCCCCGTGCTGGGCTGAGGCCTTACCAGTGATCTGCACAGGCTGCACTGGTGCCTACCTGTCATGGGTCTTGTATCTACACTCTTGAGCTCAGCCATCATTCTAAATCACAACCCCTATGCAAGGGTGGCTCCAGAAGCTCTACATGGCAGATCCTTAGGGACAATGTGCCTGGAGTCCCCAGCACCACCCTTAAAGCAGAGAGTCAGACAGATGTTTGTACACCCATGTTCATGGCAGCATGATTTATAATAGCCAAAAGAGTGGGAACAAGCCAAGTGTCCATCAACAGATGAATGGATAAACAGAATGTGGTATATCCATATAATGGAATTTTTATATTATAAAAATAAATGAAATTTTGATGTATGCTACAATGTGGATGGACCTTAAAAATATTATGGTGACTAAAATAAGCCAGACACAGAGGAACATAGAGTGTGTGATTCCACTTATGTGACGTTCCTAGAATAGGCAAATTCATTGGGACAGAAAGTGGAATTGATGTTACCAGAGGCTGCAGGGAGGGGCTTGGGGAGTTATCGTTCAATATCAATACAGAGTTTCTGTTGTCACTGATGAAAAAGTTTTGGGGACAGATAGTGGCAATGGTTGCACAATATTGTGAATGCATTTAATGCCACTGAATTGTATATTTATAAGCAGTTAAAATGATAAATATTATATTGTATATATTTTACCAACAAAACAAAACAACACCCTGGCAAATGACAGAAAATTCACCCCAATTTGTTTTGGCAAAAAAGTCAGAGTATTGGATCCTGCAAGCTGGACATCTGGTGGACATCTGTTTGGGAACCCCCAATCCCCATCCCTGGTCTTCCCACCCCTGCCCATCCTCCGTCCACTCCTCACAGCCTGTTTATTATTGTAATGAGCAGAGCTTCATGTGCTTTTAGTAACCGCAGTGATGAAGACGACCTCCCTCCAGACCTGGCCGAGGCAGTGGGAGTGACCACATCTACAACCACAAACACCACAACGGCCGCCACACAAGTCTCCGTGCCGCTGCCGTCCCCCAAGGTCCAGAATGTCAGCTCGCCTCACAAGTCAGAAGGCAAAGGCCTGCTGTCCCCTGGGGCCAAGGTATTGGGGGGTGGAAAGCCCTGGCGAGCAGCCACACTTGCTGGGAATTCAGTATCAATTTACTGAGTAGCATCTGGTGCATGTATTTAAATTTTGCATAATCAATTGTGTATACTCATAAAACAACAGCAACAACCAGAACATGTTTTTATATAACTTGACCCCAAAATACAAGCCAACCATTTGTGAGACAATGAGTGAAATATAAAATCAGGTTCATTGTACTTTAATTGCAATGTAAGAGATTTTTGAGGGCAGTTTTCATTTAGAATCTCATCTCTATAATAAGCTATTAGTCCACTGTAAAGATAGAAAGAGAGAAATGATTCCCCCCCAACCATAGTGAACAGTTTGGAGGAGCAAAAACATAGAAGTGTCCCCATCCCTTCCCTTATGTCATATAGCCGGTGTTAGTAGTTTGAAAATAGGAAATATTATTCCATTTGCTGGTTTGAAATTTCAGGAAATTGCCTGAGATGTGAATGGGCTATGACAAAGGCTTTACACAAGATGTTTCTCTTGGTTTTCTTTGAGAGACCTCTAGCTACGATTACTCTTTGGCAATTGGTCCAAATACAATTGAACCTATTGCTGTCCAAGTGGATTCAAGTCAGAGGTTGCAGTGGTTCATGTGACTACACAGAGAAAAGGTGCGTGCAGGAGGCAGGTGCCCTGAAGGCAAGACCGGAGCTTCAGAGGCTGTTCCCAGCTCTTCCATTCATAAGCCACAGCACTCACTTCCAAAACCTTTATTTCTTCGAGCCTCAATTTCTTCCTCTTAAAAATGGGAATAAGATCTGCTATCTTGCCCTGGCTGGCGTCAGGTTCAGTGGAGGTTAAAGTGCTCATGCAAACTGGATGCCTGAGGCTTTTGCAGCTTCAGGGATCACAATTCCTGGTGACAGCTGAAGAATAATGGTCCAGGGCCACCTCCTGCATTACCAAGGCCAGTCTTTCACCTGGTGCCTTCCCTGGGTGTCTCTGGAAATATCTCTGCTTAGTGTTCTGCACAGAAACCTGCCTGGAGTGCTCAGCCAGCGACTGGCCAAGATCGAGGTTCTCTGCTTCTCTATAGATCACCTCCACCTATTGGCATCTCAGCCTGGATTATCCTCCACTGTGTGGAGCCCCCTGTACAACTTTGTCTCAGGTGTGGACCCAGGCTCCTATCACATATCCCACACTGTGGTTAAAACCAGGCTGAACGAAACATTTACGAAACAGAAGGGGGTTGGGGTGGCGTGGAGGGGATGCAAGTGGCATCCCACCAAAGGCCACAGGGCTCCCTCTCCTGGCCATCTCTCTCCTTGGGGCCTTGCTTGAACCACGTTGATGGGACTTCTTTTTTCTCCCTTAAAAGACCTCGAGGCCATCCATGCAGCTAAGACCCCAGAGCAGGAGGGCAAAACATTTTCCAAAAGCAAGCAACATAATCCACATGCCATCACCTGCCATGAAGATCATTGCTCTTAGTGTGCAGATCAGTTTAGCTCCTGGAGGACCCTGGATTTGATCCTCTTAATCTAGGACAAGGTCTTTGCTCTCTCTTTATACATTCAGAGGACTCTTTCAAGTGTTTTTTCCCCAAAAGACCAGTAGAAAAGCACTAAGAGCACTTAAGAAAAGCGGCCCGCAGCTCTGAAAGGGACAGCTCTCTGCACCATGCCTACTTCTACCTATGAAAAAATTGGGGTTCAAGTCTCAACATTTTGTACACTACTTGGTGAGGGAAATACAAGGGGATTGTCATTGCTAATGAGATCAGTGTAGAGGAGAGGCTGGGAACCTCTGCCTGTCTTTTCTGGTGAACTTTATCATCAATGCAGTGCCGTCTCTAACCAGGGGTGTTTGTCTGTCTCCCTAGAGCCCCTCTGACCGAGGAGGTGCCTTTACCCTGGAGCCGGGTGATCTTCTGATGGATTTCACAGAAGCCACTCCTCTGGTAAACTTCCTATTTTGCTAAAACCAGAAAAGTCACAGACCATAGAAACATCTTGGCAGTGGGACGGATGGACAGAGGTGGGCATTGCTGTTGAGGAGCCTCTTCCTCTTGTCCTGGAGGCTCAGGGATCAGCTTTCATCCAGGGGTCA
This sequence comes from Homo sapiens, assembly GCF_000001405.40. Taxonomy (NCBI): domain Eukaryota; kingdom Metazoa; phylum Chordata; class Mammalia; order Primates; family Hominidae; genus Homo; species Homo sapiens. Next base: position 109,192,128 of record NC_000009.12, on the reverse strand, counting down.
GGCACTGTGGGTCCCTCCACCTCTAGAGCCCTTGAGGGAGGAAGGGGTGCTCCTTTGCTCCGAGGGTAGTTGTGGGGGTCCTGCCCATGCCTGTCTACTGCACTTCGAGTGTTATAGGGCTCCTCGGTGTTTTGTTCTCGGCTTCTTGGCTTCCTGGACTGCGCCCTGCATGCCCACCCGTGGGGAATCTCTTGCTGTTGCTTCCGACGATCCATCTGGTCTGAAGCACTGGCTCAAGGCCACACCCCAGCTTTCCAGGCCCCTCGCACCTCCTGCCATCTTCCATCCTCTGCATACAGGTCTCCCCTTAGGGATGGCAGCCCTTGTGGGACTCCTGCAGGTGAGAAACCCTTTTCAGGGAACAAGTAAAGGGCCTGGTGGGTCTGAGAATTAGGGTCAATTTCCAAAAAAAAAACATGGTGGCTTTGACAAGAGTGATGAGATTCCCTTAGAGATCATTGTGTTGCAGGTCCAGCTTGTAGATTTAATTACTTATAGATTTAAATGGTCTTTTCTTTGTTTGAACTGAACAGGCTGAGATGAGAAAGGAAGCAGCATCTGGTAGGGAATTGGAGATGCCGTGATCTGAGGGGCAATGCCTGCCAAATGACTGTCCAGCCTCTGCTTGCACCCCTTCAGTAATAGGAAGCTCATTCTCTCTCCCCAAGACACGCTGCTCACATCTCAGGGTATCTCCAACTAAGCTATGAAATGGGTATGGGCCTGTTTCACTGCTCAGGCATGGGACAACTGAGGTCCTTGCACTGCACTGAGACACAGCCACCACTTCACAGCTGAAGTTTGCAGTGAATGTGTGTCCTCAGGATAAAGCATCCTTTGAGGCATGAGTGCATGTATGCAGGCCTCAGGGAGAAGGTATCCTGGGCATCTAGCTTTTTGGCAAGAGCTTCCTCCATTTTGGGCTTTCCTTGGTACCATGGGCCTTGACCTCACTTTGTTCCAGAATCCTATTTCCATGAGCGCCAAAGGGTCCTAGAAGGGAAGAGGGGACTCCAGCCATCTGCTTCTCCCTTTGGTCCTCCTCCCTCCATCTGCTTCCCCCAGCATCAGAAATGCAAGCAGCAGCCCTCCTACCTGTTGGTAGGGTGATGGACAGGTCTCTATCTCAGGGGACCAGGCCTGCCTCCGCAAGTCAGTGTCCTGGATGCTGCTGATGAGGGCTGCAGAGGGGCTTCCTTATCCATGGGAGGAAGGAGCCAGAAGTAGAGGGAGGCAAGGGTGACCCCCGTGCCTGACTTGTGACCAGGGCTTCCTCAACTAACTGGCCCCAGCCTATCAGGTGGAACAATGCCTTGGGACCATCTCATCCAGTCCTTCACATATAGATGGGAAAACCAAGGCCCAGACAGGGGCAGACACTTGTCCCAAGTCACATAGCAAGTGTGTATCAAAGCCAGTTCTAGAACCTAGACTCTGGGCTGCCATTCCAGTGGCAGATGGCCCAATCCAGGATGTGTCTGTGTCTTTCCCTGTTAGCCAGTACCCTCCCTCAAAGCGGGTCAGATGCCCTGGTCTCAGTCTGGGCTGTGGGACAGCCCTGGGACCATCTCCAAGCTGTCAGCCCAGGTTTGGTCCTCAGAGTTGCTGAGTGGAGCATGAGGAAGGGAAGTGCTCAGGTACCTTGGTCTAGGAGACTCAGCCTGGATGAGCTATGGTTATTTTGCCACCAGCCCTGTGCCCTTTGCCTGTGGCTGCTCTCTCTGGGCCTTCCCATCAGCATTTCCTGCTGAAGAGGAAGCAGCCCTTTACGGGCATGAATGTCAGAACTTCCCATGTGCTACTCATCACACAGGCAGTGAATTACCCCTCCTTGGTGAATACTTTTTCCATGTAGTCATTTCCCAAGCTTACAGCCTATCTCTAGCCCCCTGCCTCCTACTGGATGAGACTCCTGAGGCCCCACCACTATCCTGGTCCCTAGGCCCAGTGCTGGACCAACAGGGAACTGGAGATCTTGCCTTCATTCAGCAACGTTCCACCAAGACACTATCAGAACCAGCGTAACCTAGCCGAGCGTGGTAGTATGTGCCTGTAATCCCAGCTACACAGAAGGCTAAGGCAAGAGAATCATTTGAACCCAGGAGGCGGAGGTTGCAGTGAGCCAGGGTCACGCCACTGCATTCCAGCCTGGGCAACAAAGCGAGAGTCCATCTCAAAAGAAAAGAAAAGAAAAGAAAAAGCTGGGCATGGTGGTATTATTCCTGTAATCCCAGCACTCTGGAAGGCCAAGGCGGGTGGATCACCTGAGGTCAGGAGTTCAAGACCAGCCTGGCCAACATGGTGAAACCCCATCTCTGCTAATAATACAAAAATTAGCTGGGCATGGTGGCACACATCTGTAGTCCCAGCTACTTGGGAGGCTGAGGCAGGAGAATCGCTTGACCCCCAGAGGCAGAGGTTGCAGTGAGCCGAGATCGCGCCATTGCATTCCAGCCTGGGCAACAAGAGTGAAACTCCGTCTCCAAAAAAAATAAATAAATAAAAAGAAAAAGAACTAGCATAAGCCTTTCACTTTTATCACTCTTGATACTTGTGGCCGGTCTCTGTGTAGAGTGGTTTTCAAAGAAGCACAGTCCAAAGAGCCCAGATTAATAAAAAGTTTCAATCTGGAACAGGCATCTCTCAAAAAATCATTAAAGAATATTACATTAACACCTCCTGTAACACATCTTGATCTCTTTTTGCCTTTTCTTTTATTCTCTTACATTCCTGCTTGACTCCAGGGACTTTCATTCCCAAACTCTCCACAAAGAAACACTCTTTCCAACTTCGCTTTTGTAGGTTTCTTCCCCCTCCTTTTCCCAAACCTTTTCCTCTCTAATCCCCAACTCTTTTATTAGGTAGCTCAATTTAGCAATCTTAAGCTTTAGAACTTTTGCAGCTTCACGTCTTTCCATTTCCGATTCTGTATCAGAGTTCGTAATCAGATCTGAATTTCTGCCTGGGTTGCAAGAGGTGGAATACGTGGGTGAGAAGGGAAGGAGGCAAGTGAGTCAAGACAGCACCTGCTCTCCAGTTGGTATTTTCTTTAGGATGTGAATGTGAGCAGGTGCTTGGGGGCATTGGCGTTGACTGAGCGAGGGGAGTTGGGGGAGGGTACATTGATGCATTAGTGATGTTCACCCTAGAATGCGGAGTCCTGCACGCTACTCCAAGTCTACCGTGCTAGCTTCCCTCCCCAGGTAACACAGACCATGAATACCTGTGCTTTCTGTGTTCTTTACGCTTTCTCTTTGGGGCTCGTCCCTCTCTGATCCCCATGCTTCATGAACCACTTACCCAACTGCAAAGCAGAGCCAATTAACACCCAGATCCCTTCTGGGCCATGACATGTTAGTCAAAAGTTCATGTGTCTGGAAGGACAGGGCCCTGGCCAGAGGAAGGCTGTGTAGGGCATTGGAACAGGCCCTGGGTTAGGTGTTAGAAGGGAGTTTCCATCTGGTGCAATAACTTACTTTTATTTTGAACTTAATTATACCAGCAGGGCTGAAGCTGAATCTCAAATTAAATTAGGGTACCCCTTCTGTGATTTTGGCTGTGTTCCCTAGGGCACAGGGAGGTGGAGAGAAATCTATTTAGTCCATGATGTCATCTGTTCACTGATACATCTAGGCCTCTCTTTGGTTCTTTCGTGGCTGTTTTGGGTGGGTGGAGATCACTCTCCTGCCAGGATGTGTGACTCTCTACCTGTTGGACAACATTCTGTTTGGAGGCCACCCTGTCCTGGGGCCTGCCATCTCCTCAGCTCTACCTGAGGGGGTTGGCAGGGCTGGTTCTTGCTGCTCTTCAGTCCCTGCTTCCCAGCCTCAGTGTCTGGAGAAAGTTGCACAGGGCCCCTTTGCTCGGTACTCACTAAAGTCTACTCCTCCTCCCTTTCCCTCTGACTTTTCTCTCCAATGGTCAAACTAGCCATCTCTTTTCCTATCTGGATGATGAAGAAGCCTTACACATTTTCATCATCATGTATCTATGCAGAGAATCTTTCTGTTTCCCCGAGAGTCAGATTTTGAACTCAAAAGCCAAGCATGTACAGATGAATGTAGCTGCTTGCCTGCAGAAAAGACCCAAGGAAGAAAGGAAATACTAGGAGAAAAAAATTAAGTGGTATTCCAAAATAGCCTTTGATTCCATGTGTTATCTTATTTCCTTCTCACGTAACAACAGTCTGGAGCGTGGGAGCCCCAGGATGTTCTTTTGTTTCAATCCAATCAGATGTATATTGAGAAAGGTCAGAAAGGCTTGTGCGGTGGATCAACACTTCTTTACCACGAAAGTCAAATGCTGGACCATCCCTTAAGGCGCTCATTATGTTCTTCAGTTGGTGGCCAGGACACATTTTGGCTTCTAGGCAGTGTGGCCATGTTTCTTGGTCATTTGTGCCAGCTTTTATTTTCTTCAAAAAATACCCATTGCGTGCCTGCTATCATCAGAGAAGAAAAGACCCAGTGGCCTGGGTCCCCTGTTGTAGTTGTTTCTGGTTGGAGTATGGATGCCCTGGGGCAGTAGTGGGAACTGTTCCTGAGGGTAGCAGGGAGACATATTTCTGCAGGATATACCCTGAGGTCCATAGAGAGCAGCAGGAGGGTTTTAAGTAGTCTGGTAAAAGTTAACTGCAGGTGACTCAGATGGATTCACTTGACTAAAAACTAGATTTAGAAACAGTCAACAAAATGAACCATGGACTAAGACTTTGCAAATGCAATTTCTACATCTCCCAAATTTGAATAGTAAAACAGGCCATCGTGAAGACCATTGTGAGATAATAGTTGTAAAAAGCCCTTTGGAAATTGTCCAGGACTGCACAATTGTAAAGAGGACAGAGATAGATCACTTTGGAGACGGAAAAGAGGCTGGCAATTTTCTTGATCATTTTTCTATGAAACTTACCCAGGGGCTGTGTTTTATTCTTCACAGCAGGATGATATCAACTATTTAAGGAAACTCTCTTGAGATAAAAGACGTGTATATTTGTTCTCTGGAGCAAATGGTCCCTCCCTGAAACCCAAAATAACCCTGTCCGTGGTTCCCTCTCCTAACATCAAGCATCCTCTGTCCTCCAACCTCATCCTCACCAGTACAAGCTGTTGGACCTCTGCTGGGCGCATGGTGCTATTCAAGGATAAGGTGGAGAACCCTGCGTATCCCAAAGGATGTGGCACTTTTTTCACAATGTTTGGTATTTTCCAGCTAAGTAGCAGGGTGTCCCAGTGTCAAACGAGATGCCACGGCTGGGCCCATGCATCTCGTCATGGGTCAGGGTCAGTTTGTTTTCTGAACACAGATAACAAAGAGCCAAGACATATGAAATCCTCAACTATATGTTACAGCTGGGCACAATGGATCATGCCTGTAATCCCAGTACTTTGGGAGGCCGAGGAGGTGGGGAATCTCTTGAGGCTGGGAGTTCAAGACCAGCCTGGGCAACATAGTGGGACCTCGCCTCTATAAAAAAGAAAAATTAAAATATTAGCCAGGCATGGTGGCACATATCTGTAGTCCCAGCTACTCAGGAGGCTGAGGCAGGAGGATTGCTTGAGCCCAGGATTTTAAGGCTGCCATGAGCTGTGATCACACGACTGCACTCCAGCCTGGGTGACAGAGCAAGACCCTGTCTCTTAAAAAATATGGCATGGTAGCTCACACTTGTAATCCCAACACTTTGGGAGGCCGAGGCGGGTGGATCACTTGAGGTCAGGAGTTTGAGACCAGCCTGGCCAACATGGTGAAACCCTGTCTCCATTAAAATTACAAAATTAGCTGGGCATGGTGGTGCATACCTGTAGTCCCAGCTACTTTGGGGGCTGAGGCAGGAGAATCACTTGAACCTGAGAGGCAAAGGTTGCAGTGAGCTGAGATCATGACACTGCACTCCAACCTGGGTGACAGAGCGAGTCTCAAAAAAAAAAAAGGGAAATGAAACGATATGTTTCTCCCCATGATATATTTCTTTCCTGGTGCCCTCTGTTGATATCCACTCACTGACATACCACAGTGTGTGCCCTTGTTCAGCAGAGTGCAGGAGGGCACTGAGCATGGAAGGCAAATGCTTCAAGTGTGTGGCCACTCCTCACTTCCTCCATGGCTCACATCACTAAGTCATCCTGGCTATCTTTCTGGCTTGGCCTGGGCAATGCTTCAGAACCCTCAACCGCGTGCCAAGAAGCCACTACCTGTCCTGTGCAGTTGGCACAGGAGATAGCCTCTACCTACCAGGCCTGGGAATGGGGTCTTGGTATGTCATCTGCTCAGATGATGGAGACAACAGATGAAAGACAGAAAGGAGAAAAGAAGGCTGAGAGAGAGGGTGGGGGGTGGGACCAGAAGCCAGTTGGCCAGAGCCTGGAAGTAGGCTGTGGGTGAGGCTGGCTTGAGAACAGTCTGGAGTTGCCAGATCTGTCTTGCACTGTGCTGTCTTTCTCTCCTTTCCCTTCCCCTACCTCCTCTTCCTCCTCCCCTTCTCTTGCCACCTCCTCCTCCCCTTCTCTCCTCTCCTCGTGAGCAGGCAGAGCCCGCCAGCAACCCCCACTGTGCCCACTCTCGCTGTTCTCCTCCACTCTCTCTCCCCATGAAGGAAGAGACCACTGGAGTTTGCATGTACCCTCCAATCAAAACGAGGCTGGTAGGTACCCTGGCAGGGAGAGGGGCCTGGCCAGGAGAGGTGAGGTGGGCAGGAGCCACCAGGCGAGGTGGAAGCCTGGGTGGGCGTGCAGAAGCCCCAGATCTCGGGCAGAGCCCATCGACAGGTGCCCTCACTCCAGATGGATGGAGGATTTGGAGTCCAGCTGGCCCTGGTCAGTTTGGAACATGCAGCTATGGAGCCCACTTCGCCTCTAGGTCTCAAGAATCAAGAAGAGTTTGTTTTCCTAGAATTTTGATGAGCATAGATGCTTTCCCCAGAGAGAAATATATGCTTTGGTACTCACCAGACGGACTCTTATGTTGCATTTCTATTGAAAATAAAACTTCTTTAAACTTGTCTTCTTCTGCTATTTATCAAGCTAATGATGTAATAGGAGTGCTACCTGACAATGTGAACAAAATTACCTGTCATCCCAATTTAGCATGATTTTTTGTCATTTTTACATATTTCCTTCTATTTATTCATATCATTCATAATTTTACATAGTTAAATCATAGTAACCATATTCTCTCCTGTTTTCCTCTTTTCACTTAATGCTGCTATGTTGTTTCTAGCTTGTTCTTGTTACCACATTATATGACTATTTGTATTTCATCAAGTGAATGGTCTACCATTTATCTAACACATTCTTTACTACAGGATGTGCGCTTTGTTCGCAGTTTGTCATTATTTGGGAGAACACATATAGCTTTTTGCATCAGGAATTTTATTTTCTTAGGCTATACCCTGCTGGATTAAACATGGTGACTTTGGCTTTTGCCCCCTTTCTAAAGTGGTTGTGCTAACAGATAGTGCCATCAGAAGAGAGTGACTTTGCTTTTCTCCACAGCCTTAGCAACACAGAGTGTAATTGTTGAAATCTATTTTTCTAATTTACAGCAGGTATAAAATAATTCTTTGAGATTGCTAACTTTCACCTTTCTTTCATAGCAATAATAAACCACTTTCTGGCAGGGCACAGTGGCTCACGCCTGTAATCCCAGCACTTTGGGAGGCTGAGGCAGGCAGATCACCTGAGGTCAGGAGTTTGAGTCCAGCCTGGCCAACATGTAAAACCCCAACTCTATTAAAAATACAAAAGTTAGCTGGGCATCGTGGCACGTGCCTGTAATCCCAGCTACTCAGAAGGCTGAGGCAAGAGAATCATTTGAACCTGGGGGGCGGAGGTTGCAGTGAGCTGAGATTGCGCCACTGCACTCCAGCCTGGGTGACAGAGTGAGACTCCGTCTCAAAAAATAAATAAATAAACCACTTTCCCTTTCTGCTTCATGATGATCTGAGAGTCTTATCTGTCTGTTACTTTCTGCTAGGATATTGGTCTCAGAGCACCATGCTGACTCAATAGGCAACAAGAGGAGAATGTACCCCAAGACTTCACCCCAAGGGTCCTTCTCTCACCTGAGTCAAAAAGGCAATTTCAGGCCTATTCTGGCAATTTTGAGATGTGTAAAGAGACCAAAGAAATTTGGGGGAAGGGGAGCAGGCTTGGGCTGGACATCTCAGTACACGTGGCAAGGATATTGTCATCCCCACATGGGGGAGACTTGCTTTACCCATTTGGGAAAGCTTGGCTGATTTGGGTCTGAGCTAATGTGTTCTTACTCATCCCTGCCTCACCCTCCCATTGGAGCCACTGAAGAGCATTGAGTAGCTATCCCAGTGTCCACAGGCAAGACCTCGAGACACACAAAGCCTGCTGCCCCTGGGCAGTGGTGGCCTTGGTGTCTTGCCTGCAGCCCTCTGCTGGCGGGTGGTATGGTATGCATTCACCAGCAGGTGTGCAGACAGTTTCTGTCCCCCAGGAATGTGCACAAAGCTGGTGTCAGAGTCATCTGGTTCCTGGGCCTGATGACGTACCCTAGGCCAGCTTGAAAAAATAAGCCCTTCCATTTCCCAAGTTCTCCAGGAGGCCAAAGACAAAATGACCAAAGAGAAAGACATGGAAGTCAAGAGTCTTTTTCACCACCACTACCTGATCAGCTGTTCGTCTGGCCTTTTTCAGACTAGCTCAGTACTACAGGTACTCCCAGCACTGGGCATCTTTGTGCATCAAGCCATCTGTTCCCAAAGGCCGTGGGGGCAGGATTCTCCCATGCTTCCACGGGTTTCCCTGAGGTCTCCCTCTACTGGCCAAAGCGTACAGGGAGTCCAGTAACTGAAGTGATTAGACAGGGAATACTTTCTAGCTTAATTAGCCCAGCCGCCTTGTACCCTGCCTGCTGTAAGAGACCGTGTCCCAGGATGTGACCTCTCAGCAGCCTCTAGGCCATTCCCACAGCTATGGAGAAGTCATCAGAAGCCACCTCAGGCAACTCTGACTCCCTCATTATCCACCTTGATTGTGGCTTTTTATGAGTCAGGCCTGGAAAGCCAAGCAGATCCCGCTGAAGGCAGCTCCAGGGGGAGGCAAGTGTGGGGGCGCTCTAGGAACACGAGACTCCAGGCTGTCATCCCTGCTGAGGCCCGTCCTGCAGTCCAACTCCAGGCACAGATACAACCACCAGCTCACACTCCTGAGGGACCCTTTGTATGTGCCCTTACACGAGTGATGAAGGCTCTGCGGGGGCACCCCTGAATCCTTTGGTTCCATTTTAAAGGTGCGCTGCCAAAGATTGCAAAACTTTGTTTTCTAATCTGAAGGTAACCCCCTTGTCTTTCTCTCTTTTGAAGATAAAAACATTCCCGGTTGATACAATGAACCCGTTTCCTGATACTTTCACCACAGGGCCACAGTTTACTGTAAGTAGATCCAGAAAACAGATGTGCATTTTAAACCCTTGTTCCCATGCGGTGTGCTTTTCTGCGGGATGCCAGACAGCAAGGTCAACCGCTTCTTTTGATCACCGTTGAACTCTGTGAGGTTGGGAAGAAACTTGGATTTGCAGTCTGCCTCTATTTTATTGATGTGACATTGACATAAAATTAACCATTTTAAAGTGACAATTCAGTGACAGTACATTCACAGTGTTGTGCAGTGACCACTTCTATCAGTTCCAATACATTTTTATTGCGTCCTCCAAAAACCTCACACCCATTAAGCAGTTCCTCCTCATTTTCCCTTTGTTCCTACCTGCTGGCAACCACCAGTCTGCATTCTGTGTCTGTGGATTTACCTAGTCTGGATATCTCATATAAATCAATTGTATCATATGTGACCTTTTGTGACTGGCCTCTTTCACTTAGCATAATGTATTTGAGGTTCATCCACGCATGTATCAATACTTCATTTCTTTTTTTGTTTGTTTGTTTGTTTTTGAGACGGATTGAGATCTGTTCTACTGCCAAGGCTGGAGTGCAGTGGCACGATCTCGGCTCACTTCAACCTCCACCTCCCAGGTTCAAGTGTTTCTCCTGCGTCGGCCTCCTGAGTAGCTAGGATTACAGCTGCTTGCCACCACGCCTGGCTAATTTTTGTATTTTTAGTAGAGGTGGGGTTTCATTACGTTCGCCAGGCTGGTCTCCAACTCCTGACCTCAGGTGATCCACCTGCCTCAGCCTCCCAAAGTGTTGGGATTACAGGCGTGAGCCACCATGCCCAGCCTCATTTCTTTTTATGATGGAATATTATTCCATTGTATCTATATACTGCAATTTGTTTATCCACTCATTTATTGGGGGTTTTGGGATTGTTTTCACCTTTTGGCTATTGTGAATAGTGCTGCTATGCATATGTGTGTACATGTATCTGTTTGAACACCTGTTTTCAATTCTTTTGGGTTGGATCTTGATAATGGTGTGGTCTTAGGTAGGTCACTTTACTACCCTGACCACCAGCAGCTTTTTCTTTTTTGCTTTTAGAGATGAGGTCTCACTATGTTGCCTAGGCTGGTCTCGAACTCCTGGGCTCAAGTGATCCTCATACCTTGGCCTCCCAATGTGCTGAGATTACAGGCATGAGCCACCATGCCTGCCCCCTCTTCTTACTTAAGGTGAAAGTAGTAGTAAGAATATCCTCCTCATATCCTGTTGGGGCAAGGATCAAAAGGGACCAAGAATTTGAAAGTGTTTTACCAACCACAAAACATCCCACACCTGTCAGTTATGATTGTTGTTTCTCAAGGCTGGAGAGGCAGGGTGCTGTGATGAACAAGAACCAGTCACCCTGACAACAGACTTCTTGTCACCACCTCTCTGGGTGTCACTGGGCAGCTTATTTATTCTGCCAAGGCTAGGCACAGTGGCTCATGCCTGTAATCCCAGCACTTTAGGAGGCTGAGGTGGGAGGATCGCTTGAGACCAGAAGTTCGAGATCAACCTGGGCAACATAGAGAGACCCTGTCCCTACAAAATAATAATAATAATAAATTAGCTGCCTGTAGTCCCAGTTACCCAGGAGGCTGAGGCGGGAGGATCTCTGGAGCCCAGGAGGCTGACGCTGCAGTGATCTATGACTGCACCACTGGATTCCAGCCTGGGCAACAGAGTGAGACCCTGTCTTGATTTTTTAAAAAATTCTGCCAAATGTTTAAATCCTGTAGTTTCCTCATCTACAAAGAGAGAGTTTGATAATGTTCATGCTTCTTTTCAGGGCTCAACTCATTCTTTAAATGAAAGCTTCTGCAGAAGCTCACTGTATAATGAGCAATTAGATGGAGCAGAAGTGAGGAATCTGGGGTCCACACCTCCTTCCTCTCACTCTGTCCTCCTCCCGGGAACCAGAGCTTGCAATTTCTATGATCCCTGAAGCTCCTTCCGAAGGGTTTTTGTGCCATCTGGAGGATCTGTGAGGTGGGCTGTGGGTGGCTAAAGGTAGCTCTAAGTGCAGTCTTACGAGATGGATGATGGCCACTACCCAACATGGCTTCAGCCACACAGGGAGGGAGAGAGCAGTGGCTGATTCAAGTTTCAGAGGATGAGCAGAGGTGGGAAGGTGTCCAGCAGGGCAGGCGGAGGGAAAAACAGGTTCCTAGAACAGTCCATTTCTAGGGTCATGAGCTGCTTCCAGCATCTGCCTTTTAAGAATGAGAGGGCAGAGACATGGGGCTCTGCCAGAATGTTAGATGCTCTTTCCCTGACACTCGTCCTGGCTCCCTGCAGTCTTGCTGGACACAGCTCCCCAGCTGGAAGCTCCGGCTCCACCTCCCTTGGTTGGCCATAGTGGGGCACTCTGGCCTTCTGCCCAGCCTTGGCAGTGCTGTGAGACACTCAGGGAAGCCCTTCCCGAAAGCTGGGGGCCAAGATGGAGCAGGAAGCCAATGGCAGAAACCATGCTGGGACTTTTAAGAACTGAGCAAGAGTGGCTCGAAGACAGCTGGAGCAGCAGAGGGAACAGCATGAGCCAGACCCCCAGGGCGGGCGGGGTCATCACACATTCAAGGGACTGAAAAACAGGCCAGTGGGACTGGGATGCGGAAAGCAAGCAGGGCTGGGTGAGAGAGGAGGAAGGGGATGTAGGTGGTGATAAAACTGGAGGGGCACAACCATGTTGGCCTTGTAGGCCACAGTAGGGATTCTGATCTCCATCCTACGAGCAACAGGAAATCTTTGAGGGACTTTGAGCAGGGCAGTGACAGGGCAGATGCACTTGGAAGGGATCCCTGTGATCACAGTGGGAGGACAGTGGCATCCAGGCAGAGTGGATTCAGGACAGTAGCCTGGAAACGCAGGACAGTGGCTTAAGGGAGAGAGAGCAGAAAGCTTGACCCACAGTGGTTTTGCTGGTGGAGGTGGACAGAAGTGCACAGATAGGGAAGATATTTAGGAGGCTGGTAAGATTCAGGATTAGATGAGGCAGAGAGAGGGTCAGAAATGGTTCCCATATTTCTGATTTGCAGAATGTGGATGGACAGTGGGTCCATTCACTGAGATAAAGAAACTTGGAAAAAGACTTGGTTGGGAGAGATGAGTTTGCCTTTGGCCATGATGGATTAGAAATGCCTTTGAAACATCCAGGTGGACACAATGAATGGGCAGTTGGAAATCCAAGTCTGTAACTCAAGAGAGTGGACTAGACTGGAAACAATGACTAGGGAGGCAGTGACAGGTAGATGGTAACAGAAGCCAAGCTCATGGGCTTCAGCTTCTCAATTTTCTCACCCCTGTGTGTAGTGTTCTCATCTCCTTCCTGCCAAGATCATGACACTTGAACTTTCTGCAGGTTTGGCCTCTCCACAGGCCTCCAGACCTATCCTGGCGACAGTGACAGGGGTTGTTTAGCAGCGCTGGGAAGCTCTGCACAAAGTTGGTCTGGCAGTCGATCTAGCATTGATGGAGCTGGGTTTCAACAGCTGGGCTCTTGCTTGATCCCAAAACCAGTTTCTACTTTGTATTCAGGTGTATTAACTGGGTCTCTGCTCATACTCAGCCGAGTATGTTGGTCCATCTAGGGTGGGGAGCCCTGCCTGGCTCTGGCCAGATTTCTGCTCTACATGCTTCTTTCTAATCTGGCTCTGTCCTTCTGTTACCTGCTTTGTTCCAGTGGAAGCTTGTTCATTCATTCACTCATTCATTTCCTCATTCAACAAATATTAAAAAACAGATACTTAGGGTTGAGATTTAATAATGTAATTTTTACTGCTTCTTCAAGGTCATTCTTTAGTGAAACTGGCTTTTTTTTTTTTTTTTTACTTGAAGTATATGGCAATCAAGAACACAATGACTACTAGTACAGTTTGGTGCCACTACCTCAATTCATGCCAAGGCCCTGCCCCATTTACTTACTATCACCTTTGCACCATCAGTGCAAATTTTCCTCTTTTTTCAGAAAGAATAAAAAATGGCATCAAAGGCTGGGTGCAGTAGCTCATGCCTGTAATCCCAGCACTTTGGGAAGCCAAGGTAGGTGGATTACCTGAGATCAGGAGTTCGAGACCAGCCTGGCCAACATGGTGAAACCCCATCTCTACTAAAAAAAACCCCAGTTATGGTGTCAGCTAGCCCTTGTTCTGAATACTGTTCTTAACACTTACACTTACTAATACAAAAATTAGCTGAGTGCGGTGGCAGGCACCTGTAACCCCAGCTACTCAGGAGGCTGAGGCAGGAGAATCACTTGAACCTGGGAGGCAGAGGTTGCAGTGAGCTAAGATTGTGGCCTCCAGCCTGGGCAACAGAGCAAAACTCCAACTCAAAAAAAAAAAAAAGAAGATACTGCTCATTTGATGATCAGAGTGTCTTCTTTAGAAACTCATGTAATAAGTTTCTCCAAGGTCAGGGCCAAGAACTAGCATGAAAAATCTAGTTATAAAATATATAGCTGGTATTATCAAAAATATAAAACAAACAAAAACTATGCATTGAAAAAATACTAAATGGCCAAGCATGGTGGCTCACACCTATAATCCCAGCACTTTGGGAGGCTAAAGTGGGAGGATCACTTGAAACCAGGAGTTTGAGACCAGCCTGGGCAACATAGTGAGACTGTTTCCACGAAAGATTAAAAAAATTATCCAGGCATGGCACGCACCTGTAGTGACAGCTACTTGAGAATCTTAGGCAGAAGGATCACCTGAGCCCAGGAGGTTGAGGCTGCAGCGAGCTCTCATTGTGCCAACTGCACTCCAGCCTGGGCAACAGAGTGAGACTCTGTCGAAAGAAAGAAAGAGAGAGAGAAAGAGAGGAAGAGAGAGAGAACCTGTGAGGAAATATACTGATGGCAACAGTAAGGAATTATGGAATTTCTTCATTGATCTACTTTTTTTTTTTTTTGAGACAGAGTCTCGCTCTGTGCCCAGGCTGGAGTGCAGTGGCGCAACCTCGGCTCATTGCAAACTCCGCCCCCAGGTTCAAGCGATTCTCCTGCCTCAGCCTCCTGAGTAGCTGGGATTACAGGCGTGCGCCAGCGTGCCCGGCTGATTTTTTGTATTTTTAGTAGAGATGGGGTTTTGCCATGTTGGCCAGGCTGGTCTTGAGCTCCTGACCTCAGGTGATCCACCCACCTCGACCTCCCAAAGTGTTGGGATTACAGGTGTGAGCCACCGTGCCCGGCCTGATCTACTTTTATATATCTTCTAAGCTTTCTATATACAAGTAAACAGAATAGTTTGCTATATAATGAAAATGACAAGAATATATTATCCTCTCCAAATGAGACAGTATACTCTAGACCAGTAGTTCTGAAGCTTTATTGTAATTCCTCCAGAAGAATCACCTGGAGGTCTTGTTGAAACACGTATTGTTGGACTTCATCCCCAGGCATTCTTGGGTCCCAGTGGTCTTGGGTGAGGCCTGAGAATTTGCATTTTTACCAAGTTTTAAGATAATGCTGATGCTGCTAGTCTGGGGCCCATACTTTGGGAACCACTGCTACAGTAATGAAAAACCCCAGTTATGGTGTCAGCTAGCCCTGGTTCTCAGTACTGTTCTTAACACTTACTAACTGTGTGACCTTGGGCAGATTACTTAACCTCTCTGAGCCTCACTTTCCCCCATAAAATCAGTTTTAAAATATACATTTGTTTTCACCTTTTAACATTTCCCGATATCAGAATGTTTACTACTGGGCATGACAAAGTTTGATAGTGGGCATGACAAAGTTTAAATGGCTACATGTTTCTTTCTGATTGGCAAATGCAAAAATGGTGCATCTTACAACTGATGGTGCCTAAGATGTGAGGAAATATAATCGCTACCTTAAAGGGTTGTCAAGAGTTAATATGTGTCAAGTACTTAGCATGGTGTCTGGCACAAAGTAAAATCACTTAAAATGACAATCGATTTTAGCTGGTAGTGAAAAGGAACAGGAACTGTAGAGTAAGGCTTAGGGAGCAACTGACAGTGTGAAAATGGAACCCAAATTGAGATTGATCTCCTCTTTCCTGTTTCTTCTCCAGGCAGACTTCAGAGACAGTAAATTACAGTGCTGTCCTGGCCCGACTTCCCCGCTGATCCCAGCAGCGACCCTGAGGCCTTTGACAGAGACCGTCTCCACAGTGCAGACCATTTACACCACCCGGAAACCTGTTTCTCTGGCAGCCAGGTAGGTCAGGTCAGCAGGTTCCGACAGGTAATTCTGGTGACAGGGAAACCAGGGAGACTCTAGGTTCATTGTGTTTGTGACACGTACAGGCCTTTCCTACATTCTTTCATTTATTCTGTAAGTATTTATTGAAATGTCTATAAAGGGGCCAGGTGCGGTGGCTCTCATCTGTAATCCCAGCACAAGGGAGGATCCCTTGAAGTCAGGAGTTCAAGACCAGCCTGGCTAACATGGTGAAACCCCATCTCTACTAAAATTAGCCAGGCGTGGTGGTGCACACCTGTAATTCCAGCTACTTGGGAGGCTGAGGCAGGAGAATCACTTGAACCCAGTAGGTGGAGGTTTCAGTGAGCTGAGATTGCACCACTGCACTCCAGCCTGGGCAACAGAGTGAGACTTTGCCTCAAAAAAAAAAAAATGTTTACAAGGGTAGGCTGTTAGAGGAGATAGACAACAAATGAGTGTGTGTGTGTGTGTGTGTGTGTGTGTGTGTGTGTGTGCGTGTGTGTGATATTGACAAGGGATAGGGAGGAAAATGAAATTGTGAATGGCAATAAGGTATCCTGGGATGGCCTCAATGAGGTGGCATTTAAGCAGAGCCCTGAAAAGGGCTATAGAGAAAGCTGCAGATACCTGGGAGGAGTACTGCGCAGAGCAACCAGCCAGTGCTAAGGCTCCTGAGGAAGCATGTGCCTGACATGGTTACGGAAGTTTAAGGGGCCAGCGTGGCCAGAGCAGAGTGAATGACAATAGAGGAGGCCTGTGAAGTTGTGGGTTAAGGCCAGACTGCGTAGGGCCTTGTTGGCTACAGTAGAAACTTTGTTTTCTACCCTGAATGAAATTATTAAACTTGGTTAGTGCCTTTAAAGATGTGTATTTTGCCAGGCATGGTGGCTCGTGCCTGTCATCCCAGCTACTCAGGAGGCAGAGGTGGGAGGATCAGTTGAGGCCAGGAGTTCAGGAGTTCAAGTCCAGCCTGGGCAACATAGCAAGGCCCCATCTCTAACTAAAAACAATGAAAAGATGTGTATTTACTCTGTGTGTGTGTGTGTGTGTGTGTGTGTGTGTGTGTGTGTGTGTGTTTAAACAGTGGAGACAGGTTACATAGATATGCAACTGGACCTGAGGTCCAAAAAGTCAGAGGCAACTTCTCAAAACAGCCAATTTTACTTCATTCAATTTGATTCATTAAAATATAATTAATTATTTGTTACAACATTCCCTCAGATATTCATCAAATGAAAGCCTGGGAGAAAATGCACATGAAACCAATTTAAAGCATGATTTAAATAAATCTAACCCCTGGACATCTTCATTCAAAAGTCTTTACTGAGGGCCGGGCTTGGTGGCTCATGCCTGTAATCCTAGCACTTTGGGAGGTCGAGGCAAGTGGATTGCCTGAGCTCAGGAGTTCGAGACCAGCCTGGGCAACACGGTGAAACCCCGTCTCTACTAAAATACAAAAAATTAGCTTGGCATGGTGGCACGTGCCTGTAATCCCAGCTATGCTGGAGGCTGAGACAGAAGAATCGCTTGAACCTGGGAGGTGGAGGTTGCAGTGAGCCAAGATCACGCCACTGTACTCCAGCCTGGGTGACAGAGTGAGACTCCATCTCAAAAAAAAAAAAAAAAAAAAAACACTTTACTGAGTGGCTGCCATGCACCAGATACTGCGCAAGGCTCTGGAGGTTTAGAGATGAATGACATATAGTCAGCCAGGAACTCTCAGCATGGTGGGACTGAGAAACCAGTAAGTAGCCAATTTCAGATCACTGAAATGCTAGCAAATGTAGATAGTCCTCAAGGAGTCTAAAAAAGAAAGTCCAACACTGAGATCAGGAAAGAACCTGGGAGATGATACTTAAGCTGTCTGCTTCTGCAATTTTTGAGGGATTGTCTCACTATTTTGTCACATACTTTTTTTTAGTGCAGAGACACTCCGGCAGGAACTGGAGAGAGAGAAGATGATGAAAAGACTGTTGATGACCGAACTGTGAAATTCTCCCCTTGTCACCTGGAAGATGGCATGGTGCCTTCTGTCCGTCTTCTTTCTTCGGGCTTTGTGTGCTCACTCTAGCACAGCATACAAGTGTGTGCTCTGTTCGCCCAGGTCTCCATGGTTAGTTGAAGCCAATTTCTGGCTTGACTTTTATGGGAAAAGTTATTTTATGTCTCCTAAGCATTAGAGTTTTTCTATTACTCTATGTAGTTGAGACAGGATTTGATAAGTCTAGGAAAAGAAAGATGGGAAAACGGGATTCCTTTTCAGAAGTACCTGTGTGTATCTGTTAATAACCACAGGGGTTAATATGATGTAGGATCTTTTACTATCAATTTCAACCATTTGATTTTGTATGATTGAAACTTGCACCGAGCTTTGACTGTTTGTTAAAGAGTCATTTTTAATGAAAGAATAATTCTTTATTGCTGGTTTTTCATTTACACTGATAAATACACAGATCTTATAAAGTCTTTAACATTCATTTGTATTCAGATGTGAGTAGAAGAACTAAAAAAAGAAAGTTACATATCACTATGACTGAAGGTACTTCAGCTTAATCTGAAATATAATTTAACTTGTGAACTCCTTGGATATGATATTATTTGGAATAAACAGAATTTATCATTGAACCCAAAGTAGGAAATGATAGCTTACATTGTCTAAAAATCCTTACAAGGTTAAGATGATTCAATATCAAGAAGATTCAGAAAATTATTTCTAAAGTTGATCGATTCATGTCGTATTGATAGAATCTTGACCAGAAGAAATTTTGCTCTTTTTATATAGTTTCAAGAAATGTGTTTTTAAATTTTTATTAATGCACTTGAACAACTTTGCAGGAATAAAGCAACCCCCTAACCACAAAATATCCCTCTAAATTAGTTCCCTAGCTTTCTCAATGAATACACACATATTTTTACATAGCTATGATCGTTGTGTACATTCTCCTTTGTTTTACTTCTCGGCCTAACACTTGTCTCCTCTTGTCAACACAGATTCTACTCTCACCAATTTAAATGTCTTTATATCCATGTAACATGGGTAACCTCACTTCACCCCATTATTAGATATTTGAGTTATATCTAATTTTTCACTCTTATAAATAGTGCTGCTATGAATGTCTGTAAAAAAAAAAAACTGCTCCTTCTTTTGGATTATTCCCTTAGGAATATCTCCAAAGAGGGATTACAAGGTCAAAGAGCATGAAGTATTTTATAGCTCTTGTTTTATATTGCCAGATTGCTTTCTAGAAAGATCCAATCTTTGGGTTGGAAGGACCTTAAAGGTCATCTAGTTTAGCCTCCCCACCCCCTCTGAATGCTTGAATCCCCTCGACAATTTATGATGCCACCAGCAATGTATAAGCATTTCTGTTTACCAATAGCTCTGCCAGTATTGGGTTTTGCCATTTTTATTTATTTTTGCTAGTTTAATAGGTATGTATAGTTGTTCTTGAAGAGTTGTTTTATTTCATTAATTGCTAGCAAGGCTGAGCACTTTTCCATGTGATGATTTACTAGTTGTATTTCCTTGTGTGTAAAATGTTCATTCATTTCTTATGACCACTTGTTAAGAGGAACTGATCTCATATATTTGTATCAGAACTGTATTTTTATGTTATATTGTATAGTTTGCTCTCCTGCCCCTCTCCTTAAAACTGAATGGTGCCAATAATTTGATACTAATGACTACAAAAAAAGGTAATGCCTCATTTACTAGTATTGTTGTAAAATGAGGAATGTATGTGAATATTCAGATAACCGAGGATTAACCCTTTAAGTGCTGAATCTTTAAAATTTTAATATATTTTTTTTTGAGGGAAATCTTTCTAAAATGTATTACGCACTTCCCTGCCTTAGTAAACAGAGTATACTGGAGAGTATTTAACCTTTTCTTGATGAGTCATGGTCATGATTATAAACATCAGCCCCTTTTATACCTTGGTACGGTGCAGTGATATCATTAAGAGCTATCAATATGTGTAGGGCTTGGCTTGGCCTTTTATAGGATATTATGCTGTTCTCACTGATGGTTTTTTACTGCTCTCTGCTCTGTCAGTGGAGCTATCCGGGGCAATTGTAGCGTTTGGGTCCTTTTACCCCTATGTCCCCCGGCTATACTTTTAAAACAGCTTTAGCTGTTCTTTATCTTGTGCACATGATACAAAATATGTTCCCGTACAATATGGGGCTGTCACTTCTTGCCAACCCAGCACCCTCTTCCTCTTCTAACCTGCTTTCTGAGGCTTCTGCTCTTCACCTCCTGCTCGCTGATGGAAACCTCCAGGGCAAAGCTGAAGGTTTCTTGGGGAAGCCAGGAAAGCCAGTATTTCCTATGTGTCAGATCTGCTTGGCTTCCAAGAAGGGATGCATGGGCTTTTTGGCCAGTGTTTCCAGGAGGCTCTGGGCTTCCTGCTTCTTC
Organism: Homo sapiens; assembly: GCF_000001405.40. Lineage (NCBI taxonomy): Eukaryota > Metazoa > Chordata > Mammalia > Primates > Hominidae > Homo > Homo sapiens. The sequence continues at coordinate 109,172,127 of NC_000009.12, read as the reverse complement.
CCCGCTTCCCCCAGAGTTCACAGATGTTGAAGTTTCTGAAGGTTGACGTCACTGGAAGTCTGACCACAAACAAGTTGGCTGTTACTGTATTTGAAACCCAGTACCTTTGGCAGCTCACCTCTAACCAGTAAAATAAGAGGATTCCATGGTTTCAGCAGTTGTCCTGGTTATTTGCCTATTTAAGTGAATGATGGGTGCTTGGCATTGTGACTGAGAAGATGAAATTGTGCTGGATGGATTCATAGGGATGAAAATGAATTGGCGCAATTGTTTCACATTTTTTATATATTTTAAACCCAAACAACAGCACTATATGGGCACACAACACACACCTTATGTCCGGGGGAAACAATCAGCTTACTGACATAGTCATTCCAGAGCTAGGGCTCCAAACTGTAGGATGCAGATTCCCAGTAGGCATGGAAGGTTATTGCAAGGGGTCTGGGAAACCTGCAACCCACAGCTTTATGGATTGTAAACTGCATAGGAAATTCTATGTTTGAAGAGTTTGAGATCCTAGGGCATTCAGAAGATCCCACTTGCATGCACCCAGAATTTTATATTCCCCAGGAATATAGCAGAGGAATATTCTGGTATCATATTTATCTTTCACCATCTCAAAAATTACAGTTTTAAAAACTCAAATAAAATTCATCACTATAACCATTTTAAAGCGTACAATTCAGTGGTTTCTAATGCATTCACAATGTTGTGCAGACAATACCACTATCTAATTCCAGAACATTTACATCATGCCAAAAGGAAACCCCATGTCTGTTAGCAGTCACTACTGATTCTGACCCCTGGCATCACCTGGCGACCACTAATCTACTTTCCGTCTATGGATTTGCTTATTCTGGAAATTTCATATGAACAAAATCATACAATATGTAGTCTTTTGTGACTGGCTTCTTTCACTTAACATAGTGTTTTCAAGGTTCATCCATGTTGTAGCATGTATCAGAACTGCACTCCTTTTTATGGCTTAATAATGTGTTATTATATGGATATACCATATTTGGCTTATCCAGTCATCAGTTGCGTCAGTTGATAGATATTTGGGTTGCTTCTGCTTTTTGGCTATTATGAATAATACTGCTAGGCTGGGCGCGGTGGTTCACACCTGTAATCCCAGCACTTTGGGAGGTCGAGGTGGGCAGATCACCTGAGGTCAGGAGTTCGAGGCCAGCCTGACCAACATGGAGAAACCCCATCTCTACTATACAAAATTACCTGGGCATGGTGGTGCATGCCTGTAATCCCAGCTACTAGGGAGGCTGAGGCAGGAGAATCACTTGAACCCGGGAGGCAGAGGTTGCGGTGAGCCAAGATTACACCGTTGCACTCCAGCCTGGGCAACAAGAGTGAAACTCCGTCTTAGAAAATAATAATAATAATATTGTTATGAACATTTGTGTACAAGTTTTTGTGTGAACATCTGTTTTAAATTCTCTTGGAATTGCTGGGTCAAATGGAAACTCCATGTTTAACTTTCTAAGGAACTGCCACAATCACAGCTTTTATTTCTTACAAAATCCAAAGTGAAAAATTATATATACTAGACAGTCAGAAGCCTGGGCAAATCGGTTACTCATCAGATACCAAGATGCAGCAATGATTTTGGGAGTTTTTAATCGCAAAAAAGGTTGTGTCAGAGAAATTGCTTTGAGGTGGAGAGAAAATAAAGGTACTGTCTTTCTTTTTAAAATGAAAATGAATTTAAATCTGGTTCATCTCTAAGTTTTTGTTTGAGTGGCCAGCTCTTGTACAGCCAGTGGTCTCAGAATGTTCAGGCAAAGTTCCTCCCCAGAAAATTTGCACAGTAGAGGAAACTACAATATTTCTTAGCTGTTCTGTAGAGTCACATTGGTGGGGAACAGAGGGTCTCTGCAAACCTAGGATGTAACTAAGAGGGGAGCATGTGCTTAAGGTTGGAATAGGTCTGCCTCCACTCTTTCCAGGACTTAAATCGTGTCAGAAAACATGAAGAGAAAGAAAATCCCCAAAGGCAATTTGAGTGGATGGGAGAGAATCTCATGAAATGGAAGGAGCCGAATAGGTTGCTGGGCCCTGAAAAGGCATAAGGCTTGAGTGACCCATAAAAGCTATAGGTTTTCCCAAACACTGCATGTTCTCACTCATAAGTGGGAGTTGAACAGTGAGAACACATGGACACAGGGAGGGGAACATCACACACCGAGGCATGTTGTGGGGGGTGAGGCAAGGGGAGGGAGAGCATTAGGACAAATACCTAACGCATGCAGGCTTAAAACCTAGATGACGGGTTGATGGGTACAGCAAACCACCATGGCACATGTATACCTATGTAACAAACCTGTACATTTTGCACATGTATCCCAGAACTTAAAGTAAATTAAAAAAAAAGTTGAACATGGAAAAAATAATTCATAAAAAAAGCTATGGGTTTTCTCCCTAGAAAAACCCATACATCACAACATTATTCCAGCACTTTCATAAGGTCCTCATATCACCCCTGAAGCCTATCTGTGGCCCCCTGTGAGTCTACATGAGTAGAGAGAGAATTGAAATCCACAGTTTACCTGCAAACTTCATTTTAGGCTGTAGTTGTAAACCGTCCCCAAAATACCCAAATACCCCCATAAAAACAATATAGAAAGCCCACGTGGTGGTGGTTTTTTTTGTTTTGTTTTGTTTTTTTGTTTGTTTTTTGTTTGTTTTTTGAGATGGAGTCTTGCTCTGTCGCCCAGGCTAGAGTGCAGTGGCCTGATCTCGACTCACTGCAAGCTCCGCCTCCCAGGTTCACGCCATTCTCCTGCCTTAGCTTCCCGAGTAGCTGGGACTTCAGGCGCCCGACACCATGCCCGGCTAATTTTTTGTATTTTCAGTAGAGACGGGATTTCACCGTGTTGGCCAGGATGGTGTCGATCTTCTGACCTTGTGATCCGCCCGCCTCGGCCTCCCAAAGTGCTGGAGTTACAGGCGTGAGCCACCGTGCCCGGCTGCCCACGTGTTTTTATATCAGATTAATTTACTCGGAGAAGAATGGCCTGGTTTTCATTTGCCTTCTATTTGGGCACCGTTATTGTTAATTTCAGTAACCAAAATGAAGGGAATAAAAAGGAAAGTAAGAGGTAAAAGCTTGTATTCCCAAACCAGAGAATCTACACTGAAATCAAAAGTCTAATGCTTTATTTTTTTGGCTAAACTTTGGTCCATTCTAAGTTGACCATACCTTCCCTGGTGAACAGAAAGAGAAGAAAAGAAAATAAAGAAATTTTAATTTTTAAGAAAGGTTTAAGGTTTTTGTTTTTGTTTTTGTTTTTTTTTTTTTTTTTGAAGGACTACACTTTAACAGATTTTCAATCTGTTGGATCAGCTTTTTTAGAATGTTATGCATTGCCACGCTATGCTTTTTGGGAAGAAGTCTCTTGAGTTTTTAAAGTAATCATAGTTCATCTTACCTTTTTCAAATAATCTGATCTATTTTTTGTGACAACTGCTATGTTGGGGGACCTAGTGAAGCCCAAGGTTTTCATGAATTACACCTCAATTCAGCCATCAGGATTAATATGTTTAAATTCCAGTTGGACAGCCCACTGTTAGCTGATACCTAATAGAAAATACCTGACTTCTAAGTCCCCCATCATGTCTCCCCTGTTTCAACAGCACTACCCTTATCTCTCAGCCAATCAGGCCATAAAGGGTTAAGATCACTAGTTTCCTTTTGAATATTAACATTTCACAATATTGTGTACATGTGTGCATGCCACTTACAGCACTGAACCCTATTGATCCTTACCTCTATGATCTTCCCTAATCTTCATTGCATCATGTCAATGACTAATCATGAGAGATCAGGCAGTCTGACTTCTAGGTCTGCATTTGGGACCTCTATGCTTTTCTGCCTCCATAATTATTTTGTTTATGCAATAAAATAAAATAATAAAATAGGAAAAGCAGGTTAAAATGCTGGCTCTGCAACACCAGCCTGAAAGGAATTGCGTCCGCCTCTCTGATGGAAAACAGCTTAGCAATTCGAATATATCACCCCAACAACCATCATCAAAAGAGAACCCTGGGACCTGCCATAAAGCAAATGCTTGGTGTGAATCAATGGATGGCTGAGTAAATAGCCAAAAGTGAACTGCAAGCAGCAGGAATGGATTTGAGAAAAATCAACAATTCAGCATGGCCCTCAGATACGGTGTGGGCCTTCCAAGGCCTGCGCGTGCTTGCTGCAGGGAAAGAGAGTAAACCAGAAGCCTAGTTTTGAAGGGGAACAGGTTACCTACTGGCACCAGCCTCTGTTGATTACACACCGCAAGAGCCTGGAGAGGAAGCAGGTGAATCCAGTTTTCTCTGTCTCTAAACACCTCAGTTTACCTAGCTCTATTGTGGGGGTCTTGCAATTTCAAGTTCCTTCTGTGATGATCCAAGAAATAATAGGTCTAGCAAGTGCTTTATGTAAACCAAAAAGTGCCGGCACAAGGTTGAGGAGGCAGCACTGACCAGGTGTGTCCAGGGTAAACTCTCTAGAGGAGCGTTTCATAAATTGAACGTGCATTGGGATCTCCTGGGAATTTTGATGAAATGAACATCCCGCTTCATGGGTCTGGAGTGGGGCCTCAGCGATGCTAACAAGCTTCCAGGTGATGCTGATGCTGCCGGTCCGCGGACCACACTCCGGAGTAGCAAGGGGCCAGAAGGGCCAAATCTGCCTGCGTGGAGGGAAGTCGGGGAGATGGGGAGAATGGAAAGAAGGACGGTAGAAGGGAAGCTGCTAGGAAGGAGAGATCGGTGCGGGGAGGAGGGGGGTTCCAAGAAGAAGGGGGAGGCTGCGGTGCTGGAGCGAGGATGCGCAGACCGAGGCAGGGAGGCGGGGGTGCGGGAGGCTCCGCGGCTGCGCGGGCGCGTGCTGGTGGCCTCGGCGGAGGCTCAGTCCCGGCCCGCGCCCGCGGCGCCCCCGCTGCGGCCCGAGCGGCCTGGCTGCGGGATCTGTGCGCACGGATGGCGCGGCCGCCCCGGCAGCACCCGGGGGTCTGGGCGTCGCTGCTCCTGCTGCTACTGACGGGGCCCGCCGCCTGCGCAGCCAGCCCCGCGGACGACGGTGCGGGCCCGGGGGGCCGGGGACCCCGGGGACGCGCGCGGGGGGACACGGGCGCCGACGAGGCGGTGCCGCGCCACGACTCCTCCTACGGCACCTTCGCGGGGGAGTTCTACGACCTGCGCTACCTGTCGGAGGAGGGTGAGGCTGCGGGAGGGCGAGGGGTTGCGGGAGGGGAGACCGGGGGTGGGGGACCGAGGATCGGGGGAACGAGGAGAGGGGGCGAGGGAGGGGGAGGGGGTCGGAAAAGATGTCCGTGGAGGCAGCTCTTGCAGAGGCGAGGCCAGGATGGGGAGCGCAGTGCCCAGGCCTCCGCCGGCCTGGAGGAAAGGCCCAAAGAGCTGTCAATGCCTGCCGCCCGCTTTACAGATGGGGAGAGTGAGGCTGGGAGAGGGAGGGGTCATCCAAGTTCTGCAAGGCTGTGGATAGGGGTGGGTGCTGAGTCTAAGCTCCCCCAGTTCTTAGATCTGGCTTCCACCTTTGCCGCCTGGGGTTGGGTTATAGGGGAGGAGGCCGCCATCTGGCCAGGGCAGCTAGGGGGAAGCAGAAAAACCCCAACCTAAAGAGAGAGGTTGCCTTATTTCCTCCCTGTCTGTATTGACTTAAATTTGCAGTGACCAGCGCCCACCTCGTAGCATTCTGTTCCTGCTCACTGACCCGTCAGAGCTGGGTCACATCAGCCTCCCCACTCCCATCCCTCCTCTTTTATGACGCCACATATGTTATGGTCCCCTAGTGCGAGCCACCATTGTTGTGGCCTGCTGGGCCCGCAGACTGGGAGTTTGTCAGCCAAGGGCCTCCCTGTAGAGCTGCTTCAACGAGCACAAAAGCCAAGCGGATGGTGGTCAGAAGGAATGGAAACTGGCCTCTTTAAGCAACTTTGGGAAGTAGTGACTTTCCTTTTCTTCTGCTAAGAGGGATATCCAACCATCAAGCTGGGGTTTGAAGTGTTGAGTCCCAGGAGCTCATATCTGTTAGTGGATGTGTCTGTTGTTAGGATTAAGTTCAGCTGTATACAACAAGCAAACATTAATAGCTTCAACAAGATAGAAGTTTCTCTCTTACAGAAAGAAAACTAGAAATAGGTAATCCAGAACTGGTCTGGAGGCTCCTTGGTCACCAGTGTCTCTGGATCCTGCCCTTCTGTTTCTTCACAATTCTTAGCATGTAACTTCATGGTTCAAAATAACTGCTTGAGCTACAGCCATTATGTTCACATTCTAGACAGTGGGAAAAATGAAGCAGGAAGAAGGTCACTGACTACTTTATAAAGGGATTACTCGGAAGTTTCATATAACAATTTTTATACTTCTTTGGCCACAACTTAATCATATGGTTGCACATAGGTACAAAGGAGGATGTAAAATAGAGCCTATTAGCTGAGACATAATATGCCCAGTTCAAAAATCAGAATTATTGTATTAAAGAAGATGGAGAGAATGGATTTGGGGAAATGTATTAAGTAGAGGCTTAACTGCTGAATTAGAGATTTTAACATATAGTGGTTTAAATAAGCTAGTTTATTTTTCTCTCTGATAAGAGTCTGGTTGGTCTGGGGCTGGTGGGATGACTCTGTTCCGCAAGGTCATTCAGGGACCCGGGTTCTTTCCATCTTGTTGCTCTGCCATCCCCCTGAGGCTTTGTCCTCATCAGTACAGTAGAAGCCAGGTTGCATGTCCTTGTTCAAGATTGAGGGAAAGAAAAAGAGAAGTTCAGGGCAAGTAGTTACCTTTTAGGCTGGCTGCCCACATTACTGCTGTTCACATTCCTTTGGCAAAAACATAGTTACAATGACCTAGCTTCAAGGGAGACTAAGAAATGTAGTCTTCTAGCTGGAGAGCCATGTGGCGGAATCTGTCACTCTGGAAAAGAATAAATATTCCGAAGCCCGTCTGTTTCTGAAAGCATCTAATGTATCTTTACACTGTACACAGCCTAGTGCTGCCAGGTGACTTAAATGTGGTATGTGAGAACTTGTATTCTGATTGGGCTCATGCATCTAACAAATGAAGGATAAGCTCAGATTCTGTACGTCCTTTGAGTCTCTCTGCAGAGAGAATGATATGTTCATTGTATAGTCCAGAAAGTTTTATGAATGTGGACATCAGGTGGGCCACAGCCATCAAGGACAGCTTTTATAGAGTCAAGCCATGAAGTAGGAAAGACTTCAGTGACACAGAAGAGGGAAGGCATTTAGGTGAGGTGATCACATAGCAGGCAGCAGGGCTTTGTACCGATCCCTAGTGTGTCTGCTTCGCGCCCCCACCATTCTGCACATAAAACTGGTTTAACCCTCCTGAAGTCTGCCTCTAACCTGTTGGCATTGCACTCAAAAGTCTGTGATGGGGCCGGGCGTGGTGCTTCACGACTGTAATCCCAGCACTTTGGGAGGCTGAGGTGGGTGGATCAGGAGGTCAGGAGTTCGAGACTAGCCTGGCCAACATGGTGAAACCCCGTCTCTACTAAAAATACAAAATTAGCCGGGCGTGGTGGTGCACGCCTGTAATCCCAGCTACTCAGGAGGCTGAGGCAGGAGAATTGCTTGAACCCAGGAGGTGGGGAGGTTGCAGTGAGCTGAGATTGCATCATTGCACTCCATCCTGGACAACAGAGTGAGACTCGGTCTCAAAAAAAAAAAAAAAAAATCAACCTGCTCCCTGAATGAATATTCAACTGCTTTATCTGAAATGTCCTCCCTGGCTCAACTTCCTTTTACAACCATATCTCCCCTTCCCTCACCCTGAGCTTTTACTCTCCATTCTTCTCCTACCCTCTTCTCTCTGACAGTTTCATTTCCTCTTTGCATACAGATTCTACCACCATCCGGTGGGTGCTAGTTGAGATGTAAGTGGCGTGGGGCTATCAGAGGCAGTGCCTCTGCTAGATTACCCTGGGCCTAGGCTTCATCCCTGTGGGTCCTGAATAGAGACTTTCCCAAGACGCTTAGAAATAAACAGTGACATTGCCTTAAAAGCGGGGGCTGAGGAGGGGTTGCCAGAGAGAGGGAAGAAGAACCAGGAGAGAGGGGTGTCCCAGAAGGCAAAGGAAAAGAGCCTGTTTCCTACCAAGGTGTGGCCTGATAGCATGAAGGCTCAAAATTATCGATGGTTTCAGGAGATGAGAGGTTATGGGTGGAACTCTCCTAGGACAGATTCAGTGGAGAAGGAAGGAGGGAACCTGACTGACCTTGGAGGACGTGGCAAGTGAAGAAGTGCCGGTAATGCCTTTGACTTATTCTATCAATACACTTGAGGTTGTCCATTTCTAGTGACTAGGCTACTTGTTCCCTCTGTGCAGGGTACCCCCTTCTTATGTCTCAAATAGTCATGAAACTGAGTTCAAAAATCAGAAAAAAAGGAATTTGAATAGTGGAGGTGGGAATGGAAATCCACTGAAACTGAGAGAGAGCCTACTGACCATTACCTACCCTACCCAGAGACTATTTCCCCAGTATCCAGATTGCCCAAAACCCTCAAATCCAGAGGCAGGATGCTGGCTAATTTGCTGTCTCAAGAAAATGATCACCCCCTAACATGGTCATTTTTAAAAACTTAAGTTATGCTAGTGTTCAGAATTCTTTGAGGGTCCCACTGTCTAAGCCTATACTACTCATGCTTACAGTCTCAGCTCAAATGTCACCTCTTTCAGGAAGCCTTCCCTGATTTTCTCCTTCTCCCACAGAAGATATTCTTCCACAGCACACAGTCTGCCGTGACCCTCTTTGCTGTCTATGGTCAGGAGTTCAGATAGGATCTTAGTGCTTGAATCCTACCACTCATACTTCTTTCCCTTGAGGTTCTTAACCCAGAGTCTATATATTCAGAGCAATGATAGAATGTGAAACAGATTACCATTTGATTATGGGCAAATGCTCACTTCTGAGGGTTCTTTGGGGAAAAACAAACAAAACTGAGTTGGATGTTGGCTAAGGGTTAAGTCCCAAATGAAGCTTGCTTCTCCCTGCTGCTAAGATGGCCAGGTTTGGGAAGCAGACCCTCAGTCTTAATCCAGCCAGCTACATGGATGATGTTAACCGCCTGACCCTTGGAGCCATACCCTGCCTAAGAAGGAAAAGACAGAACATCATTTATGGTCACTTATCTTTAAGGCATAGTCATCTGACTACTCGTAAAATGTGGCTCAATCAAGGATTTTCTGACCATTGAGTTCTGATCACAATTTTTCTTGGGAAAGAGCCAGAGAGGTAGAAAGAAGGACAGAACATGGGGCAAAGGGCAGAAGTTTAGTCATCTTCCTATATCCTTCCCCCATCTACCTTGGACGGTATGTGGATATATAACTTACCACTCTACTAATCTGGAAGTCCTTTAAGGGTAACAATTTACATCTAATTTATCTTTGTATCCTTCATGAATCTAGCCTGATCATAATACCAATTAGAGCAACTCTTAGTATGTGCTTACTACGCAGCAGGCCCCGCTTTAGGGTACCTTGTCCATATGAATGTTAATCCTTATAGCAACACTGTGAGTTAAATACTACTATTATTGCTACTGTAGAGATAAAGAAACTGACCCACAGAAAGTTTGACTATTTTAGCTAAAGTCACACAGCTAGAAAGTAGCAGAGAACTGTGTGGATTTGTTGATGGACTTAATGGATAAAGTGGTAGAAGGTGTCCTGCCCATCTGGAATGGAGGGTCCCTGTTGACTTGCACTAGGAAATGGATTGGACAGGTAGAATTGCTTTTTCGTTTTTGTTTTTGAGACAGAATCTCGCTCTGTCATCCAGGCTGGAGTGCAGTAGTGCGATCTCAGCTCACTGCAACCTCCACCTCCTAGGTTCAAATGATGCTCATGCCTCAGCCTCCCAAGTAGCTGGGATTACAGGCATGAGCCACCACACCTGGCTAATTTTTGTATTTTTAGTAGAGACAGGGTTTCACCCTGTTGACCGGGCTGATCTTGAACTCCTGACCTCAAGAGATCTGCCTGCCTTGGCCCCCCAAAGTGCTGGAATTACATGCGTGAGCCACCATGTCTGGCCTAGAGTTGGGTATTTTTGTGAGTGAACTTGAGAGGAAGAGTTTGGAACTGATATGGTAGACAGTTAGGGACTACAGTTTCCTAAGCAGTGGAGTGCCACCATGAAGGCTGAGTTTGCTTCTGTGTGGAACTTTACACCTTATAAAACCCCTCGATACTTTTACTTCATAATACGACCCTGAAAAGAGAAGGAACAAAAATTGAGGCCGTCGGGAAAGAGACTGATGCAGTAGTTCTCAGATGAAACTGAATGGTGTGGCCAGACAATTAAAACTTAAACTTCAAGGAATCAAGTACTAAATTAATAGCTAAAGGCTGTGAGCCAAGCCATTAATTAGAAGCAATAAATAGCAAACCAGAAGCCATTAACCACCCAGTAGAGTGTGGTAAAAGGGATTGCAAAAAAGGAACAGATAGTTTCTTGAATTAGACAAGAATGGAAACCACAAAGCCCAATTGAGAACCTAAAAAATCAACCAAGAAAATAAGCACCTTTCATGGTTCAGCAATAAATGAAGGGATTATAAAATAATAGAGAGGAAAGGAGGGAGAGAAAAAAATGGCTCGAATTGTTCTCCAAAACAGAATTTACTGAAAGAGCTTATAGAGTCCATGTCAGCAGAAGGAAAGAAAAGGAAGGAGAAGAATTGATACACCCTTTTTTAAAAAACCCCCAAGCCAATATTAATGTAGTCTCATTCAGGTTCTTATTTTAGAGGGAAAAAAATAGCATCAAAATGGAAAATGGAGAGAAAGGAACAAGCCAAAACAATTTAAGTGATGAAAAATGGGGGAACGGACAGAGCGAAGGGAAGAGGGAAAAGCTGGTTGTGTCTGGGTGGTTCAACACATATGTCTCAAGACTAAGGAGGACAGGTAGGTGTAGGGGAGATGGAATGCTGGGGAGTAGTGTCAGGAGCAGTGGGATGACAGAATTAGATTTCTGCTTCAGGCCGGGTGAGGCGGCCTGTAATCCCAGCACGTTGGGAAGCCGAGGCGGCAGATCACCTGAGGTCAGGAGTTCAAGACCAACCTGGCCAACATGGTGAAACCTGTCTCTACAAAAATACAAAAATTAGCCGGGCATGATGGCGGGTGCCTGTAATCCCAGCTACTCGGGAGGCTGAGGCAGGAGAACCACTTGAACCTGGCAGGCGGAGCTTGCAGTGAGCCAAGATCATGCCATTGCACTCCAGCTTGGGCGACAGAGCGAGACTCTGTCTAAAAAAAAAAAAAAAAAAAAGATTTCTTTCTCAGAAAGATGGCGGCAGGGCAGAAGGAGTGAGAGAGAAGCCAGAGAACCAGATAAGAGACAGAACTACAGCCAAAAGTCAGGCTCTGGTTTCTGAGGTAGGAATAACAAGAAGTGGTCAGGTGCAGTGGCTCATGCCTGTAATCCCAGCACTTTGAGAGGAGCCCAGGAGTTTGAGATCAGCTTGGGCAAGAAAGTGATACCCCATCTCTACAAAAAGATAAAAAAGTTAGCCAGTCATGGTGGCACACAGCTGTGGTCCCAGCTACACGAGAGGCTGAGGCAGGAGGATCACTTGAGCCTAGGAGGTCGAGGCTGTGCTCCAGTCTGGGTGACAGAGTGAGACCCTGTCTCAAAATAAATAAATAAAAGGAATAGCAGGAAGTGATGGCTGAGTAAATGTGCCAGGTTGGGGAAAGGGAGAAACTTAGGACTGAGGTTTCAGGATTGTGAGACTGTAGGTGGCTAGTGGGATTATCCACTAAGATAAGAAACATAGGACGATAGCTTTTGGGAGGCGGAGGAACTCATCTGGAATTGATTTGCTTGTGGAATATCCAGGGAGAAACCCCTGGAGGCAGTTGGCTGTTGGGTTTAAACTGATAGAAGAAAAGAAGAAAGGCCGAAAACTGTGAAGTGACAGAAAGAAGGGAATAAATCTAAAGATAGTAGAAGGAAACAAATAACAAAATAATAAAGATATAGCAGAATTAATGAAATAGAAACCAAATATTCAGTAAAGGGGATCCACAAAGCCTAAAGTGATTCTTTGAAAATATTAATAAGACAGATAAGTGTATAGTCAGGGTTCTCCAGAGAAACAAAAGCAATAGGATATGTATCTATGTAGACAGATTTATTTTAAGGAACTGGTTCACATGATTATGCAGGCTGGCAGGTTCCACAGTCTGCAGGTTGGGTCGGCAGGCTGGAGACCCAGAGATGAGCTGATGTTTGCAAGTCAGGTCCAAAGGCCATCTGCTGCTACACTGGTTGGTGGAGGTCACTCTTTTTGTTCTCTTCAGGCCTTTGACTGATTGGATGAGGCCAACTTGCATTATGGAGGGCAATCTACTTTGCTCAAAGGCCACCTGCTTAAATGTTTTTTTGGTTGTTGTTGTTGTTGAGACAGAGTCTCGCTCTGTCACCCAGGCTGGAATGCAATGGCGCGATCTTGGCTCACTACACTTCCCAGGTTCAAGCGATTCTCCTGCCTCAGCTTCCCAAGTAGCTGGGATTACAGGTGGGTCCCACCATGCCTGGCAAATTTTTGTATTTTTAGTAAAGACAGGGTTTCACCATGTTGGTCAGGCTGGTCTCGAACCCCTGACCTCGTGATCCACCCACCTTGGCCAGAGTGCTGGGATTACAGGTGTGAGCCACCACGCCCGGCCCACCCACTTAAATGTTAATCCACTCCTAAAACACGCTTAAAGAAACATTCAGGTTCTTTAAACCACATATCTGGGCACTTTGGCCAGCCAAATTGACATATAAAATTAACCATCTGGCAAAATTAATCAAGAAAAAAAGAAATAAGAATGACAAAGGGGGAACCTTAGACATAGCAGAGATTAAAAAGCTAATTAAATTGTAATTATTACAACTTAATAAAAAGATAATCCAATTTAAAAACAGAAAAAAGCTTTAAAAAGACATTTTTCCAAAGAAGACATACAAATTGCCAACAAGCTCATGAAAAGATGCCCAACATCATGGGCTGTTAAGGAAATGCAAATCCAAATCATAAAGAGATACCATTTCACACCCACTAGGATGGTTGATTTTTTTAAAAGGAAAATAACAAGTCCTGGCAAGGAGGTGAAGAAATTGGACCTCTCATACATTGTTGGTAAGGATGTGAAATGGTGCAGCTACTTTGGAAAATAGTTTGGCAGTTTCTCAAAAAGTTAAACACAGAATTACCATATGATGCAGCATTTCTACTCCAAGGGAATTGGAAACATATGTTCACACAAAAACTTGTCCATAGCAGCAGCATTTGTAATAGCCAAAAAGTGGAAACAACCCAAATGTCTATCAAACTGATGAATGGATATACACATGTGGTTGATCCATACAATGGAATATTATTTAGCCAGAAAAAGGAGTGAAGTTCCAATACATGCTACCATGTAATGAACCTTGAAAATATTATGCTAAGTGAAGGAGGTCAGACACAAAAGACCACATGTTGTATGATTCCATTGATATAAAATGTCCAGAATAAGCAAATCCATAGAGGTAGAAAGTGGATTCATGGTTGCCAGGGGCTGAGAGGAGGGGGAATTGGGAGTGACTGCTAACAGGTACAGGGGTTCTTCTTGGAATCATGGAAGTGTTTGTGAATTAGATAGTGGTGATGGTTGCATAACCTTATGAATATATTAAAAAACACTGATCTGTATACTTGAAAAAGGTGAATTTTACGGTATGTGAATTAGAGCTTACTAAAAATGAAAGCAGATAAGCTAATAAGAAATACAAGGAACAGTTTTATGCCAATACACTCGAAAATTTAAATGGACAAATTCCTAGAAAAAAAATGCAACTTACCAAAAACTGACTCAAGAAAAATTAGAAAAACTGAAAAATTTTTTACCCATCAAAGAAATTGAATCAGTTAAAAAAATCTTCCAACCAAGAAAGCTCCAGGCTCAGTTCTACCAGACACTCAAGTGACAGCTGATGCTAACCTTAAACACATTATTTCAAAGGACCCTCAAAGAAGGAATAGTTTCCAGCTTGTTTATGAGGATAACATAACCTTATTAGCAAAACCAGACAAGGACACAATGAGAAAGGAACATTACAGAAGAGTTTTGATCACGTACATATGCATAAGTACTATACAAAATATTTCTGAAGGAATGGAAAATGATATTTTAGGCAAAGATGAACCATAAGAAAACCAAGATGACAGTAACATCGGACAAAATATAGAAGATAAAACATAAGGAGCAAATTATGTCGTATATCGATAGAAGAAACTAATCAGGAATGTTTACCTGTAACAGTATAGTATCCAAATAAAAGCAGTAACTGATGGAAATGGTGTACAGCAAAATATAAACCAACATTTGTAATTGGACATACCACCCTTGGTATTGAAAAATCAAACACATTTTTAAAATAAAAGATATAGGGAGACCAAGGCAGGAGGATAGCTTTGAGACCAGGAGTTTGAGACCAGCCTGGGCAACATATTCCCTACAAAAAAATTTAAAAATTAGCCAGGCATGGTGGCACCTGCCTGTGGTCCCAGCTGCTCAGGGTGCTGAGGCAGGAGGATGGCTTGAGTCCAGGAATTTGAGGCTGCAATGAGCCATGATTGTGCCACTGCACTCTAGCCTGGGTGACACAGTGAGGCCCTGTCTCCAAAAAATAAAAATAAAATATATAGATAGTTTCAATTATATGAATGATAAGTTCAATTAAATAGATATGTAAAACCCACAAATACAGAATCATACTCTTTTTGAGCACATAAGATCCACTAAAATCAGCCATATACCAGAATATAAGAAAGTCAACAAATTACAAAACAGTCTACCTCATACAGATGTCTTCTGATTACAATGCTGTAAGATTTGAAATTAACAAAAGTTTAGGGGAAAAAATCACCTATGTCTGTAAATAAAAACAATATTAACCTATATGTTAAGGAGAAAAATCATAAAGAAAATTAAGATATGCATATAATGACCATCAAAGCACTGCATGTCAAAATATCTGGCGTGAATCTAAAAGAGAGCTTAGAGGGAAATTTACAGTTTTGAATACATTTATCAGAAAATAAGAAAGATTAGACGCTGGGCGTGGTGGCTTACAACTGTAATTTAAGCACTTTGGAAGGCTGAGAGGGGCAGATAGCTTGAGCCTGGGAGTTGGAGAGCAGCCTGGTCAACGTGGCAAAACCCTGTCTCTACAAAAAATTTAAAAAAAGTTGCTGGGTGTGGTGGCTCATGCCTGTAGTCCCGGGGTGAGGTAGGAGGATCACCTGAGCCGGGGAGGTGGAGGTTACAGTCATCGTGCCAGTGCACTCCAGCCTGGGTGAGACAGCAAGACCCCGTCTCAAAAAAAAAAAAAAAAACATCCAGGTGCAGTGGCTCATGCCTGTAATCCCAGCACTTTGGGAGGCCGAGGCGGGCGGATCACGAGGTCAGGGGATTGAGACCATCCTGGCTAACATGGTGAAACCCCGTCTCTACTAAAAGTACAAAAAAATTAGCCGGGCGTGGTGGTCCACCCCTGTAGTTCCAGCTACTCGGGAGGCTGAGGCAGGAGAATCGCTTGAACCCGGGAGGTGGAGGTTGCAGTGAGGCGAGATCGTGCCACTGCACTCCAGCCTGGGCAACAGAGTGAGACTCCATCTCAAAAAAAAGAAAGTAAGCTAAGCATTCAATTAAAAATGGAAACAAAAAGGAAGGAAATAACAGATCTGGGTGGAAATAAATGAAATGGAAAACACATGTGAAAATGAGTGATGACCCAAACTGAATGTGGATTGTTTTGAAAACTCTCATAAGATACACAAATTTCTGGCATGACCAATCAAGGGAAAGAGTGAAAATACAGATAAACTGTGTATGAAATTAAAAAGGAGAAATTTGACAAATACGGTGAATGAACTCCCTCTGCATCTATCCCAGACTCTCTAGTGTGCCGGCCCCTGATCCGGAGGCTAGATTATTACCGGGAATCCTGAGTTCTGGATACAATTTTGATTCTGTGAATCATGTACATGACACTGGAGTCAGAACTGGGTTATGTGAAGGGAGGGAATGGGATGCAAGCATCCATTTTTTTTCTGCAACAGTTTTATTGAGATGTAATTCACATACCATGCAATTCACCCAATTAAAATGTGCAATGCAGTGGGTTTTAGTATATTCACAGGGTTGTGCATCTGTCACCACAATCAATTTTAGAACATTTGCATCATCCCCCAAAGAAATCCTATACCTTTAGCTACTACTCTGCAGTCCCTCATCTCCCTCCTCCCCACCCCAGCTCGAGACAACCACGAATCTTTCTGATTCAATATTTGTGTATCCTGGACTTTTTTTTTTTTTTTTTGAGATGGAGTCTTGCTCTGTCGCCCAGGCTGGAGTGCAGTGGTGCAATTTTAGCTCACTGCAACCTCCACCTCCCAGGTTCAAGCAATTCTCCTGTCTCAGCCTCTTGAGTAGTTAGGACTACAGGTGTGCTTTTTTTATTTTTGTATTTTTAGTAGAAACAGGGTTTCACCATGTTGGCCAGGCTGGTCTCGAACTCCTGACCTCAAGTGATCTGCCTGCCTCAGCCTCCTAAAGTGCTGGGATTACAGGCATGAGCCACTGTGCCCAGCCTTATCCTAGACATTTCATGTAAATGAGATTATATAATCAAGGTACGTCCATGTTGTAACATGTATCAGTACTTCATTTTTTATGACTGAATAATATTCAGTCTTACATATGTGGATAGATTTCCAAAGGGAAATAATAAACAGAATGAGATGTACTGCACAGTGTCATTTATGCAAATTAAAACATACACAAGTGATATATTAAGAGCACACCTATGTAAAAATAAACATAGAGGTGAATGGTAAGTTTCAGTGGGCCCTCACTGGTCAGCTCTGTTTGGGCATTTCCAGGCTTTGTGCCTGGCCATGAACAGGCTAATGCAGTGGAGCTGTGGGCAGCATGGCAAGGGGTGCTGTTGGCAGAGTGAGAAATTGTGCCTGGAACCTGAACCTTAGATCCAGGATCTGCTGAAGGCAGTTTGGTAATTATCGTGTAAGGTAATCATGCAAGAGTTTCAGGATGATAATCTTGGGAATATGAAAAACTTTTTGCAACCTGGCAGGACTTTACCCTGGACAGGCAGAATTCCATGCTACATAGAATGGACTGAGATGAGAACCTTACCCCACCACCAAATTGTCTGTTATCCATTATCGCTAATGTGTCCTTTCAGTTTATCATAGTAAAATATTGCTTTTCTAAGACGTATGTGTCAGAGTGTTCATTTTTTGTTAAAACTTCCATCCTTGGGAGAAGGTTATGCATGAAATATGCTGGACCTCGTGTCTAAGGTGGGGAAGAAAATGGAGTTAGTGATGGATTGGTGGAAAAATATAAGATTGGCTTTGTATAGACTGATAATGAGTGTTCCATAAATCAAGAAATACCAATTTAATTCTGTGTACCTAGGGTACTTAGAATTGTACAATTAAAATAATTTCCCATTAGAATTGTCTAATGCATGTAAAACATAGATCCTATTGAATGTCTTTATTTTCTAGCCTTCGGATAAGTACTAATAAGCTACAGTTTTGGCAAACACATTGTATCAGTATTGAAAGGTTAATCCATTTAGTCTGCATCAATCAAGTTCCAGTAAGAAAGATGGAAATCATACTAGCTGTTTAAACAAAAGACCAGCCCAGGGAATTGTCTAAGCAAGAAGTTGCGGGACTGGAGAAGCAAAAAGGGAGTACCAAGATAGCATGCAGAAAATAACTTCAGGAAAGTTACCATCCTTGGGGCTGGAGTTGCAAAGAGAAGGGCTTGAGATTATAAAAAGGTCCCAGACCAGGACCTCGCAGAGCTGTGACCCATCCTTTGAGAATGAGGCTGTGCTCAGCTGCTGCTGATGCCTCAGAGCAGCATGGGATGAGGTTGGTTCTGGGAGCCTAGCACCGAACTGGGAACTCAGGCCAACTGCCAGGATGAAGTAGAGTTGCTGAGAACTTGCTTATTGGAACAGCAATCACACAGGAAGGAACAGTCCTCTTTCCCTCCTCCTGCCTTCCTCTAATGCTTGCTATTGGCAGAGTCTAAGCACCTGGCAAAGGAGAAATGGTTTGCAGAGTACTCAGCCTATAGAAGGCTGGGTTGTAGCTGAGAGACAAGAGCTTAAATATTGGCACATGGTCCAAACTTATTTTATATCAAATAGAGATCATTTAATTTCAGGAAAAAAATCTAATTCTGCTCTGCTTATATTCCAGTATCAACTCCCGACTGGTGTACTGCAATTCAGTTCCTACACTAATGACCCAGAGTTAGTGCAGATCCCACAAGTGAAAGGGCACAGTTCACAATAAGATTGTCCACACCTCAGACCAACTGGCTATAAATGTGGGGTCTTCCCACAAGATAGAAGAAGCTTCCCACTTCAGCTTCTATTATTTGCTAGAATGTTTCACAGAACTCAGGGAAAAAAAAGTGCTATTTTTACTATGACAGTTTTATTATAAAGGATACAACTCAGGAACAGTCAATGAAAAGACACATAGGGTGAGGTCTGAGAGGCTCCCAAAGGCAGAGTTTCCATGCCTTCTCCTCGTGGGATTATCACATTGCCCTCCCAGCACATCGATGTGTTCAACCAGGAAGCTGCACTGGGCCGCAGTGTCCAGAGTTTTTATTGGGGTCTCACTATGTTGGAATGATTGATTTAATCATTTGGCCACATGGTTAAACTCAATCTCCAGCCCCACAACCCTCCCTATAGGTAGGTCTAGCACAAAGCCCCAACCTTCTAATTACATGGTTTTTCCAGTGACCAGCCTCTATTCTTAGTCATCCCGTTGCTCAGCATAAACTCAGGTGTAATCCAAGGGGCTCATGAAGAACAAAAACACTCCCATTACTTGGGAAATTCCAAGGTTTTAGAGTTTGTCTCCCAGAAACCAGGGACAAAGGCCAAATTCTTTATTTTTCAACAGTTTGCAATATAAGAGGAAAATGTTATTAAAGGCATGTCCAAGTGCATTTGACAGAACACAAGTTCCTATTACAAGTTTTAGAAGCATATATGATAATAGAAAATTAGTGCTAGAAAAGTCCTGAGAAGCCATTTGCCAACATGAATAAACTAGTTCAGAACATTTATGAGCTAGCTTTGTTCCAAAATTTGCTTTCATTTGGAGTTTAGAAACCTGTTGTTCTTTTTTTTTTTTTTTTTTTTTTTTTTTTTTTTTTTTTGAGATGGAGTCTCTCTCTGTCACCCAGGCTGGAGTGCAGTGGTGCGATCTTGGCTCACTGCACGCTCCACCTCCCGGGTTCATGCCATTCTCCTGCCTCAGCCTCCTGAGTAGCTGGGACTACAGGTGCCCACCACCACGCCCAGCTAATTTTTTGTATTTTTTAGTAGAGACGGGTTTCACTGTGTTAGCCAGGATGGTCTCGATCTCCTGACCTCATGATCTGCCCACCTTGGCCTCCCAAAGTGCTGGGATTACAGGTGTGAGCCACCATGCCCAGCTGAAACTTGTTGTTCTTAAAGAGACAATCGTACCCAATGGTTATTACTTCTCAGGCCAGTTTACAAAATTTAATAGGGCCAGGCGCAGTGGCTCATGCCTGTAATCCCAGCACTTTGGGAGGCTGAGGCAGGCGGATCACGAGGTCAGCAGTTCGAGACCAGCCTGACCAACATGGTGAAACCCCGTCTCTACAAAAAATACAAAAATTAGCCGGGCGTGGTCGTGGGTGCCTGTAATCCCAGCTACTCAGGAGGCTGAGGCAGGAGAATTGCTTGAACCCAAGAGGCAGAGGTTACAGTGAGCTGAGATTATGCCACTTCACTCCAGCCTGGGCAACAGAGCAAGGCTCTGTCTCAAAAAAAAAATAGTGATAATAATCCAGTAGTAATAGTAACTGGTATTTATTGAGCTGGAAATCTGCTGTATGCTAACGTATTATTCTAGATGCCAGGAAGTAGTGAGGATGATATGTTTGAAAATGGAAGAAGATGGGGAACCTGAGTCAGATGCAACATTAAAAGAGATTGTCTTTGTCAGTGAACTCTAGAATTTCAAAAACATGTAAGTGAACAATCATTGAATTCCTGGATAAATATTCTGAGACAAATGGCCTCAGGACTGTAGTGAGAAGTAACAGGAAGAAGATATATGAAGCTGCTTAACATACAGTAGTTTGTAGTGGCTCAATAACTATTCAGAAAAAAACAAAACTCGTTCAAGTCAGGACTCAGTCTATAGCAGTGAACCCCAGCCTTTTTGATACCAAGGACTGGTTTAGTGGAAGACGATTTTTCCATGGACTGGGTCAAGGGGAAGGTTTTTGGGTGATTCAAGTACATTACATTTATTGTGCACTTTATTTCTATTATTATGACATTGTAATATATAATGAAATAATTATACAACTCACCATAATGTAGAATCAGTGGGAGCCCTGAGCTTGTTTTCCTGCAACTAGAAGGTCTCATTTGGGGGTGATGGGAGACAGTGGCAGATCATCAGGCATTAGATTCTCATAAGGAGCGTACAACCTACATCCTTCACATATGCAGTTCACAATAGGGACTGCACTCCTATGAGAATCTAATGCCACTGCTGATCTAAGAGGAGGTGGAGCTCAGGCAGTTATGCAAGCCATGGGGAGTGGCTATAAATACAGGTGAAGCTTCGCTTGCTTGCCTGCCACTCACCTCCTGCTGTGCGGCTTAGTTCCTAACAGGCCATGGACTGGTACTGGTTAGTGGCCCAGGGATTGGGGATCCCTGGTCTCTAGTACTGAAGCAGATATAGGACTTAGCATAAAATAAGCATAAAACTAGAAAAAGTAATGCATTTGATCCAACTACTTTGGTGGTAAAAAGTTAGGATTGTACTTTATGATGTGATCAAGGTCCAGGATAGTAAAAATGGACTATTCAGAGTGCACAGAAGTGTGCCAGAAAAGTGTGACCTGGTGGCTTTTTTAAAGTATAATAAATCTAATGGACAAAATTAGCAAAGCCTCACTTTAAAAAAAGTAGCATTACAAATCCCAAAGAAAAAACTTAAAAATAACAAGAAAAAAACTCATAAAATAGAATGATTTTTAAAAGTTTGTACTGATTTACATTTCCTAATGTCTGTGGGTGATTTTATTTATTCCTTTGACAATCATTTATTCAGTGTCCAGTGCCAAGCACTATGCTGGGCAGAGAATACAAGATAAGTCTCACATGATTCCTGTGTACGTGGAGTAAACAGCCTAGGAGAAAAGATTTCTCTCACAAAGTGGAGGCATAATGCAGCCTTACCCTTCAATGTATGGTTTGATGCATTATGGTGGTAAGTAATCTTATAAGAAAGATAGACAACTGTTAGAAATTATGTGTTTAAAGAATTTAGCGACAAGTTGGGTATGGTATGGTTTGATGCATTATGGTGTATGGTTTGATGCATTATGGTGGTAAGTAATCTTATAAGAAAGATAGACAACTGTTAGAAATTATGTGTTTAAAGAATTTAGCGACAAGTTGGGTGCGGTGGCTTATACCTGTAACCCTAGCACTTTGGGAGGCTGAGGACTGTGGATCACTTGAGGTCAGGAATTCGAGACCAGCCTAGGCAATATGGTGAAACCCTGTCTCTACTAAAAATACAAAAATTAGCCGGGTTTGATGGCCGGCGCCTGTAATCCCAGCTACTCGGGAGGCTGAGACAAGAGAATCCCTTGAACCTAGGAGACAGGTTGCAGTGAGCCAGGATGGCACCACTGCACTCCAACCTGGGCAACAGAGGGAGACTCTGTCTCAAAAACAACAAAAAACAAAAACAAAGAATTTAGTGACCTAAGAAAATGTTACCTACAGGTTAACGCAAAATGGAAGTTGAAAATGGAATGGAAAAATCCTGTTATCAAGTATATAAATGGAAAAATCCCACTATCAAGTATATAAATGTATCACTGTTAACTTTTTTCTCTTAGAACATGTATATTGTATTAAACGTGTGATTCTCAAACTCCCAGGGGACAGCGGTAAGCCCGTGGTTATATGAAATTGTGCCTCTCTCAGTGCCCCAGGTTCCTCTCCTGTAAAGTGAGAAAAGGACACACCTACTCTCAGTTCACATGCAAGATTAGGTCCAAAGGTGTGTGTCCTACACCCTCCCCCATGAAGGGGATGATTAGCCTTCATCAAAGCCATTTTCTGAGTCCCCAAACATTTCTCGATATGTGTGAGAAAAAACAGTCAACACATTTTTAAAAATTCTCATTGGAACAGTTGTTACTGGATTTTCTAACCCTTCTTTATTCTCACTGCCCAGGTTACCCCTTCCCTACTGCTCCTCCTGTGGATCCATTTGCCAAAATCAAAGTGGACGACTGTGGAAAAACTAAGGGATGCTTTAGGTTGGTGGAACTGCAGGTTGGATAACTTTAAGGCTAAGACTGATTTACTTCTCAGGGTAGTATTTAAATTGCATGCAGTTCCTTCTAATCAGGGGGCCTGAGCTCCTTGATCACCTCAGCAGGGTTATGAAGTTTCGTAACGGCCATCCCGCTTTTCAGTCTTAAAGGCCTTTTAACTTTAGTATGTCCTGGGCCCGGGACCATTCTTCCATGGTTCTTTTCTAGCTGTACCACCATTGCTCCAGGTGTCTCCTACTCACCAATTGCTGATATGCAGAAGACTCATGTGACACAGAACGTGTCTGTGCTTATTCAGCAGGGGCTGTGGGCAGGACAGGCAATGATAGACATGTTTAGTACCCAATTCCTTTTTTAGTAAATAGTCCTGACCTATGGATATCTGTATGATTCTAACTAGTCATTAAGCATTCATTGTTGCTAGCTTGTTATCTCAGGCATGGTGAGTCTCTACATGATTATTAGTAGTATCACGACATGACGGGCTGGGCTAGAAAACAGTCATGTGGACAATGGGCCTCCCATCTAGACAGCTCAGCTTCTTTGGGAAAGCCTCCTCCTTTGAACCCTTTACTTCCTAAAACAAATTGCCCCTGAATAATTTGATGGTCAGGGGCAAAGTTTTGATGGTCACTGTACTGAAGGTTCTGATTTTGCTGTTGTTCAGTACTTAAGGTCTAAGAAGGAAAAATTGAATACAGGGGCTTTGAGCTTTCTTTGGATTACAAGGCCACTTCTAAGGAATGAATAAAAATAGCCAAAAATGTTCTTATTGAGGAAGATGGTCAGCAATGTATAAACCTGGTGATTGGGGGATATTTTGAGAAGGGAGGGAATTTTAGTACTCTACTGGCTTCAAAGTGACTTGTTTTCTTGTCCATTTACTCCTTTTTTTAACTTCCCTTGCTCCTTTTCATCTTTTTCACCCCAGTGCCCTGTTGCCTTGATCCTATTATATCTCTTCCTGACTGCTCGGGTATTTCTGCCAGCATAGTAGTACATTTCTGTCCCCTCCTCAACACTTAGCACCCCTGTGCCCTGTTCCTTTAGATACCTTCCATCTGCGCGTATATTGTCCCACCCATTGCTTCAACTTTCTACCATTCTGCAAATGGTGTAATACAGTGTTCCTCAAACCAGGGCTTGCCAGTTCTGAAAGGATCCACAAGTGCTCTGTAAGAAAATTTAAATTTGTGTTTTCATTTCAGTGGTGCTCTCAAAAAAACATGAATGTCTGCATAATCTCACTATCTGGATAATCACCTTATATTGTTGTATGTTTTAGTGTCTGAATTTGTAATTATATTAGCAGCAAGTAGCCCAACAGAACAAAGGCAAATTTTATAAATAAGGCCAAGCACAGTGGCTTGACTGTAATCCCAGCACTTTGGGAGGCTGAGGTGGGTGGATCACCTGAGGTCAGGAGTTCAAGATCAGCCTGGCCAACAAGGTGAAATCCCGTCTCTACTAAAAATACAAAAATTAGCCAGGTGTGGTGACCCATGCCTGTAGTCCCAACTACTTGGGAGGCTGAGGCAGGAGAACTGCTTGAACCCAAGAGGTGGAGGTTGCAGTGAGCCAAGATCCCGCCATTGCACTCCAGCCTGGGCAACAGAGTGAGACTGTCTCAAAAAAAAAAAAAGAAAAAAAAATTGTAAATAAATATTGCATTCATTCATGGTTCATGAGTACCAGATGGGGGTATTCATTTGGTGTATCGCATAAATAAGGATTTTGCAGCAGTTCAAACAGATAAAAGTGAAGAGTTGAGCCATCATGCTATAGAGAGTAGTAAGAACATGCTCTCAACTCCAAAGACCCTGCACGATCTAATCGGATACCACATGCACATAAGCAGAAATTTACTTTCAGTAAAGCCCCATTATCTGTTGCATGAGTGCTGTGAATTTCAATGTTCCTGGTTTATTAGTTTAATTTATATTGAATTTGTAAATTTGTGTTAGTTTGATTATATGAAAATTTGTAAGTTAAAAAGAGTTGGTATACATTTAATTAACAGAAACAATTTAAATGGTTAACTTGGAGAATCTTTTTCCATTAAAAGGGATTCAGAAATAATTCAGTAGTAACTAACATGTAAAAGACTCTAATACTAATATAATGTAGAGAACACTGGCTGGGAGTTTAGATACCCAGATTCAAGTCCTGTTGCAACCGCTGACTTCACTATACAACCTCGGGCAAGCCCCTTCCCATCTCAGGACTGCAGTTCTTGTGTACAAAGTGGGGCAGATCATCTCTAAGGTTCCTCCTAAGAGAGTGAAACTGTGTTTTTAAGATTCCAGGTAGCAAAAATCCAATGTGTTTAATAATATTGCTTAGCATCCCACATGATACATGGTAGATGCTCTCTTAATGTCTTTTGTGTAAGTAGAAGCAGTAAAGTCTCTTTCGATATCTCTTCTAGATATGGCAAACCAGGCTGTAATGCAGAGACCTGTGACTATTTCCTCAGCTACCGGATGATAGGGGCTGATGTAGAATTTGAGCTGAGTGCAGACACAGATGGTTGGGTAGCAGTTGGATTCTCTTCAGACAAGAAAATGGTAAGATGCAAAACATGATAGAAGCTGATTTTTTCTCTTTAGTTGGCTGTGCTATTTTGATTTTAGAAGCAAGTTAATTGATCAAAGCAGTATAATGATCAAATTAGTTATGGCTCTCTGATTGCAAGTTAAAAAAAATTCAGGCTAGCTTAAATGAAAGGGTTGGCTATCAGAATCCAAGCTGTCTTGTGGCACCTCTTTTCATCAGCTGTTTCCACAGTAAGGCTGCAAGAAGAGGCCCCCATGTTATAAGCCTTATATGGCTTATAACAATGAGCATTTATTGCTTGCTCACATGTTCATGGATTGACTGGGGTGCAGCTCATTTTAGGTGGGGTTCATCTGGACTTGACGCCTGTCCATGAGTTGGATTCAGGTTTTCTCTGTGTTTTCACTAGTCATCCAAGGCATATTTTTTTCATGGCAGAGGCAGAAGTGAAAGAACCACTTATAAGAGGGAAAAACAACTTTTTTCCGTCTCTACTCATATTCTCACTACAGAAAGAATACTTCTGTGACCAGATGTGTGGGGGTGTTCCCCCACACCCCAAGCATTTCTCCAGTGGACAGCTAGGTGTCCTCTAATTCACTTTGTTTCTGACACTACCTACCTGGAGATAGCATTAGATCCCACAGGTTAAGGGTTCAAAACCACAAGACTGCCCCCATTTCAGACACCCGTCACAAGCCCCAGGTTGTGACCTGTATTTCTGACCAGCCAGCTATAAATCTGGGGTGCCACCACCCTCTTCTGTTCAGTTAATCTCCTGGAGTGGCTCACAGAACTCAGAGAAACACTTTACTCATTTATTTATTTATTTATTTAATTTATTTGTTTGTTTGTTTGTTTGTTGAGATAGAGTTTCGCTCTTGTTGCCCAGGCTGGAGTGCAATGGTGTGACCTTGGCTCATTGCAGCCTGCACCTCCCAGGTTCAAGCGATTCTCCTGCCTCAGCATCCCAAGTAGCTGGGATTACGGGCACCTGCCACCACGCCCTGCTAATTTTTTGTATTTTTAGTAGAGACGAGGTTTCACCGTGTTGGCCAGGCTGTTCTCAAACTCCTGACCTCAGATGATCCACCCACCTCGACCTCTCAGAGTCCTGGGATTACAGGCATGAGCCACCGTATCCCACCTACTTTACTCATTTATTATGAAGGCTATTTTGAAGGATACAGATGAACAGTTAGATGGAAGAGACACTTAGGGGAAGGCATGGGGAAGGGAGTGAGGAGCTTCAACACCCTGTTGGGTGTGCTACCCTTCAGGCACCTCCATCTGTTCAGCAATCCAGAAGCTCATCCGAACCCTGTCCTTTTGGGTTTTTTTTATTTTTTAGACAGAGTCTCGCTCTGTTGCCCAGGCTGGAGTGCAATGGCATGATGTCGGCTCACTGCAACCTTTGCCTCCTGGGTTCAAGTTTGATTTTTCTGCCTCGGGCTCCCAACATAGCTGAGATTACAGGTGTAATCCCACCTGTAATACAAAAAACACCCAGCTAATTTTTGTAATTTTAGTAGAGATGGGGTTTCACACGTTGGCCAGGCTGGTCTCGAACTCCTGGCCTCAAGCAATCTGCCCACCCCAGCCTCCCAAATTGCCGGGATTACAGGCACTTCCGTGCCTGGCCTCTTTTTGAATATTTGTGGAGGCTTCATTATAAAAGGCATGTTGGATTACATCAGGGAAGTTACGAATTTGTTTCAACAGTTTTATCTTCCTCTGTACCCAGGGGCAAGAAAACCTCTGGACCTCAGACAGGACTGTGGCCAGGCACAGGCGGGGCCTCAGGTGCACAGGCAGCTGTCATCACTGGCCCCTGCTCTTCCCTGTGCCTTGCTGCGTTTTTCTCTCTTTCCTCTGGAGCCCCATTCTTTTGCCACTTCACTGGGCCAGGCTTGTTCCCAAACTATGAGACTTTCTCAGTCCTCTGTGCTTTTGCCCTTGTGGCTGTTTCTGCCTAGAGCACCCCGCCCTTCTCTTCACCTGGCCTATTCTGAGGCTTGTGTGGGGCTACAGGGGAGAGAGGAGGGCGGCTCAGACCAAAGTTCCAGCAGTGACAGTGCTGAGGGCTCAGATTTTGAATGTTTTGAAAGTAGCACTAACTGAGGCCAAGGCAGGTGGATCGCCTGAGGTCAGGAGTTCGAGAACAGCCTGGCCAACATAGTGAAACCCCGTCTCTACTAAAAATACAAAAAATTAGCTGGGTGTGGTGGCGGGCGCCTGTAATCCCAGCTACTCGAGAGGCTGAGGCGGGAGAATCGCTTGAACCCAGGAGGCGGAGGTTGCAGCGAGCTGAGATCGTGCCATTGTACTCCAGCCTGGGCAACGAGAATGAAACTCCGTCTCAAAAAAAAGAAAAAGAAAAAGAAAATAGCACTAACTGGCTGGGCATGGTGGCTCACACCTATAATCCCAGCACTTTGGGAGGCTGAAGCAGGTGGATTGCTTGAGGTCGGGAGTTCGAGACCAGCCTGGCCAACATGGTGAAACCCTGTCTCTACTAAAAACACAAAACTTAGCCGGGTATGGTGGCAGGTGCCTGTAATCCCAGCTACTCAGAAGGCAGAGGCATGAGAATTGCTTAGGAGGCAGAGGTTGCAGTGAGCTGAGATGGCGCCATTGCACTCCACCCTGAGCAACAGAGCGAGACTGTCTCAAAAAAAGAAAAAAAGTAGCACTGACTGACAGGATTTGCAAGTGGATTGGATATATGGGTTGTAGGTGTGTCGTAGGAAAAGACTGATAAGCAGTCTAAGCAGTGGCTGGTCTGGTGGCTTTATTCTTGGAGAGGTCACCAGGAGAATAGCCTTCAATGAGTTCCAGTCCAAGTAGTAAGACAATGGGTACCACTGGTAAGACTGCATGGATAGATATTAGTCTACTTATCTCCTGCCCTAGAGGCAGCAGGAGAAACAGCAGGGCATGCCACACCCAGAAGCTGGCTTGCATTGAAAGTGACCACTTCCTGTCCTAAATGCATTTGCACTCGTGGTAGGGCTGTTAAGATTAGGGGAGTGAGGCAGAGTGAGGAGCATTCAAATTTTGTTTGATATTTTGGTATCTAAAGGCCTATAAAGTATCTACTGTCATATTATCTGTGAAAGTAGAGGTCTCTTTTTTTCTTGTATTATTCCAAGAAAAAGCACAGATTAATTTTTTTTGAGAACCTAATGTATAGGAAAAACAAAATGGAACCCCTTTTTAAAAGCGTTTAACTTTTTAAAAATGGTACATTATTAGCCGGGCGCAGTGGCTCACAATCCCAGAACTTTGGGAGGCCGAGGCAGGCGGATCCCCTGAGGTCAGGAGTTTGAGACCAGCCTGGCCAACATAGTGAAGCCCTGTCTCTACTAAAAATACAAAAATTAGCTGGGCATGGTGGCGGGTGCCTGTAGTCCCAGCCACTCGGGAGGCTGAGGCAGGAGAATTGCTTGAACCCGAGAGGCGGAGGTTGCAGTGAGCCGAGATCGCGCCACTGCACTCCAGCCTGAGCAACAGTGAGACTCTGTCGGGGAAAAAAAAAAAAAAAAGGTGCATTATTGTGTGCGTGTGTGTGTGTTTTAATTAGACTTTACGTTTTACAGCAGTTTTAGGTTCACAGTGAAATGGAGCCGAAGGTACAGATTTCCCATATACCCCCTGGGGAGCCTCCCCCATTATCAACATCCTGCACAGGATGGTACATGCATTACAACTGATTAACACTTTTTTTTGTAACTTTTTATTTTTTTGTGATGGAGTCTTACTGTATTGCCCAGGCTTGGAGTTCAGTGGCACTATTTCGGCTCACTGCAGCCTCCACCTCTCAGGTTCAAGCGACTCTCCTGCCTCAGCCTCCCAAGTAGCTGGGATTACAGGCACCTGCCACCACACCTAGCTAATTTTTGTATTTTAAGTAGAGACGAGGTTTCACCATGTTGGCCAGGCTGGTCTTGAACTCCTGACCTCAAGTGGTCTGCCTCAGCTTTCCACAGTGCTGGGATTATAGGCGTGAGCCATCACACCCGACCAAACTCTTTTAACTTTTTTAAACTTGTTTTGAAAAAAATGTAAACTGTAGGCAAGCAGGAAGGATAGTAAAGGTTTAAGTGACCCTCCCACCTCAGGCTCCCAAGTAGCTGGGACTACAGCTACTTAGATTAACAAAATAATAACTTTTTTATTGTGGTAAAACGCACATAACAAAATTAACCATTTTATTTTTTGTTGTTGTGTATTTTTTTTTTTATTTTTATTTTTTGAGACAGGGTCTCACCCTATTGCCCAAGCTGCAGTGCAGTGGCACAAACAAGACTCACTGCAGCCTCAACCTCCCCAGCGATCCTCCTACCTCAGCCTCCTGAGTAGCTAGGACTACAGGCATGAGCCCCATGCCCAGCTAATTTTTTAATTTTTTGTAGAGATAGTGTCTCACTGTATTGCCTAGACTGGTCTTGAACTTCTGGGCTCAAATGATCCTCCTGTCTTGACTTCCCACATTGTTGGGATGACAGGCACTAGTCACCACACCTGGCCAGAATTGACCATTTTATTTTATTTTTTTGAGAAAGGGTCTCACTCTGTCATCCGGGCTGGAGTGCAGTAGCACCAAAATTTATGATTTTAAAGTGTCAATGCAGTGGTATCAACCACATTCAGTGTTCTGCAACCATCACTACTCCCTAGTTCCAGAACTTTTTCATAAATAATGACATTAGCCACACATGCTTTATTCTCTGTACTGCTTGCTGCTACTGCTACTGCTACTGCTACTACTACTGATTATTATTTTTTTGATTGTTATTTTCTGGAATTTTGGCATTTAAATAGCAAATATCATAATCCTTTAACCCTAAATACTTAAGTAGGTTATCTCCTAAAATCAAGAATGTTCTCTTTTATTATATAGTTTATTAAATTCAGGAAGTTTAACATTGATATGATGGTATTATTAAATATATTGTTTGTTTTCATATGTTGCTACTTGTCCCAATACTGTCCTTAGGGAAATTTTGGGTTTATAGCCCAAATTTCTATGTAGGAACACCTAGAACTGCATTTTGTTGTCATGTATATTTTGAAATAGTTTCTTAGCCTTTTTTTTTTTTTTCTTTTTTTGGTCTTTTATGACACTGACTCCTTGAAGATTATAGGCTAGGTATTTTTTTAATTTTTTTTGTAGAATGACCTTCAGTTTGAGTTTGTCTGATTGTTTTTTCTTGATTAGGTTGGTTTGTGTTTTGGGCAGGATTACCACATAGGTGGTAATGTCTTCTCCAAACATCAGTCAGGAGGCACTGAATGTCACTTATTGTGATGGTAACTTTGGTCTCCTGGTTGAGACTTTTTAATGGCACTTAAAAGAATTTTTTTGGTGGGATTTCAAATTGCAGAGATGATGGAATGTATATTTCTAGTGACCAGTGTGCAAAAGATGAACCTTTGACTTTTTTTTTTCTCAATCATTTCTCATGTTAGGGTGGTGATGATGTCATGGCCTGCGTCCATGATGACAATGGCAGGGTCCGCATACAGCACTTCTATAATGTAGGCCAGTGGGCAAAGGAGATTCAGAGAAACCCTGCCAGAGATGAAGAAGGAGTTTTTGAGAACAATCGCGTCACCTGCAGATTTAAACGCCCTGTGAATGTTCCCAGAGATGAAACAATTGTTGATCTGCATTTGAGTTGGTATTATCTGTTTGCTTGGGGTCCAGCCATTCAGGGTAAGCTTACATTTCAGCATCTGGATTAAACGCCAGACACCACTGTGCTTGTGTTCATTGTTAATTGAAGTCACACTGTGTGCACAAGAGAGCGATAAGCACTCTGGATCATTTAAAGGAAAAGGAGATGCGACTCCTACCTTCAGAAGGTTATAATGGACTTATTATAATGGACTTATTATACGGACAAACAAATGAACAGTTACACACATGCAAAGCTACAGCAGTACAAGATAGTATGTCATGAGTGATGTGCTTAATGAAACAGATCATGTATCTGCTGTATGTAGGGCTCTGTTCAATTCTCACAGCATTCTTATTTACTCCTCACCATGTCCTTGAGAGGTATAGGTATTATTGTCCTGATTTTAGAGAGATTAAGAAACTTGGTCAAGGCTATACAACTAATTAGTAGAAGAATTAAAATTCAATCCTAAGTCTGTCTGACCCCAAAGCCCATGAATACTCTTAACTCCTATGCTGTAAATATAAAAAGACTGAACGGGGGCCAGACGTGGTGGCTCATGCCTGTAATCCCAGCACTTTGGGAGGATGGTTTGAGCCCAGGAGTTCAAGACCAGCCTGGGCACTATAGTGAGACCCTGTCTCCATTCAAAAAAAAAAAAGAAGAAGAAAGAAATAATAAAAAGTACTGAACAGGAAGGGCTTCTGGAGACTTCTCCAGAGATTGACACCAAGCATTTCATTAGGGCCCACTTTGTGACTATTCTGTTAGTCACAAATCTACCAAATTATCCCATAGTTTAACCCATTACTCCTTAAATATTTATGTGTATAGGAATTACCTGGCTATATTGTTAAAGTGCAGTTTTCTGTAGGTCTTCCCCTCTCTCCTCCCCTCTACTGGTCTCCCCTCCCCTTCCCTCCTCTCCCAGGGTCTTGCTCTGTCACCCAGGCTGGAGTGCAATGAAACAATCAGAGCTCACTGCAGCCTCCACCTCCCAGGTTTAAGTGACCCTCCCACCTCAGGCTCCCAAGTAGCTGGGACTACAGTCATGCGCCACTATGCCTGGCTAACTTTTTTGTATTTTTAGTAGAGACAGGGTTTCACCATATTGCCCAGGCTGGTCTTGAACTCCTGGGCTCAACCGATCCACCAGCTTTGGCCTCCCTAAGTGCTGGGATTACAGGTGTGAGCTACCATGCCTGGCAAGATTCTGCATTTCTAATAAGCTCCCTGGTCATGCTGGTTCATTGATGACCTCATTTTGGGTGGCAAGTCTCTGCAGCATTTGCCCAGCAAAGACCCAAGGATATCATGAGACCTTTTAGAGACTGCTAAAATCAAGTTACACTGAGTCTTGAGCATTCCTTCTGGTTGATTAGCCTAAGGGCCTGCTCAAGAATGGAAGTGAGTGTGGTTTGCAGTCCTTGCACTGAGAATTCATTCTGGCTCCTGGTAATTGCATCTTTCTTTACTGTGTGCTCATCAACTATTTGCTGCCTAATCTGATCTGGTTGTTTTTTTCCTTCAATTCGTTTCCACCAATCAGCCCAGAGATGACATAATCTACCTTTTATTTTGCCTGTTGCCAATTGGGAAGACACTTGACTGTCTCCAGATTGGTGACACCTTTTCCATTTGCTAATTTCCCAGATTACCAACAGTGGCTCTGCAGTTATAACTTCAATTACTTTCGGTACCCTGGGAAATAAATTATATCTCAGCCTGGAGAAATGGAGTAATCTAAAATAGTGGGATTTGAAGTCTAAAAATTTGAGTTTGAGTATTGGTTCTGCCCCTTGGTAGCTGTATAATATTTAGCCTATTATTTAATTTCTGAATTTCATTTCCTTATATCTAAAGTGGGGATAATAATACTTCCTATTCCATGGAAATATTGTAAGGATTAAGTGAAAACAAGTATTTGAAATTGCTTTACCAATTGGAAAAAGCTGTATTTTCAGAAGGTCATCTTTTTACATATATGGCAGACTAGCCTAAAGTTCAAAGCCTTCTCCAAATCTGGTCCTGCTTTACCTGATAAGCTCTCTCAAAACTTCTGTTCTTCTCACTAACTCTAAGCAAAACAGGCACATTCCTACCCCATATACTGGCTTCTGCTTTTCTTGTTTCCTGAATGCCCTTCTATTTTTTTTATGTTTTTATTTTTATTTTTTTTTAAACGGAGTCTCACTCTGTCGCCCAGGCTGGAGTGCAATGGCGCGATCTTGGCTCACTGCAACCTCAGCCTCCCAGGTTCAAGCAGTTCTCCTGCCTCAGCCTCCCGAGTAGCTGGGATTACAGATGCCCACCACCACACCCAGATAACTTTTGTATTTTTAGTAGAGACGCTGTGTCACCATGTTTGCCAGGCTGGTCTCAAACTCCTGATCTTGTGATCCGCCCACCTCAGCCTCCCAAAGTGCTGGGATTACAGGCATGAGCCACCACACCCGGCCTCCTGAATGCCCTTTTAATTGATTATATCCTACCTATTCTCCTAAGGTCCCTGTAAGGGGGAAAACTTTGAACTAAGGCTTGAAAGGGGTATGAGGTTGGATTTCACTCAAAGAAGGCATGAACTGTAGGCGCATAGTTAAGTTGAGCAGCCCTTGCAGGTGACCAGTGAGCTGAGGTTAGGTAGGAGAGGTGACTGGGATCTATTGAGAGAAAAGTCTGCTCTGTTACCCAGTCTGGAGTGCAGTGAAACAATCACAGCTCACTGCAGCCTCCACCTCCCAGGTTTAAGTGATCCTCCCACCTCAGCCTCCCAAGTGTCTGAAACTACAGGCATACAAACCTGAGAAGTTTGATTTTTGCTAACTGGGGCCAGCACGGACACTAAGCAGGGACCTGACATGTCAAGTTTGGCAGGGCTTCCCTAGCAGATAGGACCTTAAAAACCCTCACTCTGAGCCCTATTCCTAAGGAGACCTTTGCACTGAATGTATATGCCTTAGTCTCCCTAACCCAAGTTTCAAATGGATTATTCAGGAGGTCAGACACTTTTAATCAACTGAAGATTATTAAATATATTTTACACACAGTCTGTACTTCTTTCCACTTGTAACAAAATTAAAAGAAAGTTTCCCATCCAAAGACTAGTTTGGTACTTTAATCATCCCACTTTCTATACCATTCTACCCTAATCTGCCAGACACACAGACACACACAGACACACATCCAGTATACCACACTCCCTCTGGCATGGCCTGGGCAGGCTACTAAGTGTCCCACAGACAGTAGAGGAGGGCTTCCATCTGTAAGGGAGACGTTAGTAGTGTTGTCAGGAGTTGTTGATGATCCATATATATACAAGATAGATTTGAGGGAAAAAGTTAGTAGTCTCTGCTGTTTGAAATAAAAATATAGTTTGCCCATTTGGGTATTAATAAGACAAAACTCATAGAGCCGTTTTAGGAGGCAATCATACAATAATCACACAAAATTATGTAACTAGTAGTTTTAAAATTGAGATGGCAGGAAACAGATCAACAGCATTGTTCTGATGGGGGAGTGCAGATTAATAAGAACTAGTCTTTTTGGATAAATTTAACTAATTTCTATGTTCTTTATTATATGTACAATGATAGAGAATTCTGATAACTCAAATACCTGAATCCAGATCTTTGTAACCACTGCTTACGTATTCAACACTAAATAGACTTTTGATTTTTCCATTGTTTGCCTATACCATTATAAATCTGTTCTTTTTTCAATTGCCCCTGCTCTTCTCTTTTTTTCTTAAAGGCTCTATCACTCGACATGATATAGACTCACCGCCGGCTTCAGAGCGTGTTGTCAGTATTTACAAGTATGAAGACATTTTTATGCCATCAGCTGCCTATCAAACCTTCTCATCTCCATTTTGTTTGCTTCTGATTGTTGCTCTGACCTTCTACCTATTGATGGGAACCCCCTAACCACAGCTGCAGGGCCAACAGATTACATGGATTGGGAAGTCTTTAGTATAAATATATTTTTTAAAGAATATCCAGTATAATTTTAGCTTCAATTATTTAAGAAAAAAAACCTCATATAATTTCAGCTTTTTGGAAGAAAGAACAAGCTTCTTTTGTAGTCAAAGAAGATTGTTTAATAATGACCCTATACTTTTGGAACATACTTACACCTTTTCTAAGCACTTTCACATATGTTTTCTTATTTAACTTCACAACATCTCTGAGTTGGATTGATGAAAATTGTGATTGCCATCTTCCTGAATGGGATTTGAGACCCAAAAAGACTGCCTTTTTATGATCCACATACCATATAACTTTGGCTAGAAATGACAAATAGAAAGGCAGAGAAGGAACTAA
This sequence comes from Homo sapiens, assembly GCF_000001405.40. Lineage (NCBI taxonomy): Eukaryota > Metazoa > Chordata > Mammalia > Primates > Hominidae > Homo > Homo sapiens. The sequence goes on along the minus strand of NC_000009.12, from coordinate 109,137,058 downwards.
GTATAGAAATCATGTCTCAAAACAGTCTTTACTATGAGTGCTATAGCACAGAGAGTTATTTTGAATATTACTAGGGAGAACTTTACTGAATGTCATAAGTTCACAGTCAGCCTTTTGGGCAGAAGAAATTTCAAATTTCCGTAAAGCAGAAGTGCTTTTGGATATTTACACAGCCAATGGGGAGATTGGAGGAAAATACAATGATATGAAAATAGTTCATATTTATTTGAAATTTTGGCCGAGCATGGTGGCTCACGCCTGTGATCCCAGCACTTTAGGAGGCCAAGACGGGCAGGTCACCTGAGGTCAGGAGTTCGAGACCAGCCTGGCCAATGTGGTGAAACCCCCGTCTCTATTAAAAAGTACAAAAATGAGCCAGGCGTGGTGGTGCACACCTATAATCCCAGCTATTCGGGAGGCTGAGGCAGGAGAATTGCTGGAACCCAGGAGGCGGAGGTTGCAGTGAGCCGAGATTGTGCCAGTGCACTCCAGCCTAGGTGACAGAGCCAGACTCTGTCTCAAAAATAACTAACTAAATAAATAATATTTATTTGAAATTTCTTCTCAGTTAGAGAGCAGCTATGGGAAAACATTTTTACTGCTATTTGCAAAGGTTGGAGACCAAACTGTGAGCATTCCTGAAGATGTAAAGTTGTGTTAATGATATTAAAAAAAAAAAAAAAGGGAATTCTTAGCAGTTAGAATTTGAACTTTTCTACCACTGAATTTTATAAAACTAAGGTATTCATCTGTGGTTACAGTGAATTCTCTTGTCAGAGCCAGCATACCTTAAGTGTGATTAAAAATGTATTTTTTTTTTTTTTTGCGATGAATTTTCCCTCTTGTCGCCCAGGCTGGAGTACAATGGTGTGATCTCAGCTTCACTGCAACCTCCGCCTCCCAGGTTCAAGTGATTCTCCTGCCTCAGCCTCCTGAGTAGATGGGATTACAGGCATGTGCCACTATGCCTGGCTAATTTTTTTGTATTTTTAGTAGAGATGGAGTTTCACCATTTTAGTCAGGCTGGTCTCGAACTCCTGACCTCAGGTGATCCACCTGCTTTGGCCTCCCAGAGTGCTAGGATTACAGGTGTGAGCCACCGTGCCTGGCCTAAAAATGTGTTATATCAGACAAAACATCTTAGTAAAAATTTAGGGCATTTTAATAATAAGCCAACAGTTTTTGAGACTGTAGAGATTTTGAGTAGAATTTTTTTTATGAGGTGGCTTTTTAAAAAATAATTGAAAATGGGAAAATGACCCATAAAGTGAATTCACCTAGAATATCCATTTAAATGTTCAGACTTGTGGCTGAGCGCGGTGGCTCACACCTGTAATCCCAGCACTTTGGGAGGCCAAGGCAGGCGGATCACCTGAGGTCAGGAGTTCGAGACCAGTCTGGCCAACATGGCAAAACCTTGTCTCCACTAAAAATACAAAAATTAGCCGGGTGTGGTGGCACATGCCTGTAATCCCAGCCACTTGGGAGGCTGAGGCACGAGAATCACTTGAACCTTGGAGGCAGAGCTTGCAGTGAGCCAAAATTGTGCCACTTGCACTCCAGCCTGGGTGACAGAGGGAGACCCTGTCTCAAAAAAATAAGTAAAATAAAATGTTCAGACTTATAAACTAGACAGGTAGTCAGCATAATTCATAGTAATGCCTTGACATTAGGCGCCCCAAAGGACTCCTTTGTTCTTTGTTCCAAATGTCTGTGCTAACTGCCCATTTTGAGGAGAGAAGTCTGCAGGTATAGTTAGTGCTGCTGAGACATTTCCACTCTGGCATTCTAGAGTTCTCTGGCTTGCCCTTGTTGCTTTAAAGCTGGTTCCAACTTCGTGGGCTTTATGATTGAGCAACACTGGTGATTGTGATTTCTAATACCACCCTCCAGATTCATGTCACAGGTGAAAGTCTGCCTGTGGGGAGAGCTTTCACATTCTCCTGGAGTTGAACCAAAATAAGGAAAACATCAACAAACACAGTTACCAAAAGCTTCCAAGGAGGGATGGAGGAGAAATTCTGTTCATTGCAGATGGGGAGAAATTAAATGACATCAAGTGCATAATGGAACTGGGTAGGATTCAAACTCAAGTCCCCTGGTTCAAGTCCTTGACTCCACTCTGGGCATGGCTAAGTCTGGCCTGTGTCTCATCTTCTCAGCTCTAGTGGCTGTTTAGTAGTGAAGATACTGATATGCAGGCAGCCATGTTGTAAATAAGAAGCAAATATTTTTATATTTCTCTCTCTTATGTGTATAATATTTGAGCTACAAACAGGTTAAAACAAAAGAGAGACTTCAGCTTAGTAGCAGGCAGGGAAGGAAGAAGTGAATGCAGCTTCCTTCCGCTTACATTTCTAATCAAGCTAATTATTTCACTAGTGATTTCTCATTTGATTACCGATTTTGCTTATTTATGCTTAGAACTTTCAATGACTTCTCAGTGCCATTAAGGTAAAATGCAAGCCATTTCTGTGACCTGCAATATCATCTTTTGCCACTCCTCCTCACTTGCTATGTCTTAGCAAGACTGAGAGGCTCTCAGTTCTTCAGACCTGCTCTATCTCACCTCTCATTTTGTTCATATTCTCCACCTCTTGTGCTTGATGAACTCCTATTCACCTATCAGGTCACAACTTAAATATTTTTTCCTCCAAATCTCTGGACTACATAGGTCCAGGCCCCCATCAAATGCTCCCATAGCACATTGGGCTTCCTCATCAACATGCTCGTTATACTTTTCTAGAATTGCTGGCTTGTCCTCCTTGTTATCTCCCTAATGCAGAGACCATTACTCATCATTGTAGCAGATATTTATCCATATCAGGTACTCAGCAAACATTTGTGGAATGAATCTATATGTGAAACTATACTTCTATGGCAAGTTTGTTTGGTTCAGAAGGCTTGCATTTCATGTATATTGGGAGACTGGCCAACATTTTTATATTCTTCCTCCTATGCTCAAACCATAAATAATTATGTTAGCAAACACTGAACTTTGTCTTTTGAAACATAAATAGAAACATCCTTAGTAACAGTACTAACAGTAATCATTTTTCAGAAATAAGAATTCACACCAGTGATACAGAATGGCCTTTGACCATTATCTCAGAGAACTAGCAGTCGATAGACATGCTGAAGTGATAATTCCAAAAACTTCAGTTTCATTCATCCCTACTTAAATATAAGAGAATCAACTTCTATTTTATGTCTGTATTCCCATTTTCTAATATACTACTTGTCACAGAGGAGATGCCCAACCAGTGTTTTTCGTAAAGTACCTGAATAGATTAATAATAATGCTAGTGAAATATATTTAGTGCTGTTCTAAGCACTTTACATGAATTAACTCATTTAATCCTCACCGCAACCATAGGAAGTAGATTCTATTATTTATCCAATTTTACAGATGAAAAAACTGAGGCTGGTCACTTGACATAAATTACCAGTGCTGGCCAGGACTTTAGAGACCATTTAATCCAATGCTCTTATTTTACAGAGGTGCAGCTGAAGCCTAAGGAGGTGATATGATTTCCTACACATTCATGCACCTTCGTGCACATCCATTAAAACTTTTATTAAATGGAACCCACTATCCATACTCCAATTAGCTAGGTGCCTTTTTTCCCCCATTTAGTAATTTACAATTAATTGGAGGACTTTTTATAGTTATATTTAGAGGAAAGGAGCATGTTTTACTCTATATCAACTTTCTTTTCTGCTTAAAAGCATTTTGATTCTTTATTTTACCAGTCATTTTAGTTCTTTTAATAGGTTTAATACACAGATCAAACAAGACTTAAATACATTTTTAACAATGTAACAATTTAAAAGAAATTGCCTAAAACCTAGGTCTTCTAACTTGGAGCCCAGTGCTTTTTTTATTGCTCCGCTGAGTCAAAAGGTGAATATATAAACATGATTTCAGATAGAATGCAGAAGCTGTATTTAATTAAGTTGGCTTTTGTCATTAAAGAAATCAGAAAGTTTGGACAACTCAGGAATGGATTTCCATCCTAGATGGTATTTACTACTATTTCTGGAATTAAGTTTACTGTCTATATTCAGGATTTTGTGCATAAGAGACGTGACCACTGAGGTTGTGTGTCATTCTTATCTCTACTCCAGGGGTCAGCAAACTTTCTCTGTTAAGGGTCAGATAGTAGTTTTTTGGCTTTTCAGTCTCTGTTTGGCTCTGCTATAAACAATACATAAATGAATGAGCATGGCTATGTTCCAATAAAACTTAATTGACACTGAACTTTGAATTTCATGTACTTTTCAAATGTCACAAATGTTTTCCTTTTGATTTTTTTCAGAAAGCCATTAAAAAAATCCAAAGACCATTCTTAGCTTGCAGGCTGCACAAAAACAGGAAGCAGGCGGGGTTTGCTTATGGACTGTGGCTTTCCCACCCTTGTTCTTAGATAGGGACACACCAATATATCATGATTAGTTGTAAAGGATACTGCCAGTAACATATTATTACTGGTTAGTTGTAAGAATATCAAAGTTAGTGAATAATTTGCTTTTAAAATAAATTATTGTTGATTTATTTTTATAAATAAATGGCACAGGGCATCTCATGCTCTTGCATTCTAATATATTTTCTGGAATTGATGCAAAAGTGGTGGCAGTAAAGTACAGAGCCGGCTAAGCAGCAGTTTTGTCTTAAGTAACTGTGGTGATCATGGACAACCATTGCGCTGAACTGCTCTTCATGGTAAGGATTTCAGTGTTTCAGAGTAATTCATTAACCTAGAGATGTTTTAAAAAGTTGTATCGGCCGGGCGCGGTGGCTCAAGCCTGTAATCCCAGCACTTCGGGAGGCCGAGGTGGGCGGATCACGAGATCAGGAGATCGAGACCATCCTGGCTGACACGGTGAAACCCCATCTCTACTAAAAATACAAAAAAAATTAGCTGGGCGTGGTGGCGGGAGCCTGTAGTCCCAGCTACTCAGGAGGCTGAGGCAAGAGAATGGCGTGAACCCGGGAGGTGGAGCTTTCAATGAGCCGAGATTGCCCCTCTGCACTCCAGCCTGGGTAACAGAGCAAGACTCCGTCTAAAAAATAAATAAATAAAATAAAATAAAATAAAATAAAAGTTGTATCAAAATCTGCTGCACCATGGGAGTGTTTTACACATGTGATGTGGCATCTACCTTATGTACCATAATGGAAAAATGTTTGAGAACCACTGCACTAGGCCAAAGGCTGGGATGTGTATACTTTGCTGCCGTGTATAATTGTATGTCCTTGTTCTCTAAACGGAATTGGTTATGTTTAGTGAACAGTTAGGTGGTTCTCCATGTGTTTATATACACAGACGATCCCCGAATTTGGATGGTTCAACTTAAGAGTTTTCAAACTTACGATGATATGAAAGTGATATACATTTGATACATTCCTACAACTTACAATGGGGTTATGTCCCATAATTGTTTTGACTTATGATATTTTCAACTTACAATTGATGGGTTTACTGAGACATAACCCTCTTGTAACTTGAGGAGCATGTGTATATTTGTACATACATGATGGTGTGTGTTTATACACAAAGGCCTGAATATACACACCATGAGCATTTGAAGGTCTTTGTCAAGGTTGTTTCTGTTTCTGATCTCTTGCCTACTTTAAAACCCAAGAGGTAGAACATTATGCATATTACAGGCAAAACTATGCTTGAGTTTATAGCAATGTAGTTTGTAGAAAGGATTCCTGGATGTTTTACTAAGCCTTTCCTCCTCCATTCAACATTATATGAATTGTTAAGAACATATAAAGTACCACTGTTGAATGTGACTTTTCTATACTGTTAGTTAAGAAACCAAGACTAGTGTTAGCTGAGTAACTGGCATGTTGATGCAACCTATACAGGTTTTGTATTTAATTAGGTTCCTTATTCAGTTATTCAAGTATCCAGTTATTTAGTTTCAAGGTAGATTTCTTTGTTTTTATATTTAATAAAAGACTTGCATATAAGTTCCTCTTCATGAAAATAGTGGCTAGGCTAGTGTGATTTTAAGTATGTCTGGCAACTCAAAATGTAATGGATTCATCAAGCTATTTGGGATTTTTAACATAAAACACACTGCTGCTTGATTAATGTGTTCAGTTTTCCCCTGGATATTTGCTATTAGGCTGATAGCCATTTGGTTGGATTCTTCTGGAGAGTAATTGATTCTCTAAGGTAATGGGGTGCTGCAGTGGGTGTAGCATTCACCCAGGTCACTAGAATCCTACCTGTTTCATCACATAGAAGGCCCTGGCCATGGGGAAGAGTGAATGCAGCTTCTCCGGATGCCTTATTTCCACAGACATGCTGATATGCTGGAACAATCTGGCTCCAGGAGTATTAATATACTTTTTTGAGACTGTCTACAAAATACTATTTTGTAAAAACTATGCCTTTACATAGACATTGATAGGTTATATTTGTTTTATAACAATTGTGTACCTAATGTTTGTGATTAATTTTGAGATTTATGTATATTTATAAGCCTATCTTATGTAAATTTTTACTCTAAGATGTGTGGCACATTACTAATAAAGACGTGGATTTCTATTTATGTAAAGTAATTGTAGCAATATTCCTAGATGCTACCTAAATGATTGTTCTGTCCATTTGCCATCACAAATACTTTTATCTTTGGATGATTATGTTAGTCAGAATATATTAATTAGATTTAAACTTTAAAATAAGAATTACAACATAGTTTGAAATTCTTCCTGTTGATGTAATTAAAGTTAGTTTATAATTCCTTATTGCTTTGCTCTGGTGCATTTTTCTTTTCTGTTTCTGGTTTTAAATCTTTCATCAGTAAAGTCACTCTCATTTCTCCCTGAATCTATAGACCTTGGAGAAGACGATAGCCTGTCTTGTCTGACAAAGAGGAAAATCATTTTGCTGTCATCAGGTAAAAATTCCCGTAGAGAAACAATCTGTAAAATAATCTTACATTTATAGCTTTGGTTTAATACTTTATTAGGTAGTGAATGGAGGCCTATAATCCCATTTCAAGTGTATCAGTTGGTTAATTGCACATGGCTAGCTCTAAGAATTTCAATAATCAGCATTATTGGCAACTAAACCATATAATATTTTGAGAATAATTAGAGTTTAGTTGTAGAGCATAATGAATCACCAGGGAGGTCGTTGAGCTGCCAGTACTACAGGGGCTAGCTTGAGAAGATCAAGGAATGGCATGTTAAAAAAGAATCAGGCATTACCACATTCTGCATTCAAAGCTCTAATTTTCACCAAAAAAAAAAAATTCAAATATTTTGTCCTTTGTTTAGTATTCTGCTTGTTCCGTGTAGTATTTATTTTGCAGTATCCTGAGTGGACAGCCCAGCTATCAAATCTGATCCTGGCTAATGTTTGACTTGGAGATTTCTTAGGGCTCAGTCGCAGGTACAAGGATCAGATGATAAGCTATAAGAAGAGACAGAGGAACTGCAATGGACATGAGAGCCACCTGCGTCCAGGAGGTTAAGAAGCTTTAACCATTCATTCATTCATTCAATCAATCAATATTTATTTATTTATTTATTTATTTATTATTTTTTTAGGGTCTTTGTCACCCAGGCCAGAGCGCAGTGGCACGATCAGAGCTTACTGTAGCCTCAACCTCCTGGGCTCAAGCGATCCTCCCACCTCAGCCTCCCAAATTGCTGGGATTACAGGTGTAAGCCACTACACCCAGACAATAAATATTTATCGAAGACTCTTATGTGCTCGTCCTTGTGCTAGACATTACACAGAGAGGACTCTAGGAAGAACAGTTCTTGATTTCTGCCCCCACCCTGGGGCTCACCCTGGGGGCCTGTTTGGAGAGTCAAACACACACCATGACAGTACCTTGTGGTGAATTCAGTGGTAAGGAAAAGCTCAGGTCTGATGCTAAACCTGAGTGGAGGTCCTCACCCAGCCTGGGGCAACTAGGAAAGCAGGTGGTGATACTGAAGTGAACCTTAAGGAAGGGGTGCTGTGGACTGAACATTTGTTCCTCCCAAATTCATATGTTGAAACCCTAATCCCCAATGTGGTGGTATTTGGAGATGGAGCCTTTGGTAGGTAATTGGGCCGTGAGGGTAGAGCCCTCATGAATAGCATTAGTGTCCATATAAGAAGAGACAGGAGAGAATTTGCTTCTTTTCTCCACTCTCCACCATGTGAGTACACAATGAGAAACTGGCCATCTTTGAACCAGGAAGAGGGCCCTCACCAGAACCCAACAATGCTGGCGCCTGTTCTCAGGCTTCCCAGCCTCCAGAACCATGAGAAAGAAATTTTTGTTGCTGAAACCAGTCCGTCTGTGGTAATTTGTGGGAGAAGCCTAAATTGATTAAAACAAAGGGGTAGAAATATGTTAGGCAAAGGGTGTACAGGGGCATCACCAAGAAAGGGGAGAACAACCCAACAGCCTCAGACGAAAGACCAGCAGGATGTATTCTGGAACCATTGTCATCTGACAAGGCTTATCTTAGTTTTCTATTGCTCCTGAAAACAGTTTCCACAAACATAGTGGTTTAAAACTACAGAAATACATTTTCATACAGTTCTGGAGGCCAGAAATCTGAAGTGAATCTTACACAGCTAAATTTAAGGTATTGGTGGCGGGGCCCAGTGGCTCACACCTGTAATCCCAACACTTTGGGAGGCCGAGGTTGGTGGATCAGTTGAGGTCAGGAGTTCGAGACCAGCCTGGCCAACATGGCAAAACCCCATCTCTGCTAAAAATACAAAAAATTAGCTGGGCGTGGTGGCAGGCACCTGTAATCCCAGCTACTCGGGAGGCTGAGGCAGGAGAATCGCTTGAACCTGGGAGGCAGAGTTTGCAGTGAGCTGAGATCGTGCCACTACACTCCAGTGCAGGTGACAGAGTGAGACTCCATCTCAAAATAAATAAATAAATAAAAAATAAATGTAAGGTATTGACAGGGCTGGTTCCTTCTGGAGGCTCCAGGGAATAGAATTCATTCCTTGTGTCTTTTAGGTTCTGGTAGCTGACCAAATTCCTTAGGCTGTGGCCTCATCACTCCAGTCTCTGTCTCCCTGGTCAGATGACCTTCTTTTCTTCTGTAGTCTAATCTCCCTCTGATAAAGATACTTGTGATTATATTTAGGGCCCACTGAAATAACCCAGGATAATTTCCCTATCTCAAGATCCTTAATTATACCTGCAAGGTGCCTTTTGCAATGTAGGGTAATGCTTCATAGGTTCCAGGAATTAAGACTTGGTTACCTTTGGGGGTCATTATTCCTAGCATCACAAGGCCAGAGGATAAAGGATGAAGTGAGGATGGGGAGAGGTGAGGCAGAGTGAGCAGGGTCCTGTTCACAGAGGACCTTGCAAATCATAGTAAAGAACTTTGACACCTTCTCACAGGGGATAAGGAGGCTTAGGGAGAGACTAGCTTGTGTTTTAGAAGGATCATGCTGGCTTCCATGTTGACTGGAGTGGAGCAAGAGGATGAGCTTAAAGACTAGTTAGAGGCAGAAGTGACATCAGTGTGGTGCAGAGTGTACAAATATGTAGCACTTAGAATTCAAAACCAGCAGGACTTAATCTACAAATAAAGATGGTTTCTTTACACATAAAGAAAAATTAGTCTGGCCCAGCGTGGTGGCTCATGCCTGTAATCCTAGCACTTTGGGAGGCCAATGCTGGAGGATTGCTTGAGCCCAGGAGTTGGAGACCAGCCTGGGCAACATGGCAAAACCCCATCTCTACCAAAAATACAAAAATCAGCCACTTTCATAATTAGGTCTCAAAATAAATAAATAAATATTTTTTGTTTAAAAGAAAGATTAGGCAGTTTTTTTTTCAAGATAGAATCTTGCTCTGTTGCCCAGGCTGGAGTGCAATGGCACGATCTCAGTTCACTGCAACCTCTGCCTCCTGGGTTCAAGCAATTCTCCTGCCTCAGCCTCCCAAGTAGCTGGGATTACAGGCATGTGCCACCAGGCCCAGCTAATTTTTTGTATTTTTAGTAGAGACAGGGTTTCACCATGTTGGCTGGGCTGGTCTCAAACTCCTGACCTCAAGTGATCTGCCCGCCTCAGCCTCCCAGTGCTGGGATTACAGGCATGAGCCACTGCGCCTGGCCTAGTCTGGGCAATTTGAAATGCATCAACCATCTCCTGTTTTTCAGTCTTGCTCAGGTTTGCAGCAGAAGGCTGGTTGTTTATTCCACTGGTTGGCCTCAGCCTTAGTGTGAGTATATCGTAGGGAATAGAGCTAAGGAAGCAATGGGCTAAGAATTCCAAATCCTGAGCCCTAAGGCTTAAACTTCAACTATCCAGGTAAAGCTTGAGCCATTCCTGTGAAGAGGGGGAACGACCAGTGATGGACACTCAAGGTCAGCCACTTTCTAGAGAGGGAATTCTGACTTTCGGTGCATAATTGTTCGTCGCAAAGTCCCGCTTGCAATGCCCATCCTTCACACCAACCTTCTTCCCACCTTAGGAAGCGAAGGAGGTGTCTTGTTGCAGACTTAAAAAAAATTATGTATCTCTACACTTCATTTTATTCATCTGGCCCTCTCCCAGGCACGTCAGTTTCATCAAGGTTGGTTGAATTGATTTGATAAGCTTTTCACTGAAACATTTCACTAACTGGTAAATCGTTGACATGGCACGACATTGTATGGGAGGTTAGTTGCAGCTGGATGGCACAGACCAAAAGGACAGGAAAGGCTACCCTTGACTCGGTGAACTAGCAGGACCTGCACTGTGAGTAGGGGCCACATGTCCAGCTATGGGAGTGGGAGGGATGAGGGGGAAGTAGGTAGGGAGTTAGGCAAGGCCTGTTGGGATCAGACTTGCTTGCACCATTTATCCTTCAGCCACTGAGATTTTTAAAAAATCTTGGCCTGTAATTCCAACACTTTTGGAGGCCAAGGCATGCGGATTGCTCGAGCTCAGGAACTCGAGACCAACATGGGCAACATGGCCAAAACCTGTCTCTACCAAAAATACAAAAAAAATTAGCCAAACGTGGTGGCATGTGCCTGTGGTTCCAGCTACTAGGGAGGTTGGGGTGGGAGGACTGCTTGAGCCTGGGAGGCGGAGGTTGCAGTGAGCTGAGATCGTGCCACTGCACTCCAGCCTGGGTGACAGAGTGACACTCTGTCTCAAAAAAAAAAAAAAAAAAGAGAAAGAATTCAGTGATAGTTCAGTGATAGATTAATAATGTTTGCCATGGACTTAGCAAAGGAAAGTAGTAATTCACATGCCATGCAATTGCCAGCCTTGGTTTATAGTAATTGTAATAAAAGACCTTGTTATAACTATTCCAGTAGTCACTGTTTGAATTTCTATTGTAAAGTAACCATCATAGCTGGGTTCAGTTCATGGCAGCTAAGTGCTGTGTATAAAGCAGCCCAAGGGAAGGTAAGTAATGACTACTCTGTGGCCAAGTACCATATTAGTTATTTACATAAACTAGTTCTAGTCCTCACAACAGCTCTGCAATGTAGATTTCTTATCTCTCTTGTACAAATGAGGAAACATTCTCAGTAAGTTAATTTATCCAAGGGTATACAGCAAGAAAGCAGTAGAGCCAGGATTATAATCCAAATCTGTCTGCCTTAAAAGCTTGTGTTCTTTCCAGCACATCCTGCAGCCTCTACAATAATATGGTGTCTACTCACTTTTTTTAATTATTAAAAAAAAGTGTGCAAAGTACTGGAGCAAATGCAAAAAAGCTTATCGATGACTTTTGATCCAATGGGGAATTCAGATATTTGTGAAAATGATTACAATATAATGTGGTTGGTACTTGAGAAGAGATAGCTGTAAGTGCTACACAGTAAAGGTAGCTGCTAAGTTTCCCTGGATCAGGAAAATTCCACAAAGGAGATGATTTTGAGCTGAGGCTTGAAAGATGAATGGGAATTATCCAGATAGGCAAGAGGAGAGTTATATATCTGGAAGGCTGGTCCTATGAAGATAGAAGAGATGTCCAATGTATGGTTGTTGGTCTAAGGAGCTCAATGTGCTCTTGGCAGTTGTTGCACATCTGTACGGGATGCCAAATGTAAATAGTGCCCCCAAATGTGAATTGTATCCCTGGAATTGCGCAAAGTGGTGGCCCTGGACCATGGAGAGATACCACAATGTCCTGGGTAGAGCCTTGCTCTGTCGCCCAGGCTGGAGTGCAGTGGTGTGATCTCAGCTCACTGCAACCTCTATCTCCCAGGATCAAGCGATTCTCCTGCCTCAGCTTCCTGAGTACCTGGGATTACAGGCGCCCACTACCATGCCTGGCTAATTTTTGTATTTTTAGTAGAGATGGGGCTTCACCATGTTGGCCAGGCTGGTCTTGAACTCCTGACTTCAGGTGATCCGCCTGCCTTGGCCTCCCAAAGTGCTGGGATTACAGGTGTGAGCCACCGCGCCTGGCCTCTGGGTGTTTAATATATGTTATTCTCCAATTTAATCTTTACTGCCACCTTATGAACAAGGATCATGCACCATTTATAGCTGAGGAAACTGAGCTCAGAGATGCTATGTAACTTGTCCAGGATTATACAGATAATAAGTGGCAGATTTGGAATCTGAATGCATGTCACCCTGATTTCATTTTCACATGATCACTTCTTCTGCATTGTACATACTACCTTACACACAACGCACATACCACATTGTAAGCACTGGACTTTGTACAAAGCAGATACTCAGCACACCTTAGTAAATGTTTGTGGATACACTTGGAGAGCTCTAAAACAGACACAATGCTGGAGAATCGTCTCCCTGCCTGTGTTTGTAATATCTCTGGTGGATGTTATCTTGATACCTTGGGAGTATCAGTTGTTTAAGAGATACCCCTTATCTTTTCTAGGACAAAAGTAAGAGTTACCCCAAGAGTCACTGTCAGATTCTCACCATGTCAGAGACACTGTGCTGCTGCTTTTATACATACTTTCTTATTTCACCTTCACAGCAACCATTTTTATAAATCAGGAAGCTTTCTGTTTCAAGTAATAGAAGCCTAACCAAAACTGGCTTAAATGATTACAAAATTCATTCATTCATGCAACTGGAAAGCAAGAGGCAGTGTGGTCTCCAGGGTCAGCTTGATCCACGACTCTGAATGTCTTTCACTTCTACTGTATCCTGCGTGCCGATGGAGGCTGTTTGTCCCTGAGGTTGTTGGAGTGAGTTGTCATGTTAAGGTCAACAGAGAGAACCCAAGTAGCCTCGTATTTTGGAGGAGACACCTAAAATCATATGACCTTGAGATTTGAGTGGACAATGGGCTTCTTTCTCAAATTTAGTTTTTAGGTCCTATGTTCCAGTATTTTAATTTTTCTCTGTTCTCAACCACATGGATGCTCAGTAGAAACATCCCCAGCTTTCAATTTCATCTCTCGCAGGAAGCACAGACAGGCTTTTTTTGAAAGGACGCCACTCATTCATTCTTTTGCTCAGCAAACACTTAGCTCCTACTCAGTACGTCCTATGCTGTGCCAGGTGCTGGGCCCACGGAAATGAAGAAAGCCCAGTCCCTGCTCTCAAGGGGCTCTGTAGGGAGACAGACACAGAAACCACTAACTTTGACTGCAGTGTGGTGAGGACAATCACAGGAGGGGTGAGTGAAACCCTGTGTGAACCCAGCCTTGTGCTAGGCCACATAAAGACTAGTCTAGTTAGATTCTAGTGCTTCAGCCTTCATTTCTGTTAGAGTTCCATTGACTAGAAATGCTGAGTGACACCTGTCAGTCCTACGGCTTTGGCCATTAGAACAATCTTGAAATGTTCAGCAATTTTCACTTTCACTGAGACTTGGAAGCAAAGCACCATGACAGGGCATTTTTTTGATTTGCTGAGTTGTTGCTAAACTGTGGCCCAACACAATTTAGGCAGGATTAACACCCCATGTCCTGTCCCGTTTCGGCTTGCATCCACTGATAAATGCTTCTGTTGCGTAACTTGGGAGCTCTCATTTTGTAACTAGAGGAAGAGAGTCTTTGGTTGGAGTAGGACAGAGAGGAGGGTTCAGTCTTTGTTCCCTCACTGACCCATTGGAAGGGTTTTGAACCCATGTGGTTAGAGGACTGAAGTCCAGACATGGAAGGAACTATTCACGAGAGGAGTTATAAACACTGGGCATTGGCGGGGCACTGTGGCTCATGCCTGTAATCCCAGTACTTTGGGAGGCTGGGGTAGGTGGATCACTTGAGGTCAGGAGTTCAAGACCAGCCTGGTCAACATAGTGAAACCCCGTCTCTACTAAAAACACAAAAAATTAGCCAGGTGTGGTCGTGTGTGCCTGTAATCCCAGCTACTCCGGAGGCTGAGGCTGGAGAATCGCTTGAACCCAGGAGGCGGATGTTGCAGTGAGCTGAGATTGCATCACTGCACTCCAGCCTGGGTGACAGAGCAAGACTCCATCTCAAAAAAAAAAAAAAAAAAAAAAAAAAACCCAAAAAACTAAAAACTAAAACATTGGCACACTGACCTGCTTTAGGGCTTGGGTGACAAAATATTTGTCAAGTGAGGGAGAAAGACTTCTTCCCCTTATCAGGATTAAACCCAGCTCTGTTTTGGTACCTTGAGGGTTAGAAGTTTGGGAGTATGTAGGATTTGGGGATAATGATACAGGCACTGGAAATCTTCCGATGGGCACTAGACTCAGTGAGCTGTGTGGGCAGCAGGGTGGTTGGTAGCAGCTGACTCATGTCTCTGGGTATATGTGAGGTACCCCTTTTGGGACCCCCCCATAGAAATCACCAAGGACTTTTTAGGAAGGAGGTTGAGGCCTTTGCTATTATGTAGATGGGAGCTTAAGTCAGTGTAACATGGACTGAAGGCAAATGTGACCATACTTTGTAATCATAATCCCAGAAAGCCTGAACAAATAAAGAAGCAAAGTACAATGTAGGAACAACTGAAAGAAAAATATTTACAGAGTCAAACTGTAACTGAGTACCCTCATTTTTTCTGAGACAGAGTTTATTTTTTCTTTCTCTCTTCTTTTCTCACTCCCCCAGTTTCTCCCTTCCTACTTAGCCCTTTAAAAAGGCAAATGTAGGCCAGGTGCGGTGGCTCACGCCTGTAATCCCAGCACTTTGGGAGGCTGAGGTGGGTGGATCACCTGAGGTCAGGAGTTCGAGACCAGCCTGTTCAACATGGTGAAACCTCGTAAAAAAAAAAAAATTAGCCGGGCATGGTGGGGGGTACGTGTAATTCCAGCTATTTGGGAGGCTGAGGCAGGAAAATCTCTTGAAGCCAGGAAATGGAGGTTGCAGTGAGCCGAGATCGCACCATTGCACTCTGGCCTGGGTGACAAGAGCGAGACTCCGTCTCATAAATAAATAAATAATTTAATAAAGGTAAATATAGCCTTTTACGTTGTCTTCACCAGACAGTCCCTACAGGGCAAGTTCATCTAACTATGTGCTTAGGAGCTCCAGAAAGGAACTCAAGAGATAACATCCAATTTCTACAAAACTCCCTCCCACCGGGAGACTGCCTTGAGAAATATGAAACTCTCTTCCATCTGAGGGGTTTTTGGCTTAGTCCTGCCAACGAAGGTGCCAGCAGTCACCAGCTTGACCACCCAGTAGATAAGGCATGCAGACCCCTCCCCCGACAACTGCTTGCTTCCTTCGCTTTAAAAGTGCCTGCTTTCTGCTCCACAATTGAAGCAGTAGCCTTAGGGAGGAAACCTGTACTTCTTCCCCTAAGCTAGCTTTGGAATACATCACTTTCTTTATACCAGACCTTGCTCTTGTTAATTGGAATCTGCAAGTGGTGAGCGACTAAACCTGCGTTTTGGTTATAAAACTCCAAAGGCCATCTGAAATACTGAGACCTAAAACTTACAATCGAGATGGATAGGGAATTACTTTTTCCTTTACTTCCTTTACTAAATCCCTTTGTCTCCAAATCTATCAAGCAATAGTTTCTTTATCTGCAAACTGTGGATTATGTTACCTGTCTTGTCTGCTTTAGAAGGGAAACAAAAATTATGTAGAAATTAATAGGAATACTATTGAAACAGGAAAGGGACAACTTGCAAGGTTTGAAGCAATCACATGTTGAGTACTCAGTCAAGGCTTTCTTTTTTTTTTTAAATCAAAATGTTGATTGGGATATTTTATGGGTAGCAGGCTTGGATCCCAGCACTTTTCCAATAGGGGAACAGAAGCACCTTGTACCGCCCCAGAGTTTCCCTTCCCCCACACAATAACCCTAAAGCAAAAGCTATTATTATTATCATCGCCATGTGACAGAGGAAAACTTGAGATTGGGGGCTTAACTGACATTACATCAAGTCTCAAAAAGAAACAGTGGCAGTTTGAGACTTTGATCTACGACTCTTTTAAGAGTTTAGATTGCGTCCACAGCGAAACCTGCACAAACAGTTGTCAACAGCGGCTGCAAATTACAGGCTTATGAGGAACGTTTGAAAAATGCCAAGAGTTCTTTCCTCAGGCCAAATACTATGGTAGATAAAAGTATAGCCTTTGGAGCCAGAATCCCTGAGTTTGAATCTTGCCTGTGCCACTTGGTAGCTGTGTGACTCTGGCTGCGTACTTAACGGCTCTGTCTCAGTTTTTCTGTTGGTAAAATGAGGATAATAACACCTTCTTTGTAGGGTTGTTCTAAGGATTAAATGAGTTAATAGGAGTGAGCCACTTAGAATAGGGCCTGTTATATGGTAATCTCTATTTAAAATCCTGTCAGATACACCAAAGAAAACACTTTAAAAATATCTGTTAAATAAATCAGTAAAACAGAATCGGGGCATTGGTTCTTTAAAAGTACTCCCCCACGGTATTCTAGTATGCAGCTTGGGTTTTAATATCTGAATGTGGCGCCTTTTGGGATCTCGCCTCGCGAGAAATTGACATTAACGAATGAGTGAAAGGAGCTTCCCCCCCCCCCCCCCTCCAGGAAGATATAGACCCTGCAAACTTGTTAGCAGGACCTTGCGGACACCAAGGAGGCGGAGGCGTTTTCCCCATTTCCCCTTCGGGAGTTGTAGTTTCCTGCAAGCGCTTGGTGGGTCTGTAAACCAGCGGGGAACTACAACTCCCACAATCTCGCGCGCCTCCCGCCCTGCCTCCCGCCCGCGTTTCTAGCCCGACTCCCATTACCGCCCCTCGGGGGCGGCTGTGGCGGAGGAACGATGGCCGACGGCGGCGGCCCTAAGGACGCGCCAAGCCTGCGGAGCTCTCCCGGGCCGGCGCCGCGGGTCCCGCGCGCGGTCGGGCCGAGTGGCGGTGGCGGGGAGACCCCGCGGACCGCGGCGCTGGCGCTGCGCTTCGACAAGCCCATTAAGCAGGCCTTCTACAACACCGGGGCCGTGCTGTTCGTGTGCCTGTGCTGCGGCGCCGCGGTGCTGGTCTACTTCATCCTGGAGGCCTTCCTGCGGCCGCTGCTCTGGGCCGTGCTATGCGGCACTTTTCTGCACCCCTTCAAGAGCTCGCTGACGCGCCTGGGCCGCCACTGGCTGCAGCGCCTGCACCGCGCGCACACGCCCATCGTCCTGGCCGCGCTGCTCCTGCCGCTCTGCTTCGTCGACTACGGCGTCGAGGCCCTGGGCGAGCAGGCGCTGCGCCGCCGCCGCCTGCTCCTGCTGCTCGGCGCCGGCGGCCCGCTCCTGTACGGCCTCTACTGCCTCGGCAGCTACTTGGGCGTGCAGGTGCTGCTGGTGCACGCTGCCACGCTCATCTGCCGCGGGCTGGACTACTTCAGCAGCCTGTGGGTGAGTGAGCGGCAGTCCGCCCCCGTCCCCCGCCCGTGGTCCCGGCGCTCTGGGGTGCAATCCTGCAGCTGTTCCTCCCGGTGCAGGGGCGACGAGGGGCCACACCTGTGCTGCAGTGACCGTCCGTCTCCGCTTTCCTTCTCACACCTCAGGAATTTGGCGGACATTCTTCCAAAAAGGGGGCGGGCGTGATTTGAAACAGCCTCCCTGCTTTTCGCCTTGTTTCAATCCTAATAGGCCCTCTTAGGGGGACAGTGCCCTGGATTGAGAATCGTTATTTCGCTTTGCAGAGAGAGGCCTCAGAGCATGGCAGTGGGGCTTGGTTTTACTTCTGGTTGGAGAGGGCGGGGGTGCTTCGGCCACCCTCAGTTCTGCGCATCTGAATGTCAGAGCTGGAAGGGACCTTAGAGATTCTAGGCCAACTTGCCATCCTGCAGATAGGAAAGGTGACCTCTTACCAGGCTAGGGCTACTTAGGGACAAAGAGGGGTTTGGGTGTCTTAGATTTCTTACAAGTCCTAAAACAAAGCTTGCTTCACTGGCTGGTGCTGCCTCTCAGTTCAGGTGATTCCTGTATAATTTGTGCAAGGCACTGGGTGCTGAGCTGCCTGTGCTTCTTCCTCTCCACGCTTTACTTTTAGGTAACTGCTTTTGTTGTGCAGGGACTGGTGTACCACAGCACACCTCCTCCCGCCTGGAGTAAAGCAGCTGACCGCGTGAAGGGGAGAGACGTAGATTTGTGATGCTTGGATTAACCTGAGCTTACTCTTACAAAACCAGGGAGCTTTAGAATTGGAAAGATTTCAAAGGTAATCTAGTGACACAATTCCTAACTCAGACTATATTGTGGACTAGTTAATTATCCACATATTTAACTGGAGACTGTTAAAAACAAGTGGAGATTTAGTGCGTAAGAATGCCAATTGATTCATAAACAGTACCATTTACAAATTGATTCACTTCTTTTGTCAGTGAAATAAAGTTCAGTGTACCTTGACGTCATTAAGTTGGAAAATATTAATTCCCCTTATCTGTCTAGCGGTGTTTTGGCTTGCCTGAGGTTATTGGCAGAGTGATGAATGACCCAAAACACCCTTCTTCTCTTGTTCCCTCAATACCACCTCTTGGTTCATGTTTAAAGTTGATCGAGCATATGTTAGGTGTTGGGCTTTGTGAGAGGTTTAAAAAAGGACTAAGATACAGGTCCCGTCTTCACGGTACATATAATCCTATATGAACATATTCTAATGGAGATGACAGACATACAGATAAATGTTCATGACTCATCCGTTGTGGGCCACAGGCCCAGAGAATGTGATTGGTCCAAAGTCACACAGCTCATGAGCAAATCTGTGGTTCACTTTTATGGAGGCCCAGTTCAGCGCTCTTTATCCTTTATCTTGCAGTTTCACAATTCAGTTAAGTGGATCGAATGCTTCTTAGCTAGAAGGCAGAACACTATGTTCTAAGAAAAATAAGCTTGGTTATTTTCCTGAAGAAATTCAGTTTTGTCAAAGACACATTTATAGATTCTGCTAACATTTTTGACTGTTGATACTGCTCAAGGAGCATATCCATCAAACTATAGGAAAGTAGAAAAGAAAGGCCTGCCACATGTAAATAGTATATTTTCATGCTAGAGTAAGAAGTTGAATACC
This sequence comes from Homo sapiens, assembly GCF_000001405.40. Lineage (NCBI taxonomy): Eukaryota > Metazoa > Chordata > Mammalia > Primates > Hominidae > Homo > Homo sapiens. The sequence continues at coordinate 109,117,677 of NC_000009.12, read as the reverse complement.
TAAGTAATTTGGCATGATTATGAGGCATTTCTACCAGTCTCTCTCAGATACTCAGTGGAAAGAGTTGAGCACTTGTAAAGAAACATCCACAGCTCGGCGTATACCTTTGAGTATCTTTTTACTGAAGATAAACCCTCATCTTTGTATTTCATTTGTGGGTTGTGGATGAGTGGAAGAGAAGTAGGGGCCAACACTGATTAGACCTGGGAGTGGGAGAAAGAAGGTCAAACTAATTAATGATTTTTTAAAAGCTTGAAATTGGCCGGGCGCGGTGGCTCACGCCTGTAATCCCAGCACTTTGGGAGGTCGAGGCGGGTGGATCACCTGAGGTTAGGAGTTCAAGACCAGCCTGGCCAACATGGTGAAACCCCGTCTCTACCAAAAATACAAAAAAAAAAAAATTAGCTGGGTGTGGTGGTGGGCACCTGTAATCCCAACTATTTGGGAGGCTGAGGCAGAAGAATCACTTGAACCCGGGAGGCAGAGGTTGGAGTGAGCCAAGATTGCACCACTGCACTCCATTCTGGGTGACAAGCGTGAAATTCCGTCTCAAAAAAAAACCAAAAAAACCTTGAAATTCAGCTGTTTGGCTCAAGTGTTGGGAGCAAGGAAAAAGAGAGAGGGTTAAAAAAAAACAAACTCAACATAAAAGTATGAGTTAAGTATTTGTGAGTAGGGAGTGGTAGAAGGGCTAAATTTGAAAGAACCTTCAGGTCAATCTGAGTTTAAGAAAAACAAGGCATGGAATTGCATTCTGCTCAAGCAGCACTTAAGGATGGATGGTTGGATGGGGGTGAGGTGTACTTGAGAAGACAAGGAGTCCTTGCTCTTATCCAAAAGTGCTGATTAAGGCCAGGTGGGGTTGCCCACGCCTGTAGTCCCAGCACTTTGGGAGGCCCACACAGGTGAATCACTTGAGGCCAGGAGTTCGAGATCAGCCTGGCCAACATGGTAAAACCCCGTCTCTACTAAAAATACAAAAAATTAGCCAGGCATGGTGGCGCACACCTGTGGTCCCAGCTACTCGGGAGGCTGAGGCAATCTCTTGAACCCAAGAGTTGGAGGTTGCAGTGAGTTGAGATTGTGCCAGTACACTCCAGCCTAGGTGACAGAGCAATACCCTGTCTCAAAAAAAAAGAAAAAAAAAAGTGCTGATTAAAGGCCAGGCACAGTGGCTTAATGTAACCCCAGCACTTTGGGAGGCCGAGGGAGGAGGATTGTCTGAGCCCAGGAGTTTGAGACCAGCCTGGGCAACATAGTGAGACCTCCCCCACCCCCAGTCTTTTAAAATAAGAAAGAAAGTGCAGATTAAGGCCTGGCATTAAGTGAAAGTAGGTTATGTGACTGGGCAGGAGGCCCACTCTGGACCTTTTCCATCCCACAGTTCACAGCGGTTTGGCTTTATGAGCCCAAGCAGGGCTGTCTGGTTATAGAACATGGTCTTTATGCTTTCTAGGCTACTTTAACCATGAGCCTGCTGCTGAAGAGCAGTATAGATGAGAGAGGCAGAGAGAAAAGTTACCTTTAAGCGAATCCCTGTTTTGATGACTTGACAGTTCATCCATTTAAGATCCAACTTTTGAGCATCTGCCATGTCCCAGGCACTAGATTAGGTTCTTTTACATGGGTGTTATTTCATTCTCTCAATGTCTTATGAGCTAGGAGGGAGGGATTTCATATGTGAGAAAACTAATTCAGAGAACTGTTGATGCTGTCAGTAAATGGCATTCAATAGACCTAGCAGCAGTTGAAGTCCTGCTGTTATCAAAACTCTGTAGTAACCTTCAATAAGGATTTTTAAAAAGTTTTCCCTAATACATTGTGTTTAATTATTTTTAGTGGATTGTAGGCCAGGTGCGGTTGCTCACACCTGTAATCCCAGCACTTTGGGAAGCCGAGGCAGGCAGATCACCTGAGGTCAGGAGTTCGAGACCAGCCTGGCCAACATGGTGAAACCCCGTCTCTACTAAAAATACAAAAATTAGCCGGGTGTGACGGCCGACTCCATAATCCCAGCTACTCTGGAGGCTGAGGCAGGAGAATTGCTTGAAACCGGGAGGCAGAGGTTGTAATGAGCCCAGGTCGCGCCATTGCACTCCAGCCTGGGCAACAGAGTGAGACTCTGTCTTAAAAAAAAAAAAAAAAAAAAAAAAAAGATTCCAGTTACTAGGAAAAAATCAGAAAAATATCAGCATTCTAGTCATCTAGAAACCTTATTCGTCCCTCTTCTTTCTTCCCTTTTATTTTTATATCTATGCAGTTTTCCAGGTCCCATCAATTTTCCTTTTTAGTGTCTTTGGGACCTATGTTTTTCTTTTTTCTTCTTATATTTTGAGACGGAGTTTTGCTCTTGTTGCCCAGGCTGGAGTGCAATGGTGTGATCTCAGCTCACTGCAAGCTCTGCCTCCCCGGTTCAAGCAATTCTGCTTCAGCCTCCCAAGTAGCTGGGATTACAGGCACCCACCACGCCCGGCTAATTTTTGTGTTATTTTTAATAGAGACGGGGTTTCACCATGTTGGCCAGGCTGGTCTTGAACTCCTGACCTCAGGTGATCCACCTTCCTTGGCCTCCCAAAGTGCTGGGATTACAGGCATGAGCTACTGCGCCTGGCCTGGACCTATGTTTTTCTTCGTCACTAGTTTTTCTTTCCAGTTCAGTTCCTCTTCATGTCACTTGTAGATTTCTTCAGTCTCCTAAAACTCCGTGCTTCTTACAAGTGAAACACTAATCATTTATGGGATGAGTAATTCTTTTTCAGCAGTTTCAAATATGTTAGGAGATTGCACTGACTTAGTAAGTGATTTCAGAACACCTAAAAAAAAAATCAGCTGTTGCACCAGGTTCACATGTTACTCAGTTCTTGGCATCTTCCCATGGTGGAGCTGTGCAAGGTAAATTTGAAAAAGCTGATGGCGTGCCCTGCTCCACCATTCCTCTCTGTTGGGGGGCATTCTGATCTTCCTCATTCTGTTAATTTAGACTTGGTGGAGAATTTGAAGACCATTTAGTTTTTTGCAGTAGTAATAGATTTGTTTTTTCTGTGGTCTCTGATCCCATTGTTCCCATCTTTTTAAAGAAGCAGGAGGTGGAGAGAGTAGTGGCTGAAAGATAAAAACACCTGAAGTTCTAAACTTGGCTCTGCCAGTAACTAACTTTGTGACCTTGGGCAGACCAGGGCCCTCCTCTGGGACATTCAGTCCCAATTGCATAAAGTGAGGGGTTGGCTTGAACAATTTCTAAGATTTCACGATGTTCTATTTTACACATCACAAGAGGCTCTTCAGCAGTGGACGTTAGTCAGCCATTCACTGCTGACACCGTTCTACTTTTAAACACATTTCTAGGTTTGTTTCTGCTTGCCTGGCAGCAAGAAACAAGGAGAGGAAAGTTTCTAGTGCTTAGTTTTCTCAGTTAAAGACTTTGAATATAAAAATGTTGACTCTAAGTTGCCATATGACAAAGAGAATGGTTTTCACATTAGAATTAAGTGGATAATTTAAGGACCTGAAGCAGTTGCTGCTTGAGGCTATGATTAGGGCTGTGGCTCCATAACTTGGGAGGAGGTTTGTAGTTGTGGTGTTTTTGTTTTGTTTTGTTTTGGGGATGGATTTACGCTCTTGTTGCCCAGGCTGGAGTGCAATGGCGCGTTCTCGGCTCACCGCAACCTCTGCCTCCCGGGTTCAAGTGATTCTCCTGCCTCAGCCTCCCGAGTAGCCTGCCACCATGCCCGGCTAATTTTTTGTGTTTTTAGTAGAGACGGGGTTCCACCATGTTGGCCAGACTGGTCTCAAACTCCTAACCTCAGGTGATTCCCCTGCCTTGGCCTCCCAAAGTGCTGGGATTATAGGTGTGAGCCACTGCACCCTTCCTGTAGTTTTATTCTCTCTAAAAAAAGCTTGGGAAACTGTTCTGCAAAAATATGTAACAGAAGCAACCAAGTTGTTTTTCCAGTTAATACCCAGATGACAATAAATGAAACAAAGATGGTTGAAAAGGCAGAGTCTCTACTTAATGTTTTCTACATTTAATATGTTTTTTAACCAGAAAAGTATATGTGGATAATCGTGTGAAATGAAAGGAAAATGTGATTGCCTATTAGTTCCCTTTACTTGAAGTGCTAAGTAAATGTTGCCAAATTTTATGCAGTCTTATGTAGTGTCTAGCACATTGGTGCTATAAAAACGACTATGGAATGTATATTTTGAAAAGGACATGTTGTTTTGGAGAACATAAGTTTGGAAAAATATGCCCTCTTATCTGTAACTGTGGCTCATTGATTTAATGCCTGGAATAAAATTCACACTTGAATAGGTTTGCTCAGAGGCTAAACATATATAAAGTTGACTTGTTAACCTCATGTTTCCGTGTTAGTGAAGATTTAAGAATTAAAAAACTCCTAAGAGGTCCTAGACTAGAAATTGTGTGTGAAACATGCATGTACAAATCCTTATTTTTGTTATTTTAAAGGATATTTAGTGATTCAAAATGTTGACCCAAGTAAAATATGCTTGTTACATTTGAAAAAACATAAGCAGAACAGAAGTTTGTATGGTAAAAGTGAATTATCCCTTTCCTTCCCCCGCCCTGCCCCTGGCCCCGCTGAGATGGAGCCTTGCTCTGTCACTCAGGCTGGAGTGCAGTGGCTCGATCTTGGCTCACTGCAACCTCTGCCTCCCGGGTTCAAGCAATTCTCCTGCCTCAGCCTCCCGAGTGGCTGGGACTACAGGCATCTGCCACCATGCCCAGCTAATTTTTGTATTTTTAGTAGAGACGGGGTTTCACCATGTTGGCTAGGCTAGTCTTGAACTCCTGACCTCATGATCTGCCCATCTTGGTCTCCCAAAGTGCTGGGATTACAGGCATGAGCCACCGCGCCCGGCCGAATTATCCCTTTTCTCTACCACTATTCCCACTATTCAGATGTTACTATTAACTGCTTGATGTAAAGGCTCCTAAATTCATTTCTTTGTCCATGTGAACATATAAAGTAGAAGGTTTTTGTTTTTTGTTTTTTAAAACAAAGATGAGATAACATACATATAGCTCTGTACCTTGCTCTTTTCATTTATCATTGTACTGTGGCCATCTTTCCTTATTAGCACTTAGAGATATACGTCTTTCTTTTTTTTTTTTTTGAGATGGAGTTTTGCTCTTGCTGCCCAGGCTGGAGTGCAATGGTGCAATCTCGGCTCACTGTAACCTCCACCTCCTGGGTTCAAGCGATTCTCCTGCCTCAGCCTCCCAAGTAGCTGGGATTACAGGCACATGCTACCATACCTGGTTAATTTTTGTATTTTTAGTAGAGAAGGGGTTTCACCACATTGGCCAGGCTGGTCTCGAACTCCTGACTTCATGTGATCTGCCCGCCTCAGCCTCCCAAAGTGCAAGGATTACAGGTGTGAGCCACTGCCCTGGCCACTTTTTTCTTTTTAATACTGCTACAGTATAAATCTTTTTTCTCCCCCTCCCCCACCATGCCTTTTAGAAAATGTTTTCAACAGATTTTCTTAGCTCTGAATTTGTATTAGAATACTTTGATAAACATTTTTAACCATTGGTAATTGTATAATCATAATGGGCTTAATATAAACTCTAAAGTGTTTTTATAAATGGCCTTACCTCTTGAACTAATATTACTTCTGCGAATCTTTTCTGAGGAAACACTTCAAAATACTGGAAAAAATCCAGAAGCCAAAAGAATTTCCTAAAGGTTAAAAATACTTCTTTTTCTGTTTATAAAGATACTACATAACCTTAGTAGAAAATTGAGCACCTGTAATAAAACATAAAGAAGCAGATTACTCCTTGAAATCTGCCATCTAGAGATAATATTTTAAAACATTTTTTGTTGAGTATATTTTCACCATTATAAATTTACACACGAATAAATTGACACTGTAGCACTGTATATTGATGTTCATCATACTGTTGAAAGTCTGACTAATTACTCAATTTTTGGAGATAGCATTATTTAAACAGTTCACTATAAAATGATATTTAAGTTCTCAATTTTTTATATTGTAAATGGCAAGTGAATATTTTTATATGTGTCTGCACAGTGTGCTTCTGTAAAACACTCCTAAAAGTAGAATTGGGGAGTATATTTTAAAATGGTTATTTTAAACTGGAATGAGGTAATCTGTGAGTTTCAGGTTGATAGATGAAAATACATGCTTCTTGTTAGACAATAAATTTCTCTTAAAAAATCTGAAGTATGCAGTCTCTTATTTTTTCTCTCCTTGCAAATGATACTAATTCCTTATGCATACAGATAAGAAACAAAAACTTCTTGGAGGTACTGTATAAATTGTGACCTCCAGTTCAGCTTCTTACTAAGGGTAGTACTTACTTTGTCATCTCTGTTCAACGTTTGCTCAAACACTTTTAGTAATGATTATTCCATTTGTAGATAGCTATAGTTTATTGGAAAAACCTGTCCTTTTACTGAGCTGTGTTATTTCCTAATTCCCACGTATTTCTGCTCTCAGAACCACAGAAAATCAAGTCTTATGCCTCTCCCAGATGACATTTTAAAAATTATTTGAAGATAGCTACAAAATCTTGATATTTCCTTCTCTTTTCTGAGCAAAACTTTTTTTTTCTTTTTCCCCTAGCTACATTTATATTATCATGTTGTGATTTCTATTTCCTTTCCCAGGCTGAATTTTGTTGTGTGGTTTGGTAGCGCAAAATTAATTGAAACAATCACTTTCCCTGATACGAGTATTGTACTTTTAGAAATAAGTGCTTCTACTAGTCATAGGCTGACTCATACTGAACTGAAAAGTGGTTCAGATGTTCTCTTTCCATTCCATACTTGTACAGTTGAGTTTTGAATCTCGAAGCAGAACTTTGCATTTCTTTTCATATAGTTTAATCTTGTTTGGATTAGCCCATTGTTCTGGCTTCAGGATATCTTTTTGAATCATGATAGATTATCTCAATATTTATTGACAACTCAGTTTTGTATAACTGATTTGTGTAAAATCAGTTTTTTCTGTTATTGTGCCTCTAGTCTTTCATCTAAGTGACTGACGTAATGTTTAATAGGGTGGGGCTAACTGACGTACCTCTGAAGACTATCCATTTACTGTGGATTTTTTTTTAATTTCAACAAGTTGTAGTTGTCTAAATTGACTGTTTTTATTTTCCCTTGTGAAAATCTGAGCAGCTTTTGCTTATCTTTAGTATTCTAGCACCATGCTTCTTTCTCCTTAAGATTAGAAAAGTGCACTCTGGAGCCAGATTCCTGGGTTCTAATCCTGCCTCTGTCATTTATTGGCTGTGGCCTTGGGCAAGTCACTTCTCTGAAATCTGGGTTTCTTTCATGTGTAAAATGAGGATCATAATAATATTATTTTGTGGGGTTATGAGGATCAAATGAGTTAGTATACATAAAGCATTAGAATAGGGCCTGGCACATAGGAGTGTTATATAAGTGTACTATTATTGTACTCAGATTTTTTTCTATGCTCTGCAATCAGATCTCAAATTCTTTGAATTCCCAGGGTTAATTGGTCTGGTCCAGCAAGACTGGACTTTTTGAAGCAGCTGTAGTCTCACTTCCCATGTCCTCATATTTTTGAGCTTCAAAGCTCTTTAATATTTCATCTGATAGAGTTACTTGAAGAAATATTTTAATGTCCTTTTTATTATAAAAGAATTAGTGCTTATTAAAGGCAGTCTGGAAAATACAGAAAAAAGTGAAAGGAAAAACAAAATTTTACCACCCAAATACAGCCACTAACTTCTTAGTACATTTTCTTTTCCTCCCACCATATAGTAGATGTAATCACAGCACAAGTATTTTTTGTATTTTACTTCTAACTTAATATGATATTGTGAGTTTTTAAACTATATAGTCTTTGTTTTTAAGAAGTGATTTTAATGGTTGCATAACATTTTATTGAGTGAATCGTAATCATTTCCCAGTTGTTGACCTTTTAGGTAATCACTTTTTTCACTGTTCTGAATCATACTCTGATGAGCTTCTTTATATTTAAAACTTTTTCAAAATTTATCATTATTTAGTAAGGATAAAGTCTGAAAGTTGAATTCTGAGGTTAGAAGCTATAAACATTTTTAAGATGCGAAGATTATTTGTATTGATAGATTTGACCAAAATAACGTAGGAGATAGTTTTTTTCTGTCTTTTTTAGTAATCCCATCAGTTCTTTTTTCTTCATGCTCTGAATTATATAGCTCGAAGTTTCTTTTTGTCTTAATTTGCTTTTTTTTTTGGCAAGGTTCATGTCATACTTGACTTTTAGCTTCTTGGTCTTATGTTAATTAAGGTCTTTGTGCTCAGATGTGTTCTGGATTATGTATTCCCTCTGTGTTTTATAAATGTTCTATTAAAATATGAGTTTCTGTGTAGGCTACGCTGGTTTCTTTTGATGCGTCTTAAGCTCTAGGGTCATTTAACTTTAGTGTAGGAAGAACTGAAGAGGGTATCCTGGCTGATTCTTCTGTTCTGAAGTCCTGCTGTTTGTTCCTCTAATAATATTTTTTTCAGGCACACTTCTTCAGCTGGTGCATCATAACTCTGGATTAGGTTCTAATCATTTGTTGCCTAGATTATTTCAGCAGGGTCACACTTCAGCTGGCTGCTTTCTTACTTTTACAGAGTTATTTCCCCAGTAACAAGCATATTTTATAAGCTGAAATAGAATCTTTTAACCTGATTCTTTTTGGAAAGCTTTCCTTTTCTTGTTTTTTTCTTTTCTTTCCGTTTCTTTTCTAAACATTGATCAACAGAGAAAACTGTAGGAATTCCATAAGATTAGATTCTTAATTTAAATCCATGGTTTATGCTTTGAATATTTTATCTCAAGCATTTTTGTGTATAAGATGGGTTTTGAACTATGTATCTTTTGTTAAACAACTATTTAATATTACTACATGAGATTTCAAATGCCTAGTATTTCAAAACTTAGGTTCTCCAAACGAGGAGAACCTAGGTACGTTTCTTTGACACCATCAACCTTCATCTTTTCTGTGCTATGTCCAGAGCATTCCTGCTGTATAGACACTTACAGATTTTGTATAATTGTATGTTCATTTTCACGTGTATAGATTTTACAGCTGTGTCTTTCATTTATTTAAGATCTGGACGTTGGTGGTTGGCTATGTGTTGACTGTTTCATTCAAGTGGAATGCAAGCACTGAACGCTACTTGAGAGCAGTTTCAATTCCTGTCTGGATTATATTGCTTTTTCATTTAGGTGGGTTCCTTCTTTTTTTTTTTTTTTTTTTTAAGTCTAGCCTAAGGTCAGCAGAGGCTGACTGTGTGAATGAAAGTGAATTTTTTGTAGTGTCATATGTTGCATTTAACATTCTTAATCTTTAGAAAATGTTATGCTTTAATCTTTCATTAAATTTTAATGAAAATGATGTGCTTTAAAATGTCTTTAATTATGTTCATTTTCCAAAAGGTCCTTTTAAAAGTCAATACATCTTAAAAAGTAGAGCACCCTTGGATTCTCATATCATTTCTGAGTGTCATACTTAGGGGAAGATATAGATAAGCAGTCAACGATAAGAGGTGCTCAGAGACATGTGTGAGAACCAGTTAAAGGAACTAGAGATGTTTACTCTGGATAAGAGGAGGGAACTGGGGCTCTAGGGTGGGAAGGAGATAGAGGTAAGGAGGATATAAGACATGAAAGCCTATTTCTAATATTTGAAGGACTGTCCTGTGAAAGAGTGCTTTAAACAGATCTCTGTAACCATGAGGGAGAGATGTCAGAGTTGTGAGTTAGCTTCAGAGAGACAAATCTCTTTTCCACATAAGGATGATTCATGTCAGAGCTGCTCAGAGTAATGGGTTCCCTGTTATGTTAGCTGGGTGGCTGCTCAGATGTTGATTTTTCAGCGTGGTACTTATGGTTGAGACTTTCATCTCCCAAGTTTGAGCCAATGGAAACACTAAGTTCTAATTTAACAACACAATTCAGTAACCCAGAGCAGCAGATAGCCTTAAAGTAGTTTCTAGAGCTACTACTTATTGTTAAAAATAAAATAAAAAACAGCTATGTCTCTGTCTTCGTTTGATGTCAAACAAAGCATTATTCTCTAGCTTTGTTGAGTTGGAATGATAGAGGAATTTATCTGCAAGAACCCGTATGTCAGATATGACTCATTTTGAACTCAGGGAAGGCAGAGGAGGGAGGCAGGCAGGCAGGGATGTTTTATGAGGTTCTAGGTGGACTCAGGGAAATGGTTATGGGTAGGGACCTGTTTCTTGGTGACTTGTGAACTTTTTTTTTTTTTTTTTTTGAGACAGAGTCTCACTCCATCGCCCAGGCTGGAGTGCAGTGGTGTGATCTTGGCTCACTGCAGCCTCCACCTCCTGGGTTCAAGCAATTCTCCTGTCTCAGCCCCCCAAGTAGCTGGGATTACAGGCATGTACCACCACGCCTGGCTAATTTTTTTTTTTTATTTTTATTTTTAGTGGAGATGGGATTTCACCATGCTGGCCAGGCTGGTCTCGAACTCCTGACCTCAAATTAGCCACCTGCCTCAGCCCCCCAAAGTGCTGGGATTACAGGTGTGAGCCACTGCGCCCAGCCAACTTGTAAACATTTTTGCATTATACACTGAGGAGGAGACATTGATGGTTTTGCTGTGCTCTTTTGGGCCATTCTCTTTCTTGGGAGAGAAAGTTCACGCCCGGTGGTATTTTCAAGAAACCAAGGCAGACTTTATGGCTTTGAGATCTATGCCTAATTCTGGTCATTCTGGGGTGAAGTAGATGGTTTGAGTTCGGGATGGTTTTAGACCTTTGGTATACGTTACAATAGACTCTCTTTAATAGAACCCCATTAAAGGTAGGCAGGCATGTACCCTATCCATTTGACCAGGGGCCTCTGAGAGCAGGGATGAACTTAATTTTGAGAAATCTTGAAGTTTATCTAATGGACTTAAATTTTTTTTTTTTTGCCTGATAAGTAATTCTGTAACTAATATATATACCAGATTGTTCTGTCAAACTACAAAACTGAGTTTTGTAAAAACAAGTACTAGGTTTTTATTTCACTAAAAATGTTAATTCTTAATAATTTGCAGCATCCCTGGCTGGCTCATGGAGAATTCCAGTATTCCTGGTTATTGTTTTCCTGATGTCTGTGGGTACCCTCTATGAAAAACAGAATGGAAAAGAGTCTTCTGGTAAGAAATAGGGCATTCTATTAATACTACTCTTTGAAGTATTTTGGAGAGTAGCTTTTTAAAAAATGCTATGATGAAACAGCTTTGAATCTATTTAAAAACCTATGATGGTTTCTGAGTGGAAAATAAATTGTTTAAAATATTTTAGGTTGTTAGACCATGATTTGTTTTGGTATTATTTTATTGAGGCATGTATAACTTAAAGTTAACCATAAGCCATTGTATTTTAATTTTATTAAAATATTTTATTTTTATAAAATAAAATATTTTTATTTTATTTTTTAGTGACAAGGTCTTGCTCTGTTTCCAGGCTGGAGTGCAGTGGCACAATCATAGCTCACTGTAACCTTGAACTCCTGGGCTCAGGGGTTTTCCAACCTTATCCTCCCAAGTAGCGAGGGCTACAGGTGCAGTAATCACGTAAAAATGGCCTACAGGCCGTGCGCAGTGGCTCACGTCTGTAATCCCAGCACTTTGGGAGGCTGAGGCAAGCGGATCACGAGGTCAGGAGTTCGAGACCAGCCTGGCCAATATGGTGAAACCCCGTCTCTACTAAAAATACAAAAATTAGCTGGGCATGGTTGGCATGTGCCTGTAGTCCCTGCTACTCGGGAGGCTGAGGCAGAAGAATTGCTTGAACCCAGGAGGTGGAGGTTGCAGTGAGAGCCGAGATCGCACCACTGCACTCCAGCCTGGCAACAGAGCGAGACTCCGTCTCAAAAAAAAAAACAGGCATACAATATGTCACAATGTTGTGCATCCATGACCTGTATCTAGTTCCAAGACATTTTCATTACCTCAGAAAGAAACCCTGTACATATATCAGTACTTCATTCCTTTTTATGGCTGAATAATATTCCATGGTAAGAGCACACCACATTTTGTTTATTTACTCATCAGTTGATGGATATTTGGGTTATTTCTACCATTTGTCTATTGTGAATAGTGCTGCTATGAACTTGTGTGCAAGTATTTATTTGAATACACGTTTTCAGTTCTTTGTTTACCTATGAGTAGAATTACTGGGTCGTATGGTAATTCTGTGTTTAATTTTTTAAGGAACTGCCAAACTGTTTTCCACAGCAGATGTACCATTCAGATTTCTACCAGCAGTGTATGAGGATTCTAATTTCTTTGCATCCTTGCCAACACCTATTATTTTCCACTTTTTGATAATGGCCAGTCCAGTGGGTGTGAAGTGGTATCTCATTATGGTTTTCATTTGCATTTCCGTAATGACTAATGATGTTGAGCATCTTTTCATTTGCTTTTTGGCCATTTGTTTCTCTTCTTTGGAGAAATGTCTATTCAAATTCTTTCCCCTTTAAAAAAAATTAAATTGTTTGCCTTTTTGTTGTTGCGTTTTAGGAATTCTTTACATATTCTAGATACTAGACCCTTATCAAATATATGATTTTTAAATATTCCATTGGTGGGTTGTATTTTTACTCTCTTGATAGTCTCTTTTGATGCAAAGAAATTTTTTTGATGAAGTCCAGTTTATCTACTTTTTCTTTTATTGCTTGTGTTTTTGATGTCATCTGACAAACAATTGCCAAATCCAAGGTCGTAAATACTTACCCTTAAGTTTCCTTTTAAGAATTTTATATTTTTATCTCTTATATTTAGGTCATTGATCCGTTTTGAAATAATTTTTGTAAATGATGTGAGGTAAGGATCCAACCTCATTCTTTTGCCTGTGTATATTCAGTTCTCCCAGCACTGTTGAAGATGGCCTTGGCACCCTTGTCAGAAATCAGTTGACCATATATATATGGGTTTATTTCTGCCCTTTCTGTTGTGTTTCACTGATCTATATGTCTCTCCTTAATGTCAGTTAACACATTCTTTTGATTACTGTAGTTTTGAAATTGAGAAGTGTGAGTTCTCCAACTTTGTTCTTCCTTTTCAAAATTGTTTTGACTATTTTGGGGTCCCTTGCATTTCCATATTTATGATCAGCTTTCCTGTTTTTACAAAAAAGCCTTTTGGGATTTTGATAGGGATTGCATTCAATCTAGAGATCACTTGTGGGCGGGGGGGAGCATTGCCATCTTTACAATATAAAAAGACAAAACCACAAAAACCTTACAATTTATGAGCGTGGGATGCATTTCCATTTATTTCGTTACTCTTTAATTTTTTAGTGTTTTTTTTAATTTTAAATTTTAATTTTTGTGGCTACATAGTAGGTGTATATATTTATGGGGTACATGGAATGTTTTGACACAGGCATGTAATGTGTAATAATCACATCAAGTAAAATGGGGTATCCATCCCCTCAAGTATTTATCCTTTGTTATAAATAATCCAATTATACTCTTAGTTATTTTAAAATATACAGTTAAATTATTGACTATAGTCACCCTGTTATGCTATCAAATACTAGGTCTTACTCTTTTTAATTTTTTTTTTCTGTTTTTGAGATGGAGTCTCGTTCTGTTGGCCGGGCTGGAGTGCAGTGGCATGATCTCAGCTCACTGCAGCCTCCACCTCCTGGGTTCAAGTGATTCTTCTGCCCCAGCCTCCCGAGTAGCTGGGATTCCAGGCACCCGCCATCATGCCTGGCTAATATTTGTATTGTTGTAGAGATGGGGTTTCACCATGTTGGCCAGGCTGGTCTCGAACTCCTGATCTCTGGTGGTCCGCCTGCCTTGGCCTCCCAAAGTGCTGAGATTACAGGCATGAGCCACCACGCCCTGTCCATTTTTTTAAACTTTTTGGTACCTATTAATAACCACTTCCAGCTTCCCCGTACCCTCTCACTATCCTTCCCAGCCTCTGGTAACCATCCTTCTGCTCTCTATCTCTGAGTTCAATTGTTTTGATTTTTAGATCCCACAAATAAGTGAGAACATGAGGTGTTTGTCTTTCTGTGCCTAGTTTGTCTCACTTAGCTTATATGGCCTGCAGTTCCATCCATGTTATTGCAAATGACAGGATCTCATTCTTTTTTTTTGGCGGAATAGTACTCCATTGTGTATAAGTACCACATGTTCTTTTTCCATTTATCTGTTGATGGACATTTAGGTTTCTTCCAAATTTTGGCTATTGTGAACAGTGCTGCAACAAACATGGGAGTCAGCAGTGTTTTGTAGTTTTCTTTGTATATGTCTTAGACCTTTAATTTATTCCTTATTCTTTTTGATACTATCATGTGGAATTGTTTTCTTAATTTTCCTTTTGGATGGTTTATTGCTGCTGGGTAGAAATACAACAGATTTTTTGCTTGTTGATCTTGTGTCCTGCAGCTTTGCTGAATTTATTAGCTTCAGTAGTTTCTTTGGTATATTCTTTAGGATTCTGCATATGTAAGTTCAGTCATCTGCAATAGGGATAGTTTGACTTCTTCCTTTCTAATTTGCATGCCTGTAATTTATTTTTCTTGCCTGATTGCTCTGGTTGGAATTTCTAGTACAAAGTTGAATAGACCATGTGCTTTTAAAGATTATTTTGAGGTACCCTGGCTGTGAGTGACCTATATCTGCAAATAGTTTGTTAAAGGTAGAGGTCTCTAATGAGTTGTAAGTGGGGAGGTTGTCAGGATATAGTAGTGGTCCTCAAATCATCAGATCAGACTTCTGGTTACCCAGCCGTGTGGAAGCAGCTGTGACTGGAGAGGTAAATCTGAACACAAAGCTTCTACAGTTGACCAATACTTTACTCCTTGCTTCTTTCTGATGGCGATAATAAACTCCAAGAGCAGATTACTAGCTGCAGTATGTTTTAAAAAGAATTAATTTCTCAGATAATATGTGTGTTGCAGTAAAGTTAGGAAATACAGAGAAACAAAAGGAAGAAACTAAAAATCACTCAAAATCTCACTGTCTACAGATTATACCAAAATGTTAACTAATAGTTGTTTTGCCTTTAGGCTTTTAAAAACACAAAAAAACTAGATCACAGTGAACATTCTGTTTTGTAACCCACATTTTAAACTTAATTATGTCATGAGGAACTTTCTGTGTCAATGAATACACTTATAGAGCATTATTTTTAACATCTTCATTTTATTCTCATCATGAGGCTGTTTGTGGTACTCTGGTGTATTTGTACAGGTACCTTGTAAAAGTTTTTAAAAATTAATTTGCTTTTTATTATTTTATTTGATAAATGAGTAATATCTAACAATTGTAAGCCATATTTTTATTTGTAAATATATATTTAGAATTTTAAAATTCCTGAAACAAAGTAACCATAACTATATATCTCTCTGACAGTGGAAAATAGGGAAGATTTTATTTTATTTTATTTTATATTTTGGTGTCTAAGTTTTCTTTGTTCAGCCTGTCTTCCTGGTTATAATCTGTTAGACTCTGTGGTTATATATCTGACTAGTGGAAGTAAATTTCCTGTTTTGGCAACTGCTGTAGAAAGCTTGGCAGTTTCGACTTGTTTTTCTGGTTAGTTTTATCTCCTTTGTTTTCTTTCACCTAATGGCAAGTGACTCAGACAGTTCTGCTTACCCTTTACCTCTTATGCCAGAATGGTTTCCCCTTTTGACTGCTTTTGTCCAGGGCCAAGTAAGTAATTGTTATAAGAATATAAGTAATGCAAGTCTAAACCAAAGGTTGTGGTTGGGTTTTCTCTACGGTGTAAATTCTAGTCATCTCATGACAGCAGCCTAGAAAACTGTAAGGGTAATAAGACTTCTAAGACCAATTTTTGAGCAAGGGGAAAAAGAAGACCATGGTCGATTATGAATACTAGCCATAAACTTAGAGTAGTGATGTGCTGATATGCAAGCCAGATTGCTGTTATTTGTATTACAGGCTATGACAAGGAAGGAAATCACAGACACACAGAATAAATGTTGAGTACAGATTTGGAAATCTTGGTTTTATTTATTTTGTTTAACTTTCATTTCAACCTGTGTCAAGATAGGTGATTATTGATCTAGAATCCCTTTCTGGACTTCTAGTCTAAATAATCCTCATCATAAAATAAATCTTTTAAGTGTTTCTTTTTCCTAAATTTCTGAGTATTTTTTTCTTCTTGCCCCTAAGAACATCGTTTCTTTTTAAGAATCAGAACTCAAACCATCTGGTGTGTAATGGGACAGCCCTTCTCTTGTACTTACAGTCAGTTTCCTGCTGTAGATGTCACTGTAATATAGGTAGGTACAGGAATGCTTTAGTATACTGCCACAACAGTGTGTGCATCGGCTCTTTCCTTGTCATTTCCAGTGTCCCGTTGTATCACTTGCTCTTGTTTTCCAGTCACTTGTGTGGGTATCTTTCTCTATGTCTTCTGAGCTTTGAAGGTTTTGTGCTGTGGTTCACTAGACTCACAGAATTAGTCCTGGATTTCATCAGAATTCAAAGCCTGAGTTTGGTTCCTAGACCCAGAGTACTCTTCTATTTATTTATTATTCTTATTTTATTTTGTTTTTAGAGACTAAGACTCGCTCTGTTGCCCAGGCTGGAGTGCAGTGGTGGTGTGACCATAGCTCACTGCAGCTTAACTCCTGGGCTCAAGCAGTGCTCCCACCTCCGCCTCAGAAAACTCTTCTTGTGGATCATTGCTGAGTTAGTTTCAGTGGTTGCTTCTGAACCCAAGGGTCTTACTCAGTGGTTTTCTCTTAGACCTGAGAAGTTCTAACATAGTATTTCCCAAAAGCTTAAGATAATAAGGGAAAAATATTTAAGTGCCTGTCATGAGCCAAGAACTTTCAAGTGCTTTTAAATGTGCTATCTTTTTAAATCCACAAGCAAACAAAACAGAACTCAAACAAATAAATCTTTGTAAGATAGATGGTATCTTCATTTACAGATGAAGATACTTCTAGAGATTAACTGACTAGCCTGCAGTCACACAGGTGACTAGTGGAGCTAAGATTTAAACTTAGGTCCTTGGCCAGGCATAATGGCTCATGCTATAATTCCAGCATTTTATGAGGCCAAGGCGGGAGGATTGCTTGAGCCCAGGAGTTCAAGACTAACCTTGCCTGGTCAAGATAGTGAGACCCTGTCTCTACAGAAAATAAATAAATACATAAAAATAAAATAAAATAAAAATTAGCTGGGTGTGGTAGTGTGCATCTATAGTCCCAGCTACTGGGAGGGTTGAAGATGGAGGATTGTTTGAGCCCAGGAGGTCAAGGCTGCAGTGAGTAGTAATCATGCCACTGTACTCCAGCCTGGGCTACAGAGGTGAGACCCTGTCTTAAAAGTAATAATAATGATAATAAATAAATAAACATAGGTTCTTGACCCTAAGCCCAGCGTTCTTTCCCCTCCCCAGGCTCTTTGAGTAAGTGTCAGTCATCCTGAAAAAGTATTGAGTACTCATCCTTCTTGCATCAGTTGTAGTTGTCAGCTCCTTCAGTTTTCCATATTGGTCCTGTTGACTTAACACAACTACATGACCTAGCTTCCTTGCCTCCTAGATCCCAGAAACCTTACTTAGTAGAAACCTTATGGCTTAGTCTGTTTTGTCCTGCTGTGACAGAGTAACACAGACTTGGAAACTTACAATGAACAGAAATTTATTGGCTCACAGTTCTGGAGGCTGAGAAGGCCAATGTCAAGGTGCTGGCATCTGGTGAGGATCTTCTTGCTGTATCATCACGTGGTACAAGGGCGAGCAAGAGATGGCTGGGGCTGAACTCACCCTTTTATAATGACATTAATCCTACCCATGAGGGCTGAGCCCTGATGGCCTAATCACCTCTTAAAGGTCCCACCTGTTAATACTGTGGTAACGGCAATTAAATTTAACATAAGTTTTGGAGCACAAACACTCAAACCATAGCACCTGGAATCCACGTTCAGTATGTTCCCTTGGCGTCTGAGGAAAGAGGTACACTAGCATTGTTATCTCCTATAAGTAAGGCTGTGTTAGACTCTTTAAAAATACTCTTAGTTTTTTTTAAGCAGTCTAGTGAGATTGGTGTTATGCTTATTTTACAAATGAAGAAACTTAGGCTCAGAGAGCCATTTTCTCTGAGTATAAGAAATTTCTTCAAAAGTTAGTGAAACAATCATCAGATATATCTATAATAGCCTGGATACCCAGCCTGAGAAGTACCAGCAAGTACAGCTGAGTGCTGTTCCTCCTGGCATTGGTAATTGTTTGTAAATGACTAGAAATGTCTTTGCAGAGATGAATCCTGATAGTTGCCTTACTTGTTTTGGGATAGCATGAGATATGAGTGAACAAGTTTGGTTCAGTCAAGCCCAAATTGGAAAAAGGGAGCAAACCAAATGTTTTACTGCTCCCCTCCCAGTCCCCACTTCTGATACTGCAAGTTAAACAGGCCTAGAGAAAAGTCTACTGGTCCATCTCCAGGCCCTTGTGACGTGATACTAGAAGCCATTGAGAGGGAGTTGTATTTTCCACATTAGTAATGGAAACAGAAGCCTTCTTCAAAGGGAACTTTGCAGGCTGGGGAGGTGTTATTTGGTATGCGGTGCCTGCTTCCAATAAGCATGTTTGGATGTATTTCTGGTAACTGCTGCTATCCCTGTGAAAAAGAATGGAGTGGATCAAGAAGTATCTCCTTATTTAGACTGGATTTAAAGTATATTTACCCATGCTTATTAAAAAAGTTAGTCTGCTCATCGTTGAGTTGTTGTATTAACAGACACTGTCTGACCTGTGGTCTCTTTCTTGTGTGCCGGACTCTGAGTTTCTGCCCCCTGGTGCTAGGCTGCTAATGTCAGTAGCATGCTTGTTTGGATTTGTGTAGATCCCTGTTATTTGGCTTCTGCTTAATGCTGGCCCTGTCTCTGGGTAGATTGATACCTGAAACCTTGGATGTTCTTTCCTTTTTTTTCTTTAGTCCTTGAGTCCCAAGATTATGTTCCCTTGTTTATGTGCCTATTTTTAGCTGTGGCTTTTAAATACAATACCATTCTAATACCACAACTTGGCCAAGATTCTCAGTCCTGGCATTGTTCTGTTCAGTTTATCATCTCCCTGCCTGGACTGTTGTTTTTTGTTTTTTTTTTTGGACTCTGATTCCAGGCCAATTCCTTGTGGTTTTTGAGGTGCTGAAGGGTATCATTGAGACAGAAGTCATTAAAATACAGATCTGTTGGATAAAAGCAGTTTGCCAAATCTTATATTCATAATTTTCAAATACTTTGTTTATTTTCTCTGTGTGCTACTCCTTTCATGCTTTTGTGAAGTCTGAGGTGCTCGAAAAATGTGCTGAGTCATTTGTGTATTAACTAGAAAAATAGTGCAGTTTCCATTGATGTAGCTAAGCTTTACTGCATATTTACTGCATATTTTAGTGCCATTAGCAAGTTGGAGAGTTATTCCTTAAGCCACAGTTTTGAAGATTTAATTGATTGGGTTTAGCTTTTTCTCGAATCTTTCAGTGCCTACTCTACAGATACAAGATATTTTGCTTAGCTCTGTGGAGAGATCTAAAAATGTCTACTAAGGGAAGATAGATGGCTATACTATAAAGTAGAAAGGGGAGGAGAGGTACAAAGAAATACTACAGAAGGGTTAGTGGCTTCTGCTTCTAGTTTATACTGTCGAAGCCAACAGATTGATATTGATGATGATGATAGCTAACATTTATTGAGTACTTCCTACATACCCAGCATTGTTCTAAACTTTATTTATTTATTTTTCAAGACGGAATCTCTCTCTGTCGCCCAGGCTAGTGCAGTGGTGCCATCTTGGCTCACTGAAGCCTCTGCCTCCCGGGTTCAAGTGATTCTTCTGCCTCAGCCTCCCAAGTAGCTGGGATTACAAGCATGCGCCACCATACCTGGCTAATTTTTTTGTATTTTTAATAGAGACGGGGTTTCACCATGTTGGCCAGGCAGGTCTGGAACTCCTGGCCTCAGGTGGTCTACCTGCCTTAGCCTCCCAAAGTGCTGGGATTACAGGTGTGAGCCACTGTGCCCAGCCAGCATTTTATATGTATTATTTCACTTCATTCTCAAATGAGATACGAATTTATGTAAGCCTCATTTTTACACATGAGGAGACTGGGACATCTCGACGTTAACTAACTTGCCTATAGCCATCTAAGTAGTAAGAATAGACCTGGGATTTGAACCTGGGGAGTCTTCTTTCCTCACCTGTGCTTCCAGCCACTGAATTGTGCTGCTTCCTCATAGCAAATGTGAGACCTTCTATGCCCTGGTCCCAACCTCCCTCTGCATTCTTACGCCACTCTGCTCTTCTCATTCACACTATCTTCCGGTCTTATTGAACTTCCTAGAGTTCTTTGAAGAGGGCACCTCTGCTTTTTCTTGCCTTTGTGTCTTCATATTTGTTTTTTTGTCTTCCTGAAACACTTTTCTACCCCTGCTCTCTAAGACACCAGTCTCTCAGGAGCTTCCTCTCCAAGATAGAACTGTTCTGTCTTCTTTATCTAGCTTACTTTTGTTAAAATGGATTTAAAGGATGGCATCTTTCAATATTCTTGTCAGACAGCTCCTTTGGAAACCCTTCCCAGACCTCCCTGCATGGATTTGATTTCCACGCTGCTCCCTAACAGTTTACACTTACTTTACATTAGCTCTTAAGTATCAGACTGAATTTGAGACCAGGGGCTTAGTCTCTTATATCAGCATATAGCCTAGTCGCCTATTTGGTGAATGAATGCTTAGTAGGCATTTAGAAATGTAAGATAAAATGCAGCTGAACTGAAAGTCCATTATTTGAAGAGCTATCCAATGATCTTGTTATTTTGCAAAAACCATCAAGGGACTTACTTTTCTTACAGTGTCTCAAGATGAGTAACCATTTAATTAAATTACTTTTGAAGAGGCCAGTTCAGTAATTAAAGACCCTTGACTAGTCTGTAATCTTATGTAAGAGAGAATTCTTAATTTTTAAAATTTTTGACCTGAAGGTCTTTGTTTTTGTTTTTCCTTTTTCTACTGTACTGTCCCAGGCCATTAGGTGTTCCCAAACTTTGCTCTTGAGTGGGGCCTAAGAGATCCCTCCTGGGTGTACTGCTGCAAAGCTAAGTCTTGCCCCATCTCTGGTGTAGGTCAGTTTGTTTGTGGAACTTTTTATTTTTGAGACAAAGTCTCACTCTGTCACCCAGGCAGAGTGCAGTGGTGTGATCTTGGCTTATTGGCATGATCTCAGCTCAATAATACGATCTCGGCTCACTGCAACCTCTGCCTCCTGGGTTCAAGCGATTCTCCTGCCTCAGCCTCTTGAGTAGCTGGGATTACAGGCGTGTGCCACCATGCCCAGCTAATTTTTGTGTTTTTAGTAGAGACGGGGTTTCGGCATGTTGGCGATGCTGGTCTCGAACTCCTGGCCTCAGGTAATCCGTCTGCCTTGGCCTCCCAGAGTGCTGGGATTACAGGCATGAGCCACTGCACCCAGCCTGTTTGTGGAACTTCTATCTGAAAGTCTAAAAATAACTCTAATATGCCAAGAATCTTCATCCAGCTCTGCTATATATTCTCTACCTAACCATAGTCTGGAAACCGGGATACCTTCGTCTCTTTGATTCCCTTCATTGCTTCCTCATCAAGTGTGGTCCGCTTTGACTCTTCTACGTCTCTTTAACACAGCCGCTTTTCCCTGTTTCCCCTGTTGTGGCTGTAGACCACACTGGCATCATGTCTTGCCTATAGTACTGCAACAACTTTTCTCCATACGTTATAGGTCCCCTCTAGTCTCTTTTTCTCCAGACAAGCAAGAATGGTCTTATATCTCAAATGGATTATTTATTTACAGGGTGGTGAGAGGGGTGAGAGGCAGTTGAGTGTGGTTATAAAAGGTCAACACGAGAGATCCTTATAGTGATGATGCTGTTCTGTATCTTGTGTCAGGGGAAACTGGACAAATTGTGGTACACTGGGATTATTTCTTGCAACTGCATATGAGTATACTTTTATCTCAATAAAATTTCAGTGAGAAGAAGACTACTATCCTGTTTGAAACTCTTCAGTGCGTTCTTCTTCCTCTTAGAATAAACACTAAAGTCCTTCATGTGGTGTTCTGTGATCTGCATCATCTGGCTTACCTCTCCAGCCTTGTTTATTTGATACCAGTTTCTTACTAGCTGTCTGTGTTCCAGACACACTGACCTTCTTTCACTGTCTTTAATATGCCGGGTTCTTCTCACAGCTTTCCTTCTGCCCAAGATATTGTTAGGATGTCACAAGATACCCAGCATTTCTTTTTATAGCAACCATAATTTCTATACACACGTTTATTTGTGTGGTTATTTAATTCATACCTTTACTATACTCCCTGGGGGCAGGGTCTGTGTCTTTATCCCCAGCACACAGTACATGTAAGAAATGAAAGACACTGTTTTTCTCTGTCAGCCCTTTCTGTCTTATTGGCATTTCAGGAGGACCTTGGATACACAGGCCAGGAGAGTAAGGTCCTAATCCAGAAATCTAACTTAGGCTTTCCTCTCAGACCATGAGTTTGAATTTCTCTCATATTGAGAGATACGATACCCTATCTAAAAATGAACTCTTTCAGGTCACAGGGGCATTTATTAGAGGAGGGACAGAGTATGACTGAGCAAGGTGAGTACTCTTATCCTGATGTCTGAATCTACCAAAGATCCACCTCAGGCTCTGGCTTGCTGCTATCTGGGAGAGGGCTAGCTTTGGATATTTGGGTATGTGGAGTTAATTAACTTGGAGCTGAAATTCATCGGCTTTCTGAAGGATCATGGCTCTTTTCATTGGGGTGACAGAATCCTATGTTGCCATACGGAGTCTTGGCCTACCAAAAGTAATGTCTCAGTTGTATGAGTGTGGGTGTATGATTTGGTGACTAGGAATTGCTAGTGTTCTTAGTTGTGAACAATAGAATCTACCCCAGGTAGTTTAAATAAATAGTAGGAGGTATTGGTTAGCATTTACAATTTTTGCACATGGAATTTCTGGAAAGACCAGACAATTAATCTTGGAATCTGACACAGGTGGAAGCAGTGCAATCAGGAGAAATGCTCAGTGACACTGAAGGACTGTTTGGGCAGAGGGCCACGGCTGCTGCTGCTCGCCGTGAAGTTAGAGATCAGACATCAGAACTTCTGCTAAGTTGCTGCGGAAAAACCATATGCCTTCCTGACTGACTGTGTTTGATACAAGAGCTCTGGCTTTCAAATTACAGTGTGCCACTTCAGGCTCTCAAGTCCTGCACAGGTGTACCTGCTTGGTAGAAACTGTGTCACATGTGAGACCTCGGCTGCAGGGGAATCCAAGAAATACAATTTTTTTAGCTCTCCAGTCTAGTGTGCAAGAAAGTGTGCTAGAACCCGATGCTATGTGAGCTATTCTTCCTTGTCTGCTATAGAAGGTTAAAGGTTGACAGACTTCCTTTGCCAGTGAATGTTTTACTTGAATTTAGTGCAAATGATTGAGCTTGGTACTACCTATTAGGAATTTAACATGGAAATATATAATGTGAAACAACGTCATGATGTTCCTTTAGATTTTCAAGTGGTGGATTTTGCCTGTACTGAGTTATGTAATTTATAAATCTATATGGTTTTGCATAATAGCCATATATTCGCATACTCATTTGTGGAATGTTGTTATGACCACCAATTGTGGATTATCTCGTACTAACATGAGACCTAGTCATACAACATAGCCTAAGACAGTCAGATCAGGGAGCTCACAGACTTGATGTGGTAGTGTTTTTCAATAGAAGTATGCATTAAAATCAACTTGTTAACAAATGTAAGTGTGGGACTCCAAGTTTACATGTGTAGTGTCTGCCACATCCACCAGCATTAAGTTCCCAAAGGAGGAAGGTATACAGAGAGTCAAGGGATTTGCTTTTTTAGCACACTTTCATGTCAATTCTTAATGGTTCTTCCTTGGTGAAGAACCACTTATTCAGTGGGTCAGTAGTAACCATTTTATTTTGTTGTTGTTGAAAATGTTGGACTGTGTTTAAATTTGCAGCCATTATTTCCTACTTTAAAGAGTTTTGAAAATGGATGCTTCTTTTACAGGGGCAGAGTTACCAGGGCAGGTTATCTCCATGGCAGCTTCTACTCTGGCAAACTTGGCCATCTCTATCACAGGGTATGAATCAAGCAGTGAAGACCAGCCCTCCACTCAGCCTGCAGGTGACTGATGTTCTGGTGACATTCAAGGTTATTCTGGAAAATGAAATGTACATAGAAAGTAAAATTCAGGACACCAGCATCACAAAATGCTACTTACTCCTGCTGATCCTTCATTTATTCTCTTTGGTTCCTATTTTTATGCCCTTTTCCCTCTCATCTTTGTTCTCATATATCACTTTTTAAATACATGTAATTATGTAACTTCTTGAGTTTCTTACCTTGGTTCTTTGTTCTTTCCTTTTTAAAAAAGGCTTTTCTTATTTTTCTTCTGTTATTCATTGCTTTTGTTTTTCTTATTTTCCTTTTCTCCGTCTCCATTTACCTTTCCCACATTTCCCTCCACTTTACGCATATCTTATCTTGATTTCTTATTTTCCATTTCTTTCTTCTACAACTGTCAGTTCTCCTCCATGATTTTATTTTGCCCTATCTCTTCCTGTTGTTTTTTCTTTCTTTTGTTCCCTTTTCCCAACCCTTTTTTTGGGGAAGACTTTTATTTTCCATCTTGCAGTCATCCATTTCTCTGTCATTCTTTCTCTGAAAGTTTGCATGCTTCATGTGTTAATATATTGACCCCTCAAACAGACCCCTCTGGTTGTTTTGGACTCGTTGTCCTGTGTGGCCTGGCTTTGGGAATTGCAGGCTCCTGAGGAATCCAGCTGGTAGATATACCAGCTGTAGAGTCATGCTGTACTCTTGCAGAGTTCCAGAATGTAAAAGGCCACCTTAGTCTGTGCTGAGAGATCCATTAGTGCCAGAGGTATTTGGAGTTAGGGAATATTTAGAGTGAATTCTCCTTGAAGAACTGACTTTAGAAATGTCAGCTAAGATAAAGGAATTTGGTGTAGTAGGAACACTTATTTTTCTTGCACATGGAATTATGTTTCCAAAGTGGAGAGGAAATGATATTTTGGTTTTGGACTCATTCTTCCAAATATCTGTCACACCCACCATCATGAAGTTTCCAAATTAGAAAGATAACTCAGAGCAAAGTCAAACAAAAGCATCTGTTAACTAGCTTGGGCTTTAGCCCTGCACTTTTAAGGGTAGAATGTTGGTCCTAGTGAGGTGAGCTGACTTACCAGGGTGCAAGTGATCTCAGTAGTAAAAATTGACTCATAGCTGAACTTTTAACATTAAAAACACTTAAGGAAATTATGATACAGCACTTGGTGGGCTACTGTATGATTGCTTATGAAAATTATGAAACAACAGGGAAGTCATTCATTCACTTATTTAGTGAGCACCTCCTATATATGAGATACTATTGTATGTGCCAGGAATTCAGTGGAGGGAGAACAAAACAGACAAGGTCTTAGCTCTGGTGGAGCTGACTTTCAACTGAAGAGAAAGAATGAGAAAGGATAAGTAGAACATGCTACAACTATGTAAAAGACCAGGGGGAAAATGTGAGGTTGGGATTATGGGAGTTCTTATTTCTTTTCTCTTTTTTCTAGACTTTTTTTCTGACGTATGATACTTTTGTAATTAACAATCCACACATTCAACGTGACATACTTTTGTAATTAACATTTTTTTCTAATGGAAGGCAAAATGCAAGTTTTAGGATCTTAATAATTTTCATTATTATAGTATATATAGAGTAATACTACTTTAAGAGTTTTATGATTTCTGATGTGTATGGTATATCTTATTAAAACTAGGAAATAGAAATAATAGCACCCTATAGTAAAATGTAACATGGTGGTTGCATTGTTAGAAAACAGTGTCTTATGTGAAATAATCCAGTATGGTTTCCTTTATTTGAAAATCCTCACCCAAGAAATCTGTCATTGTTTTTGTATCTCATTCATGTTTATATATTCTGTTTGAAAGCCCTGGGTTCTTGTAAGATTGGTTGGTTCCATTTTAGGTGAAATAACACTGAAAAGTCTTCTTGTGTCAGAAATGTATATAAATACACCTAATCTAAAGTTCTATTGAAAGAAAAGGGATTTTTAAATATAGAAATTCTAGTATATGTTAGCATTTGTTTCTTTAAATAGTTTGAATAAGTTTTATGGGATAATTATAATTCTCAGCTACTTTGTCATGTATTTTGTTTTAATGACTCCCAATTCTATCACCAACTAACTTAGTCTTCCTAAATTAAAGCTCTATTGGCATTGTAATTCTCCATGTTTTTCAGTGCATATGCAAACATAGGTCCAAATATTTTTGTCTTTTTTAACCCGATGTAATCATACCATATCAGCACATTTTGAAGGCCTGAAACAGGCTAGCCTAATGAGTGGCTCTGTATTCCCATTTCCTCATGTGGACTAATGCGGTGTGTGGTGTTTTTCTTTTCCTTTTCAGAAGCAGTGGACAGGGGAGAATCCGCTCCAACGTTGTCCACCTCCCCTTCACCCTCCTCCCCTTCACCCACTTCCCCTTCACCTACTCTGGGCAGACGAAGGCCTGAAATAGGAACGTTTCTTAGAAAGAAGAAAACTAGTGACATCTACTTTGTGTCTCTAGTTTGGGCCATTGTCGTCATGCAGATCTGGTTGAACCTGTGGATTGTGCAGTTGCTGCCAGTGCCGATTGCAGGTCGTTATCTGGTTAAGTACGATCTCGTCTTGTCTTTGAAGATTGATTTTTTTCTTTTTTTACTTTTGGATTTTAATATTTGAGATACATTTACCGTCTTGCAAAGTAAAACAATCTTATGTTTGCATTTAAATAGTAAACAAACACCATTTGGTTAATTTATTACTTTGATACATCTTTAATATTTCACTTTTTTTTTTTTTTTGAGACGGAGTCTTGCCCAGGCTGGAAGTGCAGTGGCACCATCTCAGCTCACTGCAAGCTCCACCTCCCAGGTTCATGCCATTCTCCTGCCTCAGCCTCCCGAGTAGCTGGGACTATAGGTGCCCACCACCACACCCGGCTAATTTTTTTTTTATTTTTAGTAGAGACAGCGTTTCACCATGTTAGCCAGGATAGTCTCGATCTCCTGACCTCGTGATCTGCCCATCTCGGCCTCCCAAAGTGCTGGGATTATAGGTGTGAGCCACCGCGCCCGGCCAGTATTTCACTTTTAAGCTCAAAAAATGTGTTTAGCTTCTTACAATTTCATGTAGTATTTGAGATTAATAGCTCCATAGAGAGATTTGATTGTTTAGCCATCCATGATTCTGTGAAGGAGAATGTTAACAATATCTGTGTTTTGGAATTTGAAGATCGAATGATTTTTTGTTTTTTTTTTGAGACGGAGTCTCGCTCTGTCACCCAGGCTGGATTGCAGTGGCGCGATCTCAGCTCACTGCAGCCTTTGCCCCCTGGGTTCAAGCAATTCTCCCACCTCAGCCTCCTGAGTTGCTGGGACTACAGGCATGCGCCACCACCCCTGGCTAATTTTTTGTATTTTTAGTAGAGACGGAGTTTCACCATGTTGGCCAGGCTGGTCTCGAATCCTTACCTTAAGTCATCCGCTCACCTCCGCCTCCCAAAGTGCTGGCATTACAGGAGTGAGCCACTGCGCCTAGCTGAGATTGAATGATTTTTGAGCGCTACTCTTAGGGAAGCACGTTTTACCTTGCCTTTTTAATTCAAAGGAAATGTAGGCTTTGAGAAATACATGTATGCAAAGTCTTGTGATTTGGCAGAAAAATTAAATTACATGTATATCTATATTATATGTATTACATCAAAATGGAATCATAGTTTTCCATAATCCATTAAATCAGGTCTTTGTATCTTAATGCTGTGGTAATTTAAGGCCCACCTCTATTGTTTTGATTCTCTCTAAAACTGTCTTTCTCCTAAGACTAGAAAGAGCAAGGGAGAGTTTTCTCTGACAGGTGCATTGTAGAAACATCTTTTACCTAATATTTTCCTGATTATTTGGGCTCTCTTCTTATGGCAGCCATATTTTGTGCCAAATTTATTAAGTCCTTAGTGGCTGCTGTGGATTTTGCCTTCTGAGTACCTTCTACATTTGATTACTCCTCATTTCCTATGTCAAGGTTTTTCACTATTGATTAAAACGTAATCTGATTTTTGGAAGCTGCTCTCCACTGTAGTCTAAAAGTCTAAACTTATTAGCCCATTTACCTTCTAGACCATTAGTTTTCATCACTTCTTTTTATTTTTCCTCACTCAATTGGATAGTTAATTAAATAGGCATTATTTTTTAACATTTATTATGACCAGAGCATGGTATAGTAGTGCCTGTCCTCAGGGAGCATGCAATATAAATGGTTGAAGTTTGTATCTGTATTTTTTTTTTTTTTGAGACAAGGTCTCACTTTGTCACCCATTCACCACAGCCTCGATCTCTCAGGCTCAAGTGATCCTCCTGCCTCAGCCCCTCAGATAGCTGAGACTACAGGTGCGTCCACTGGCTATTGTTTTGTATTTTTTGTAGTTTGCCATGTTGCCCAGGCTGGTCTCAAACTCCTGGACTCAAGCAAACCTCACACCTTGGCTTCCCAAAGTGCTGGGACTATACAGGTGTGAGTCACCGTCCCCGGCCTATATGTGGTTCTTCTGTCCTCAAACAGAACTTCTGTTAGGCAGTTGGAACAAGATACAGCTTTAATTAAGCAAGTCACAGAGCAGATACCATGCCATGCTTCCTGTTAAACTGAGTGGAACAGTTTAAATTGCTCTTCTAGATTGTTCCATACTTTTTTTTTTTTTTTTTTTTTTGAGATGTAGTCTCGCTCTGTTGCCCAGGCTGGAGTGCAGTGGCGGGATCTCGGCTCATTGCAAGCTTCACTTCCTGGGTTCACACTTTCTCCTGCCTCAGCCTCCTGAGTAGCTGGGACTACAGGTGCCTGCCACAACGCCTGGCTAATTTTTTGTATTTTTAGTAGAGACGGGGTTTCACTGTTAGCCAGGATGGTCTCGATCTCCTGATCTCGTGATCCGCCCGCCTCGGCCTGGGATTACAGGCGTTGAGCCACTGTGCCCGGCCCTGTTCCATACTTTTTTTTTTCCAGATGATTTTATTATGCTGGCAAACTGTGTGTCAAATGCTGTTGCAACTCTCTTTTCCTTAAAGTTTGTTAGCAGGAATTTCATTTCTCTTAGTTATAGCTTAACCTTCTAGTCATCATAGGAATTTGACATGATCTTGGGACAGCAGGCTGTGAATAAGGTGGCCCCTAAAAGCTTTTCTACAGCTTGTAATTACCCTGGACTTACTGAAACTATAGGAGTTCTTTTAGGGCTTTTGTAGGGATTTAAAAATGGTAATAAAGGAATTGTTGAACTTGTGTGTAACACTGAGCTCATGGTTCAAAACAGCAAATTGTGAACCTTTAGGTTGCAAGGCCAGAGCTAAGAACACAAATCTCTAGAGTTAGGGAAATTATGTACTGATTGAGATACAGGGTCCAAACTTGAAGGCAAGCCTCACAGTTGAGTAACACTTCTTTCTGGCCCTACCACCTTCTTAATTGGCTTCTAACAGGAAGCTTAACCTCTGCTTAAAGAGCCACTTCACTGCCCAACTCCAGGAGGAGACAGTGTGGTTTGAGAGTGGTCCCCACTGAAGTTGCCGTGCACAGCCTTGGGCCATTTGTAGCAGCCCTGCTAGTATTCAGCTTGCTTCTCTACTGAACCCTGGCATCTGTTCAGATGTTGAGAGCAGCATCAAATGGGGAAATAGGAACAACATTACTCTGCAGTGGTACAAAATCATGATGCGTATGGAATACCTTATACTTTTCTGGTCACTAAATAACGAGCAACTAAGGAAAAGAAGAATATTTGACAAGAACAGCTATAAAAGCCAAGGAGATGAGGAAATGTCAGGGGTTTGTATTATTTACCCAGGAAGGGGGAATATGCAAGGGGCCAGAATTGTAGTCACTGAAATCTTCACGATGAGATTATCTTTTGTTTATGTGGGCTGTAAAATAATCCCTGACTCTACAAGGATTCAGACTTCAGGAAGAAGATAATATATAGGCAGGTGGGGATGGTTTGAAAAGTTACTTGGTCCAATTCCATCTGTGTGGGGAGTACTTTGAGTCCCACCCTGCTTTTTAACATTGATCTTCTTTTTAATACTAGCTTTGTTGTTTTAGAAAGGTTTTGTGAAATTAAGGTACCTTTTCATGTTACAACTTGTTAATCTATATTTTGTTTATATATGTATTTTTTGTCTTTTTTTAGTCTGGATACTCAAAAAGCTTGTCATTCACTTTGGAGTTGTGGATTTCCTAGAGAAACGCTACCATGTGTGGTGGGGCATTATAGAAAGCTTCCTGAAGGAGCGGCAGGGAGCTCTCGCGCCTTGGCCCATTGTCGGGCTTGGAAAATTCTTGTTAAAAGTTGATAGCAAGGTATTGTATTTTAAGGACTTGGGCTGTCTTAATGGAGTTAATATATTTCGTGGTTTGAACTTTTCCATTCTATGGTGTTTATATTGTAACTGTTGATAACACATGTAATATCTAATTCTATGATGAAAGTTTAATGTTTAAAATTATGGTTTACACAAGGATAAGATGGGTTTACTTTAAATAAGGCTTGTGTAAGTATTTTTTCCTCATAAAAATGGGAGAAATGGATTTTCTGATTTAATTCCTTCATTATATTAGGACCAAATTGAAATCCAGAGAGGTTAAGCGACTTGCCTAAAATTATGTAGCTAGGTAGTGGCTCAGTTTAGTGAATATTTTTGGAGTAATTACCATATGTCAGATACTGTATTAAGTCCTACGGAAAATCAGATGAATCATGGAAAACCAGATACAGAAGCCTTGTTTATTGGGGAAAGACAGCAGTTGATAAAAATTCAGAGATGGCGGTTAGATTTAGAGCCTTAGTGGTTAAAGAGCATGGACTATGAATCCATGAAGTTTCCTAACCTTTCTGTGCCTTGGTTTCCATACCAGTAAAATAGGTACAATAGCACCTACCTTGTAGAATGGTGGTAAGGGTTAAATGAGGTAATATATGTAAAATCCCTAGATTATTGCCTGGTACACAGTGAGCTCTATGTAAGTATTAGGAATTTGTGTAGGAAAAGTGTGTATGGGATACAGTGGCAGCACTGAGCAAGAAATGACTCACTGTTCATAGGGTCATGAGAAAGGGAAGGTTAGCAGAGGAAGTGATACTGGAGCAAGTTTTGAAGCACAGGCGGGAGTTTCTTAGGTAGACATGGCCAGAAGGGCAAGCAGACGGAGCAGTGCAAAGGCATGGAGACACTAAGCCTACGAGCATGCAGGTTATTTTATGTATTTTTAATTGTTGGATTCCCAACAAAGATGTGGTTATCATCATTTCAATCATTATATATCTTAAAGGAATACTACATTCCGTTGATTTTAAAACTTTGATGTGTTACAGTTTTTCCGTCCCTAGTTTTTCCTTTGTCTGGGATGGTTTCCTTCTCATGCTTTCCTTTTCTTTTCATACTATGGTTGCATTCTCTAATGATACTCCACTGTTCTTATCTTCTCTTTCTCACCTTACCCCCTATCCTCAAGCTCTGGCACTGGCTAAATAAGAAGGTAAATGAACACCCAGATGTTGGTTTTTACTATTGAATTCCGTAATGCCCCTGTATCGCCTTTTTCACTCTATGTTTCTGTCCATGTGTCAAACTAAGTTTTTGTTTTCAAAGTTTTAATTATAAGCTATGGAAGGTTGTGAAGCATGAATACTATCACAGTATAATTTGGTAAAAACTCAGCAAAGGCTGTCTAGGATATGGATGGTATCTCCTTGCTCAGGTGTTTGTAAGAAGTTCTGTCTCATAGTCCTTTTGTCCCCTGTAAATCCAGTTCTGTAAATGTGGCTCAGCCTGATATTCTAGTCTCCTTTGATGTGTGAAAACACATTAGGCAATAGTTATTGTAAGGGCAAGAGAGAACTCTCTGTTTGATACTTTTTCTATAAAAGACACAGGAATTTTTTAAAAAGACAAATCTGTGAAATATTTGTATGGTTTCCTTGGCAGATAATTTTATATATTGTCTTTTTTTAAATAACTAGTATTTCAAAATTTATTTTTAACTTAAAACAGATAGTAGTCATGACCTGTGACATCGAATTTTGTGTTTTCTCCAAGGTATGAGGTTGTGTCTATGGTAAATGCTTCACATGATTGGTATGGCATTATAATAGGCACACTTTTAATAACTTCAATAAAGGCTAATCCAGATACATTAGGAATGTTGTACCTCGACATATAGTCCACATATCGTAATGTTTAAATTAATTTTAATGAATTAAATAGCCAGGCCTTGTGGCACACACTTGTAGTCCTAACTACCCAGGATGCTAGGGCAGAAGGATTGTTTGAGCCCAGGAATTCAAGGTTGTAGTGAGCAATAATTGCACCATTGCACTCCAGCCTGGGTGACAGCAAGACTCTGTTTCTTAAAAAAATAATAATTTCAATGAATCTCTAGGACAGATAGCAAGAGATGACATCATTTATATATGTTGTGTTTAAACATAATAAAACTATATATATGTCTTTTGTGGAAATATTATATCAGGCCTTAAGAAAGATGTAGTACTTCTTGAAAATAGATCAAAATGAGACTTTTGGATGGGTTAGGATTTCATTTTTTTCTGTTGAAATAGAGGAGAGGGGAGACTTGACAATGCCTAAAGTTTTAAAGTTGAGTTGAAAGGAAGCATTGTGTAAAATAAACACTCCCACACTCTCACATGGTTGTGTATGTCTCCATTCCCTATAAAACTAGTATGGGTAAGTGAGTTCAATCCTTGGCAAATGATGTGCAAATATAAGTCACGTTTTAAAATTTTGACCAAAGAATGTGGTTTCTAAAAAATTTTTATTTGTTCTAATTGTTTTTTAGAGACAGGGTCTTGCTCCGTTGCTCAGGCTGGAGCAGTGGCACAATGAAAGCTCACTGCAACTGTGAACTTGGGCTCAAGCGATGATTTTGTACTTTTCTTCAATTTGTGTTATATTGAAATGAAATTGCCCTCAAGAGATGGGGGAAAGGAGAATTAAATTCATTGGATTAAATTTGATTTAACCTTCAGTGGACTAAATGAGCTAGATTACCTAATTTATGAGACTACTTCATAACTGAATCATCGAGTTAATTTTAAAAGATCTCTAAGATCAAGTCCTTTTTTTCTTTCCTTTGATGATTCCATATAACATAGTAAAGCATTGGTGTAAAGATAGAGTAACTGCTTGAGATTTTGAGCGGGTACATTCCAAGAAAGGACATACATAAGTTGAGAACTATTTTATTACATTACATCTCAAAGTCAGAAAATTGCAGCACTGGGTAATGTTGGTATGTAGAAATTTCAAGTGGAGTGAATTAGGAAACCAATTCAAGAGAAGAGAGGGTGAGAGAGCACACATGGGTTAATTGAAATGTAACCCATTTCTCAAGAGTTACTTGTTTTATTTCTTTTCCTTTTTTTTTTTTTAAATTTGAGACAGGATCTCACTCTGTCACCCAGGCTGGAGTGCAGCGACGTGATCTTGACTCACTACACAACCTCCACCTCCCAGGCTCAAGCAATCCTCCCACCTCAGCCGCCTAAGTAGCTGGGACCACAGGTGTGCACCACCATGCCTGGTGTTTTTTTTTTTTTTTTTTTTTTTTTTTTGTATTTTTAGTAGAGATGGGGTTTTGCTATGTTGCCCAGGCTGGTCTTGAACTCCTTAGCTCAAGTGATCAGCCTGCCTCAGCCTCCTAAAGTGTTAGGATTATAGGTGTGAGCCACTGCACCTGGCTTTGTTTTATTTCTTAGTATTGATTATTTGCACTAAAACTCAAGTGGAATTTTGTTTAAAAACAAAGCAAAATGAAAAATATATAGGCCCAGAATAATGAAAGAGAAGAAAAACTCAGTAGTGGAATACTTTCTTAATAGCTTGATAAATAGGCCAGTTAGTGTAGAAGTTTTAGAGTATCTTTTGGTGTAACTATAAATTTACTGACATCTCTAAATTTAAAAAATGCATGCCCTTCATTCACATTTGAAACATTCGGAATGTCATTTTAAAATTACTTCTCTTTTTTTGAAAAATAAACTTTAAAAATTAAAGTAACTTCTCAGTCTTTCAGCATGGAAAGATTGGGGACATTTAGAGACTTGGTAATTTCCATGCGAGGGCAGGTGGATTGGGTTCCTTTGCCCAAAGCAGAACGTGGGACAGGATCAGCCTCGTGAGATAGCACGTCTGGCCTTTGGTCCCCTTCTCCATTGCTTCCTCTCTTTATGTTTCTCTTCCTATCTCTCCGAGTTGCTGTTTCTTTGTGAGTCTTTTTCTATTCAGTCTTTGTGGGAGTTGGTTCATCTTTTCCTCCATCTAAGTTTTTTATCCTCTTCACTTTTTTTCCTCTTTTCGTCCTTAGTTTTATGTATCAACTCCCCGTGCCCCCATTTTTTTTTTGCTTGACCTTCTCTGTTTCCTTTTATTCTTGAATAAATCTTAGTCTCTGTTTCTCTTTCCCACTCTTTCCTCTCTCTTACTGTCTCCCTTCTTGTCCTGTTCTCAGCTAACTTAACTGGCCACATGTGACGAAAACAACAACTTCTTAGCTTCTTTTTTGAGCATCTTAAATAATTTTGTTTATTTTAAATTTCAATGAAACATCCAACCCTCACTGTCATCCCTTGGATATACGTTTTTATTTAGGTGACTGAATTTTTTTCAACCTTTATGGCTTGTGATAGAAAAATTTTACCCTAACTTAAAACTAAAAAATTGGATATTGTAATGTTAATGTACCTAATATGTTTTTGAATATTCTATGTTTTATATGTTAAAAATACTCAAACATGTTTCTAAGTAGAATATCATTTACATTTAAAAATACATTTCAGGATATGACTTTTCTGAAAAAAAAAAAATAGAGGCTCTACATTATTTTCAGAAATTGTAATTTGTGGATACAAATACAGTCTTAATTCTGAAATTATTTTATTTATGCTTGCTTATTCAAACACATAGTAATTGAATGCTTACCACGTGCTAAGCACTTAGATTTTGGAGATACAAAGAGGAGTGATACAAACCTAGCTCTTTCCCCAGGAAGCTGCCTTGATAACTAGTTTTCAATTGGTTTCTGATTGAAAGTTTTCAGTTTCATTGATTTTAGAATTTAACTTCAGAATATGACATCTGACCTTCCATATCTTAGAAACCTGTTATTCCTTTTTTTTAAGTCTCTGCATTGTCTTTGATGCCTTGGTAGCATGCACTGAAAATTAACTCTTCTGTTTGAAGCTGTAATTGTCAAGATTAAAGATTAACTTTTTATCTTTGAGTTCACTTTAGCATTGATCTCTTAGTGACAGTGCCCTTGATGAAAAACAGATAAGGGGGGCACAAGCTTATAAACGTCAAGTGAAAGTAAATGCTGCAGAACTCATGTTGTTTTTTTAACCAACATTCTTTGCTTTTGGATGTTTAATTCACTGGAGAGCATAAATCAGATCTAAATTAAGAATAACTTATTTAGCAATGCTGTTGCTCACCTTGGGGTTGAGCAGTGCATTGTGGTGTTTCAGCAGTTATTAATCTAGTTAAATGTAGTTTTGAAATGTTAGATGGTAGCTTTGCATGAAAGGAATTCTAGCAATCTATCAAGTATATATTCTGAAAACACAAGTTGTTTAAAATGTAGGATTATTTGTGGTTGTGAAAGATGAAGGAAGTTATAGCAAGATAATGTCAGATAGCATTTAGGGAAAGCACAGTTTTAATAACTGATTAAGAAACAGCTACTACATTGATTATATCAATTATAGTCATGTCATAAAGCTTATGTTTTCAGAAGAATAGAAACTTCAAGTAGAATATCAGATTTTAAAAAGCATTTTATTATGTATTATGAAATATTTCAAACATAAAAAGATGTAAAGACTATCTACCAATGACTCCCCCCTTAATAAAACAAATTAACCTGAAGGCTGTTTTGTGCCCCTCCTTGATTGTGCATTCACCTCCCAACCCCTCGCTCCTTGGGCAACTGTTATCTTTGTTATTTGTCATTGCCTTAACATTAGATTTTTTTATTACTGCTTTTGTAATTCTAATGATATCAAATGGAAAAAATATTTTGAATGCAACTCCTCTTTTAATTTGCTCCAATTTTATCTGTATTTTTTAGTCCATGCCTGTATTATAAGTATTATAAATACTATCTGTATATACTTTTGCTAAAGTCGTGTGTATTTGTTAAACTGATGATACAGCTTCATAAGATTTTAGGTCAGCTAATGGATTGTCAATATTTTGTTTAGAATACTTACCAGGTTATAAATTACAATTTGAAACATAGATATCCTATAGTTTGAGAATTTGAACATAGATATGGATTATGTTGAAATCGACTGCCTTTTTCTTAGCTATGACAGTAATAAACTATATAACAACAGCAGTAATGAGTACTGTGAAGTTTTTAAAGTTGCTTAAAGCTTTTATTGCTTTAATTATTATGCCATAATTTGCTTTGCCATGCTGGAGATCCTGTTTTGTCTTTATGACAATTGAGTATATGTATTTTTAAAGTTCTACTTTAAAGATAAGTAATTCTCTTTTTCGTTTTTGTGCAGATGATCATCTGGTTGGAGAAGATGTTAGATAAAATAATTAGCATTTTCATCATATTTTTGTTAGTGATAGGAACTCTTCTTTTAGCCCTACTCCTGACTGCAAAGGTAGAGTACAGTGATTATTATTCTCATTAATAAACCCTTAATTGTTAGAATTGTAGTCTGGATTAAAAGCTAGCAGAAGGGGCATGGAAAATGTTAACTTGATTTAAAAGTATGTACAATAGCTAAAGGATTTATGATTTGTATATTACTAATTTTGCCATGAATTTGCCTAGTATATTTTCTTTTCAGACCTCTTTTACATGCATTTTTATTTTATCGAAACCCTTGGGAGTAAATACAAATGAAAAAAATGAGATAATGAAGAACAAGTGGCGCTTGTTTTTTTTAGTTTAATAGGAGAATTAGGATCTGGTCTTATGAATTCTAATCTAGTTAGTATTCTTCACTAGATCAGAATTTGCTGATTACCACCTTCCATCCTTGTCTCATTGATCCTTCTGCTGATATATACCATAGCACCTTTATTTCTCGCTTTCCAGGTCCTTCCAGCTTACATTTCCTTTCCCCATTTTCATCTCATCAAAGAAAATTATTCTCTAAAGAACACCTAAAATGTTATCTTTATAGTGATATCTCTTACTATTTTTTTTAGGCTTATCAAGTCTGACAAGATTTCCCCCCCACTTTTATGGTACATTTTAATCTTTATTTTATCTGAACCGTATTGAACTCCACAACCCAGATTTTGGTATGTTCTTTTCAAGGAGTTGGTGAAGCTTATGTGAAATCATGGATACAAAATTTTTTTTATTCCTTTAGTTCCCATAGAGACATGTTGGTAACTATAATTGATAATCTAATTAACCAATTTGCTAAAGAACTGCACTATTTCTTCAGTGGCATCTCTGCTTGGAAGTCCTATTCTTAGTCTCAGCTTCAGTACACCCTCAAGCTATCTTATTTGCTTCTAAAAATCTCTTCTAGTACTTCTGTTTCAGTCTTTGTATAGTTCCTATCTGTTCTTTGGATATTAATTATGTATAGTCACGTATATATACTGTGCAGACTTATTTAGAGGCTTTTTGTCATATTTTGCTTAAACCTGCTACTGTGCAATCTTACATTCCAGTTCTTTCATTAGTATGGTCTTTTTTTTTCCTTTCTCCTCTCTTCTACACTTCTATTCTACTTTTCCTTCTTGGTCCCTTTGCGTAGCATCTTTTGCCTGGCCATCTCAGTTTTATCTTTTAAGTCCTTTTTCTTTGTTCATCCCCTGCTTCAGTGAGCTTTTGCTTCTCTGAACTTTGATAACAAGTATTACTGAACCATTTATTTCTGGGTGTAGAATTCATCCAAACTGAGCTTTTGAGGGAACCTTATTGGTTATCTAATTCATTCTCCTGGCCAGTACAGCTGTCATTCTCTGAAACATCCATGACAGTATCTACTTGAATGTTTAATGGACATCTCAAATGTAACGTCAGAGACTGAATTCCAGACCTTCCTCCAGTTGTCTGTTCTTCTCATAGTCTTCAGTGACAACTCCATTCTTCTGCTTGCTCAAATGGAAAGTCTCAGGATCATCTTTGACTACTGTTTTTGTTTTGTATCCACATCCAGTTTGCCAGAAAATCCTTTTTGGCTCCACCTTCCTAATATGTCCTGGGATAATAGCAGGGTGAGGAAGTCAGGTAATTCCTTTCCACAGAAATCAAGAATAAAACAACATGAAATTATTAAAAACACCATTTAAAAGCATTAGAAAATGACCAGGTAGGCAACTAGGAGATCTTTCGTTGATGAAAAGCTGCTACTGTAGCTGGTAAAAACAGGTACTTTTTCTTTACAGGTAAAAACAGGTGACATTCTTGCATGGGCAGTAAAACCTGCAGCTTTTCTTGAAGGAAGTATTCTTCAGTGCACAGATGTGTTTAGGTTTAATGTAGCTTCATTTGTCTATTTTTGCCTTTGTTGCCTGTGCTTTTGGTGTCAAGTCCAATTGGAGATGAGCAGAGCCTCAGACACCTGTGGGACAATATCAAACATCTAGCAGACATGTAATAAGCATCCCAGAAGATGAGAAGAGGAAGAGAAAAAGGTAGAAAAAATTATTTGAAGAAATAACTGCTAAAAACTTTCCCATGTTTGGTGAAAAACATTAACAGATCCAAGAGGTTCAACAAACCTTCAGTAGAATAAGCATACACAAACACAAAACCATGCCTAGCTACATCATAGTCAAACTGCCGAAAGACAAAGATAAAAAGAAAATCTGGAAGGAAGCAAGAGAAAAATTACACATCACAAACAGGGGAACAATACAGTTAGTGACTTAATTCTCTTAATAAACAGCAAAGACTAAAAGACATTGGAGTGACATATTTAAAGTCATAGGGAGAAATCTCAAACAATACTTTTATAGTCAGTGAAACTGTTCTTTCAAAGTAAAGGCAAAATGAAAACATTTCTAGATAAACAGATACTGAATTTGTTGATAGCAGACCTGCACTTATATGGAATGCTAACAGAGCTCCTTCGGGGTGAAGATAAATGACTCCAGAAATAATCTGGATCCAAAGAAAGGGATGAAAGCACTTGGAAAATATGTGGGTTATATTTTCCCCTGTCTTCTTTTAATTTATTTAAACAAATATGACTAAAGAAAAATAGAAATACTGTTGTGGCCTTTATAACATATATAGATGAGCTATGTATATGTAAAACCATAGCACAAAGAAGAGGGCTGGCAAGTAGAACTGTAATGGTATGAAGTTCTTAAAATATTTTCCTGGATATAAGTCAATATTAACTTGAAGTAGATTATGATAAATTAAAAGATGAGATAAGATTTAGATAAGTTAAACAGCAGGCAATAAATAGCCTAAGGATTAGGGGAACTAAAATGGTATACTAAAATTTGCTGAACACAAAAGGCAGTGCAGGAACAACAGAGGACCAATAGAGATGGGACAAATAGAAAGCTAGTAGCAAAATGGCAGACCTAACCCTGGTCATGACAATACTTAGGTTACACGAGAAGCAACTAAACAGTCAAAAAGCATACATTGTCAGACTGAATATAAAAAGCAAGTTCCAACTTGCTTTTGGTATGTTAGAGACACACTTTAAATTCAGTCACAGGAAGGTTGATAGTAAAAATATTAAAAAACATACACTGTGCAAACTGTCCACAGAAAATATGTGCAGTTGATTCTATATTAGACAAAATAGATTGTCAAAAAGAAATATTGCTAGAGGCAAATTAAGGACTTTTCATATGGATAAGAGTTAATATTGACATAAGATAACAGTTACAAATGTATATGCTCCCAACAGCTGAGCTCTAAAATACATGAAATCCAACATTCAGAATTAAAAGGAGAAATAAACAAATCTATGATTATAGTTCAGGATTCAGTACTCCTTGCAGTAATTGAGGGAATAAGTAGTTAGAAAATAATAAGGATATTTAGAAGCCTTTTAAAAGCTGGGTGTGGTGGCTTATGCCTGTAATCCCAGGACTTCGGGAAGATGAGGCAGGTGGATCCCTTGACTCCAGGAGTTTTAAGACCAACCTAGGCAACATGACAAAACCCCATCTCTACAAAGAATAGAAAAAATTAGTTGGGCATGGTGACTTAAGCCTGTAGTCCCAGCTACTTGAGAGGCTGAGGTGGGAGGATTGCTTGATCCCGGGAGATTGAGGCTGCAGTGAGCTGTGATCGTGCCACTGCATGTCAGCCTGGGTGACAGAGCAAGACTTTGTCTCAAAAGAAAACAAAAACGAAACACGCCAAAAAACGCGGTCAGTCAACTTGACCTAATTAACAATTATATTCTTTTATATTATATATATAATATTATAACAAAAATTATATTCTTTTCAAGAAAACATGGAATACTCACCAGAATAAACAATATGTTCAATAAATTTGGAAGTGTTAGGCAAGGCACAGTGGTACACACCTGTTATCTCAGCTACCTGGCAGGCTGAGGCAGGAGGATTGCTTGAGCCCAGGAGTTTGAGACCAGCCTGGGCAACATAAGGAGACCCTGGCTTTACAAAAACAATTTAAAAATTTAGCTGGGCATTGTGATGCATTTCTGTAGTCCCAGCTACTTAGGAGGCTGAGGTGGGAAGACTGCTTGAGCCTTGGAGGTGGAGACTGTAGTGAGCCGTGATTGCACCACTGCAGTCCAGGCTGGGTGACAGAGCGAGATCACTGTCTCAAACAAAAAAAGCATTTCCTGACACAGAATTAAATTAAAAATCAGTAACAGAAATTTAGGGAATGTCCAAATATTTAGAAATTAAGCAACATACTTTTTTTTTGGCGGGGAAGGGGTGTATATAACATTAGTTAAAGCCTTTAATAATTTTAAAATAAGAACTTTAACTTTTTTTTTATTATACTTTAAGTTTTAGGGTACATGTGCACAACGTGCAGGTTTGTTACATATGTATACGTGTGCCATGTTGGTGTGCTGCACCCAATAACTCGTCATTTACATTAGGTGTATCTCCTAATGCTATCCCTCCCCCCTCCCCCCCACCCCACAGTGGGTCCCGGTGTGTGATGTTCCCCTTCCTGTGTCCATGTATTCTCATTGTTCAGTTCCCATCTATGAGTGAGAACATGTGGTGTTTGGTTTTTTGTCTTTGCGATAGTTTGCTGAGAATGGTTTCCAGCTTCATCCATGTCCCTACAAAGGACATGAACTCATCATTTTTTTATGGCTGCATAGTATTCCATGGTGTATATGTGCCACATTTTCTTAATCCAGTCTATCATTGTTGGACATTTGGGTTGGTTCTAAGTCTTTTAAGCAACATACTTCTAAACCTGTGAATCGAATAAATTTCAAAGGAAATTAGAAGATTTTAAAATGGAAGAAAATGAAGCCACTGCATATCAAAATTTGTGGGATGCAGCTGAAGCAGTGTCTTGTTGGAAGTTTATGTCATTAAATGCTTATATTTGAAAAAGGAAAATCAGTGACTTAAGTTTCCACCTTCAGAAGCTAGCAAATAATAGCAAATTAAATCCAAAGTAAATGAAAGGAAGGAAATAATAAGGATCAGGTGCAAATCAAGGAAATTTGAAAAGGAGAAACAATAGTGAAAACATGAATAAACTCAAAAGCTGTTTCTTTGAAAAACATCAATAAAATTGACAAAATTTTAGCCAGACTGATGAAGAAAAAAGAAGATACAAATTACCAATATCAAGTACAAAAGAGGAAACATCTCTGCATATGTCACGGATCTTGAAAGGATAAGGGAATATTGTGAACAACTTTATGCCATCAAGTTTGATAACATTAAATGGAGAAATTCCTTGTAGAGAAGGAGTGGAACAGACTCAAGAAGAAATAGAAAAATTGTAGCCCACTATGAGGACAAGAAATTGAATTAGTGTTTGAAATTCTTCCTACCAAGAAGCGCTCAGGCCCAGATGATCTCACTGATGAGTTTTATCAAACATGTAGCGAAGAAATACTGCCTGTTCTACACAGTGTTGTTCAGTTAGCAAAGAAGTAACACTTGTCAGCTCATTTTATGAGGCTAGTATTGCCCAGATACCAAAGTCAAAGGCATTCACAGAAGGGAAACTGCAGACCAGTATCCCTTATAAATAGACACAAAAATCCTTAACAAAACATTAACAGATTAAATCCTGCAGTATGTAAAAAGGAAAATATATCTATGTGAGGTTTATTTCGGGAATGTAAAACCCGTTTAACATCCAACAGTTGGTTAATGTAAGATAGGTCTCAAATCCAGTCACTTCTTTCTCAGTACCGCTACTGTCCTGCTCAAAGCTATCCCCGTTCTCTCTTGAATTGTTCCTTAGCCTCATTTAGTCTGTTTTCAACACAGCGTCCAAACTTACTTTAAACATCTAAGTAAGATTATGTCCCTTAGCTTACAGCCCTCTCTTTTTCCATATCCCACAAAATGCTAGCCTAAGTCCTCACAAGAACGTGTCAGGCCTTATTCATTCTGGCTGTTTTTCAGGCATTGCACCTGAGTTGATTATCCCCTCATTGTGTCTGAAATCAGTTTGTTTTCCCCGTCTTGGTGCAGTTTGTATTTTGTGTTCTTCCTACTTTTCTGGGGCCCGATAGAATTGGAAGTGGTATCACTTGATGGCTTAGGTGGCTATGTATCTTTGTTAGGGTATCTAGACTCTGTTCTGTTCTGGGTTGGTATGTGACTTGCCCTAGTGATTTTGCTACTTGGTTAATCTCATACCCATGCCCATGGAAAAATACCGTCAGTCTTTGTACTGTCTCACTCAATTCCTGGCATACTATGGAACTTTCACTGCAGAAAGGGACAGAGATGAGGGGTGGGTGTGGGTGGGGGACTTTGATCTCTTTCCTCTGATTTATCCTTTTCTCCCTCATTACACTTTCTTTCCCTCTGTCATCAGAAAAGGATAACGATGTGGCTTCTTTTCTCCCTGTTACTCGTGAATCGTAATATATTTGTCAGCTCACCTGTGTAGCTCCTGGGTGATGGGGTCAGTTTAGGAGTGAGCTGTTACGCCTCTCTGTTGTGCTCCAGAATGTTTTGTTTCTTTACCTGATGGCTGAGTTCCAAATTGTATCAGATTATGTTTCTTTCCTTGTTTGGATGTCCTGGGTGAAAAAATTTTTTTTCAACTGATTAATTCCCATTTTATCTCCCTCAATTTGTTGGTTATTGGGCAAGGTAAATTCAGAGGTGCAGCTTCTGTTGGCTTTTTTTACTCAGAAACCTTACTTAGTTGCAGTTTACTTACAGTGGCTCACACCTGTAATCCTAGCACTTTGGGAGGCCAAGGTGGATAGATCCCTTGAGGTCAGGAGTTCAAGACCAGCCTGGCCAACATGGCAAAACCTTTTTTCTACTAAAAATACAAAATTAGACAGGCGTGGTTGTGAGTGCCTGTAATCCCAGCTACTCAGGAGACTGAGGCACGAGAATCGCTTGAACGTGGGGGGTGGAGGTTATATCGAGCTGAGATTGCGCCACTACACACCAGCAAGCCTGGGTGACAGAGCGAGAACCTGGCTAAAAAAAAAAAAAAAAAAACAAAAAAAAAAAGTTAGTTCCTTATTTGCCTGTTTGTCTCACACTGCGTGATGAACCTGTTAGCTCACAAAGTGCTGATATTGCTTACATAGATACACAAACACATTTATACGATATATTCATGCAAATGAAATGTATGTACATATACGTGTCAAGTATTTGAACATATCTATTTATGTATTTTTTTCTTAAGTAATGTGTTGAACAGGGAGCTAGCATGTACTTTTTATTTCCCGTAGTGCGTATCATTAGATATAATGTATAGTAACTTTGCGCTGCATGTTTCTAAATTAATTAAAGCAAAGATGTGTATTTATTTGGCTCTCAAAGCATTGTTCCAATAATAGAGTAGAAAAATAAATGTTAAATTGGGTTTATTTTTTACTGAGATTCTTTTCTTTCTTTATCTGTAATACAGGTACATCAAGAGAGTGTACACATGATTGAAGTCACAAGTAATTTGATTAATGAAACTCTAGCAAATCACCCTGAGTGGGCAAAGTAAGAATATTGTTTTGAAAAAGAAGAGAGATGAATGGCCTAGTTTCAGCATCTGTTTGCACGAAATGACCTTCATTGATGCAGCTGCATTGGAAGATAAAAGATAGGGTTTGCCAGAGCTTTGATAAATATTGTCATTTTTGAAGAAGAATGTCATGTAATACAGAGGGTGGGAGGAAAGTGCTCAGGATTTTAGGTACAATTCATGGTAAA
This sequence comes from Homo sapiens, assembly GCF_000001405.40. Lineage (NCBI taxonomy): Eukaryota > Metazoa > Chordata > Mammalia > Primates > Hominidae > Homo > Homo sapiens. The sequence continues at coordinate 109,073,142 of NC_000009.12, read as the reverse complement.
TGATACTTTGTTTTATAATTGAGGTTTACAGCATGTTTATAATTTACAAAGCACTTCATCTGTCTTATGTCATTTGTTCCTCACAGTGACTGTGTGAGATAGATTGAAGAAATTATCCCCATTTTACACATGAGGAAACAAGATCAAAGGTTAAGGAACTTGAGATAATAATTCCGCAGTGGCAGAGTCATTTATAACCACTGCTTCTGATCAACTGAAGGAAAGTTTCCACTATAACATGGAAACTGTAACTCCTCAACTTTCTATATAATTTTTAAATTTATGTTATTTATTTATTTTTAAGAAATGAGGTCTCACCATGTTGTCCAGGCTGATCTTGAACTCCTGGGCTCAAGCAGTTCTCCTGCTTTAGCCTCTGGAGTAGCTGAGACTACAGGTGTACACCACCATGCCCAGTTTTATAATTATTGACATATTCCCATATTGTATTATTTTTGAGGAAGGATAGGTGAACTATGGCCCAGGGCCAAATTCAGCCACCTCCTTTTGTGTTGGGGACCAGCCTCAACACCACCCGTAGGGTACCTGAAGTTCGGTGGCGACAAAGGAATGAGAAGAGACAGGTACAGGTTAAGAGTTCATGAAGGTGGGAGTCGGGGCCAGTTGCATAATGGAGGCTGCAAAAGGCGCTGAGCTCTGGTCTCCACACTGTTTATTGAGTGTAATCACTTAGATCTAAAAAGCAGATGTTCAGGGTGAAAACACTGAAAGGGAGGCAGTACATCATAGGTGTAATCTATAGCAATAGCGGTTTAAATCAATCTCCTTTGTGCTCAAACAGCATATCTTTAACTTGTTGGAGAGTAGCTAGTGGGAGCGGGCTTAACTAGGAGCCTGCACATCTGTCCACATTCCAGTGTTTCAAGGGAGTGTCTTTCTCCTTGAACACAGTGTTTACAGATAAGAGAGCAGGTCTTGCTCTGAGTATGGGAACATGATGGCAATTCGGAGACTTTTCTACTCAGAGGCCTCTCATGGCTTTCCACAACTTATTGTCCCATATTTTTGTGGCCAGTTTATACAGGCACCCCACAAGCCCTTTTCCCAACACTTTGGTAAATGAAGTTTTAGTGGAACATACCTATGTCTACTCATTGACATATTTTCTCTGGCTGTTTTGGGGCTTCAAGGACAAACAGAATTGAGTAGCTGTGGCAGAGATTATATGTTCTGCAGAGCCTAAAATACTTACTCTCTAGTCCTTTACAGAAAAATTTGCCAACTTCTGTTTTATAGGATCTCTGTGTAATTTGGCTTCTGGAAGAAGGGTTTTCAGTTTTTGTGGGGGATGTTCAGCAGAGCTGTGTTATCCACCTAACAACTTGATGACACATTGTATGACCTGCCTTTTATTAACCTCAAGACAGTCATAAGTCAGGAAATATTCTGCCAGTTTTAGGCTTATAAGTTGAGATTTAAGTTGATTTTTTTCCTTTGCCTCTACTTTATTCTTTTATATAAAACCTGCCTAGGACATTACTTGAACTTGATTTAGAATAAAATTTTTTTTTTTTTTTTGAGACAGGGTCTTGCTCTGTCACCCAGGCTAGATTAAAGTGGCACAATCATGTCTCACTGAAGGCTTGATCTCCTGGGCTCAATCATTCCTCCCACTTTAGTCTCCTGAGTAGCTGGGACTACAGGCATGAGCCACTATACTCGGCTAATTTTTATATTTTTTGTAGGAGTTTCACCATGTTGCCTAGGCTGGTCTTGAACACCTGGGCTCAAGTGATCTTCCCTCCTCAGCCTCCCGAAGTGCTGGGATTACAGGCATGAGCCACTGTGCCTGGCCTATTTGAATCTTCATAAAAGAAGTATATTTCTTTTGAAATATAAATTGTGGTATATTTATGCAGTGGAATATTATACAGCATTAAAAAAAATGGACTAATGATACATGTACCAACATGGATGACTCTCAAAATAAGTATGTTGGCCAGGTGCGGTGGGTGGCTCACGCCTGTAATCCCAGCACTTTGGGAGGCCGAGGCGGGAGGATCACCTGAGGTCAGGAGTTTGAGACCAGCCTGGCCAATATGGTGAAACCCCATCTCTACTAAAAATACAAAAATGAACTGGGTGTGTGGCACACACCTGTAATCCCAGGTACTTGGGAGGCTGAGGCACATGAATCGCTTGAACTCGGGAGACGGAGGTTGCAGTGAGCCAAGATTGCACCACTGCACTCCGGCCTGGATGATAGGGTAAGACTATGTCTCAAAAAAACAACAATAAAAAAGTAAGTTGAGTGAAAAAATTCAGACAAAAAGCCCAAATGGTACGATTTCATTTATTTAAAGTTCTAGGAAATGCAGACTAATCTGTAGTGACAGTAAGATTAATGGTTGCCTGTGGATTGGGGTGGAGCTCTAGGGAGGACATACATATAGGTGCAAGGAAATTTTTAGGAGTGATAGATATGTTTATTATTTTGATTAAGGATATAAGTAGAGAAGTAGAATCATCATATTTCATTCTAGAACAGGCTTTTCAGCTGCTTTGTGGAGAAAAGATTGAAGGTATACAAGATGTAAACCTTTGAGACAAATTAAAAGCTTCTAGAGTAAACCAGATGAGAAGTGACAAAGCCCTGAACTGTAGACAGTTTCAGTGGAGGTGAACAGGAGGGACAGATTTATAAGGTCTTAAGGGGGTTAGTTGGTGATTAATTGGATATAGGAGGAAGAAATCTAGCATGACTTATGTTTCTAGCTTTGGAAATTAGTGAGTGATGGTGGATTCACCAAGACAGGAAATAGAAGAGCAGATTTGGTAGGGAAACTAATTCCCCTGTTTACCTGTTGAGTTTGAGGTGACTGTTGTAAGTAGAGGCATCCAGTAGGCTGTTGACTATGTAGGTATGCGGTTCAGGAGAGATGGGGTGAAGTTAAAAAATGGGCAGTTGCTGTGTAAGTCCAGGAATCAGATGAGAGGTCTGGGTTGGATCTTGAGTTTTGAGAAGCATCAGCATAAAGAATGTATGTAAGGTACAGAGAGGATGTCTGGAGGTGCGCCCTGTGGATATCTTAAGCCTTTAAGGGTGAGCAAAAAACAATAGGTTCACAAAGGAAAATGAGAATGGGCTATGAGAAAGGTAAGAGGAAAACCAAGGAAAGAGAACGTTTTGAGACAGTAGTAGTGGTCAGCAATGTCAAATTGCTGCAGAAATTTTCTAAGAGTGAAATTGGGTTTAGCAGCTGCAAGAGCAGTTCATTTAATTGGTGTAGCAGAAGCCCATTAGATTGCAGTGTGATGAGAAATTATTGGGAACGAGGAACTAGAGAAAGCAGGTATAGACTGCTCTTTCCCAAGTTTGCCTATGGAACGTAGCTGGGAAGGAGGTATAGAGCAGTTTTGTTTAATTTTTTAAGATGGAGAAGCCTTGTTTGTATGCTCCAGGGAAAGAACTGGTAGAGTGGAAGGGGTTGTAAATATTAGGAGAGAGATAATTCTTAGTGCATTTCTCTGAGGATGAAGCATGAGATGAATCCATGGCACGAATGGAACAGCTGGGGAAAGCAGGTCAGAATGGATATGGATATAAATACTGTGAGTTCAGTGGAGCGGGGAAGGCGGGAAATTAGGGGCCATACATCTTTGAAGTAAGAAGTGAGGTCTTCTGTCCTCTGGCTCTTTGGATATAATACATTTTAAAAGGAGAATGGGAAAAAGGAGGAACCAACATGTATCAGGTATGGGATTTTAGGAAGGAGCCACCTGGGATCTAGGCAAGTGGATAGAGCCTTTCATAGGATGATAGACCTTCCAAATGTTGTCCTCTAGGGCTCAGCCTCAGCCCTCACATCCAGAGGGCTCCTTTTCTTTGGGTCATTCTTCTGTACTGGAAGTCAATGCAGAGCCCTTTTGTACCGGTTTTGAATAGTAGCAGCATTCTCTCTGCAACTGTATCAAAGGCACACAATCTGAGCAGCCCCAGATCAGGTAGTAGAAGAAAGGTTTGTCTTTTGTTTGAAATTTTGAAGTAATAATTATAGATTCACAGGGAGTTGCAAAGACATATACAGGGAAGACCCATATACTCTTCACCCCATCCCCTCCAGTGTTGTCATCTTGCATAACTATAGTACAATAAAACCAGGAAATTGGCATTGCTATAATACACTGACCTTCAGATTTCATCCTCTATGTAGCTTCATGTCAGCTATCAACACACTCAGTACATAACTGTTACATTGCAGGCTTCCTCATGCCACCCCTTAACAGCCACACCCATCCTCTACCCTTTCCTTCAATATTTCCCTAACTCTTAGCAACCACTGATCAGTTCTCCATAGCTATAAAATCATTTTGAGAATAATACGTAAATCCAGTCATGGAGCATGCAGCCTTTTGAGATTGGCTTTTTGTTGCTTAGCATAATTCTCTTGAAGCTCATCCAAGATGTTGTAGGTATCAAGTTTGTTCTTTTTTATTGCCAATTAATGTTCCATTTAGGAAGGTTTTTGTTTTTGTTTTTGTTTTGACACAGAGTCTCACTCTAACCCAGGCTGGAGTGCAGTGGTGTGATCTTGGCTCAGTGCAACCTTCACCTCCTGGGTTCAAGCGATTCCTGTGCCTCCCAAGTAGCCGGAATTACAGTCATGTACGCACTACCATGCCTGGCTAAGTTTTTTGTTTTTAGTAAGAGAGGGTTTTACCATGTTGGCCAGGCTGGTCTTTGAACTCCTGACCTCAAGTGATCCACCCGCTTTGGCCTCCCAAAAGGAAGGCCTTTTTTTTTTTTTTTTTGAGATGGTGTCTTGCTCTGTCGCCCAGGCTGGAGTGCAGTGGCGCGATCTTGGCTCAATGCAAGCTCCGTCTCCCAGGTGCACGCCATTCTCCTGCCTCAGCCTCCCGAGTAGCTGGGACTACAGGCACCTGCCACCACGCCCGGCTAATTTTTTTTTGTATTTTTAGTAGAGATAGGGTTTCACCGTGTTAGCCAGGATGGTCTCGATCTCCTGATGTCATGATCCACCTGCCTCGGCCTACCAAAGTGCTGGGATTACAGACTTGAGTGACCGCGTCCGGCCAAGGAAGGCTTTTTGAAGTTGCTTAGACTTTGGTGATTCATAGAAGGTCTGATTCTTTTTCAGCAGATAGGTGGGGATGGGATTGGAAATAGTAGGGGTCGGCATGAAATAATGATAATGGTTTCCTGCATCTCTCAGTACTCAGTGGATTCTGTCAGCAGGAGGGCAGTTGACCTTGTAGGGGATTCATGTAGATACTCCTAGTGGAGAAGATACAGTTAAGAATAAGTCCAGATGTCCTTTCTTCCAACTTGGTGTGGTTTTATATGGCCCATGTAGTCCCTTGACTTCTGCTGGATGTGCCTCGTAAGCTGGTGGGTAAATTAGACAGATTAGGATCATCTTAGTGGAGCTCTAAAGAAAATAATGATGTTATACATACTGATTCTTGTCTTCGGCAGTTGTTAGTCGGGAGCTCATTTTCTGCTTTCTCCTGACTTGTCTCAAGCCTGTTGATTCCTGTGCCTCAGGACCCTCATTAGGAGATGGCACTGAAATGGTTCTCAGTTGCACTTATCCCTTCGCTTACTTGGGAGAAACCCAGTAGGCTAAACTAAGTTGTTTTTAATCAGGGTTGTTCTCTTGGTAGGTAGTAGGTGATAGAGATTAACCTTTACCCAGGAAGGTGAAGGCAGACCAGTCTAAACTGTAGGGCATTGGTTTCTGCTGAGGGATCCCTCTTGAGTGAGTAGGGGAGTTAGTGATAGGCTGAGGCAGTGAATCTCCAAGGAAGGAGCTCAGTTCAGGGGCTGTAGAGGTGTAAGGCCGGAGTACAGCCCAGCTAAGGCAGCTCCTGTGTTTCTGGCCCCATGTCTCTTGAGGGAGGCTGGGACTGAGCCAGTACCTCTACCTTGTCCCCAAAACAGCTCCTCTCATTTGTTGCTCTTAGGAAACCTGTGTGAGTACATTGGGAAAGTGTTTTCATAGTGGCCAATAAGACGTTTTCCCAGGCCCAATAGACATTTGTGAATCATTAAGGATCTGTCCAGATACCTCTATGAATCTTCACACTTTTTTTTTTTTTTTTTTGAGATGGAGTCTTGCCCTTGCCGCCCAGGCTGGAATGCAATGGCATGATCTCGGCTCACTGCAACCTCTGCCTCCTGGGTTCAAGCAATTGTCCTTCCTCAGCCTCCCAAGTAGCTGGGACTACAGGCGCACACCAACACACCTGGCTAATTTTTTCATTTTTAGTAGAGACGGGGTTTCACCATGTTGGCCAGGCTGGTCACAAACTACTGACCTCAGGTGATCCACCCGCCTCGGCCTCTCAAAGTGCTGGGATTACAGGCGTGAGCCACCATGCCCTGCCCATCTTCACACTTTTGAATAACACTACAGGAGAGTGTTATCATTATAATATATAATATCAATATAATACCAATATATCAATATAATATCAATTATAAGTTACCATATAATTGAAAATATTTAGCAGTCCCTTCAAGCCACTGATGAATGTATAAAAGAGTAATTTAAAAGCTACTTAATTTCTCCCGAATCACATTTCAGTTTAGTGACCCAGATTTCCTGTTTATATGCTTATACTGTAAATTATTATATTTGTGTCTCTAAACGTTTGAAATTTTGTCTTACTTGCTGAGAAATTTTTTTTTTTTTTTTTTTTTTTTTTGAGACAGTCTTGCTCTTTTGCCCAGGCTGGAGGGTAGTGGTATGATCTTGGCTCATTGCAACGTCTGCCTCCTGGGCTCAAGTGATTCCTGTGCCTCAGGCTCCTGAGTAGCTGGGACTACAGTTTTGTGCAACCATGCCCAGCTAATTTTTGTATTTTTTAGTAGAGACGGGGTTTTGCCTTGTTGGCCAGGCTGGTCTTGAACTCTTGGCCTCAAGTAATCTGCCTGCCTTGGCCTCCCAAAGTGCTGGGATTACAGGCATGAGCCAGCGTGCTGGCCTTGCTGAGAAATGTTTGAGTGGACTGAGGCATTTGCCAAGAAGTTTCACAGATACTTTATTTGGAGTGTGGGACAAACTGGTTAATACTTAAGATTCAACCCACTACTGGTTTAATAGTCTACTTTTTAATTTATTCAAAAGATCTCTTATTTTTTTCTGGTTAAAGACCACTTTCCTAGGCACCATGACTTTGTGGCTGTCAGTGGCAACTGACTTTCTCTTTATGACCATCTTTCTCATACACAGCACATAAAGTTGCTGTGAGTTGAGGATGTTGCACATTTGACTTTACCTAATTGACCCTTTTGTGTTAGGTTTGTAGGATGTGTCATTTTGGGGCCTCAGGAAAGTAAATGACTAGCTTCTGCTTGCCTTCACCTTTTGGCTTCACTCTGGAATAGTTGAAATGAGGACTGTTAAATTTGTGAATGTCAACATCTCCAGCGTATATTATTAAGAGGAACAATTTAGATAATACGTGAACATATTTTCTCTTGTGGAAAACATTAGGATTGTGTAAAGGATTCTTGATTAAGGTGTATGGTACAGCCTGCTTAGTCAACAGAAGAATGAGGAGGCCACCTCTCACTGCACAACAAGTAAAGCTGTGGGCTATAGTTCCTTGCATAGTTGGAACTTTGCTCAGGAATTCTATCTTTAAAAGATCTTCAGTAGATAACCAACTTGAGGATAATGATTCACCTTCTTCATTTCCTGCATTCTTTCTGATTTCTTCACTTCCTTAGATTAGTGATTCTCAAACTGTAGCATGCCATCAGTATCACCTGCAGGGTTTGTTAAGGTACAGATTGCTGGGCCCTAGTCGTGTTCCTTTTTCAGTAGATCTAGGTTTGGGCCCCCAATTTTTCATTTCTAACAGGTTTCCAAAAAGTTCTGATGCTGCTGGTTTGTGGACCACACTTTGAGAACCCTGTCCCAGATGTTGAATATCCCAGTCTCCCAGAACCATTTTCTTTGGTGCTGAATAAGGCAGGTGACTCAGGACATGTGAACAGAGAAACCAGGCAGAGTAGAATGAAAGGGAGGTTGTGGGGAAAGTGGGTCTAAAAGCTAAGGAAACATTGAGGCCTGGTGCCATGGCTCATGCCTGTAATCCCAGAACTTTGGGAGGCTGAGGCAGGTGGATCACTTGAGATCAGGAGTTTGAGACCAGTCTGACTAACATGGTGAAACCCTATCTCTACTAAAATACAAAATTAGCCAGGCGTGGTGACGTGCCTATGATCTCAGCTACTTGGGAGGCTGAGGCAGGAGAATCACTTGAACCCAGGAGGTGGAAGTCGCAGGGTTGCACCGAGCCGAGATCGTGCCATTGCACTCCAGCCTGGGCAAGAAGAGTGAAACTCCATCTCAAAAATAAAATAAAATAAATAAAAGCTAAGGAAAGATTGAAAGGACATCCTGAATGTTAGAGACTTAGGACAGTTAAGCCTGGAAGTCCTGCTCATGATGCTTTGGTATCTGTGTATTGGTGAATGATCAACAGTCTGTCTGTTATGGATTAAGCATATCAAGTTCAAAGCATTATTGGTACACTACACAGAAAGTGTACTTTTTTCATTTTTTTCTTTGTTTTACATTAGTTGGCTTCCTGAGGCTCAGGTAGTCCAAAGAGCCCTGAATTCTGCGGCTAACAACGTGTATCAGTATGGACGAGAATGGATAACTCACAAGGTAAGGGAAGAAACTTTCTTTGTGGCTTTCTCTTTTCAGGGTCTTTACTGGTGGTTGCTTGTTGCTTTGATAAAACATAAGTAGAAATGCTATTCACAGCAGTAAATAGGCTTAAATAAACAGGTAAGCAACATACAATGAAATCTTTTGAAAGATCACATTGAATAGGGGTAGTACCCTGAACAATCTGAGAGGTTGGTCATGTACTTTTTCAAGATAGATGTGATTCATTACTTGTGAGTTAGGACAGAATGATCACTTGGTTTGGGTAGTCAAATAAGGCTTTGTAGAGAAAAAGGTATTAATGCATATTAAATCTTATTGTCTGCTGATAACTGTCTTTGGCAGTTTCCAGTTATTTTCATTTAATATTTGTTTTTTTTTCTTTTACTGTTTCTAAGAAGCCTGCAGTATGAATTATTTTGCCTGCTTTGCAGATGAGGAAACAAGACTCAGCAAGGCTGAGTCAGTTCCCAGTGGTCGTGTAGTAAATTGCAGAGCTTGGTTTGAAACTGAAGCTTAACTTCAAATCCTTTGTTTCTACTGTAGCATGCTCGCAGTGTGTGCCCAGAACTGGATTAAGTGCTTTTGATGTGGCACTTGAGATAAACCTTGAAGGAATGGCAGATCAAGGAAGAGTGGATTTTAAGAAGGGTATTTGTGTGAGCCAAGATGCAGAGACAGGAGTGTGCTTGAAGAGATGATTGAGATGCTGAGACAGGAGTGTGCTTGAGGAAATGATCTTGACTGAAGTGGAGGGAGCTTTGTGAAGGGGAAATGAATGATAGAGGAAAGGCAGCACAGTTAAGGATTAGATTCCACCATATGGATTTGGGATATTCTTTCCCTCCCTAGTTTTGCCTGTAGGAATAAAGGTAATTTGCACTTTTAGTATACTGAAATAATTAGGATTATGTAAGAATCGACAGGATTTGTTGCAGTAAGACTTGTGCCTAGAAAAATATATTAGTATGTGATTCCATATTGAAAATTCAAAAACAAAATCTAAAAAAATAATATAATGGAAGATACGCTGTATACACATATATGGAATCAGGCTGGCCGTGGTGGCTCACGCCTATAATCCAAGCACTTTGGGAGGCCAAGGCAGGCGGCGGATCATGGGGTCAAGAGTTCGAGACCAGCCTGACCAACATGGTGAAACCTGGTCTCTACTAAAAATACAAAAGTTAGCCAGGCGTGGTTGCGCACGCCTGTAATCCGAGCTACTCAGGAGGCTGAGGCAGGAGAATCACTTGAACTCGGGAGGCAGAGGTTGCAGTGAGCCGAGATCATGCCACTGCACTCTACTCTCAGAGACGGAGAAACTCCATCTCAAAAAAAAGAAAAAAAAATTAGATGAGCTTGTTTACCTCAAATTAGATGGCTCTCAAATGATGTTCTGACTATGCTTCATGCTTGGTTGCCTCTCATATGCAGAGGCATATCAGGCACCACCAACAGTACTTGTGTTTCAGTGATGTGTAGTTTTTTTTTTCTTTTTGTGGAGAGGGAGTCTTGCTCTGTTGCCCAGGCTGGAGTGCAGTGGCGTGATCTCAGCTCACTGCAACTTCCACCTCCTAGGCTCAAGTGATCCTACCACTTCAGCCTCCTGAGTAGCTGGAACTACAGGCATGCACCACCATGCCCTGCCAATTTTTCTGTTTTTATAGAGACGTGGTTTCACCATGTTGCCCAGGCTGGTCTCGAACTCCTGTGCTTACGCAATCCTTCCACCATGGCCTCCCAAAGTGCTATGATTACAAGGCATGAGCCACGATGCCTGGCCAAATGGCTTTATTATATTGAATATTTAGTTTTCAGTTTATGAATAAATCAAATATAAAGGAACAAATATGAACAGATACGTTTGCATTGAATATGTCTAGTAACTGGTTCACATATCTGTAAGGCCAGCATCAAATAGGCAAAGAGTAAGGAAATAGATGTTGTAAACTAACGTGGGAAAATGGTCACTCCTTTCATTAATAAAGAAGAAAATAATAAATAATGGCTACATTTCACACCTGTTAAATTCCCTAAAAATTTTCCAGTTAGTTCATAAGGCTTTGAGGAAATTGGGTCATTTATGTAATTTTAGAAAGCATTAATTGGTATATTTCTTATTATAGAAGTCAGTTTACCAATGCATAGCAAGAGCCATTAAAATGCTCATTTTCGGCTGGGTGTGGTGGCTCATGCCTGTAATCCCAGCACTTTGGGAGGCCGAGTCAGGAGGATCACTTGAGCCCAGACCAGCTTGGGCAACATAGTGAGACCTTGTCTCTACAAAAAATAAGAAAATTAGCTCTGTCTGGTGTCAGTGCGCCTGTGATCCCAGCTACTTGGCTGTCTTAGGTGGCAGGATCGCTTGAGTCTGGGAGGTCCAGGCTTCAGTGAGCCATGATCATGCCACTGCACTCCGGCCTGGGTGACAGAGTGAGACCCTGTCTCAAAAAAAACAAAACAAAAACTCATTTTATTTGGTTGCAGTACATTTATTTATGTCACAAGTAACCCTGCAATGAACATCCATATATATCCTTAAAAACTATGTAAAAGGATGTTCATTGCAGTGTTACTCATGACACTAAAAATTAGGATTCATGGGTGGGCGTGGTGGCTCATGCCTGTAATCCCAGCACTTGTGGAGGCTGAGGTGGGCAGATCACTTGAGGTTAGGAGTTCAAGACCAGCCTGGCCAACATGGTGAAACCCCATCTCTACTAAAAATACAAAAATTAACTGGGTGTGGGGGCGCACACCTGTAATCCCAGCTACTCAGGAGGCTGAGACAGGAGAATTGCTCGAACCTGGGAGGCAGAGGTTGCAATGAGAGTCGAGATCGCGCCACTGCACTTCAGCCTGGGTGACAGAGCAAGACTCTATCTCAAAAAAAAAGAAGGATTTATTGTATATCCTTAGAGTGGGTAATGATCAGCTAATACCAGAACGTAATGAATTAATATAAAAGTATTAAAGATGAAGGTTAGTGATGAAGGCTAAAGATTGAATGTTTATAATGAAGTAGAAAAAATTCTAAATTGTCTCTATGTAAATAGGCAGAAAGTTGCAGAGGAAATAGAAAAATGGAAACAATTGTATTAAGGAAGTGGGCCTACAAACTTCTAGAAATTCTTTGGGTTTTTGTTTTTTTTTCTGAGACCAGGTCTTACTCTGTTACTCAGGCTGGAGCATGTTGGCGTGATCACGGCTCACTGCAGCCTCAACCTCCTGGACTCAGGTGATCCTCTCATCTCAGTCTCCTGAGTAGCTGGGACTGCAGGCATGCGCCACCACACTTGGTAATTTTTTTGTATTTTTGTAAAGATGGGGTTTCGCCATGTTGCTCAGGCTGATCTCAAACTCCTGGGTTCAAGCGATCTGCCCACCTCAGCCTCTGAAAGTGTGAAAATTGTTTTTTATATTATAATATGGTTTTAATAATAACTAAGTGGGACAACATTTTATAATGATAGCCTTCCTCTAAGTTACGTTGTCTCAGTGTACTTGATTTCCACAAACCCGGGGCCAGTCTGATCAATTGTAAATGAGACCGGACATCTCTCAGCATGCAAATAGAGGAAGGATTCGTGTTTATAGCCAACATCCTAAAATTTTACTTAAAATTCTGTGGTAATTCTTAATAATAGAGATAAATGTAACATGAGACATATGTATAATGGAAGGTCACTGGGATTACAGGGGAAAGATTTTTCTCTGGACAGGTAAGATCAGATAAGTCAGCAATCATGGCTTCATTTGCACCATTCTCTGATAGCGTGAGGTAGCTCTCTTAGAGACCTAAGAATAGAGCAAAGAAAATAGAAGCAAAAACATGAGAAAGGAAATTTACTGGGAATACTCAGGAGTAGATTTAAGGAAAGAACGTAATATGGCTAGAGATAAATAGTCTGGAACATTTTTGTTTGCTTTGGAACAAATGTAAATACCCAGCATATATTAATTTTACTCTGTTGTTGCCTGAAATATTGTACCACGTCGTATCTGTGTTTTTTTCTAGCTCCATAAAATTCTAGGAGATAAGGTGAACAATACTGCTGTAATTGAAAAGCAAGTACTAGAACTTTGGGACAGACTGTATCACTCTTGGTTTGTAAAGGTAAGTTATTTTAGCTAAAGTTTCCTGTTGTAAACTAATAAAGTCCTTTTATTGACTCATCAACTAGATAGGATTATATTCACAGTGGGATTTCATTCATGGAAATTTCAAAACAGCAAAACCTTAAGCCTCAGGTCACTAAAAGTCAGTGTGAGTTGATGGTTAGTCTCCATGGCAGAACCTGCCTATCTCTCTGGTGCGTCAGTATTCCATCCTCAGTCTGTTGTCACGGACATCTCATCCCCTAGACTAGCTCTGTGCGGGAGAAGTGTAATGCAAGCCACATAAGGTAATGTTAAATTTTCTAATACTTATACTAAACGAATTTTACCTGTTTTAGTTTTTTAGTGATATTTTATTTAACCCAATATGCCCCAAATACTATTATTTTAATATATAATCATTAGAAAAAATTTAATAAGATATTTTATATCATTTTTTTTCCATATGTCTTTGAAATCTAGCATGCATTTTATACCAGCAGCACATCTCAGTTTTTGAGCTAGCCATATTTTAAGTGCTCAGTAGCCACATGTGGCTAGCTCCTACTGGCTACTGTTTTAGACAGTACAACTGTAGGCATTAATAACTTTTCTTTGAGAAAGTGAAACTGAATCTAAACGCTTAGAGATCTTTTATTTTTTATTATTATTTATTTATTTATTTTTTGAGACAGGGTCTCGCTCTGTCACCCAGACTGGAGTGCAGTGGTGTGATCTTGGCTTACTATAACATACTCCGTCTCTTGGGCTCGAGTGATCCTCCTGCCTCAGCCTCCTGAGTAGCTGGGATTACAGGTGCATGCCACCATGCCTGGTGAATTTTTTTGTATTTTTTGTAGAGACAGGGTTTTGCCATGTTGTCCAGACCATCCTATACACTGGATCTGGCAGGGCCTGTGGGCTAGCAGGAGCCGTGCTGTGTATAGAGTGGATAGAGTTGGTGGTGATGATTCTCAGAGTTCATGTAAGGAGAGCAAGTATATATGTAAGTCTCTTAATGTAGGGTGGAGGGGGAGGAGGGCTGATTTTAAATTTGAATTTGTTGCTTAGTGACTTGTTTGGGATTATGTACTCTTGCTTTGGGATGAGTTGAAGGAAGATTGTTAGTTTTTATAGATTTCAAAGACTTGGGAAAAAATATTCAGGGAATATCTAGGTGAGTATCATAGATTTGATCCCATCTGCTGAAAAACCAGATAATTAGAAAGGTATATCTATTTCTTTTGCTAACTCTGGGGCTTCTGCTTACAAATAGCTTTTATTACCCCTCACACCTCCTGAGCTTTATTTTATAGTAGAGGAAGGTCAGTGTTTCATAAGCATAGGTTTGTTAAGTGGTTAAGTACAATTGTCCCCCAGTATCATGGGTGATCGGTCCTAAGACACCCCTCTGGTACCAAAATCCAGGGATGCTCCAGTTCTTTGTACAAAATTGGCATATTTGTTGTCTGGGCCTGGTGGCTCATGTCTGTAATCCTGGCTATTTGGGAGGCTGAAGTGGGAGGATCACATGAGGCTGGGAGCTTCAGACCAGCCTGGGCAACATAGTGAGACCCCATCTCTACAAAAAATTAGCTGGGTGTGGTGGTGTGCGCCTGTAGTCCTAGCTACTCGGGGAGACTGAGGCGGGAGGATCACTGAAGCTCAGGAATTGGAGGCTGCAGTGAGCTATGACTGCACCATTGCACTCCAGTGCAGCCTGGTGACAGGGCAAGCAAGACGCTGTCTCTAAAAAAAGAAGACAACATTCCTACCATCATGCTTGTCTAATTTTTAAATTTTTATAAAGATAGGATCTCACTATGTTGCCTGGGTTGGTCTTGAACGGCTAGGCTCAAGTGATCCTCTCGCCTCAGCCTCCCAAAGTGGTAGGATTACAGATGAGAGCCATTTTACCTGGCCCTTATCTCTTTCAAATTTAGTTATTCTCATATCTCTGCCAATGTCTTCCAGATAGATAAATTCTATTTACTGCCTTACGTTTGCTTGTTATATTCTTCTGTCCTCATTTTCCTTACCTTGTATGGTAAATTAAAAAGAAAAATGAGGGCTGGGCGTGGTGGCTCACGCCTGTAATCCTAGCACTTTGGGAGGCTGAGGCGGGCGGATCACGAGATCAGGAGATCAAGACTATCCTGGCTAACACAGTGAAACCCCGTCTCTACTAAAAATACAAAAAAAAAATTAGCCAGGCGTTGTGGCAGGCGCCCGTAGTCACAGCTACTCGGGAGGCTGAGGCAGGAGAATGGCATGAACCTGGGAGGCGGAGTTTGCAGTGAGCCGAAATCGCACCACTGCACTCTAGCCTGGGTGATAGAGCAAGACCCCGTCCCAAAAAAAAAAAAATGAGGAAAGGAGGAAAAAGCAAAGATGGGAAATCAAGAGAAAGGTGGAGGGCCTAAAAACTAAAAAAAAAAAAAAAAAAAGAAAGTAAATGCTGTTTAGTGTGTTGTAGATACTGAGAAATAAGATGTCTTTGCAAATGTATTTAGGAGGGAAGCACTGGAGCGAGACTTAGACAAGGTACCTAGAATATAAACAAAAGAATTTTATATTTCAGGTCTTTAAATGGAGTTCGTAGCTGATTTCTTTTTTCTTTTTTAGACAGAGTCTTGCTCTGTCACCCAGGCTGGAGTGCCGTGGTACATTCTTGGCTCACTGCAACCTCCGCCTCCTGGATTCAAGCAATTCTCTTGCCTCAGCCTCCTGAGTAGCTGGGATTACAGGCACGTGCCACCACGCCTGGCTAATTTTTGTATTTTTAGTAGAGATGGGGTTTCACCATGTTGGTCAGGGTGGTCTCAAACTCCTGACCTTGTGATCCACCTGCCTCGGCCTCCCAAAGTGCTGGGATTACAGACATGAGCCACCGCACCCGGCCTTAGCTGATTTCTTAAATAATGCAAAGTTCTTTTCCTTGGAGTACTTACTGAAGTGATGAAGGGGACCTGAAGCAAAATGTGACATTTATACTTTCTGTTCTTTAGATTAAGATGGGAATTTCATGTCTGCACTGTTTTATTCCATAGAATGTAACACACTCTGGAAGGCACAAAGGACAGAAGTTG
This sequence comes from Homo sapiens, assembly GCF_000001405.40. Classification (NCBI taxonomy): domain Eukaryota; kingdom Metazoa; phylum Chordata; class Mammalia; order Primates; family Hominidae; genus Homo; species Homo sapiens. Next base: position 109,057,283 of record NC_000009.12, on the reverse strand, counting down.
CATGTCAGTCGTCAGAATAGCTGGCTGGGAGACATTCTGGACTGGCAGGATATTGTTTCCTTTGTTCACGAGAACATTGAGACATTTCTTTCGGTAAGAAATAGCATTTATAGTTAAGCTGAAGTTCAAAATAAAAACAAACTGTAATTCCAAGTTTTCTTCATACACTTTGAGGCCTCATCTATCCTGTTTTTAACATCATGACATTTACATATTTGAGAACTCTAAATGCACTAGGATGATGTTCAAAAGCCATAGGCTTCAGGTGTCACTCCCTTGGTATTTCCCCTGTGGTTGTAGAGTAACTGAGAGATGACCAGGATGTCTCCAGCTGGACTACTGGAGAGGCACCTGCCTTTGTGTTGTGCGAAGACCCTTGACCAGATGGAAATATGGTTCCAGTTACATTGGAGGGATGGGATGTGTTGAATGCTTAGCTTGTCACCTTCCCACCTAACCTCCTACCATGCATCATCACCTCTGCAGTCTGCAGCATTCCTAAGTGCTAACTACTGCTCCTCCTCATTCCATACCATATTTTGTATGGTGTCTTGCATGTAGAATTTCACAGAGGGCAGTTTTCTTGTGCATAAACTTGTGACTTTCATCAAGTGAACAAAAATTGAGGTTTGCCGTGCTAAACTTTTTAAAATTAATTAATTTTTTTTTGAGACGGAGTTCATTCTGTTGCCTAGGCTGGAGTGCAGTAGTGTGATCTCAGTTTACTGCAATTTCCACCTCCCGGGTTCAAGCGATTCTCCTACCTCAGCCTCCTAAGTAGCTGGGATTACGGGCATGCCCCACCACACCCAGCTAATTTTTTTTTTTTTTTTTTTTTTTTTTGCATTTTTAGTAGATATGGGGTTTCTCCATGTTGGCCCAAGCTGGTCTTGAACTCCTGACCTCAAGTGATCTGCCTGCCTCGGCCTCCCAAAGTGCTGGGATTATAGGCATGAGCCATCACACCTGGCCTAAATTTAATTTTTATCAAAGTAATACATGACCATAACTGAAAAGGCAGCAACGCTAAAAGATTTTAATAAACAGCAGTGCCCTGCTGTATGCCTCCCAATTTCCCATCTTTTCTTTACAAACAACTGCCAATTCTTTTAGCTTTCCCTGGGTATTTACCTCTGAATTTCTAAAATAATGTTTATGCTACTCTCTTTGTTTTGCAGTTTTAGATGTTATCTTTTGGCTTCCTAATGTGGAAGATGAAGTGCTGTTAATCAGATATTGGGCCTTTAACATGGATTCCTTAATTTTGAAAGCCTCTTTTCTGTTTTCTGTCTCTTTGTTTTCTTTTTCTCCTGAGAAATAGCTTCAACTTGCCTTTGAAACAGTGATTGAGGCCGGGCGTGGTGGCTTATGCCTGTAATCCCAGCACTTTGGGAGGCCGAGGCGGGTGGATCACCTGAGGTTGGGAGTTTGAGATCAGCCTAACCAACATGGAGAAACCCCGTCTCTACTAAAAATACAAAATTAGCTGGGCATGGTGGCGCATGCCTGTAATCCCAGATACTCGGGAGGCTGAGGCAGGAGAATCGCTTGAATCTGGGAGGCGGAGGGTGCGGTGAGCTGAGATTGCGCCACTGAGCTCCAGCCTGGGTAACAAGAGCGAAACTCCATCTTAAAAAAAAAAAAAAGAAAAAAAGAAACCGTGATTGAAATTTTCATTTCTGCTATCATACTTGCAATATCCAATAGCTCTTTTTTCTGAACCATCCTTTTTTACTTATTTGAGAATATTACTAATAAAATATTTAAAATGACTTCTGCTCTCTCTTTGCTCTGAGTTTCTTTAAAGTTTGTTTTGCTTTCTCTTTTGTTACCTGTCTGGTGATCCTTGGCAGTGTGTTCCTTTTTAAGAGTGCAACACTAAAAGCAGCTGGAAGGTCCCTGCCAGGTCAGCCTGTAGAAAAGCCCATTAGCAGGTTCCACCCAGTATCCTGGACCTTCCAGTTGGCTCTTTAATGCCAGTGCATACACAAAATAGTGTATCATCTAATAATACCTTTGAATGTTTGCTTTCCCCAAAAATTCAGGTGTGTTAACTAAAAGTTATTGAATCCCTTTTTGTTTTGTTTTGTTTTGTGACTGTAGTCGTTGAACTTAAAAGTGTCTGTTATTGATGAATGAAGTGACAGTGTTGAATCATATTAAGATAGATGATAAAGAAACATGATTAAATTTTATAAATTCTTACGGAAAGAGAAGAGGCAGTTTTTGAAACTAAAATAACAGTTTTGCCATGTAATCCCTCAAAAAGAAAAGTACAATTTCTGTATCCCTAAACACATTTAAATATTGAGTAATGAACAGTTCAGGGAACAGATGATTAGTAGTTTTTGTATGAAATGTTTTGTGTCAAATATTGTGCTAGGTGCTTACTAATTTCCAATTTAATTCTCCCAGTGATTCTGCAAAAGTAGTATAGTTGCCTTCATTTTAATAACAAAAAAACAGGCTCACAGGTGTTAAATAGTTTGCACGGTAAATAACAGTTGATATTCAAAGTCAGTTCATCTTTCCTTGGCTCCAGAGGCCAGACTTTTTATATAATGTTGTATTATCTTTCAAACTGTATTTCATCCTCTAGAGAACTCAACATTTCTTAGTCTCATACCTTTATATTTTTATTTGCTTTGTCAGTTTTTTTTTGTTTTTTGGATATTGTTGTAAATAGGTGGCTTAGGGCCAGTCTCGTTCATGAAATCTTCCCAGTGTATTTCAGAATACATTGAGGTTTCTCTACATTCAGACTCCTTTTGCATTTATTGTTTTCACCCTTTTGATACCTGAACATATTTTACCTTCTTTTTCAATTTTTGACACTTTAGTGTTTGTACCCAATCTTCTGGACTAGATTGTAAGTTTTTGGAGGTAGAAGGAATCTCATATATCACTACCTTAGAATTTAGTATGGTGTTAGGTCCTCAATTAAACTAATTAAGAGAAGCACATTAGGCTGTAGTGCAGTAGTTTGACTGTGGCTTACTGCATCCTTGACCTCCTGGGCTCAAGCCATCCTTCTGCTTCATCCTCCTCCTTCTTCCTCCTGAGTAGCTGGGACTACAGGCATACACCACCACACCCAGCTGATTTTTAAATTTTTTGCAGAGATGGGGTCTTGCTATGTTGCACGGGCTGGTCTTGAGCTCCTGAGCTCAAGCTGTTCTTTCACCTCGGCCTCCCAAAGTGCTGGGATTACAGGCATGAGCCACCATGCCCAGCCAATAATTATTGTTGTATTTAGAAATACAGTGGCTGTGTTGAAATGGCGTTTTGAGGTCACGTGACTCATGTCCCTTCCTTTAAAGATAAGAAAGATTGGAACTAGAGAAGATAGCAGAGCTCATGTGGTCCATTGTCTCCAGGCTCCCTCCCAAGTCTCTGAGGCAGACAGAGGTGGCTCAGTTCTGCCAGGAGAGACATTTTTCCTTATTTAGACCTCTGCATTCCTGCAATGTCCTCTTCCTCCTTTGTTTTTCTAAACTGTTGCGTTTGAATCTCCTTCACCGGCTCCATAGAAGGTGGGCTGATGGCTCTTAGTAAGTACTGGGAAACGAAGTTAATAATCAAAAGGTTGTTTGGTGAGTGGTGGACTCAGAGTAAAGGGCTGCAGAGCCACTGGAGATGGTGAGGCCTTGTTGGTCAGTTCTTATCCACAGTAGAGACCACCGTTCATGACCACATTGCTTAGTTGGTTCAGTAAGTCTCTTGGGCTTTTTGTATGTTTCATAATGAACTCTTTGTGATGTTCTTCCAGTACTTACATTGCTATTGTTGATTAAACTGATACCAAACCTGGCTCATGTTTTCTACTTCTGAGTTAGGATCCTTTTTTTTCCCCCTCAGAGAGAGAGTCTCGCTTTGTCATCCAGTCTGGAGTACAGTGGCACGATCCCAGCTCACTGCAACCTCCACCTCCTGGGTTCAAGAAATTTTTGTGCCTCAGCCTCCTGAGTAGTTGGAATTACAGGCATGCACCACCACATTCAGCTAATTTTTTTGTATGTTAGTAGACATGGGATTTCACCATGTTGGCCAGGCTGGTCTCAAACTCCTGGCTTCAACTGATCCGCTCACCTTGGCCTCCCAAAGTGCTGAGATTACAGGTGTGAGCCACCGCACCCAGCCTGAGTTGGGATACATTTTGTCTCCATAAATGTGTTTTGTTTTCAGAGTTTCATGGGCCTTGCTATTGTGCCTGCCTTTACCCAGTTTCTCCTCTTTAAGCCTGACATATAAATTAAACCACTTTACTTTAAGGATTTAGTTAATATTCTAGAAATGTTTCTTCCTCTATTTTCTCCAGTTGATTCCCTTTCTTTTTTTCTTTCAAATAGGAAAGGTTACTTTTTTGTTGTTGGAGACTACCAATCTAAAATTAGTGTATTTAGTTAATTTCTTAAGAATTACCACAAGATATTTTCTCTCAGTGCAACCCAGAAACTATTTAAATTTTTTTTTTTAATAAAAATTCCAAAATGACTGAAGCTGCAAAAAGAATGCTTGTCAAATCACAAGTAAAGGCATTGTTGGCTTGTTTCTTGGAACTGATGGCATTGTTCATTTATTCTTTATCCCACGAGGTCAAACAGTCAATCTTGCACATTTTTGTAGGCATTGTGAAGCATTTTCAAGATTTTATGTAAGGAGTTTTTGTAAATGAAACCAGCCTGCCGGAGTTCTCTTATGAAACTGAGCTGAGGTTTGCAAGAAATGCCAAGGGCAACAAAATATGCCTTTATAAATGGTACATCTGAAGTAGGAAAGGAATGGAGAAGACTTTTCATAGAACAGATGGACATATGACAAAAACCAGAACTGCTGTTTTGGGAAGGGCACCAAAACAAAAATCAGATGTTGTGAGTTCTGCCCCACAACATTTAAGCTCTAAGCTCTAGTTCCACTTACTAGCTTTGTGCCTTTGGGCAAGTTTTCTAAAAATTTGTGAGCTTCAAATTATGTATGTATAAAATAGAGATAATATCATCTGCATTTCTTCGTTCACAGCATTGTTGGGAGGTCTATGGAAGCATTTTAGAAATGGTAATGGGAGGTGTTTTTCTGGTCATTTTGTTTTTGTATTTTTCATTAAGAGGAAGGATAGTCCACTTAGGAAGAATAGAACAGATAATATAATAAGGGGATTTGAGATAGTAAATGAAATGTGCAGGTATGCTATAAATATTGTACCTCTCCTTTATTAATATTTAACATCTATGAGAAACCTTCCTCATGATATCTGGTTCTAGTGAATGTGTAGGTGACAAATCAGCTGAACTCAGTAGACGTCAATATACTGGTCATTGCCTGTCTCAGGAAAGATTTTTGGCCTCAGAGCACTGCTCTTGTCCCTGTCTGTTGATTGCTTTTCTTGTGATTTAATGAAGTCATTGAGGTGATGCTTTTTATATTTGTAGATAGCTCTAAGTTGGAAATGGCAAGGGTGGGGGCTAGGCAGCCAGTAAAGCAAATACTGGAATTTCATGGCCTGCACTTAGGATCCTACAAGATAAATATAACCACAGGTTGTACTCTAGCATATTCCCCAGGAGGTAAAGTCATGGCCTGTGTCACATAATAATGTCTCTGTTAATGATGGGCCACAAAATGCAATCATGGTCCCATAAGATTATAATACTGTATTTTTACTGTACCTTTTAGATGTTTAGATATACAGATACCTATATTGTGGTTGCCTGTGGTATTCAGTACAGTAACACGCTACAAAGGTTTATAGTTTAGGAGTAGTAGGTTGTATCTTACAGCCTATATGTGTGCTAGGCTTTACCATTTAGGTTTGTATCAGTACACTCTATGACATTTGCAGGACGAAATTGCCTAATGACACATTTCTCAGAATATATCTCCATAATTAAGTGATGCATGACTATATTTTTTCTCTGCTTGCGATTTTTACATAATCTACAATGATGTGTGTGTGTGTGTGTGTGTGTGTGTGTGTGTGTGTGTGTGTGTTTTGAGACAGAGTTTTGCTCTTGCTGCCCAGGCTACAGTGCAATGGTAGGATCTCGGCTCACTGCAACCCCTGCCTCCTGGGTTCAAGCGATTCTCCTCCCTCAGCCTCCCAGGTAGCTGGGATTACAAGCATGTACCACACCACACTTGGCTAATTTTGTATTTTTAGTAGAGACAGGGTTTTACTATGTTGGTCAGGCTGGTCTGGAACTCCTGACCTCAAGTGATCCACCCGCCTCAGCCTCCCAAAGTGCTGGGATTACAGGCATGAGCCACCATGCCCCACCAATTATATATAAAATGTTTTAATCCTGTTTTTTAAATTTAGCATTTCATTGTAAAATATTTTCCCATGTTATAACAGTGATGTTTTTAATTGCTGTCTATATTATTTGGTGTGGATTTACTATTTTCTTTACTATTGAGTATACAACTGTTTTTGGTTGATTTTTCTTTTTTTTTTTAATTTTCATTTGAAATAATCCTCAGTTCTTAGCTTTTCAGTTCATGGTACTAAAACACTGTATTAAAAGCACACTAGATGGCTCTAGAAACTTTTTTCATGAGGATTGGTTCTGATATCCAGCTTTCCTTCCTCGTCAGATCTTGGAGTCTCTGTGGATCGTTATGAGCCGGAATGTGAGCCTGCTGTTCACCACTGTCACTACACTCTTGACCATCCTCTTCTACAGCGGGACAGCCCTTCTCAATTTTGTACTCTCTCTGGTACGTCCACATAGATAAGTACACGTCATATTTCCTTCCCTGTTAAAGCATATTTCTGGTTTCATTTGCAATTGCAGATGTCTGTCTTCCTATAGTTTCCAAATACGATTTTTTTAGGAGATGTTGTCCTTTGTTTTGCAGATAATTTTCCTGACCACACTATTTTATCTATTAAGTTCCAGTGATGAGTACTACAAGCCAGTGAAGTGGGTGATAAGCCTGACTCCACTATCTCAGCCAGGTCCTTCTTCTAATATTATTGGCCAGTCTGTGGAAGAAGCTATCAGGTAGGGATAAGGTTTATGCTATTCTTATTTCTCCCAGAACTTTTTTTCCATGATAAGCCTGTTTTTTGTCATGAGCATCCTGATAACATTCAGTGCTAAACTCGTGATGGACTCTGGTATTTTCAAGGTTTTCATCTCATTTTGACAGGATAAATATGAACAGTGCAGTTGTTAATAAGAAAAAGATTCAGGCCAGGTACAGTGGCTCATGTCTGTAATTCCAGCAATTGAGATTGCTTGAGGCAGGAAGATTGCTTGAGGCCAGGAGTCTGAGATCAGCCTGGACAACATAGTGAGACCCTGTCTCTATAAAAAAATTTTAAAAATTATCTGGGCTTGGTGGCATGCACCTGTAACCCCAGCTACTTGGGAGGCTGAGGCCAGAGGCTTGCTTGAGGAACTTGAGGTTACAGTGAGCTGTGATCACGCCACTGCGCTCCAGCCTTGGTGACAGAGCAAGATCCTGTTTCTTTGTTTTTTGGAGATGGATTGCAGTGGTGTGATCTTGGCTTAGTGCAGTCTCTGCCTCCAGAGTTCAAGTGATTCTCCTGCTTTAGCCTCCCAAGTAGCTGGGATTACAGGCGTGCACCACCACACCCAGTTAATTTTTGTATTTTTAGTAGAGATGAGGTTTTACCATGTTGGCCAGGCTGGTCTCAAACTCCTAACCTTAAGTGATCTGCCTGCCTCGGCCTCCCAAAATACTGGGATTACAGGCATAAGCCACCATGCCCGGCCAAGACCCTGTTTCTTAAAAAACAAAAAAACAGACTGGGCGCGGTGGCTCACACCTGTAATCCCAGCACTTTGGGAGGCTGAGGCAGGAGGATTGTTCGAGCTCAGGAATTTGACACAACCTGGGCAGCATAGCGAGACCTTGTCTCTACTAAAAATAAAAAAGATTAGCCAGGCATGGTGGTGTGAAAGCTGTAGTCCCAGCTACTTAAGAGGTTGAGGTGGTAGGATTGCTTGAGCCTGGAAGATGGAGGCTGCAGTGAACTTGGTCACACCACTGCACTGCAGCCTAGGCAACAGAGTAAGACCCTATCTCAAAAACAAAACAAAATTTAACAATTCAAAGCAGTTTTGATAACCTTCTCTCAAACCTGAGATTTACAAAGATGTAATGGTCTATCTCCATCAGCTTTCCATCAGCAGGATCTTAGACTAGCTGTTAGCATCATGTCACTTGCTTAAGAGAACCCCCGCTTCCACCACCCCCATCTCCAACTTCTTTCAGAACCCTCTGCTGTCAGGAGTTTTAGCTTTGCTCCAGAAGGAGAGTAGGTGGACTTCCTGTTTCTCCTCTGTCCTACAGCCAAGCTGTGCCCTCTGCAAGGAGTAGGTTGGATACTGGAAATGCAGAATCGTTGTTTATCTCTTAAGTTATAGGCTCTGTATGCACTGGAGGTTCTGGCCAGAAACTTTTTCGTTATGACTTCTGGCATCCATGTATTTACAGGCTTTGTTTCTGAATGAACTTCTTCAACTTTTCCTCTGTATAAGCTCTTTCCAGGTCGTTGGCTCTTGGCTTCCTTTATCTTTTCCTCTTCATCATTTCTGGTAGGGAGGACCCTTTTGCAGAGCAGGCCTGTCTCAGCCCCTCCTGTAATCCCTGTCATCATTCCTCATTAACAAGACTCAACTACATTTTTACTTCTTATGAATACGTCTCAAATTAAACCCTCCTATTGTCCATTAGAGCTCCTTTTTCTAATACGTTGTTAACCAGGTGGTCTTAAGCATCTCTTGAATAGCAAATCTTTGGCTGGCATTTCTGTCTCCACATACTTTTAATAAATATTGTCTGGAACTAGTCTTCCACAGAAATCTTGATTTTTTTTTTTTTCTCTGATAATTGCACCTGATTGATCTTGGTATATTTTTTCACTGTGTTCATGTAATAGCTAGGGAGAATCCCATTTGATTGTTAGAAAACCTTCAGTTACATTCAAACAGGATGCATGCTCCTAAAATACAATGTCTGTAGAACTTTTGCTAAGTTCTCTCCCCTTTTCCTACTAGCAAGGCCTGGGTAAGATCTTCACCAATACCTTGTTTCCGCGATTGGCTGTCAAGTGGGATTAAAAAAAATGCTCTTAACACCTGTATAGTGTCCTCAGGTATCCACACAGGGGCCATCTATAAAGATTCCAGATTTGGGAGTATATTATCCAGTGTAACAGCAATTGGGGTGAAGCTGTTTCGAAGGAAGTACCAGCTATAGCTTCCCTCCTAAGTCCTATATGACCATTGACTATCATCTTTGCTGAATAAATGAAATGATGAAAATTCTAGCAATAGATAATCTTTTGTTTATCTAGGTGATATCTTTCTGACTCAGAAAAGCTTTTGCAAATGCTCTACCAAAAAGGAAGGCTAATCTTTTATCTTCCCAGTGGGGTAAAGCTATTTATTGTAGCAGCCATATCAAAGGCTGGTAGGAATTCTCCAGTCAGTGTGGCTTAAGCCAAGCTTTGCAGAAAAATATCTACCTTGTTCATAAAGAACTTCAAGAAAGATGATGCTTCCATTTTCCTCAAGTAATCTTCATTGTTACTGACTCTTATTCTTAGAAAAATGTTTCTATTTTCACATCACAGCTTTTGAATTTTCTCTTGTTCTGCTTTCTTACAGCAGACCATCCTCTAAATGTCTGTCACCTTTTTTCATACCAAATATGCCACCTTTTTTGTTTTAAACTTAATTCCTAGCTGTTGTGTTTGCCAGTCAGTGGTAAGTAAAGCTGTTAGTCACACCTAGGTTCAGCTGATTGAAAGCACATACTCTGTTACACCATGATGCCTTCTTTCAAGAGGAGCTGGTTAGGGAAGATCATGACTTATATTTGTGGACATAAGAGGGTGGCATTTAGAAATTCAGGTCTTTGGCTCAGGAGAGAATTTGAGATTACAAAGAGTGCTGTCATCTACAGCGATATGAGGAAATCAGTCTTTTACAAATTAGATTCGACTTCCCTTCTTGGGAGTGCATACACTAATTATGTATTATAACAGTAGCTTATGTCTTGGTTCCATAGTATACTGGCATTTAAAAACCATTTGTTTTATTATCACCTTATTTTAAATACAGAAAAAATTTTAACAACCTTTGGTACCAGAACTATAATCTAATGGTTCTCAGAATTGATAGATTTTTATGAGTCTGATAAATATGGTACAGACTAAAGAATGGGTTATGGCCTGAGACATTTTTCTAACCAAAGCTATATCAAGTTATGTAATTTTAAGGCTATAATTCAAGGTGTTTTTTTTGCAGTTTAAGTTCCTAGGGCTGTTTCTTTACTGGCTCAAATTCAAGACTTAAAATGTACAGATTTTACAGAGATTCCTCTGAAGAGCTTTCTCCTGTGGAGAAGATGGTAGTGAGTTCTCTTTCTAAGAGCTCCTGTTGGATTTTTCATCCTGAAGGTTTGTGTTGAAGAGGCAATATGTTTCTTCATGGAAAAAGATTTTGAGGGAAAAATAAGTGGTTATTTATAATTTATGAATGACTATGAAAATATTGTAATGTCCTCAAAGTGCAGTTTAGCCTACAAATATCAGTGATACCAACTTTTATAAGCATCAGTCATTAATCATCATCTATGTTGCAGCTAAGTGGAAATCATTACATTCATTTATATGATCTGTGAATAAGTCAAAAATGGAATTGAAATTGGGGGTTAATTGCATGACCAGACAGTGATAGTGTCTGTTCGTGAAGCTTTGCCTTCTGAAGTATGTGGTTTCTTTATGATCACTATCTCATTGAAGTTTTGAACCTTACTCATTATTTTGATTCTGAATAAGTATTCTTCTCAGTTGAATACATTTGCAATTGGGTTTTCATTTCATGAAGTTTTGAGTCAGTGGCATGCATCCTTTATCCCCAGACCATTTTCCTCTCTTCAGCAGCATGTTGTCTCCTGAATGTATACATCACACCCTTCTTCCCTGATGCTCCCATTCTGCTTGCTCTGGTGGAGATATTGCACATTACTAAGTTGCATGTTGTCACGGCCTCAATGCAATTTAGTGTGTGTGATATTTTCACATGAGTGCATGCACACGGGTATGGCTCTTGCTTGCTGGGATTACAGCTTTTCAGTGCCAGTGGGTGGGTGTCCTGATGAATTAGATAAGACAGTGTGTATGCCATGCGATTCTCATTTGGAAAGTGAACATGCTTCCCATCGGTACCTTCCAATTTTGGAGAATTAAAAGTATTTGGATTAAAAAAAGTCAGCAATGATCATTTAGTAAATCAGTGTTTCCATTTTTTACTTTGAGCAAATGAAATATTTATTACAAATTCTCATTGATTTAAGAGTATAAACAATATTTAAATGTATAAGGAAGAATGTAAAGCTGTAAGAAAATGTATTTTCATTTATTTGAAGAAATCTCTCCCAACACTGGAATAGAGAAGCAGAAATCTCTTATGCATATTTGGGGAAATTAAATTAACTGGAGTTCTTAAATAATAATCAAGACAGTAAAGGTATGCTTAACCTACCTGATGAAAGATTCATCTCATAAACTTAAGTTTCCAAGGTAAATTACCTTAAAAATGTGTCTTTTACTTTCTCATTGTGATGCTTCGAAAACTGCTAAATTCATTTTAGTGGGCTAATAATGGAACTAGTTTTGAAATACACGTTTACTATTTGCCTATGTAATTGAAACAACCCCTTGTTATTTTTTTAGTTAGCATTAGAGTAAGCATCCACAATCACTAGGCATTGTCAAGGACACAAAACCATGTATTACTGTATGAAAATATTGAATTAATATTTACTACTACCATAGCCTCCAGATGATCTATTGTGATGCTGTCATTGTATGTTTCTGTGTTTCACCACTGTTTTGGAGGGTGAGAATGGAAGAATTCCACGTAAGCAGCTCATCCCCTGTGCCCTTCAGCAGCTCGGCCGTTCCCCTCATGCTGGAAATCTAATGTCAGCCAGGTTGCTATATGACACCCTGTGGAGCTGGGTTTCCAGGGCAGATTAATCAAGAAAGGGAAGATGTGACCTCTCAAGGGAGGTTGGGGCTGGGAAGGGGTGGGTAGAGAGAGATTTGTTAAAGGATACAAAAATTACTTAGAAGGCATAAGTTCTAATGTTCTACAGCACTGTAGAATGACTGTAGTTCAACAATAAATTATATCATTTCAAGTAGCTAGAAGGAAGATACAGAATGCTCCCAACAAAAGAAATGAGGCCAGGTACGGTGGCTCACGCCTCAAATCCCAGCACTTTGGGAGGCCAAGGCGGGCAGATCACCTGAGGTCAGGAGTTCAAGACCAGCCTGGCCAACATGGAGAAACCCCATCTCCACTAAAAATACAAAAATTAGCTGGGCTTGGTGGCATGCACCTGTAGTCCTAGCTACTCGGGAGGCTCAGGTGGGAGAATCTCTTGAACCCAGGTGGTGGAGGTTGCAGTGAGCTGTGGTCATGCCACTGTACTGCAGCCTGGGCGACAGTGAGACTCTATCTCAAAAAAAAAAAAAAAAACCAAAATGATAAATGATCAAGATGATGGATATGCCAATTACCCCTATCTGATTACTATACATTATATGTATTGAAACATTATTATGTACCCCATAAATATGTAGAGAGCAGTCAAGGGAGCTGGCGAGTACTTTTCCCACTGGTTATTGTATATACTGTGTCTCTAAAAGCTGACTGGTCTCTCCCACCAGCTCACTTTCTACTTGAGACATACCATATTGCAGTGAGGCTAGAATACTGGGAAGGGGAATGACAGTCCTTTAGAAAAGAGGGTGGAACCAGTGTAAGGAAATGTGGAGGAGGCAGAATTTCACTTTGGACTCTTCACTCCTCCTTTTCTTCATTATTTATCTTCTTCCTTAGACAGGTAATTCTTACTCAGCTGTGGTCTAAGGCCCTGTGTACACTGAGTTTATAGAGCTTCTGGACTGGTTTGTTATTCTCCCCATCCCACTCCTTGCTTCAAATATCATTCCATTAAAAGCAGGTCATCTGATTAAATCCTGAATTGTCTTGTTATTTTTTTCTTACTCAGTTTAGAAAAGTAGCAAGCACAATCTGGTTTGTCAGAAAAGAGAGGGTTGAGAGCTAAAGTTAAGTATCAGGAAACGTGTGAAAAAGTAAGTTTCATCCTAGGATTTATAAAGGATGAAGATCAAGAGCTGGTTAGGAAGAGTTAACATTGTAAACAATCATTTGAAGTCAATTCAAGCTTCTGGTGCAGAGGAGTTATTATTAAATATAGTTGTGTAAAGGAGGCATGGATATTCACACCTTTAGTGCCATACGGTATAAATATACAGTAGGCTTTATTAGGGGAAAATCCTAGCTGAGAAAAAGCTGATCCTAACTAACTCTTGGAACTTTTATTCCACAGAGAGGTATGCTTAGGTGGGGCATAGCTGGATTGGATGCACGATGGCCTACCTTCCAATGGACAGGAATCCTGCTCTATAATAGTCTATATATAGTATGGGACAGGAGAACATCTCTAAGACTGTGTAGTAATGGGAGGTCTATGAATAGGGAATAGGCCTTGTTAGAAAACCGTGCCTCTAGCTCAGTGGCTGGTGTGTCAGTCTCTTCTTCCATTGAGCTAAATCACGTCCATCTGAGCTACCAAAAGGAGGGAGGAAAAGAACCTCCAGAGTTTGATTCTCATCAACTATTGAGTGCTAGGAGAGCTTGGACTAAAATTAAAGAACAACTGTCAATAATCTTTGAAGAATCACTGAAGAAAAAGGTCCCAGAAAACCAAGAAAAGGCAGATATTTTTTGAGACATAAAGGTGGAGGAAGCGTATATAGTCCATAAATATTAGACTGGTAAACTTGATGTAAGTGTTCTGTCAATTTCTGCAGTAGGTGCTTGACCACATGGTTGTGAGCAGTTACAAAGGGAAGGGTAATGACCATTGGCACCATGGATCACACAGCACAAGTCATACATGGTCACCTTTAGGGAATGCCAGAAGTCCACGTCTATCGTGATGTTTGCAAGAGATTTGATGAACTGTATCATAATGTCTTTCATAGATAGTAAGACAGGGAAGTGTTTACTGAAATTGACTATCCAAAAAATGTTGACTAACTGGTTTTATTTGACTTTGGGAGTAAATTATTCCTAGCAATCTCTGAATTTTAGGTTCCAAAGAACCCTAGAGACGAGTGATAATTATATGCTCAGTATTATAGGTTATTTAAAGTAACCGAACCAAAACTTGCATATGCACAGCACATAACAGTGGTTGGCACGTAGTGGGTTGTGTGTGCGTCTGTAGTCCCAGCTACTTGGGAGGCTGAGGCGGGAGGATCACTTGAGCCTGGGAGGTGGAGGTTGCAATGAGCCAGGATTGCACCACTGCACTCTAGCCTGGGCGACAGATTGACACCCAGTCTCAAAAAAAAAAAAAAAAAAAAAAAATTGTCAGCTATACCTTTATTTATTTTTAATGAAAGAAGAAAAGTTAAAAAAAAAGTTCTTATAAGAGGGAGGAAGTTCTGGAATTAATGATGATAGTTGCACAAATTGTGCGCATACTAAAAACCACTGAATTGTATACATTAAAATGATGGAATTTATGTTATATGAGCTTCATCTCAATAAAAAAATTTTATTAGAAAACAAAGGCAGGAGAGTCAGAATGAAGGAGACATGTGGACAGAAGCAGAGCTCAGAGATGGAGAGAGATTGGAGGATGCCACACTACTAGTCTGAAAGATGGAAGATGGGGCCATGAGCCAAGGAATGAAGGCAGCCTTTAAAAACTGGAAAAGGCTAGTCCAAGTGTGGTCGTATTTACAACTAAATGATCACAACCAGTTACAGATTGCTCTGTTCCCTCTCTGCTCTCACTGCTTTACTTGGCTAGCCTAAAAAAAAAACTACTAAAAAAGAAGAGAAAACAGATTCTCCTTTAAATCCTCCAAAAAGAATGTGGCATCCAGGTTTTAGGACTTCTGAATTATAAGATAAAAAGTATGTTTTAAGCCAATTGAGTTTAGGGTAATTTATTACAGCTGCAACAGGAAACTAACACAACCCACTACATGCCAAGTACAGTTATATGCTGTGCACATGCAGGTAGCATACCGGAAAGTTTTGGTTTGGTTATTTTAAATTGTAAGGTTAAATAACCTATAATACTGGGCATATAATTACCATTTATCTCCAGGGTTCTTTGGAACCTAAAATTCAGAGATTGCTAGGAATAATTTACTCCCAAAGTCAAATAAAACTTTATCTGGCATATAACTAATGGCACGCACTATGCCTGGCTAATTTTTTGTGGTTATAGTAGAGACGGGGTTTTCCCTGTTGCCCAGGTTGGTCTTGAACTCCTGGGCTGTAGCGATCCACCTGCTTCGGCCTCTGACAGCGTTAGGATTACAGGTGTGAACTACCGCAACCAGCCAGACAACAAATAAAAATGAATGCTATATATTTATAGTTTGTAATAAAATGTTACATTGTGAAATGGTTAAATCAAGCTAATTAATATATTCATTACTTCACGTACCATTTTTGTTGTGAGAACATTTAAGAGGTACTCTTAGCAGTTTTCAAGTATACAATGCATTATTATTAACTGTAGTCACCATGCTGTACAATAGATCTACTGAACTTATGCATCCTAACTGAAACTTTGTACCCTTTGACCATCTCTCAGCCCCTGGGAGGCTGAGGTGGGAGGATCACTTGAGCCCAGGAGGTGGAGGTTGCAATGAGCCAAGATTGCACCATTGCACTCCAGCCTGGGTGACAGATTGACACCCAGTCTCAAAAAAAAAAAAAAAAAAAAAAAAAAAATTTGTAGGATGGCAACCACATCCTACTCTCTACTTCTATGAGTTCAACTCTTACATTCCACATGCAGTATTTGTCTATCTGTGCTGTGCCTGGCTTATTTAACTTACCATAATGTCCTCCAGGATCATCTACGTTGTCGCAAATGACAGGATTTCCTTCTTTTGGGGGGGCTGAATAGTATTTCCTTGTGCACACACCACATTTTCTACTAATAGCCACTGCTTATTGAGCATCTACTGTGCACTAGGTCAGTTACTAGGTGCTTCAGATGCATTGTCATTTAGCTTTTCATGGGTTGAATTGTTCTTCCTGCCAGCATCCACTCACATGAAACTGTGAGGTTTAACCTCATACCTTGAGGAGATATGTGGTGAGGTAGGAGGCAGTGGCTTCTGGGTTGGTGTCCGTGGACTATTAGTTTTTTCGGAATTGAGAGATTAAAGCTAATATTAGTTATAAAGTTAAATAGATACCGTATGACCCAGTATCTCCACTCCTAGGTATTTACAGACGAGAAATGAAAGCATATGTCCACAAAGACTTGTACACAAATGTTCATAGCAGCATTATTCATAATACCCCCAAACTGGAAACACCTCAAATGCCCATCAGCTGGTGAATGGATAAGCAAGTTGTAGTAGATCTACATAATGGAATACTACTCAGTAGTAAAAAAGGAACCAACTACTGATATACTCAACAATGTTGGTGAAGCTCAAAAGCATTATGCTAGGTGAAAGAAACACCAAAAGCTACACGACAACGTGAATGTACTTAGCACTATTGAACTGCACACTCAAAATGATTCAGATGCTAAATATTGTGCCATGGATATTTTGCCACAATTTAATACAAAGCTATATAATGTATGGTTGTGTTTACGTGAAATTCTAGAAAAGGCAGAATTATAGTGACAGCA
This sequence comes from Homo sapiens, assembly GCF_000001405.40. Taxonomy (NCBI): domain Eukaryota; kingdom Metazoa; phylum Chordata; class Mammalia; order Primates; family Hominidae; genus Homo; species Homo sapiens. Next base: position 109,040,534 of record NC_000009.12, on the reverse strand, counting down.
TATCTAGTGGCCATCAGAGGCCAGAGTTTAGGGAGGGTTTGACAATAGAAGGGCATGAGGGAACTTTTTGGGGTGATGGAAATATTCTACATCTTGATTGTAATGATGGTTATAGAATGTATATATTTGTGCACATTACTGAATTGAATGCTTCAAATTGGTGAGTTTTATTATTTGTAAATCATAGTTTAATAAAGCTGATATAAAAAAGAAGAAAAAGTTGCTAGGAATTTGAGGGAGTTAAATTCTGTTTTCTGGTAAATTGTAAGAGGATTTTTCTCTGCTGTTTTATTTATAAAACTTGTGTGCCAGATCACAAGTAATGAGGTAGAGGGGAATATATTGTCTTTTCATCCCTCACTAGGTTACATGAATATGTTTAGTAACTGCAAACAATATACAGTGCATTTAAAAGTTGCCTTGAGAACATTACCAGCAACCAATATTCTCAGCAGTGAAAGAAAGAAGACTGCTGTCTTCTCCACGTGGTCCTTACTGGATTGAGCCTTGGTTACTTGCCACCCAGAGGGGTGATTGAGTTGCAGTATTCTGTTGCACCTTTGATGTCAACTTATTTTTGGCTTAAATTTTTTAAATAACATAAGGTTAAAGAAAGGATCACATCTCTATCTTTTCCTCATTGACCTCCCTAGTTCTAGACAAATTCTATACTTTTTTCCTTTCTTTTTCTCTGTGGTCGATTATGTCATTATTCCCTCCCCCTCAAAACCTACCTTCTCCCTTGGTCTCCGGGAATACTGCACTCTAGTGATTTTCCTCCTACTACGGAAATGATTTCATTACCTCTCTGGCTGGTATTTCTTTGTCTTTAGGTCCTTTATGAAAACACAACCTGTTGCCCTATTTTCTCTCCACTTGCCCTTTTAAGATGTCCTGTACTCTTTTATAATTATTCTGGTGCGTCTCAGATGTCTTGTTCTGAATTTTCTATTAAGCCTTGTCTCTTATTTCAGCTACCTCTAGGGTATTTTCATCATCCTTTTTGAGTTCCTGTTGCCCATACTAAACAAACTGCCCTTTTCTTGCATGCCTCTTCCATTCTGGCCTTCTCCATGACTTTGAGACACTGCTATTCTTTCCCCTTCAGGTTTAAAACCTGAAGCTCTGTTGTTTTCTTTTTGCTCTGTCCTCTCTGTTTAGTTGTTGAGCAGATCCTTGGTATTTTCTTTGGGGTCTTTCGCTTCCTTTTGGTATTTTTGATACCACTTTATTCTGGGTTCTTGTTGCAGAGTCATATGGCTCCTTTAAGACGTTCTCTAGTGAAAGCCATTGGTCCGGATGACAAAGCAGGTTTTACAATTGGGGAGCCACTCTGCCCCTGGATCCATGTCCCAGAACACTACTAAATGACTAAATCACTAGATTACAGGGCTTCACTTTGCTCCTAACAGTATACCTCTTGGGATGCTTTAGAAAAGCTTGGTGTTTCTTTTTGCATGTACAAGGTCACGTTTGCCGCTAACGTCTTCTTTTTCAACTACAGCTTTTCTTCTGTAGTGACCATATGAAGGTGCTTTCCCTGCACCCCTCTGCACCACCCCATAGAGTCCAGGTTTTTATGATTTTGTGCTGCCTTGAGATTACTTACGGGTTGCCACCTTTGTGCTCTCTGAACAGTTCCTTATTTCCCCTCCTTATAGTGCTGCACTGCCTTACTAATCTTCCAACTGAAAAACACAGAGCACCTGACATTGCAGATTTTCATGTATTGAATTCCTATATTAGTCACCAAATATATGTGTCTGTTTTTATCTCTCTTGTATTTTCCTCTCTGATTTTACTTTGGAGTTAGGAATATTTTTTTTCCCACAAATTCTCTCCCAATGACCTACTTTCTTTGATAGCATTTGTAAGAGATGTTACTTTGTAGGCTTAGTTACATAGTTTAAGAAACATAGGAAGATTTTGTTAAGGCAAAGAAAGATGGTGAAATACAAGTTACACTATCCCTTATTGGCTCTTTCCAAAAGGGGAGGACTGGCCACAGCCTGGGTTTCTTAGAGTTTAAACTGTATTCTTGGAAACATGTTATTCACGCTTAATTTTCTTTCCATTTGTTTTGGTGGTGAAATATCTGCTTCAGAGTGAAAAGTTGATGAATTATTTCAGAGAATAGGGTATTTTAAGGTGTTTCAGTTATTTTTTCATCAGAAATTTAAGGAATAGTAAACATATTTCCAAATAAAACATATTTCATATTACATAAAGAATAACTTAGTAAATGTATTTAAAGTAAGGTGTTTATGTTTCTTTGAAATAAAATGAAAATAGCATTCTCAGGCCAGCAGAAAAACTGAAGCTATTACATGATTTGGAATCAAGTGGTCACGTGATTTTTCTGAATCACGATATGACACTGTTTATTTACTCTTTCTTTTTATCTTTGGGCATTCCAGAGGGGTGTTTGATGCTTCCCTCAAAATGGCTGGCTTCTATGGATTGTATACCTGGCTGACTCATACTATGTTTGGCATCAATATTGTCTTCATACCATCAGGTAACAACCATATTGTACCTTCCACTATTCGCTATTTAAGGAAAGTTAAGCCATTTTACATACATCTAGGAAATGTCTACTTCCTCAAGTTTAAAAAACTAAATTTTTTGGCTTGAGATCGAATCTAGTCCACATTAGGAACAGAAATATGATTTGTAATGTGTTTGTTTATTGCTGTATCCCCAGCAGCTGGAACCATACCCAGCACATAGAAAAAATTGCTGTATTAGTCTGTTCTCTCACTGCTATAAAGAAATACCTGAGATTAGGTAATTTATAAAGAAGAGGTTTAATTGGCTCACGGTTCTGCAGGCTGTACAAGAAGCATAGTGGCTCCTGCTTTGGGGGAGGCCTCAGGAAACTTATAATAGTGGTGGAAAGTAAGGGGGAAGCAGGCATGTCTTACATGGCTGGAGCAGGAGGAAGAGAGGGGAGAGGTGCTACCACAGTTTTAAACAACCAGATCTCACGATAACTCATTCATTCACTATCATGAGAACAGCACCTAGGGGTGAAATCCACCCGCCATGATCCAGTCACCTCTCACCAGGTTTTACCTCCAACATTGGGGATTACAATTTGACATGGGATTTTGGTGGGGACACAGATCCAAACCCGTATCAGTTGCCCTACATGTTTGTTCAATGAATGAATGTTCTAGCACTTAGCATAACACCTAGGACATAATTGGCTCTCAGTAACGTTTGAATTGAACTGATTGGCAGGGAGCAACTTGTTGTCAAAATAGCTTTGTCCATGAGGGATTACATCCCAGGGCAAGATGAATGCTTCTGAGGGCACATAAGCTGCCTCCATACCTCTTAAGATCTGTTGTGGTGCTTCTTCTACTTTTCCTTCCTTTATTTCTATGGCTGCTTGTTTTCCTAAATATCTCTGCCTTCCACATTTGCCTCTACCACATCCCCCCCTTTCCCTATTTGTCTGTGCTTCCTTCTACATTGTCAAGTTCATTCACGTTCTTCTCTACTGTGATGTCCACAAACCTACCCTCTGACCTGCAAGCACCCTGTGAGGCGGGATGGTAGACTTGTCATATAGATGAGAGACCAGTTTTCCAAGGTCATGTACCTGGCTTCTGGTAGGACCAGAACTAGAAACTACATTTGCTTTACTCTTAACTTGGAGAGAAGCCAGATGGAGGAAGAGTGCTTGAACATACTGCTCTGGAAGGGAATGACCTTGAAGCAGGGTCCTTCAACTCAGGATTTTTTCTGTTTATTTTTATTATGCTGAGGTTTAGAAACTAATTTCTGATTGGGCTTTGGACTCAGTACAAGTTTTGACACATGTTCTGTAGGTGTATTTATAGGACCGTATATTAACTATTGATTGATAGTAGCAACTACAGAACCCTTGAATTTTATTGCTTAAGAAGAGATCCATAAATAAGACACACACTTAGAAAGATTTTTAGTATCACATTTTAAGATATTGAGCCTTTACTTAGCTAGAAAATTCAGTTAGATAGGGCATATCATTTCCCTAATATTTGAGTTTGTGAGTATTTAACTTGTTTTGTTGGAAGTTGTTGAGGAGGAGCTACTGCTTAGATTCTTTTGCTTTGTTAGTGTTTTGCTGATGATGTTAAGTTGTTTTTCTTTTACTCTTTTTTCAGCATTAGCAGCAATCCTTGGAGCAGTGCCATTCCTGGGGACATACTGGGCAGCAGTACCTGCAGTTCTTGACCTGTGGCTGACACAAGGGTTAGGATGCAAGGCCATTTTACTGTTGATTTTTCATCTCTTGCCAACATACTTTGTAGATACTGCAATCTACTCTGACATATCAGGGTAAGTAAGCCACAGAATTTCTTATTAGTGAATCATCCAGGCATTTCCGTTTTTTTTTTTTTAAAGGAGGATTTTTTTCTCCTGGGGGTATACAAAAGAACTGGTAGTAGGAATTTTCAGTGAAATAGCCTTTTGTGTTCCCACAAATGAAATTTTCATTGAAAATAGTATTGTTTACAAGGCATGATATTTTGGGGTTTTTTTTTTTTTTTTTGGTTGTTGTTGCCCCAGAGTTCCAGAGCAACTTTTTTTTTTTTTTTTTTTTGAGACAATATCTCTTTCACTCAGACTGCTAGAGTGCAGGGTGCAGTCATGGCTCATGGCAGCCTTGAACCTTGAACTCCTAGGCTCAAGCAGTCCTCCTGCCTTGAACTTCCCAAGGCACTAGGATTACGGGAATGAACCACCATGCCCAGCCAATATTTTCTTATTACATATGTAATATTTATAATATATATGATGTCCTGGGTTAAAACCAAATTGTGAATAATTTTCTCTTGATTTAGTGACATTTAACCTAGAAAAGAATTATGACCAGATGTACATCAAATATTTTAAGTACAGTGAACAGTTAATGATTATTTTTATCTCTTCTTTGGTTTTGGAGAAAATGTTGTTAGATTGTATGTCTGAGGATATCCATGTGAAACCAAATCTCAGCAAGTTAATTTCTGGCAAGCAGAGCTCTCTAAAGATATAATTGGAATGGTTCTATGATAAATACAGGTTAAATCTAAGTCAGAATCAACACTTTAGCCATATAATACAATAAATAAATGTCTGTTTTTATAGGTTTTGACATCTCTTTTAGAAATTGCATTAAGTATATCAAGCCAGTTCTCAGTCACATTAAAACTTGAGAGAGAAAATTAAAAAGCTGAACATCATAGTGTGGTTAACTAGTGTGTCACAGTTGACATTTGAGCAGGAATAAGTATGATTAATACTTAAGTGCTTTTATTTCTTTAAACTTTGCTGTAAATTTTATATTAAGGTTTACAGCTGGAATTAAAGAAACACTGTCTTTTTTTTTTTTTTTTTTTTTTTTTGAGACAGAGTCTCCCTCTATCACCCAGGCTGGAGTGCAGTGGTGCAATCTCGCCTCACTGCAACCTTCGCCTCCCAGGTTCAAGCCATTCTCCTGCCTCAGCCTCCTGAGTAGCTGGGATTACAGGCGTGCACCACCACACCCGGCTAATTTTTGTATTTTTACTAGAGATGGGATTTCACCATGTTGATCAGGCTGATCTTGAACTCCTGACCTCAAGTGATCCGCCTGCCTTGGCCTCCCAAACTGCTGGGATTACAGGCATGAGCCACGATGCCCGGCCTAAAATACTGTCTTTAAACGTTGTTATTGGGAAATGAAAGGTTTGGCATAAATTGTTTTATTTTTTAATAGGTTAAGCTTTTATTCATAAACTCCCACACGTTTTTATTTTTTTTAAAAAAAGCTTTAAGGCTGAGCATAGTGGCTCAAGCCTGTAATCCTACCACTTTGAGAGGCCGAGGTGGGTGGATCACTTGAGCCCAGGAGCTCAAGACCAGCCGGGGAAACATGGTGAAACCCGTTCTCCACAAAAATATAAAGATTAGTTTGGTGTGGTGGCACATGCCTGTAGTCCCAGCTACTCAGGAGGCTGAGGTAGGAAGATCACTTGAGTCTGGGAGGTCAAGACTGCAGTAAGCTGTGATTGCGGCACTGCATTCCAGCCTGGGTGATGGAGCGGAATAAAAAGCTTTAAGCATTTTTGATAGTTTTCCTTGAATGTGTTGTTTAGGGAAGAAGTTTACTTAGCAAACATGGAATACTGCCCTAAATCATTTTTTTGGAATGAGAAAGACAAACACATTATGAATATAATTTATTGGTTTCCTGAAGACTGGTTCTCCACAAGTCTTACTTTGATTTAGCTGTAATATAGAACATCCTTCCAGGATATTTAGTTATTTGCCCCTCACTGAATTGTTCTTCTCATCTATGTTTAAAACTAGAAACAAACAGAATGTGACTTATTTCCCAGTCCTTCTGATGTCAGTGGTCCTTTCTTGTCATTATCAATGTGCTATGCTACTGTGTTCTGTTTTATTTCATTCCGCTTACATAAGTGATACTGTAATAAGCTGGAGGGCATTTGTGATTCTCCTGTGAAATAGAAATCTTGGGCTTTGTGACAGATATTTTCCTCAGGAGGCCTTTTATCATCACCTATGTTAAAAACTATATTTTAGGAGGTTGCCAAAAGTCTGACCTATGAGTAACAGGGATGCTCTCATTGTTGCTGTCGTCATATAAAAGCATAATTAACTGAATTACATGCTAAATTGTGCTCACTTAATTATCCTTGATGGAGGTTAACTTAACAGGTGACTCCTAACCAGTCCCAAGCCAACATTAACCCATCATAGGCAGGCACCTGTAATGGGTATAAAATATCTGTTAACATTGCTGGCTTTATTCTTTCATTCCTGGAGCTATAAAAAGAGGCAGATGTCATCCATAGGAAAAACAATTGTTGCATCTCAATATTGTTGCATCTCAATATTATTGCAGTCAGTGTTCAGTTGTATGCATCGAGGTGATCTAAAGAAAGCTGATAATATGCTAAAAAGCATAGTGTATTAAAGAATGCACATTGTATTAGAAATGTATTTCAGATTTTTTCCAGTTTTTGTGTGTTAAAGGTCGTGCTCTTTATTCCAGAGGTGGCCATCCTTACCTGACAGGCTTGGCAGTGGCCGGTGGAGCATACTACCTAGGCCTGGAAGGAGCAATCATCGGTCCTATTCTTCTCTGCATACTTGTGGTTGCTTCCAATATCTATAGTGCCATGCTAGTGAGTCCCACGAATTCAGTTCCCACGCCAAACCAGACCCCATGGCCTGCTCAGCCTCAGCGGTGAGTTAAAGCAGAATAATCATAAGCTGTATTTATACATTGAACTGTCCTGTCTCTGTATTTGATAAGTAGCTTCATCCAGACTTGTCAGGATAAAGGTATTTGAGTACCAATGCTGTGATAAAGGTTGCAGAAGACACTAAGTAAATACAAATCGTTGGCAGAGTTTTGGGTTTCATATACCAAGAAAATTTAAAACCTATATTGGGGCCGGGAGCAGTGGCTCACGCCTATAATCCCAGCACTTTGGGAGAACAAGGCAGGTGGATCACCTGAGGTCAGGAGTTCGAGCCCAGCCTGGCCAACATGGCGAAACCCCATCTCTACTAAAAATACAAAAATCAGCCAGGTGTGGTGGCACCCGCCTGTGAACCCAGCTGTTTGGGAGGCTGAGGCAGAAGAATTGCTTGAACCCAGGAGGCGGAGGCTGCAGTGAGCCCAGATTGTGCCACTGGACTCTAGCCTGGGCAACAGCATATAAAAAAAAAAAAAAAAAAAAGACCTATATTGGGTGAGAATTGTTAATGTCTTGAAAAGCCAAAAATAAATTTAAAAAATCTAATTCTATGCGGGACATGGTATACCAGATTGAAAGAGACTCAAGAAATGGACAACCAGGCCAGATGTGGTGTGGCTCATGCCTGTAATCCCAGCAGTTTGGGAGGCTGAGGTGGGCAAATCACCTGAAGTCAGGAGTTTGAGACCAGCCTGGCCAACATGGTAAAACCCCATCTCTACTAAAAATACCCCAAAAATTAGCCAGATGTGGTGGCAGGTGCCTGTAATCCCAGCTACTCGGGAGGCTGAGGCAGGAGAATTGCTTGAACCTGGGAGGTGGAGGTTGCAGTGATCCGAGATCATGCCATTGGATTCCAGCCTGGGTGACAGAGCGAGACTCTTGTCTCAAAAAAAAAAAAAAAAAAAAAAAAAAAAAAAAAAAAGGAAAAGAAATAGGACAACCAAATGCATTGCATGAGTCTGGGATAGATTTCTGGATTGGGGATGGGAGGAATATTTCTGAAACAATTGGGGAAATTTGAACATGGACCATATGTTAAATAATATATCAATGTTAAATTTGGTTTAACCAATTTAACAATGATACTTCGATAACCAATGATACAATGATAACCAGTCATAACCAATGATATTTTGGTTCTGTAGAAGAATGTCCTTTAAAGATGACGTGTCATGATGTCTGCCACTTATTTGCAAGCAGTTCCGCCAGAACTGGGAGAGGGAGAGAGGAAGTGACTGTAGCAAAATGTTAACAATTGTTGAATCTAGATGAAAGACATATGGTTGTTAATTGTACCGGCATTTCAATTTTGTGTAGGTTTATACATTTTTAAAATACAAAGTTGGGAAAAAATTATTTGGGACACCAATATAGAGTTGCAACATGTTATTTTGTAAGTACAGATATTAAAATAAAAAGTACTGTTATCTGCTGTCACCAGCATTTCATAAAATAAATTATAATGTTTGAAAATTTTTCTCAATTGTCTTATAATTTTCTTAAATTTCTTTAGGTATAATTTATATATGGTGAAATGTACATCTAAATAGCCAAATGTACCTCTAAATAGACAGGTTGATTTTTTCATGTACTCACACCCATGTAACCACTACTCATATCAAGGTATAGAATATTTTTGTTGTTCTGGAAGGCTTCTCCCTGCCTCCTCTCAGTCAGACCCCACTGCCTGCTGATACTCTAACCATAGTCACTTTTCATTAGTTTTGCCTGTTTTTGAACTTCATATAAAAGAAATCATATAGTAGGTAGGTACTCTTGAGTCAGTCCTCATTGCTCAACAGTGTATCTGTGTGATTCATTCATATTGTTGGATGTTTTTCTCTGTTCATGGTTCATTCTTGCATTGTTGTCTAATCTTCCATTACATGAATATATTACAATCTCATTTAATCATTGTAGGACTAATAGATATTTGGGTAGTTTGCAGTTTATGTCTGTTTTAATTCAAGATGCTATGAACTTTTTAAAAAAAATTTCTTATTTTGCCACGAACGTTTTTGTACATGTCTTTTGGTGGACATGCGCACAGTACTTACTGTAGTTGGACATATACCTAAAAGAGGAATGTCTGGTTATACATCTGGTTTTAAGTTTAGGTGGATACTTAAAAACAGTTTTCTATGTTATGTGCCAGAAATTACATTTTAACAACAAAAAAGAAGGACAGTCTCAGAATAAAAAGTAAAATGTTTTGAACTTTCCGGAAACTATATGGCATTCTCCTTGTTATCTGCAATTGGAAAACACTAGTTTTCCTGCCACTGGATATTCTCGTGTAATCAAGGAGTCACTGACAAGTTGGTTCTGACAATGCATTTAATGAAAATATTTTATACTTTTATGTAAAATTCTTTAACAACATGATTCTGCTTAATTTTGTTTTTAGTGTTATATTTTGTGAAGAGAGACATTGTCCTTTAACTCAGAACAAATGCAGTAAAGTCTCTGAGTTAGAGCTGGTTAGGGGGCCATTTTAGCCAATGCGTGATCCTTAGTTGATGGCAGGGGAAAATCAGTTTTTCCAAAAGAATAAAAGGAGAGGTGCTTCGGTGATTTTGACAAGGGCCTTCCCAATTTGGTGGTGGTGACACTATGATATCCTTTTCTGCCTTTGCCTCTTAAAGACAAGTGCTCAGATACCTGAGAAGCCAGCGGTGCTCGAAATCAACAGAATGCACTTGCTAACTTGAGGCTCTGTTCCATGGGCTCACCAAACACAAAGAAAAAAGATAATTGATCAATATTTTGCTGTTATTTTGAGAAAAACTTAATGATTTCAAGTTACTAAAGCAAGAGTTAGTATTTAAGGTGAAATGAAAGCAACTTAAATGAATTCTTTTAGAGGTAATAAACCTTTTTAACTCTTTGTCCTTCTAAAAGTACAAAATGCTTATGTGGCGTGGCAGAGTAGAAAAAGATAACGTGAGGACCCATATAGCCTTTGTCTTTCAAAGTTACTCATGCATGAGTTTAAAGAGTCAAATTTCTACAAAACTCAGTGAAAAATAAGGACAATAAGGACTTTGCCTTCTCCCTCTTCTTCCTTTTTCTAAGAGGAACCACTTTTTGACCCTGTATTATTTTGATATTTACCTCCATATCTTGAAGTGACGTATTTATTTCTGATTTGGTCATATATAGGCATCATCTAATAACTTCCGACTTGGAAGGTTAGAAGTTAGCTTTCACTACCCATTCCCCCAAAACAAACGGTGATACTGGTTAGATCAGTATTCAGGTTTTACATTATTATGACTTTAAATTATATTCATATTTGAGCCTTGTCATATATTCTAATATTTCTTTACCCATACGACTTTTGCTTTCTCTTGAATTAATAAAGATACTGGTTTTTATTTGCTTTGCTTTCCATGTACTTATAACTAATCCCATCTCAAGCTCTGCACCAGGCACTCACCTCTCCACTTGGTATGTTCAGTCGCACCAGGCATAGTTGGTCTTCTAAAGAAGACTGTCCTAAGTGCCCTGGTCTGCCCCAGTGGAGTGCTGTCCTTTTGGCTTGCTGTTCAGCGGTCACCTTGGGTATTCCCTCAACTCTCCCTTGCATTGGAATCCTTATTTCTTATACCCTATATAATTTTCTTTCTTGATTTCTTCCTTTTTGGTGGAGCACATCCTCTTATAGATTTTCGGGAAAATATGCATAGGAGGTAAATTTTGAGGGATGATGCATGTCTGAAAAAGCTTTTCCTAATGTCAAACTTAATCCGATAGCTTTCCTATGTAGAGAATTCTATGCTTGAAATTTTTTCTTTAACATTTATTTCTTCATTGTTTTCTGGCTTCTAGGATTGTTGTTAAAAGTCTGAAGCAATTTTTATTATTTATTCTTGTTAATTTGACTGTTTGAAGACATATAAGATCTTTTTGTTTATCTACGGTTTCTGTCCTGATGGGCACTTGCTAAGACCTTTAAAAGTGAAAACTTGTGTTCTGGTGTTCTGACATTTTTCTTGAGTTGTTTCATGATTTCCTTTTCTTCTTTCAGAAATTTATTTTATTTTGACTTTGACCCTCATGGACTGGGCATTTCACATTTTACATCCTTTCTCTCTTTTTTCACTTGTGTCTTTTTGGCTCCATTTTCTGGGTGATTTCTTCAACTTTATCTTGTAGCTTTACTATAGAGGTTTCCATTTCTACTTGCACATTTTTTTCAGTTTCCTTTATTGAGGTATTATTTCCTTAGAGTAAAATGTACCTTTTTAGCGTACAGGTTTATATTTTGTATGACATGTAACAGATTACACATTTAGCAGCTTAACGTACATTTACGATACAGCTTCTGTGGGTCGGGAGTTCAGGCAAAACTTGGTTGGGTCCTCTGCTTAGGACCTGAAAATCTGCAGTCAGAGTTGGGGTTTCATCTGTGGATTGGGGTTCTCTTTCAAGCAGTCCTGTTGTTGGCATAATTCATTTCCTTGTAGTTGTATAACTGAGGCTCATGGCTCCTAGAGGCTGCCTCTCTTCATAGGCAGCTGATAATTTGGGTTTTTGCTTCTTTAAGGCCAGCGGGAGAGTATTTTTCTAACTTTGGTCTCTGACCCCTAGACTTTTTAAAAGAAGAGCTCGCCTGATTAGACCCAGCCCACCCAGCATAATCTCTTTTTTTTTTAAGTCAGCTAATGAGGGACATTCATTATATCTGTAAAATCCATCCACCTTTGCCATACATGTTGAGCATCCCAAATCCCAAATCGGAAACTCTCCAGAATCAGAAATTTTTTGAATGGGAACATGATGCTCAAAGAAAGTGTTCGTTGGAGCATTTTGGATTTTTTTTTTTTTTTTGAGATGGAGTGTCACTCTTGTCACCCAGGCTGGAGTGCAGTGGCATGATCTTGGCTCACTGCAACCTCTGCCACCCGGATTCAAATGATTCTCCCGCCACAGCTTCCCGAGTAGCGGGGATTACAGGTAGGTTCATGCCACTACGCCCGGCTAATTTTTGTATTTTTAGTAGAGATGGGATTTCACCATGTTGGCCAGGCTGGTCTCGAACTCCTGACCTCAGGTGATCTGCCCTCCTCAGCCTCCCAAAGTGCTGGGATTACAGGCATGAGCCACTGTGCCCGGCCAGCATTTTGGATTTTAGATTCTTGGATTTGGGGTTAGTATAATGTAAATATTCCAAAGTGCAAAAAAGATGTGAGTCACTTCTGGTCCCAAGCATTTCAGATAAGGGACACTAACCTGTATTAACAGAACCACAATATCAGGTATTGAAGGTGTTTGGCTGTTGGCTCATGTTAAGAATGAGACATGGCCGGGTGCGGTGGGTCACGCCTGTAATCCCAGCACTTTGGGAGGTCGAGGTGGGTAGATCACCTGAGGTCAGGAGTTCAAGACCAGCCTGGCCAACATGGTAAAACACTGTCTCTACTAAGAATACAAAAATTAGGCATGGTGGCATGAGCCTGTAATCCCAGCTACTCGGGAGACTGAGGCAGGAGAATCACTTGAACCCAGGAGGTGGACGTTGCAGTGAGCAGAGATTGCACCATTGCACATTGCACCACTGCACTGCAGCCTGGGCAACAGAGCGAGACTCTGTCTCAAAAAAAAAAGAGTGAGACACTCAGAAGCTGTGGTGGATTGTGATATGTGTTACCATAATATGATGTGGCAGGGCCACTGCTTTGTCCAGCCCTTAATGTCAGTGATTTTGGTCCCCTTTTTGGGCTTGTATATTCCTCAAAGAAAGAGCTTCTAATCTCCTGGCTAGAGACTAAAAGCCTGGCTGCCAGCCTCCTGGGAGCCAGGAGGAGGAAAAGGTCTGGACAGCCTTCAAGATGTAAACATCCACTTAATCTCCCAGTGTTGGGATGGATGCCCACCCTCATTTCTGCCTGTTGTGCACTAGTTCAGACGCTTTTTGTTTTACCTTCTCCAGAGGGGAAAAAAACCTCTAGTTTTCTGCCAAGGAGGGGAGAGGGTGGAGTCAGCTGCTTGGCTGGGGTGGGAGGTGGGGTGAGGATATCAGAGGGTGTTGTCTTACTGCTCTTTAAGGAAACTGTAAAGCAGTCCTGTGTTTACCCCCATCTCCCACCCTACTTCCGGAGTTACTTGATGTCACCAGTTCCTAAACCTTATGGGGGATTTCGCTGAATAAATCAGAATGTTTCCTGGCCTTTCTCACTACTGGTTTAAGATCCAGCTTTTTAGGGTCTTGTGTTAGTCTGTTTTTCATTGCTATAAAGGAATTCCTGAGGCTAGATAATTTATATAAAGAAAAGAGGTTTATTTTGGCTCATGGCTCTTCAGACTCTACAAGAAGTATACTGCCAGCACCTGCTTCTGGTGAGGCCCCAGGAAACTTCCAATCATGGTGGAAGGCAAAGGGGGAGCAGGTGTGTCACATGGAGAGAGAGAGAGGAAGCAAGAGATGACAGGCTCTTCTAAACAAACTGCTCTCACCTGAAGGAATAGAGCAAAAACTCATTTATCATTGTTGGGGAGGGCACCAAACCATTCATGAGGGATCTGCTCCTGTGGCCCAAACACCTCCCACTAGGCCTCACCTTCAACATTAGGGATCACATTTTAACATAAGATTTGCAGGGGACAGACAGCCAAACTCTATCACGTATGCCAGGTCATAGCAGTCCCACCCGCTTTCCACCTTCTTAGAATTTGTTGCTTTTGCCTCTTAGTTCTTTTTTTTTTCTTTCATGGCCTTTGCTGTCCGAGGTGCAGCCGCACTGGCTTTCCATCAGGCCTCAGATACACCAGGTGCCATTGAAACTCTGGGCCTTTGTGCACGCTGCTTTCTCTATCTGGATAATCCTCCATCTGGATAATCCCCCATTTTTCCTTCTTAACGAACTCCTAACTATTCAGATCTCAGTTCAAATGTCAGTTCATCAGAGAAGCGTTTCCTACCCCCAAGATTAGGTTATGGCCTCCTTGCCAGTTTAATGTGTTTATAGTTTGCACCTTGTACTTTTTTTTTTGTAGTGCAGTTTTCATTTATACACTTGATTATTTTTCTCTCTCCCCCATCCCAACTTGACTATAGTTGCTGTTACTGCCAGGACCAAGTCTATTTTAATTACTGATGTCAACCTCTGTCAACAGTATTTTGTACTCAGAATGCTCAATTCCTAGTGGAAGGAATGAATGGGCTGTGAGGGAATAGTATCTACAGAAGCATGAGCTCTGAAAGGGCTTGGCTTTTTCTAGGAATTTGTATATTGTTACAGTGTGACAGTAGAGAATAGATGGTTGCATTTTATTAAGCAGACATACCTCTTAATTCCACACTGCAAAAAAACTTGTTAGACTACTATCTTCACACAGATGAATGCCCATTCTCCCTAAGGAAAGATTGTAGGAAGGAAGACCTTCTCTGCTGCTCACTGTTGATAGTGAGAATGTAGTGGATACAGCACAGCTTTGGGCTCCCAACTATTTTGGCCTCTGCTGAATAATCAGAACCTTTCACTTCCTCTGTTCTCTATTAATAGTGGGCTTGTTTAGGGAGATGGGATGTGTAGGGAAAGGCAAAAACACCCCTGTAGTCATGCATACTTTCTGGATTTTTGGACAGGATAATCAGACTTGCTTTGATAGACTTCTTTCACTTCTACTAAAAATTGAGCAGCAGTCTCTGAATATTAAAGCCCAGAAAATCCTGTAAGGCATATGTCCCAGGAACTCTTTCAGGGATGCTATTCTCCATATTGTAGTTTTCCTTTGCCCTCTGTTACACCTTGAGAGGAAGGTGACAACTGGAATGTGGTCCTTTAGGAACTCAGCTTTATCTTTCTCTAGGGAAGATTGAGTAACTTGTGGCTGTTTTTGTACACGCTTTCTTAACCTGAGGTTTATATCTTTCATAATTAAATACCGAAAGTACAATCAAAAATGAGTATCCGCTGGGCACAGTGGCTCATGCCTGTAATCCCAGCACTTTGGTAGGCCAAGGCAGGCGATCGTTTGAGTCCAGGAATTCGAGGCCAGCCTGAGCAACATGGTGAAACCCCATCTCTGGGTCTCTGCAAAATGAAGTATAAAGATACTCCCCATAAACCATCCCCGCTTCTGCAGATCTTTACACTAACCCTAAGAATTTCACTTGGGGTGCACTTGCTGTCATTCCACTTTAGAAGATTGAGAAAAGAGAGTAAACTGGGGCTGGGAAGGGAGTACATTTGATTTACTTTCTGTTACTTGAAAATTTCCTGAATCTGCTCATCCTCTTTACTCCCAGTGGTGTGACCCACTGCCAGGATTTCTTCAGCAGCCTCTTTACTGGTTCCTGCCTCCAGTCTGGCCTCCCTCTAGTCTGTTCTTCATAGTATAGCTTCTCTGATTTTTCTGAAACATAAATATTCTATTCTGCTGCTGCTTAAAATTCCCACAGTGGCTTCCCATGGCCTTCAAGATAAAGCTAACACATTAATTTGCCCTGTCAGACTTCTCATGCCTTTCTTCTCTCTACTTCTCCAGATTCATCTCTGTGCTGTGTGCCTTGCATTTTATTTTTCAGCTGTATTGAACTTGTTTTAGTTACCAGAAGGCAGTGTCATCTTTGCAGTGTTGTCCCCTCTGTAAAGAACACCACTTCCCTCCTAGCCAAGTCCAGTATCATGGTGTATACTCAAAGTACCCTTTTTGTGAGAAACATTACTGAAACTCTGAACTAGGTAAGAAGTCCTTGCTGTGTCCCTGTGGTATCTTACACTTCTGTTGGAACTTAATACGCGTTTTATAGATGTGTGTTTAATTCATTGTTTTTTCCCATTAGTTGGTAAGCTTTTTGAAGGTGGGAGCTATATCTAACTTTACCACTGTTTTACCACTCCTAACATGGTGCTTGGCGCATAGTAAGTGCTAGGTGAAGATTTGGTGAATTTGTGGATTAGTGAAACCAAAAGCAGAATACAACCTTGAGGCTGATAAAAGACGATGGGACATAGTAAATCCTAGCCTTAGAACTTTATTCCAAATTTGTTGGAAGGGAGGGGGTATGTATAATAGTGGTTGCATGTGCTCTGTCACAGGATTGTATGCTGGTGCCGGTGTAGGAAATACACACTCAGTGCTGGGGAGCCAGCTAAGTAAGTTAAATTAGTTAGTTACAACTTTCAGGCATCCATAACTTAACTCTGCCTGTCTAGGAGGCTGGAAGTCAACAAGTCTTGAGTTGTTAAATCATAAATGATTTACATATTTACATGGAGGGAAGAGGGTAGGGGGTGAAATGAATTTGTAAAGATCTCATTGAAAGTTTGGGGCAAGCAGATCCCAAAATATTTTCAAAGAGCAAGGAACAGTGAGAGACTACACTGCACAATCCCTGTTGCTCTGAAAGGAGGTGTAAAATGTTAACAGTCCTCTAGTCCCATGTGACCACAGTCACATGTGGTCCCATTCTGCATTGCTTATTCTTTTTTTTTTTTTTTTTGGAAACAGAGTCTCACTCTGTCGCCTAGGCTGGAGTGCAGTGGCGCGATCTGGGCTCACTGCAAGCTCCACCTCCCAGGTTCACGCCATTCTCCTGCCTCAGCCTCCCGAGTAGCTGGGACTACAGGCGCCCGCGACCACGCCCGGCTAATTTTCTTTGTATTTTTAGTGGGGACGGGGTTTCACCATGTTAGCCAGGATGGTCTCGATCTCCTGACCTCGTGATCCACCTGCCTCGGCCTCCCAAAGTGCTGGGATTACAGGCATGAGCCACCGCGCCTGGCCACATTGCTTATTCTTAGACGAGAAATTCTATACTGTGATTCCTTGCAGCATAATAATCCTTATAATTTGAGAAAGAATACTGTATTTAGATGGTTTAAGTAGGATGTTAAACATTTTCAGAAAATAGTGTCAATACAGTATTTGTTTCTAACGTAGAGAGTTATAGTTTTATGAGCTTTACTTATTAGTTAGAGCTATGCCTCTGGAATAAGCCAAAAACCAAATAATTTCTGCATCTCTAGACTATAGATATTGTTTTCCTGGAGATAATTAGAGGTTTGTTCAAGATCAGTGTTACTTCAGTAGAGTTCTGTAGATACACACACCTCCCCCTCCATCAATCACCCTAACACCCTACATACCTAGAGAGAACATTGAGATGAAAGACTCTTAGTAACTGATCTCTAAGCTTGCTTCAGGTTGTTGGTTTTCTTTGTTTTGTTTGTTTGTTTTCCTGAGTCCTTTTGGAGACTTTCTTGGCCTGGAGACAAAATTGAATAGTAGTTAGGAATTTCAAGGTTACAGCTAAGCTCACTTGTCAACAGAGAGCAGTGACTAGGCTAACCATAGCCTTAATCTTATTTAATGTGTCTTTGCCCTGAGGCTGAAATCTTCATTCATAATTTAGAGGAAATGAATAGTTAATAGATATAAAATTACAGGTATCTGAGAAATTTGAAAAGATGTCAGGGAACCCCGTTGGGTATTAGAAAATGCTTTGTAGTATTAGCCAGTTTTTGACTATTGCTTGCAAAGATTTTCCAGGGCTTTTCAGAATTAAGTGCTACCTGAAATTCATATTGTCTGAGACAGCAGCCAGCTTGGCCTGTAGACAAATGTAAAAACACAAACTTGGGTGAGACTGTGAAAAATAGCTATCTAGAGCTTTAGTTCTGACAGGAGTGTGGGGGTGATTTTTTTCTCCCCAGACAATTTCTCATGTCTGGAGTCATTTTGATTGGCATTCTAGTTGAATAGAGGCCGGGGATGCTGCAAAACATCTTATAATGCAGAAAAATTTCAAGATTGAGAAACACTGATTTGAGATAGATAGATAGATAGATAGATAGATAGATAGATAGATAATGCATATAAACATACATGTGCGTATACAAATCTTCACCTTTGGACTTGTTTTCAGAACATAAAAGTCTTTAAGGAAAGAAAATTCATTTCAATTATTAGATCAGCCAGCATCTTTAAAAATGGTTGGTGTATTCATGTCACACATAAACCCTCTCAAAGCCTCAGGAGCCATAGCCAGGAGACTAACAGTTTTTCAAAGTAGAGCTGTGCTAGTAGAGGCGTGCTTCAGAGATCCAGAGGCTTAGGGCACCATCCTTGAAAGAGCCTTGAGATAACTGAACATCCTTAAAGGTAATTTCTTTTCTGTGACATTTTACCTGTTCCCCTCTTGACACTGAAGTACTTTCCTCATTGAGTGCTGCAAGGTTAGTCTTTAATTGATCTCTGCCTTGCCTATGGGCCTCCTAAATATTTATATGAATTGAGAGGAGAGAAAAGGAGTAAGGGAGGGGGCATGATTGTGGAATTACATTTGAAGTTCAGATTGTTTATTTTATGAGTTTTTAGGTGATTGTACCTAATAAAAGCTTTTTGTTATCTTTAGTTTCTACTACTGTGAGCTGTTCCTTAGGTTTTGGAACACTTACTTTATATTGTACTTCAATTTATTCCTCCTTCCCTTCCTCCCTCCCTTCCTTGCTTTTTTTGGGGGGGTGGTGGTGGTGGTGCAGGGTCTCATTTTGTTGCCCAGGCTGGCCTGGAGTGGCATGACCTAGGCTCACTGCAGCCTCAACCTCTTGGGCTCAGGTGATCCTCCCACCTTAGCCTCCCAAAAGTATAAAAATTAGCCGGATGTGGTGTCATGTTCCCTGTAGTCCCAGCTACTCAGGAGGCTGAGGTGGGAGGATGGCTTGAGCCTGGGAGGCAGAGGTTGCAGTGAGCTGAGATAGCACCAGTATACTCCAGCCTGGGCAACAGAGTGAGACCTTGTCTCAAAAAACAAAACAAAACAAAACAAACAAACAAACAAAAAACCAACTGTAAAGTCAAATATTTTTCTGTATTTCTAATATGTGGACTTATTGTAAAGGAGCAATATAACTTCTATCTAAAAGAATGGTAATAGACTGTGCTTTATATCTGTATCACTGTTGCATAAACATCTGGTCCCAGCCTCTCTCCATCCTGATGTACTGCCAGCCTTGGTGTGAGGCATTTTTGTCTAATATGGGTGCTTGAGCTCATGTTCATTGATAAATTCTGACCTGGCCATTTGGCTGCCAGCACAGATGTAAATTTAGCCAGGTGATTTATCTCAGCTCAGACATGTAAATTATGTAGCAAAAGCAAGCTAGCTACTACAGTACTGAGATAGACACTTCATGTATGCAGCAGTCAGGCACGGTGCTCAGCCACCTTCATCCAGCCCAGATATTACCCGCCAATAACATTGTTCGCTTAGCTTGTTTAATGTGGGTCAGAAACAGTTCAAGTACAAGGTCACTTGATGAAAAGACCTAACCCATTTTTCCTGCACTGAACCACATCCCTTAGAGCTTGGACTCTCTGTTGGATTACGATTTCTATTTTGTAATAAAATGTATCCACTTAGCATTTAATCTTTGGTCTCTTAGTGGTTTTTCCTCTTTAACATCAATCATCATATCCACTTCCAGCCAGTAACAAGGTGGAAGAGCTGAAGAAGATTGCTCTTCTCTTTTAAGGAACTGCCCAGAAGTTGCACAACACTTCTACTTAAATCTCATTAACCAAAGCGTAGTCACGTGGTCATGTGTAGTTTCAGGGGAGTCTGGGGAAACAGTCCTTTGGATAGATCCAGCAAAAAGATGGAGTTCTTGTTAATGAGAATGAGCAACAACTAGCAGACTTTGAAACAATACTCAATGAAAATCTTAAGAAAAAATAGTGACTATATAATCTCATTAGGGCTCCAAAAGATTGTAAAAATAGGATACTGTTTTATGGTAATCAACTAATCATTCCGTCTTTTTTTCTTTTAGGACTTTCCGTGACATTTCTGAAGATCTGAAATCTTCAGTAGGTTGATGTGGTTTCCTCTGCAGTGATTTTTCTAGGAAGTTCAAATTTGACAGCGAGTTCAGCTCAGCTGTGGCCCTCTGCCCTTCCAGCTGTGCCTAGCAAGCAAAACCCAGGAAAGAAGCAGAAGCCTCCTGGCCTTACATACAGAATGCCTGGACAAGAGAGAACTTGCTGCGGGCTGCTTTGTATTTTAAAACACAGCTTGAGAGTTCAGAGTTGGTGGTTTGCTCACTTAACTGTTGTTAAGATGGCTTGAAAAGTTTCATTTTATACACTGGTACCCTGGCTTGAAATTTTTCCACTTTGGTTATCTATGTTACTATATTATATATTTATAAAGTTATTTTAAGAACTCTAAACTACCTGCTGTTAAAAGAATAGATGGTGTAATTTTTTCCTGGTTTAAGAAATGTATTGTTAAACTTTTCTAAGACAGTCACTTTTCAAGGAAGAGGGCTTTCACTTTTGAGTGTGTAGTTGAGTGAGCAGGAAAAATGAATCTTCTACCCTTCTCCCACAATGTATTATACGCTCTTTAAGAAATAATAAATCATAAGTATAAGGGTGGGGTGGCTTATTTGATGTTCAGTTTTATATTATAACCCTGGGAGATACAAAGACTGAAGCTCTTCCTCCTCTTCCTTTTCTCTTCACGCTTCTTTACACTATTGCCAAATTATAAAACTTGGCTGACCACGTTGAAGTGAAATACTTATTAAGCTGCTATGAATGGTAACAGTATGATAAAATTCATGCTGTTATTAGGTTTTCTCCTTCCAGGTGGTTGAAGTGAAAAATCTCAGGTGTAGCAATACTCTGATTTGTTAAATGTATCCGTTTCATTATTTGGAACTCTGCCAATAAGTTAGTTTTCAGCAGAATTTTGTATTTATGTAGTATTTTCCCATCTCTTAGCACAGTGCCTTGCACATGACTCTAAATGAATGCTTGTTGAATTGAATTGCAACTTTAAAAATATCTCAGATATCACAATAACCAGCATAGTGCTTTACATTTTACAAAGTCCTTTTGCACATACTATTTCACAAGTACATCACATCAGCTTTCATATAGCTTTATATTATTTTACATCAGTTTTACACTGATGGAGAAGCTAAGGTTCAGAAAAGTGACCAACTCAAAGTCGTAAAGTGTAGTAGGATTTGGCCTCAGATCTTTGACTCCGTTGTGTGCAGATTCTGCTGTATTAGTGTTCCTTCTAAATATTGTATGCAGTTTTCCCAGTGTTACGAGATTGGTGTTGCTATCCATTTGTTGTGAATGAAGACTTGTCCTATAGTACATGACAGGGCTGAGAGTGGACTGTAGTTCTTAGCTGAACCCTTTCTACTGTTTAAAACAATCATCAGGCCTATCCTCTGCTCCCAGGGGAATGTGGGAGAGAAAAGGGTTCTTGGCCAGGCTGTAGGTGGTGGCTCACATCTGTAATCCCAGCACTTTGGAAGGCTGAGGTGGGTGGATTGCTTGAGCCCAGGGATTTGAGATCAGCCTAGGCAACATGGCAAAACCCCATCTCTACAAAAAAAAAAAAAAAAAAAAAAAAATTAGCTGGGCACGGTGGTGTGGCTATAGTCTGAGCTACTCAGGAGGCTGATGTATGAGGATCACCTGAGTCCAGGAGGTCGAGGCTGCAGTGAGCCAAGATGGCGCCACTGCACTCCAGCCTGGGTGAGAGAGTGAGACACTGTCCCAAGGAAAAAAAAAAGTGTTGGGGGGTAGTTCTTAAGCGTTGAAGATTTCCTTTTTGGAAAGTATTTAAAGGTAGAAATATTAATAATTTTTCCTAAAACATCTCCCTAAGAAGTCACTGATAATTATAATTAGTTTAAATTTATTCTTACACTACTTAAGAAAAATTTCATTTAGAAAAGGCTACCATGAGATCTTTTGACTATATGGAGTAGACTGCATACAGATCTCTTTATTTCTATTATGAATATTTTAGCGATTATAATCAGCTATTCCACTGAGTATTAGATTTGGTCACTAAGTAACTCATGTTTTTCTTTAGTCAATCATTCATTCATTCACTAAAACATTTGTTGAGAGTTGGCTAAACTCTAGATTCTGTGCCAGGCACTGTACAGGGTGATGGAGATCACTCATAAGAAGGCCTCTTGCTCTTAGCCAGATCATATGTAATACTAAATTTAAATTTTTTGCATTAAAAGGCTAAAAAATCATTTGTTTTTGTTAATTATATACTGGTTGATTTATAGATGTAATTAGCACATATTCATAAGAGACAAATATATACAATGAGTTACTATACATATACAAAGTGATTTTAGCTGTATAAAGTGATATTGCAAAAAACTACAGCTAATGTTTCTTGCTGGGTAATTATTAGCATAAATATCAGGTTCTTAGAGGTCTTTAAGAGAATACTTTAGAGCTACCAAAATTAGCAGCAGTGATGTAATATCACCCTGAAATACCAGGAGCAGAGGTGCCCCAGAGTGCTTCACAGCTATGATCAGGAAACTTGACCTGCCCCATTGCTACAGCAACGGCATAAGGACTAGGAAGGTCCACTAGCTGGGGAGGTCTTGGAACCCTCCGAGCCAGAAAGAAGCATTCCAGCATGATTCCTCAGATGCAATGAGGAAGGTTTACAGAATTTTCACAGGGCAACAGAGATCAAGTGGTATGAAAAGGTAGGAGTTTTAAGCTCAAGTCTCAAAGATAACCTACCTTTACATTCTCAGTCAGAATTTGACCCAGAAAGAGGAAGTTTCTTCAGGAACAGACCGTACGTTGATGAAGTAGAAGTCATTTCAGTAAAAACGGAGTACAGAACTTGGTCATAATATCTTGCATTTTATAGATTTATTAAAGATTAGTTTCAAGTTCACATTCGCTATTCAGTTGTAAACCGAATGGATGGGAGGGGAGAAAATACAAGCTCTCCACACAGGTATGCTCCTCTCTTTTCTGAGAGAGAAGGCATGGGATTTTCAGCATAAATTCCATGTTATGTGAGTGCTGTTTGAGTTCTGAAGTTCCTATCAATATCTGTTCCTGCAAGTGATCTCTGTAAGACCACCTTACATGCTGGTCTTAGTTATTGTTAAAATTGCAAGGTTTCTTCACACCCTCTTTGATAAGAAGTGTTTAGCTGGCAGAGCTTTCCCTTGACTTCTGAGTCTAGTGTGGGTTGGCCCATGACAGTGGGAAGAAATCCAACATGTTACATGGAGACCTTGTATGTAAACAAACTCTGTAGCCTTTGAAAGTGGAACTGCTTTTTACAGTTAAAGGGCTGCTAAATGGCTTGCAGATGAGATCTTCTGGCTCACCTTGATCTTCACATGAACCCATTGTGACCTATCTGGATTTCCTAGGACCTGTAGTTTCCATTTGGGTTATATTAGTGCCTCAGGAATGTGTCACTACTGGTCAAGCAATACTCAGAAATTCAGGCTGTGAGGGGTTAGATTAGAGGAAAGTAATTTAGGTGAGCTATCCAGAGCTTTCAACCTCAGGGTTTATAGGAAAAAAAAACAAAATACAAAAACCCTTAGGACTTCTCATACTCTAGCCCTGACCTTGCAGTCTCCTCTGAGGGGCCTCCTAAGACCCTTAAAATAATATTACAATAGGACTTTGAGTGTGCATTTCACAGTGGAAATAGCCTCTGGCTAGCATTACTTCCAAATGCTAGTTCCAGCTAAAAACAAGTACTTTTTATTAGTTTCTTGTCTTTCAACATTCTGCCATCAAAATATATTCATTTTATTAACTTACCGATTATTGGGAACCTGCAAAAAAAAAAAAAAAAAAAAACACACATGCTGTCTGCAGCCACTGTTTGGTTATTTTTGATAGTTTAAGAGAATTATAAATCAAGTTGTTCTGTCTACTAGAGTCAGAAATTCTGTGCTAGAATGGGACTTCTAAAATTAGGTGGTCCTGTCACTTTCTAGAGAAAGACCCAAATTCATAGGTTTAAGTGGCTTGTCTGACATACACATACAGCCAGTTAGTAACAGAATTCAGAATAGAATAGAGTTCTTTTTTTTCTGTCAGTCCGTTGTTCTACTTCTCTTTCCTTTTCTTCATGGTTGAGCAGCTTTTGGCAAAATGTGTTCCATATAGCAGTAGTTCCAAGAGATGTTAATAGATGTAAGAAAAAAAGTGTGTGTGTGTTGGGGGTGGGGGATTGCATGGTCAATTAAAATGAAGGAATGCTGAGTTTGTTTCCTTACTGTAGGACTTCTAAGAGTTTTGAACATGCTATTACACATTGTGAATTTATAAAAGGGGACAAACACTGTTTGACCTTAGACTGCACTCCCCTTCTTTATTCCTCAGAGCATCTCAAAGGACTACAGGGTCCTTTGAGAAACATGGCCCTTGATCAAGTTTACAACTCTTTGAGAAGACATCCCTAATGGAAATACTGAATGGCAGATCTATTACTGTGGTACCATGTAGTGTGTAATAAATCTTGAAGTCCAGAAAGCAAGTATATTTGCTGTTTAGAGCTATACTTAAGGTATAGAGATTCTTTTCCACCTGTGGTGTGTAAAATCAGTATTGTGTTTAATTTTGCAGGTTTTTCAAGGATCAACTAATGTGCAAATACAGTGGTGATATATTGATATTACATTTTAATAATGCTTTTGTATGGCACTTTATAGTTTTCAGACACCTTTTGTAACAGCCCTGTGAGACAGACAATATTATCCTTATTGTACAGATGGGGGGGCTCTGGAGGCTCTGAAAAGTTTTTGGTGATATTCCCCTAAGTTTATACCACAAAATGATGGAGCCAGAATTTAGTTGCAGAACTTCTGACTCCAAGTCCAGAGTTCTTTACTAGACATCTGGTTTCTTACTAGCTTTTTGCTAGCTTTTTATTTTACAGTGAAAAGTATGGAAGCAAATCCTGATAATTTTGGCTTATTATCAAATATCATTTATTTTTTATTGCAGAGACCCAGCAGATGTAACTCTCATTGTAGCCATCCCAAAGAAAACCCTTCTTTGCCCTTTGCAGTGCCACTTATTTAGGTAACTGAAGTGTATTTCCAGTACAATTTGATTTTGAACTAAGATTTGATATAGAGTTGTAATTGCTTACATAACTCTTTGAAAATGTATCATCCCTGGGTTCTCAGGTGAAGGAGGCAATTCAAAAGTAAAAAAGAATATTCGAATACAATAAATACCCTCTGTTCTCACACAAATGCTGTTTCTTAGCTAACTTGCTTTGACAACCTACTGATGTAACTTCTTTATTAATGTGAAATATTTATATTTTGAAATAAAATTACTAGTGTTGAATGAATCATGTGGTAAACTTAATCTCCTGTGTGTTGAAAAACTTGATCTTTTGTGAAGCCAAAGTTTCATGAATCCATCCGTCTCTTAGGCCTTCTGTTATGCCATTTCCTCCGGCACCATTGTGTACACTGAATTCTTAGGAGATACTGTCAACTTCGTAAGGGAAGGTGTGTCCAGGAAGTGGACACTGGGCGCCTTAAAGAGGTCAAGGGCCCTCAGTGCACAGGGGAAGGTGGCCTTGTGATAGGTAAGGAAGTGGTGAGATGGTTGGCTGAGAAGAATTGGAAGAAAAAGTTGGATTGAGGACCTGTCCTTTTTGAATGAAGAAAAAGAAGCTGAAGCTTGGCTATCTTCAATACCAAAGACAGCTGTGCAGCACTGGTAGATTGATGAAGCTGAAGCTACAGGTTGAAGCACTGTGAAGCGCCTTTCAACGGTGCTTGGGAAAGAGCTTTCTTATGCCTCAGGTTGATGTACCCAGCTCATCAATCTGGTGTTATGGAAGAAGAAATGATCCAGGCCAAGGTGTCCGGGTGGACTGGCCAGCCTCAGATTCTTTTTTACTCTGACAGGTTCTCACTGGCAGATATGGTAGTTGACAAAACATTTTTTCATGCTTCTCAGTCTGTTGCTTAAGTCTGGAATTCCTTCACGGCGTGCATACTGCTGACAACCTCCTTTTGGCCTTGCTCCTGGAGACCTTAGAATAGGAGTCTTCAGCTCCCCGCCCCCATCGTGGGGCTCTGTGCGAGCTCAGAGTTGTGCTTACAGAACTGATTCTTACCCTTCCCCTCAAGTGAGTTGTCAGAAATACACACTTGGTGTTTTCATGCAATGAACAGTTATGAAGAAACTGCTCTGTGCCTGGCACTAGGAAAAAACTTCGAAAAATAGTTTTAAGAAGTAGTGTTGAACAGTAGATGAGGCTTTTTCATGTTTCTTTTAAATTTCTTTTGAATAAGTCTAAACAGTAGTGTGAAAGATATACTGACTTCCTGCCGAATACCCAGATACTCCATTAATGATTGCATTATCAAATGTTTCCCCTTCAATCCAGCTCAAAGTGTTTGTGAGAAATACATGGTGAAAGAATGAGCAGGGTGGAGTGGAAATTGGACCTTCCGGAGAAGCCCCAGGAAGACATTACCACTGGAATTCCCGTCCCAGGGGAAAGGCCCCTCCCAACAGACTTGATTCTGGTTTTGGTCTACCAGTTTCAACCCCAGCACAGCTTCCAGAAGTCTTTGCGGGAATTCAGAGCTGATTTAGGACGAGTCACCTATCGAGAGGACGGGAAGCTTTGCTGGGGACGCTTGTCTGTCCAAGTAAGAGGAGGCCATGTGGCTGTGTGACAGATGTGTTTTGTTTCTCCTCGCCACCCTGGCGAGAAGGTGCCTGGAACCCATGGAAGGGGTCTGAGAAGAGATAAGGGCGGGGCCATGTGGGGGCGGGACCCGGCTTAGGGGGTGGGGTTGCAGGGAGCCCACACCAGGCTGGACTGCGCGGGCGGGGCAGAGGCCGGGGGTGGGCGGGGACATACGGTGACGGGCGTCGGGGACGCAGGGTTGGCGGCGGAGCCCTGGGGGGGCGGGCCCCTGGGGGCGGGGTCTCGGTTGGCGCGAGTGTCCTGTCGCCGCCGCCTCGGGCGGGTGGGCTGACTGGCGGCAGGCTCGCCGCGGCGCGGAGTCCCGGCTGCGGGATAGACCGAGGGCCATGGCCGCCTCTCCCGGACCCGCCGGCGTTGGCGGCGCCGGAGCAGTCTACGGCTCCGGCTCTTCGGGCTTCGCCCTCGACTCGGGACTGGAGATCAAAACTCGCTCGGTGGAGCAGACGCTACTCCCGCTGGTTTCTCAGGTAAAGTGGCGCCTGGCGCGGCCCCTCTTCTCCTTCCCGCCGCGGCCCGCGATGGCGGCCGCCGCTCGCACGACCGGACGGGAGGCAGCCGCTGCCCCACTTTCCGCGCCGGCACTGCGGCGTTCTTGTCGGACCGCCTGTGTGGGGCTCCGGGACGGGCCTCGGCCCGGGCGGCGAGAGACTGGATAATCCAAACTCCGGCGGCAGGGTTGAGTGGACTCGGCAGCAGGGGAGGCTGCGGGGCGGGGGTGCCGGCCTGGGCCTTTGCCCCCAGTACCTGCCTCGGGTCTGCGGCTCCCGGGTGCCCCCGGCCGGGCGATGCCCCCTCCGCGGGGCGAGTGGTTGAGCCCAGCTCCCGAGGCAGAGAGGACCCCCGCGGGGCCCCTCGCTGGTACTTAGGGCCCTCCACGATAACCGACTTTGTCACCAGTTCGCAGCCTGGTCCCGAGCCCGGCTCCTCCGCCTGGGGTATTCCTCCCGGCCTCCCCGCCCAGCGTGCGCTCCCTGATCCTTTGTCCCTCCCCGCCGTAGGTCAGTTCGCTGGCCTCCCATTCATCCCGGCCACCCTACCCCTTCCCCTGAACCTGCTGCTGCTCACTTCTGCCCGCTTCTGTCCGGCCTCGTGGAAGAGTGACGTGGAGACTGTATGACAGTTAATCCAGATGCACACCGTTTTGCCAAGTCCCGTTTGGGATGTGTGCGTTACTGTATTTGCCAATCAGCTAACCGACGCCCTGAGTTTTAGGAAAGTTTTTGTTTCTCTGAGCTGGGTTATATGCAGCTTCAGGGCTAGAATTCCTCACTTAGGTCTGTGGTAAGATGCCAAGCACTGTGGGGAGTGAATTCTGTGCCTTCGGGAGCGCGTTGGCGATGTGTGACTCACATCTAGGTTGTAACCACTTCGTGACTCATACTAGGATTACCAAGATTTTAGAGGTAGAAGAAATCTTAAAGATTATCTGACTAAAAATTCTTTCTTTAGCATCCTTGACACCTGGCCACCAGTACCCTGCTTAAACATGTTCAGTGAAGGGGAGCCTGTAGCTGTTGCATAGAATTCTAAATGCTATTATCTCTTCTCCTGCCCAGCCCTGCGCATATTTGAAAACAGCAGTTACACATGTCCCTGGATTCCTGTTATGCTGGTTAAATAAACATCCCTATTTTCTTCACCTTCGCATGGCTAACGGAGCAGTGATGAATATATCTGACACTCTCCTTCCCTTTTCCTGTGTCTCATTGAGGCTCTGACCAGTGGGAAGGGGCACTGGGATCCCTCAGTAATGTCAGACCCTCCGCTCCTCGCCTATCTCCACTAGCACAACACAACCAAAACGAGAAACACTGGAGCAGTTTTAAGAGGCAGAGAGATAAGAGAGTGATGGAGTTCAAGTTGATAGTATTTTATCCATTTTTTAAATAACACCTATGTAATGCTTACTATGTGGTAGGCCAGGTTCTAAGCACTTTGTAAATATTAACTCATTAATTCTCATAACAATCATGTGAAGTTGGTATATATTCTCGTGGTATGGGAGAGGAAACTGAGGAATACTGAGGTTAAATAATTTGTTGTTAGGGCTTTCAATAAGTGCCAAACTGGGATTTGAATCCAGGTACCCTGGCTCCAGAAGGTTCTCTTTGCTACACTATGCTGTGTCCTCTCTAGAGATTAGAAGCAGTAATGAGATCTAGAGAAAAAGATGGTACATAGTGGAAAAACAAGCTAGAAAGTCATAATCTGGAGAAATGGCAACTTTTCACAGTATCCACTGCTAAAAATGTATCAGTCTTACAGCTCTGCATTGTGTAACTCTGGGGTAAAAGAAGCCAGAGAAGGGTAGGAGAGCAGAGGAAGAAAAGTATAAATCACTGCTGAGAGTTAGAGGTCAATGCCAAAGGGGAAGAATGCCTGCCTTTTTTTTTTTTTCTTTTTCCAGTTAAAGCCTTGTTCAGGGTCACAGCTGAGGTTTTGCATCCCACACATTGTGTATCTACAGCTACATCTCTACCACAACACCATAACTGATATTCCTCATAATTGACTGTCCTTAACAAGAAAAAGTTAAAATCAAGAAGTGTATTAAGCATGGCCAGAATACTCGGTTAACAAAGCAGGGAAGTACAATTTAGAATGATTTTAAAGTTTCAGTGTTAGGAGATTAAAACAGCAGTTCTCCAGAAAACTCATATGTCCACAAGTCTCATTTTCTGAGAATGCTGTATTATTACCCAACTCATGTTTCACCATCTCATCCACAAGGATATTTTAAGCATTTTAAGCAAGGATTTATTGTGTGCTTATTTGTTGCTGTTTTTTGAGGGGCTTATATTCTAGTTGGTAGATAGGTCATGTATAGAACAGCACATGCAAAGTGTCAAATGAACATCATCAATGGTACATACTCTAAAAGCTCAGAGAAGGCATGGATGAGTCAGCAGTGATGTCATGGAGGAGGCAGGGTTTTGAGGTAAACAAGTAGGACTGGCACTATACGGTTTAAAGTAGACAGTTTCTATTCTGGTATCATCTAGCTTCTTCTGACTCTCCAAGTGAAAAGTCCTGGGTTACTGGCCTTATTCTAAGAATGCAAGATTTTATCAATATTAGAAAAATGTGTATAGTTTTTTTTGCATTCACAGATTATAAAAGATGTATTTTCCTAACAATGATGCAGAAAAAGCATTCAACTAAATTCAGCTTCTAATAATGATAAGAAGCACTTAGGGAACTAGTGTTAGGAAAAAGTGTCCTTAACCTGATAGAGTATCTACAGAAAACTTTTACTTAACATCATAGCAACAGTCAAATTTAAAATAAACATTTCCTTTAAAGCCAGAAACCAGAGTGGGGTGCCTGCTATGCTTCTACTCAGCACTGCACTGGAAATTCTAGCCAGTGTAATATGACAAGGAGAAGAAATAAAAGGAATAAATATAGGAAAGGAAAAACCAAAAGTCTCAGTGTGATATAATAACCTATGCAGAAAACTCAAAACAGTCTACAAGTAAATTATAAAAATTAGGAGTGTTGGCAAGTTCACTGAGTGTAGGATACTAAAATCAATTGCATTTTTCTACATTGATAACAAACAAGGCACAGGCGCACTGGCTGGTGCCTGTAATCCCAGCTACTCTAGTCTCAGCTATTCAGGAGGCTAAAAAATGGGAGGATGGCTTGAGCCCAGCAGCTGAGGGCTGCAGTTAGCTGTGATCACGCCACTGTGCTCCAGCCTGGCCAACAAGGACCCTGTCTTTAAAAAATAATAAAAAAAAATAGAAAAAGTAATTATTAAAAAAATCCAGTTATATTAACAGTAACAGCAAAATATGAGCTTCCTAAGAATATGTTGCTTTTGCTATGTATATAAAGAGAAAGAGCTCTATCTCTATGTATACACAGCAAAAGTGGTCAAACTTCATGGAGAAAATTTAAAAATTTTATCAAAAGCCAACATGGATCTAAATAAATGGGAGAAAAGTACTGTGTTCAAGCCTAGGTTGACATATTATAGACATATCAGTTATCCCTATTGGTCAATTTAATGCAATTTCCATGAAAATTTCAGCAAGATTTTTCAGTAGAACTTGATAAAAGTAATTCTGAAGTTTATATGAAAGCACAAAGGGCCAAGATTAGGCAGAAGAGAAACAAGGTGGATGGACTTGCTCTGCCAGATTTCAAGACTCATTATAAAACTATAGTAATTAAGACAATGTGGGTATCAGAACAGGGTTGAAAAACATAGACCTGTGATACAGAATAGAAAACCCTAGAACAGATCCACACATATATGGAAACTCGGTAAATGACAATTGGCATTGCTGGTCAGTGGGGAAAGGAAGAACTTAAAAAAAATTAAGCTGGGACAATTGGATATCTAAATAGAAATTATGAAATTGGATCTCTGTCTCATACCAGTAAAAAGTCAACTTCAGATGGATTAAAGACAATATGAAAGTAAAAGCTCACAACACTTTTAGAAAAAAAAAAATAGGGCAGTATCTTCATTACCTTATGCTGGGAAAGGATTTGTTAGTATACCACAAGTATAAACCTTAAGAAAAAAATGGATAAATTCGACTTCTTTAAAATGAAGAACCTAGGCCAGGCGCAGTGGCTCACACCTGTAGTCCCAGCTCTTTGGGAGGCTGAGGTAGGTAGATCATTTGAGTCCAGGATTTTGAGACCAGCCTGGGCAACATGGTGAAACCCCGTCTCTACAAAAAATACAAAAAATTAGTCGGGTGTGATGGCATGCACCTGTGGTCCCAGGTACTCTAGAGGCTGAGGTGGGAGGATTGCTTGAGCTGGGGAGGTTAAGCCTGCTGTGAGCTGTGATCACAACACTTCACTCAGCCTGGGTGACAGAGTGACAGAATGAGACCCTGTCTCAAAAAAAAAAAAAAAAAAAAAAAAAAAAAGAACCTCTGTTCATCAAAAGGAAAACGTAAGTCATTAAGTGGGAGAATATGATTCCAACACAAATAACCAACAAATGATTTGTAGTACCTAGAATAAATAAAATACTCCAATGAATAAAAAATAAAAAGATTAGCCATTAAAAATTGGTCAAAAAATAATTTCACAGAAGAGGAAACAGCTAAAAGATATAGGAAAAGATATTCAACTTCATTAGAACTCAATGAACTACAAGCTAAAAAATCCACAGTGAGAATAAGTGTTGGTGAGGAACGTGGAGATGGTAGCAATATCCGTGTTACAACCATTTTGAAAATGGTTTGTTGTAATCTATTATAATTGAAGGTGGGCATTACCTGTGGCCCAGCAATTCCACTCCTAAGTCAGTACCCCTAGAGAAACTCCTACACACCTATTAGAAAAGTGGATTGGGGCTGGGCGTGGTGGCTCACGCCTGTAATCCCAGCACTTTGGGAGGCTGAGGTGGGTGGATCACCTGAGGTCGGGAGTTTGAGACCTGCCTGACCAACCCCGTCTCTACTAAAAATACAAAAGTTAGCTGGCGTGGTGGTGCATGCCTGTAATTCCAGCTACTTGGGAGGCTGGGGCAGAAGAATTGCTTGAACCTGGGAGTCAGAGGTTGCAGTGAGCCGAGATTGTGCCACTGCACTCCAGCCTGGTAACAGAGTGAGACTCTGTCTCAAAAAAAAAAAAAAAAAAAAAAAAGAAAGATGGATTGGAATGTGGATAGCATTTTTACTTCTGATGGCCCAAAACTGGAAACTTCCCAAATGTCTTTTAACAGTAGTATGTTTACATAAATTGTGCTATGTTCATATAATGATATACTCTGTCACTGAAATGAATAAACCACAGCTATAATTATCAATGGGGATGAATCTCAAAAACATAATGTTGAGTGAAAAAAAATAAAGGTTCAATACCAGATAAAACTAAACCAGATATCATTTAGGGTATACTGTATGTACAATAGTTATAATAAAGGAGTGGTGAACACAAAATTGGGACAATGGTTTCTTTTGGGACAAGAGAGTGATATGGACAAGGAGTAGCCAGATAGTACATGGGCTGTCAGAGATACTGACATTGTTCTCTTAAGCTTGGTGGTGGCTGCACAGGTCTTTCTTTCATTTCTTTAAACTCCACACATATATGTTATATATACTCATATGTTTTATATTTTATAATTCAGACATTTTCTTGAAAAGCCCTGGGCTAAGAACCAAGCATATTTTATGTAGAGTACCTCCCCACCTCCTTTAATAATCACTTTATTCTTCCTGTCAGAACTCCCACTCCAAGTCTTATAATGCTTTTATCCAAGGAAGGGAAGAAGGATATCTGCCACAGAACTCCACCCTGGTGTGGAATATTATTCTACTGCCCACTAGTCTTTTCCTGTCTATGATAGATTTCCTTTATTCACTATTTGTACAGACCCCTTAAATTTCTAAGGTAGCCTACCTCATTTTCCCATTACTCTCTGCATTGTTCTGGAAGCTTTTCAGGATTCTTGTTGCAGTTATGTTGTCGATGAAGAGAGTAGATAAGGCGCCCTCTCTGCTCTTTGCTGATTTGTGTATGTGAATACATGCGTGTTTTTTTTTCTTTTTTTTCTTTTTTGTGATGGAGTCTCGCTCTGTCACCCAGGCTGGAGTGCAATGGCGGGATCTCGGCTCACTGCAACCTCCACCTCCTGGGTTCAAGCAATTCCCCCACCTCTGCCTCCCAAGTAGTTGGGATTACAGGCACCCAGGCACCTTACATCAAGCCCGGCTAATTTTTTGTTTGTTTGTTTTTTTGTAGAGATGGAGTTTCACCATGTTGGCCAGGCTGGTCTTGAACTCCTGACCTCAGGTGATCCACCAGCCTTGGCCTCCCAAAGTGCTGGGATTACAGGTGTGATCTGCCACGCCTGGCTGATGGGTACAATTATTATTTCCATTTTCACAGGTGAGAACACAGAGTCACAGAAAGGTCAGATAGCTTGCCACATGGTCACATGGCAGAGCCAGAATTCAAAACCAGGCAGAATGATGTCCATGCCCTTAACTGCTGGGATATTCTTTGGTGTTTTGCACTTCTTGACACCCTTTGTTAGAAGCTATCAAGTAAACCCTAATTCTTATTCTTTTATTCCACAGCAGAGTTCTTTAGTACACCAGATCTTCTTTCTTCCCCAAGGGATGCCTTTTCTGCCCTCTTCTCTGGTTCATTTAGGTGTTCTCTAGACTCTGGTGTCAGGGCAACTCCAAGTTATGACTCTCAATTTAATATCATTCCTATTTTTGCAGAACTATAGTTAAGATTGTATTTGGCATATTATGATTTACAAAGCACTCTTGCTAGTTGTCTTTTCCTTGATCCTTAACATAATCCTGGAAGGTAAGAGAGACGGTGTAGTGATTAAGAGTGTAGGTAGCTCCCCTGGCTTTGTGACCTCGGGCAAATACTTAACTTCTTCAAATTTCAGATTTTGTATCTGTAAAATTAGGGTAATAATAGTATGTACCTATTAGATGCTGGAGAAGCAAGCATTAAAAGAATTGATACATGTAAAACACATAGGCTAGTGCCTGGTACTGTTGTGCTTAACAAATGTTAGCTAGTCTTATTTTTTATATGATAAGGAAAGTGAAGTTTAATCTCAATTTTGTAAAACTGTGTATTTAAGTATCTATATGTACAAAACAAGACTGGAAAGAATTATGCCAGAATTCTCAGAGGTTAGTAGGATTATGGGTAATTTTTATTTCTTGAGGCTCTCCTATATTTTCCATTTCTGTTTATAAACAATAAACATGTATAACTTTTGAACCTACCTTTTAAAACATTTGAAACTAATTTTAGAATATAAGTAGACCTTAAATAAAGAATGTTACATATTGACTTAGTTCCTCTAAATAAAATTTTAAAGGCATACTATATTTGGATTGAACATTTCCTAGACTGCTTTCCAGTGAAAGGAAGGCAGCCACACCTAATTATGCACTGGGGAAGGCGCTTCTAGTGAAAGCAAAATGTGTCTTTTGGAACGGAACAATAGTTCATATTTTGGCTTAATTGCAGGATCTTTTCTTTGTAATTGAAATTTTAAAACTTTATGTAAATGAAATATTTAATAAACAGAATCACCTTAATCTGTTCGGATTGCTATAAAAAATAGACTGGGTGCCTTAAACAACAGAAATTTATGCCTCACAGTTATGTAGGCTGGGTAGTCTAGGATCAGGGTTCAGGCAGATTCAGTATCCAGTGAGGGTCCACATTCTGGTTCATGGACAGCTGTCTTCTCACTGTTCTCTCAGGGTGGAAATGAGTGAGAGAGCTTTCTGAGGCCTCTTTTAAAAGGCATTAATCCCATTCATGAGAGCTCCTCCCCCATGAACTAATCGTCTCCCAAAGGCCCCACCTCCTAATACCATCACATTGGGGGTTAGGATTTTAACATAAGGATTTGTGGAGGGGGAGTGGGAGGGGGAATGGGACACAAACATTCAATCTATAGCAAGAACTTAAACTCCTTTCCACTGCAGTCTCTTCCAAGATGGTAGCTTGGAATAGTCAATGCTGAGCAAGTTCTCTTTTTTTTTTCATGTGATAGTAACAATTCCCTAGAGTCTGTCAGGTGTGGAAAAGGATTAAGCTGGTGCCAGTAGGATTTGTTCTGTGCTTCCCAGCAGCATGGCCCACAGTCATTCTCCAAATTAAAATTATCGTGACTCTTTCACATGATTATGTAATGAGCTTTTAGGTAACATTTCAATTAAAAAAAATAGGAAAGATTGTAAACCTCCAGTAAAAGAAGGACTATTAGGTGGGATTTGGTGTCAGTTTAAACCTGGGTTCAAATTCTAAACTAGGCTACTTATTAGTTGTATGAGCCAAGTATGCAATTTTACTCAGCCTCAGTTTTTTAATCTTTAATAATACCTGAGGATTAAGTAAGATAGCTAATTATAGTATGTCTTTGAACACTTACAATAAACTGTTTATGGTACTATGTTAAACATAATGCTTTCATTATTTTATTAACTCTTCTTATTTATTTATTTATTTATTTATTTTTTTCAAGACAGAGTCTCGCTCTGTCACCCGGGCTGGAGTGCAATGCCATGATTTCAGCTCACTGCAACCTCTGCCTCCCAGGTTCAAGCAATTCTCCTGCCTCAGCCTCCTGAGTAGCTGGGATTATAGGTGCACACCACCATGCCCGGCTAATTTTTGTACTTCTAGTAGAGATGGGATTTCACCATGTTGGCCAAGCTGGTCTCAAATTCCTGACCTCGTGATCCGCCCACCTTGGCCTCCCAAAGTGCTGGGATTACAAGTGTGAGCCACTGCGCCCAGCCAACTCTTCTTACTAACATTATAAGTCAGAGAAGGCAATATGGCTAAGTGGCTAAGAGGCTAGTCTCTGCAGTCAGAATATCTGGATTTAAATCCTAACTCTCCCATACTTCTTGATGTCCAACTTCCTCATTTGTAAAATAGGGATGATTATTACCCCCATTTTCCAATTTGGGGAAATGAGGATGATTAATATTAACCTATTTCACTGGATTGTTGTACGACATTATAGGGTAATGTTTAGGAGTACGGTCTCTAGAATTGAAATGTCTGACTCTGAATCCTAACTCTAGCACTTATTAGCTGTGTGACCTTAAATAAGCACCTTTGAGCATCAGTTTCCTTAGGCTCATGATGTGAGCCTTCCCACTTGGCCGGTGAAGTGTCTTCATGACATGGGAATTGTCTTTCCCTAGGGTGAACCGAGAGAAAGAAAGATGAAAACCACAGTGACTTTATGACTTGCCCTCAAAAGTAGCATACTGTCACTACTGTTTTATTCTATTAGTTAGAAATAAGTAGCTAAGTTCAGCCTGTACTCAAGGAGAGGGGAATGAGACTTCACCTATTTAAGGGAGGAATAGCAAATAATTTGTGGACATATTTTAGAACTACCTACAGTCTAACCTCTGCACACAAATTGTTTACCTTATTCTCACCTGCAAGTAACCTCTTCCCATCCATATCCTCTCCAAAGTCACAACATCAGCTGGAAATCCATGATGTTGGCATCTATTACAAATATGATCCAGGAGAGACTTCTTGTATGTAGTAGTTCCTTAAGTGTAACGTCTTTCAGCTTTAGGATGACTACTATAGACTCTTCTGTTCAAAAAATGAGAAAATAGAAAGTATAGAATAACTGCTATACAGTCCTGTTCAAAAATGGAAAAAAAATAGGAGCCACTGGTTTATGGTATTCTGAACTCCTCCTGGGCAAATGTTGCCAGTTCCTTGATTAAGACTCAAGTCCTGGGAATAGTTCATGGCTCTTGATTCTGCCCTCTAAGTCATTATTTTACATGAATTGTAGCTCATGTTTGCAGCTGCGTAGATTTCTCAGCCTGTTCCCTGCTTATGGAAGTTTGGAGCAGGGGCTGGTATGAAAGCTTCTTTTCATACAAAGATGTATTCCCTTTTAGTCCAAGCTGATAGTGTTTCTGCCAATACGATTATCTTAAAAATTTTGTTGGTCTCCTGTGAGTCATATTGAATTCATTCTACTAGACAAAAGCCCACACCCACAAGTCTCTTTGATATATGCTCTTCTTTAACTTGGGCTTCTCCTGGGACTGCTGAGGAATAATATCTTTAGGCTTCTTGGGAGATCTGTTGTTTACCTGAATGGTTGTCTGAAGCAACACCTTGGACCTTTCTGAGATCTTAAGATTTTATAGTCGTACCCTTAGCTTCATCTTTAGATGCTTTCTTGACACAGCCCTAGATTTTATTTTTGCCTGGAAGCCATTGTTAATTTTAGTATGATGTGCCATCTGGAGAAGATTTTTTTTTTTGAGATGGAGTTTTGCTCTTGTTGCCCAGGCTGGAGTGCAATGGCACGATCTTGGCTTACTGCAATCTCTACCTCCCAGATTCAAGCGATTCTCTTGCCTCAGCCTCTCGAGAAGCTGGGATTACAGCCATGCACCACCATACCTGGCTAACTTTTTTCTTTTTTTTTTTTTTAGTGGAGATGGGGTTTCTCCATGTTGGTCAGGCTGGTCTCGAACTCCCAACCTCAGGTGATCTGCCTGCCTCGGCCTCCCAAAGTGCTGATGATTATAGGCGTAAGCCACCATGCACGGCATGGAGAAGGAATTTTTAAAACCAGCAAGTTCTGGCTTGTTTTTATTTATCCGTGTTTCTTTTAATTTTTCTCTTCTCTTACATTTTACTGTAAGCAGCAAAAAGAAACCAGGTAGCACCTTCAAAATCTGCTTTGACGTCTCCTTAGTTAGATCTCCCAGTTCATCGGTATATATTCTCCCTTTCATGTTAATGAGGGTGACTTTCTGTCACCACATAACAAGGAACCCCTTTTCTCCAGTTTCCGGTAAGATTTTTCTCACTTTTCCTTAAGCTTTTACCCGTCGCTTCTGCTATGGCCTGATTGTTGGCATTCCCCCAAAATTTATATGTTGGAACTTAATCCTCATAATGATGGTATTAAGAGTTGGGGCCTTTGGGAGGTGATTAGGTCACAAGGGAGCCTTCATGAATGGGATCAGTGTTCTTATAAAAGAGGCTTCAGGGAGCCTTGTGAGGACACAGAAGACACCACTTGTGAGGAATGGGTCCTTAGTAGACACCAAATCTGTTGGTGCCTTGATCCTGGACTTCCCAGCCTCCAGAACTGTAAGCAGGACATTTCTGTTATTTATAAATTACTCAGTTTAAGGTATTTTGTTATAGGAGCCCTAACTAAGACAGCTTCCTCAAAGGTCATCATGCTTTTGCAAAGTTTCTTTGACGTTTCTAGTTTTTATTCGCTCGAAGTTCTTTCAATTTTCACTGCCCGATTTTACAGCCACTCTCACATTTTAAGTTTTGTTACAGCCTCACCCCAGATCCAGGCACCAAAATCTGTATTAGTTATCTATTGATGCAGAACAATTTAACTGAAATTTAGTGCATTAAAACAACAAACATTATCTTATGGTTTCTGTGGGTTAATTCTAGAGTGGCTTACCTGGTGGTTCAGGAGTGAGGTCTCTCATAAAATCAAAATAAAGATGATTGACCAAGCCTGCAGTAATCCAAAGGCTTGACTGGGGCTGGAGAATCTGCTCTCAAGTTCACTCACTCAGCTGTTGACATGAAGCCTCAGTTCTTCACTATCTTTTGGCCAGAACCTTCAGTTACCTTGTGGGACTCTCCATAGGGTTGCTTGAGTGCCTTCCATTATGTGGCAGTTGGCTTGCTCCCACTGTGATTGATCCTGCAGAGAGTGAGTGAGTGAGTAAGATGAAAGTCACTATGTGTTCTATGACCTACTCTTAGAAGCACTCCATTATTTTCACTTTATTCCATTTATTAGAAGTGAGTCACCAAGTCCAGTCCACACTCATGTGGAGAGAAATGAGGCTCTCCCTCTTGAGGGGAGAATTTGTGGACATGTTTTAAAACCACTACAGAGATTATATCACTTTCCTGCTTAAAAAACCTTCAGTGATTTCAAACCACTGCGGAGATTATATCACTTTCCTGTTTAAAAAACCCTTCAATGGCTTCAAATTACTACAGAGTTTATAGTATTTTCTAGTTTAAAGACCCTTAAGTATCTTCCTGTAATACATAGAATAAAATATAAGTTCTTTTTTTTTTTTTTTTTTTTTGGAGATGGAGTCTCATACTGTCACCCGGGCTGGAGTGCAGTGGTGCAATCTCGGCTCACTGCAACACCCACCTCCTGGGTTCAAGCAATTCTCCTGCCTCAGCCTCCCAAGTAGCTGGGATTACAGGCATGTGCCACCACACCCGGCTAATTTTTTTTTTTTTTTTGTATTTTTAGTACAGATGGGGTTTCACTATGTTGGCCAGGCTGGTCTTGAACTCCTGACCTTGTGATCCGCCTGCCTCTGCCTCCCAAAGTGCTGGGATTACAGGCATGAGCCACCGCACCCAGCCAATATAAATTCTTCATTCCAATTCCAGAACCCTATATTCCACGCTGGTCCCTGCCCATCCCATCTCTTGGATATTGGTTTTAACTTGCCCCCGACCCACTATCCTTTAGCCACTTCCGACTTCACCTCATTCCTTGAACAGGAGAGGCTCATTCCTAAGGGCTTTTTTTTTTTTTTTCCTCCACTGTTTCTTCTCCTAGAATGCTCTTTATCCTTTGATGTTTGCTGGTCTGACTGCTTTGCTATCATTTAGATCTCAGCTTAAATATCGCTTTGTCTTAGAAGGAAGACCAGTCAATTTCAGGTAGCTACACAGATACTTTATATCACACTATCCTAACATTTTGTACATAACAGTTATATTAAAGTTTATTTTTTGTTTACCTATTTATGTGATTATTAGTTCTCCCCCACTCCTTCACTAGAATGTAAGCCCCATGGGAACGTGGGCTTTTCTTTCTTGTTGATTGTTATTTCAGGTTTGCCTAGAATTTTATTTGGGATATGATAGTGTGCAACAAATATATTTTGTGTAACTGAATTATTGCTATTCTACCATACTGTAAACCTAATGGTGGTGGGATTGTCTTAGTCTCATTCACTGATACATCCTTAGGAACTGGCATATAGTAGATATTCAAAATTTGATGAAAAGCAATATTGTAGTTGAGGAAATTTAGATATTAAATTTCCCTAGACCACTTAGCAAGTAATCGCCGAGCCAAGACTTAAACCTAGGTCTATTAATTCTAAAATATTAATACCTAAACATACATATAAAGTGCTTGGCACATAGTAGTTGTACAAAGAGTAGAAGTGATTCTCTTCCCCTTCTTGTAATTCTCTTCCCCTTCTTTTAATACTAGTACATGTACATTGAGCAATAGTTGGGAATCTATGTTTTTCATACAACATTTCTTTAATAAATATTCTTAGATGTCAGCATAGTTCATGTACTAGTTCCCTAAGATATTTTGAAGAATTATGTTTGTTTCAGTGAGCTGAAGTTGTCACCTTTTGTATTTTATTTCAGGGCCTGGGATCAAGTGTTAAAACTCTCGGTATTTCGTTTATTTTGAGTCGGATGCAACAAAACTTAGCAAAATGTGAAATATAGATTACAATGCTCATTCTAAAGTATCTAGTTAATTTGGTAAACATGTATGGCACAAGTACTATTTTGTACAGCCTGTGCTCCATGGTAGGCAACGGAGTGGAATGGAGAGGAAGAAGAGCTGTTTCTACTCTCATAGCATCTGAAGTCGTAGTAGAGGAAACTAGACCTGAAGTACTTTGGCTTTCTGAATGTAATGATCTATCCGCTTCTACTTTTCTCCTTAAGATTTGTTGAAAGATCTGGAGGGCCTCTGGAACTGTATGCCCCAGATAAACTGCATGCCCCAGATAACTGCCCTCAGGTGAACTTGGAGTTGTAATTAATGGAAACATTGTCTTAAGGAATGATGCAGGATACTTTGCTGGTTGTCTCTGTTGAAGCATCTCTAACTATTGATTTAGTCTATTGAGCTATACAGTATGCCAGGCTTCATTTTCTTTGACTTTGTGATACAGCTTAAAAAAGAAAAGGTATTGAGATAAAAGTTGCTTTTATCTTTTATTTTTAGATCACCACGCTTATTAATCATAAAGATAATACCAAAAAGTCTGATAAAACTCTGCAAGCAATTCAGCGTGTAGGACAAGCTGTCAACTTGGCAGTTGGAAGATTTGTTAAAGTAGGAGAAGCTATAGCCAATGAAAACTGGGATTTGAAAGAAGAAATAAATATTGCTTGTATTGAAGCTAAACAAGCAGGTAGGTGGATATTGATTTTGAAGACTATTCATACCACTTTTATTGCTTTGGTTATGATGAAAAATTATTGATTTATTTGGAATAAAGATATACAGCTCTTTGATTATGTCTGCCTCAGACATTAAAGGCCTGGATTAGCTTCCGCGAATACTGCACTTGGCTTGGATCAAGTCCTAAATCTGAAACATAGGACTCCTTCACTGGTCAGAGTTAGTGATCGGCCATCCTCATCAGCCATTGAGATGTGAGAGAGATAGAGAAGTGGGAGCTGTGGCCTCTATTCTCTAAGAACATATTAGTCTACTTTCCATGACATAGGAAATGGAAATAAGCATTAGTATCCATTAGTATTCTACAGCAAACAAATCATAGTGACTTCAAACTTCATGATGGTTCACAGTTCTCTATAGATGGTAGCACAGAAGCCTTTGAGAACCTAGAGTGTTTTGAGGACTGCAGCTTTGTTGAAGTATCATTTATCCATTAATTTTTTCAATAAATATTCACTGAATGCTGGTGATATACCAGGCATTCTTTTAGGCCATAGGGAGATAGGCATGGACAAATCAGTCCAAAATCTGCCATCTTGGGCCTTGCATTCTGCTGAGGGAGACAGATCATAAATGAATATATATGTAATGTCAGGTGGTGATCGTTACCATGTAAAAAAAAAAAAAAGCAAGGTAAGAGTTAGGAGAACAATGAAGGTGCTGTTTTAGAGAGGGCAGGGTTTTTTAACTTTGGTGCTACTGACATCTTGGGTTGGATACTTCTCTGTTGTGGGAGGTTGACCTGTACATTGTAGGATGTTTATCAGCATCACTAGCTTCTACCTACTAGATGCTGGAAGGTCCCCTCTCCTTCCATGGGACAACCAGAAATAGCTCTAGACATTGCCAAATGTCCCGTGAGGGGTAAAAATGGCCCCCAGTTGAGAACTCCTGGGATAGGGAATTAGGAAGACCTGCTAAGGAAGGAACATTACAGCAGAGACTGCAATGGAATGAAGGCCTGAGCTATGTGGATACTTGGGGGAATTTTGGACTATGTTCTAAGTGGAATGAGGGATTAGTGGGAGATTTTGTGCTGGGCAGTGACATGTTCTCATTTGTATTTTTAAAAGGGTAACTGGTGGCTCCTGTATAGAAAATACATTTTAGGGGGTGTGAGGATGAATTCAGAGAAACCAGTTAGGAGGTTGTCACAGTGGTCCAGGTGATAGATGATGGTGACTTAGACTAGACCATAGCATTTGAGGTGGTGAAAGGTGGCTTTGTTTCAATATATTGCCAGGGTGGAGCTGATAGGATTGGCTGATGGTTTGGATGTGATAGAAGAGCCAGGGATAACTCCAAGATTTGGGATATGAACAGCTAGGCAAATGGTGGTGCCATCTACTGAGATGAGGAACTCTGAGGGAGGAGCAGGTCATCAGCAGGAGGAGAGTGATTGCGATAAAACCAAGTAAATGTAGAGGGGTGGACAAGATCATACACGGTCCTGTATGTTATGTGGATGATTTCAACTATTATTCCATACTAGGAGTCATTGAGAAATTTTGAGCCAGATGAAAGACATATTGTTTTGTGTTATTTTGTTTTGTTTTGTTTTTTCAAAACAAGAACATTTCACAGATCTTTTATGTTAGATAGAAGTCTTTCTGATGGTGTGGAGGAAGTGAACGAATGAGGACAGCCTGAGAGAAGGTTGAGACTGAAGGCAGGGAGATTAATAGGGAAGCTTTTGTGGTAAAACCAGCTAGGCCAAGTCAGTGTAATAGGGCTGTAAAGAGCAGGAAGAGTGCACAAAATACTCATTAAGGTGGTTGAATAGGTAAAAGTAGATTGTTAACTAAAGGAAAGGGAAGACCCTGGGTTGACTTTTGGATTTCTAGCCATTCACTGGGACAGAGAATAGGTTTTATGTGGGAAGCAGGGGGGGATATCCTTATTCTATTCATAATTTATATTTTTCCTACTTTAGAAAAGGATGTGAAAGCACTTACAATAAAAGACATGTTCAATAAACTTATTAAAATAGGATGTGAAAATAAATAAACCAGAAACTTTGGCAAACATTATTATTTTAATTAAGCATGAAATTTATCTTTGTACTTCCTGGAAGGCAAGACAAAATGTGGGAAACAAAGGGTTATATAATCTCATTGTTTGTTGAAAGGAAGCAAACCAGCTTGTAAGAGGAGAGACTTTTTTTCCTGACACTAAATTATTGTGTGGGTGCTTATGAAACAGACATTACATAATGGACAATTCAACAGAAAATGTAGAGATGGTCTTCATATTACTGTTTCATTTTGCAAGAAAGCTTTGTGGTTAAAAAAAAAAAGAAATAAAAAAATGACTGTTTCTTCTAACAACCGTTGATTAAAGCAGGAGTACAGTATTTTTAAACAAAAGGACAACCTGAGTCCTGTGCTCCTTGTTGGCTTTGTAGCATGTCATTGTGCCCAGTGTAAGGTGAGAGAGGAGGACGTGGTACACTGACATGAGTACCATACGCCCAGGCAGCTCCATAAACGGAGTATTTTGGAAGCTGTCAGGTTTCATGGGCTCCACATGTCATCTTCCTCCTAGTGTCACTCAGGTAAGAGTATGAGAATGATGCCTTCTGGAGTTGTAAAATATAGAAGCCTTTTTTTCTCTTAACACATACAAATTTAAGACTTCATTAAATCACTCCTGTAATGTTTCTAGCCCACTCAACCCCTACGAATCATTTTCTTTGTTTGTCAACAGTGTTCATTTGAGGGAACTAATATAAAGTAGTAGATAAAAAACTGGAGCTGGCTGGGTGCAGTTGCTCACACCTGTAATCCCAACACTTGGAGGCCAAGGCGGGTGGATCGCT
This sequence comes from Homo sapiens, assembly GCF_000001405.40. Lineage (NCBI taxonomy): Eukaryota > Metazoa > Chordata > Mammalia > Primates > Hominidae > Homo > Homo sapiens. The sequence continues at coordinate 108,996,198 of NC_000009.12, read as the reverse complement.
TGAGCTGTGTTTGAGACCAACCTGGGCAACATAATGAGTCCCTGTCTCTACAAAACATAAGAAAAAAAAATAGCCAGGTGTGGTGGTGCGTGCCTCCAGTCCCAGCTACTTGGGAGGCTGAGATGGGAGGATTTTTTGAGCCCAAGGAGGTTGAGGTTGCAGTGAGCAGTGATGGTGCCACTGCACTCCAGCCTGGGAGATGACAGAGAGAGACCCTGTCTCAAAAAAAAAAACACTAAAGTCTTAGGGTCAGATTGCCTAGACTTTAATCCTAGTGCTTCTACTTGCAAGCAGGGTATATTGGGCAATCTATTAAACATTTCTAAACCTCAGTGTTCTCATCTATAAAATGAGACTGTTAGGGTTTATAGAGGTGTTTTGATATAATGCATCTATCATTTCACACATAGTAAGTGCTCAATAAATATTAGTTGTTATTATTATAATTAATTTTTATTCTTACTTCCCTGTGTTGAACTCTTACATTGTATTGTTGCTTTTTACTTGGCTACCAGGCAAGGTTTATATTTATGTTTTATATGGAAGTTCAACAAATATTTGTGTTTGATTGACCTTGGGTTTTCCTATTAAGGCACAGCACTAGTAATGACATATAATAAATTAAAAATGATACCTGTGAAGCTGTAAGACAGCTTTGTTACTTTTTTAGGGAACTGATTTCTGAACAGTTTACACTTTGAACAACTTTATAATGTTAAGAAAGCATTTGCCCATGTTGGTGGAGCCAACCAAATGTTACTGTCCCACGTACTTATGAGTTAAATGCCTGGGGTCTAGTCAGAAAAAGGAAAGGTTGAATAATGCCATATGTGCAGGCTTATATGTCGTATCCTTTGTGGTTGAGAGGTGTAGAAAAAAATTAACATTTTCCAGAGGATCAGAGGAAACATTTTTATCCTTTTAGCTATTAATGATAGGATGCAAACTGATACTTTTCCTCCTGCCCTTTCTGTATGCCTTAAGGTTAATTCTAAGCACTTTTGTTCTCTGTTCTTTGCTATGAAAACTCTGTATTAGCTACCTATTTCTGTGTAACAAATTAACCCAAACTTAGCAACTTAAAACCACAAACATTTACTATGTCAGTTTTTGAGAGGGCACCAATCAGGGAGTGGCTTCACTGGGTGGCTCAGGGTCAGTGTGTCTCATGAGGTAGCGGTCAGTGTGTTGACCAGGCCTCTGTTACCTGGAAGCTTGAGTGCACTGCAGGTCTGCTTCCAGCCTCCCTCTCATGGTTGTTGGCAGGCTTCACTTCCTTGCTGGCTGTTGGCTGGAGGCCTCACTTCCTCTCCACGTAGTTATCTGTGTAGTAAGGGCTGCTTATGACATGGCAACTGGCTTCTCTCAGAGAGAGAGAGCAACCCAGACAGCTGCCTCAGTTATTTTAGAACCTAAGCTTGGGAGTGACATACCACCACTTCCACCATACCAACCCTGGTATGATGTGGGAGGGGACAGACAGCACAAGGTTGTCAATAACAGTAGGTGGGGATCATGGGGAGCGATCTTGAAGGCTGGCTACCACAGAATTCCTCTATCTGTAGAGCTTCAGCTATTGTCATTATACACAAGACATCCAAGTCTGCATTACCAGTCCATGTCTTGCGACTTATCTTTGGTGTATTCCTGTGTTATTTCAAACTCCTGTTGTCTGACAGTAAAATTATCATCTCTCTTCCAATGCCCTTCGATTTTCTTTAAGCAACTTAGGTTTACAACTTTGAGGCCATTTTTTTACTCGTTCTTTCCTTCTTATCATTGGTCAGGTACTAATTTTGTGTTTTCTTAATGTTTCCCAAATCATCTTCTTAATGTTCCTATGGCTACTATACTAGTAAGGTCCCTACTATTTCACACCCACAATTGATACAATAGCCTGGCTCTAAGTCTTTCCTTTCCATTCTATTTTATGTACTCCTACTAGACTGATCTTTCTTTTTTTTTTTTGAGACCAAGTCTCACTCTGTCACCCAGGCTGAAGTGCAGTGGCGCCATCTCAGCTGACTGCAACCTCCGCTTCCCAGGTCCAAGCGATTCTCTGCCTCAGCCTCCTGAGTAGCTGGGATTACAGGCCCCTGCCACCACACCTGGCTAATTTTTGTATTTTTTTAGTAGAGACCGAGTTTCGCCATGTTGGCCAGGCTTGTCTTGAACTCCTGACCTCAGGTGATCCACCCGCCTCGGCCTCCTAAAGTGCTAGGATTACAGGTGTGAGCCACTGTGCCTGCCAGACTGATCTTTCCAAACCTTGACTTATACTTCACCCTGTGGCCTCTCCATTAAGATTCCAGTACTTTTTACTCAAGATCCTTAGCCTATGAGCTGACACATTATTGTGTGTATGTAATAGAATTGACAGGAGGGCTTTTGTAAGAAAATCAATCCATTAGGCACACAGGTATATTTAGGACTTTAAAAAATGATCTTGAACACTATAAGTTGGTTAAAGGTTTATTATTTTAAAAATCTTTTTAACAGTATGGAGGTTTGAAGAATATTGTAGCCTTGTATTATAATACAAGAATACTTGGATTGTTTTATTAGTAGATAATTACCATTACAGAAATCAAAAGTTTTGATAGCAACAGTGAAGAAGATAATTTTTCTAGAGGGTTGGGAGTTCAATTAATAGAATGGTTTATGCTGGGCATCATAAGAAGTTTATATAAATTCAAACTGTAGCCTAAATGAGGGCCAGCCTGTGGTTTGAATTCTCAGGAGGGAGGCTTTTGTTTTGTTTACTTTCCCCACCCAAAGTCCAGGCTGACTGACAGACAAACTTCCTTATTGTTTCTTTTTGCCTATTGACAGTTCTTTCCGGGCCCCCATTATATTGAAGATGTCATCCCTTGGGGCCTAAAGCCCTGTCTTTTTTCTCTCTCTGAGGATCCGTGAAAACCCAAGGGTGAAAACCCAAGGCCGTTCAGCTTGTGGAGATTGGCAGTGACCCCTGACTTCTCCCCGGCCTCGCCCCAGCCCAAGCCTTGGCACCTGCTTACTGCTCGGGTTTTAGGGTATTCTTTGGTTTTTGACTCATGGGATTTCTCTTACTGTCTTGTAGGGCAGGAGGCTTTTAGATTGTGTAGTTTGCATTACCACTGGAAACAAAAATTATGATGTTTTTCAAACTGGGTGAGGGCAAAATTTGTCACAGTTCTTAAGAGTGTGCTATTATTTTCTGGTTAGAAAGCTTCGTATGATAATCCCTACAATCGTCAAGGTGAAACCGTTTCTTGTTCCTGAAGTAAGACTCCAAAGCTGAGTTTCTCCTCATTGTGCCTTACCTTCAAGGTTAGAGAGAAGTCTAGATTTTAATTTGTATGCCTGTTTAACTTTCTCCCCTCGTCTTTCTTGTTAGGAGAAACAATTGCAGCACTTACAGACATAACCAACTTGAACCATCTGGAATCTGATGGGCAGATCACAATTTTTACAGACAAAACAGGAGTGATAAAGGCTGCAAGATTACTTCTTTCTTCAGTGACAAAAGTGTTGTTGCTGGCAGACCGAGTAGTCATTAAACAGATAATAACATCAAGAAATAAGGTACTTACCTTTCTGATGTTGCTGTATTTTTGTCTTTCTGTGTTGTTCAAAGTGCTTTTTATGACTCTTAGTGGTGGATTGCTTGGCTTGTGTGTCGATGAAGAATGCAGCTAGCTGTGGGAATTAATGTGCAATGCAGGATACATTGACACACTGATCATCTGTACGTTGAATGCACTTGTGGCCCTGGGTTCCTCCCGGGGCTATGCATGTCTGAGCGTTGCTTAAAAAAAAAAAAAAAGAAAAGTTCTTTTTAGGTTAATTGTAAGTAATTTGGCAATGCTTGTCTATTATAATTGTTTATAACTCTGTCTGTAGTTTAAAAGTAGTGTTTCTTCTATATGTGCAATTCTTAAATGATGGGTATGCTGTGCCTAAACTTTTGAATGCAAGTAATGTCTCCTCTTAGAGAATCATTATCCACTTGTTAAGGCTTATTGGTAAAAGCTTTAAATGTGTACAACATTTGGAAAGAAAAGGTGAGCACTATGATAATGTATGTAGCAGAAACCTAGTTGATAAAAATACTGAATTCTTCTGTACTTTTTTTCCCTCCCAAATCAGAGACTAACAATATATAACTTAAGACACAGTTAAATCAGTGGAAATGATAATTATCCACAACTACAAAATTTCTGTACTCAGAGTCCCTAAATGTTACTGAATAATCTCAAAACTTACAGAACAGATTTAAACTCTTCCAGTCCAGAAGTTAATCTCTCAGATGATGGTCATGCTCCATGATCATCTGGGAATCCAGGGTATGTACGATCACTTCTTGCTTTGGATAATTCCCTAGGCAAAGAGGAGAGCAGTTGGCCAGGGAAGGAGTTGTCCTAGAGGATTTGAGGATAAAACCACTTGATAAGTGTTGAATGAATCAGAAATTGGAGAGGTGGATCTGGCAGCGCTGGAGAAATACAAACAACCTTCCCCTCTTTGAAAGATGGAGGTTCTCACAGTGGTGGCAACGTGCCTTATCAGTGTTAGTCGCCTGAACTTCCTGAGCTGCCAGGGCAGATTAACATGCCAAATATTCATCATATTCTCAGGAAAAATAAGTAAACAGAGGATATCTGTGTTTTTTTTTAACTTATCTTGTTGCGACTAAAACAATCTAATAATGTTATTTTAAAGAAAAGTATTTGAAAATATGTTTCACATCTATTTACTTTGTTTCTTACATCAAGAAAACACATAACATTTTAGTCACTGGCTCTACCAGATTCACACACTCTTTATTCACCCCTGATGGCCCATTCCTGACTGAGCCAGACTAATTTTCCCACCCTTAAAGTCCCACACTTCCCTTTCGACTCTATACTCTGAAGATGATGAGGTTCCTTCTGCTTTCCTGAGAATGTTAGGGTTCCTATCATCCTGGTTCACTGAACCTTAAAGCTTGTGTGTGCTGACTTTCATCCTCACCCCTTCCCAGTTCTCTGAAGATTTGATTACTGTGGTCCTGCCCATTCCCACCTTTTAGACTTGGCTACATAAATGATCCCTTCCTTTGTATATGTAGTCATTTCTTTTATTCTTTTTCCTTTTCCTTTTCAAGTAACTCAAAATCTCATCATATAAACAAATCATTCCCCTAATAATTCTGTGCCTTGAATCTACTTCTACTTCTCTGAGCATCCCCTTGTGTGTCTTCTATCTGGCTCCTCCTCCTCAGCTTTCACCTAGAATTCAGAATTTTCCTTTTCTTCTCTCTACTCAGCCTTGACAATCTCAGTCTCTTGAGTAGCTCTCACCAAATAATGAATTATTATCTGTTTTGCAGGTTCTCGCAACTATGGAAAGACTAGAGAAAGTGAATAGCTTTCAAGAGTTTGTCCAAATATTCAGTCAATTTGGAAATGAAATGGTGGAGTTTGCACATCTGAGTGGAGATAGACAAAATGTATGTATTCATCACATTTTACAATCTTCAGATAAATACATACTTTTTAGTTTGGATGGAGGTATGATCGTTAGGATTGTTTGGACTGGTTTCTTTGCTTATTAAGTCTATAGCCTTGGTCTTGAAAGCCTTTCATAGATAAGCCAGGATAAAGTAAGTAGATCTATATGTCTTTTTTTGTACATTTATAACAGTTAATTTTGTTCCCACCTCACACACTGGGAAAGGTCATACTTGCTATCAGGGCTCAACTCAAGTACTTCTTCCTTTTATTTGGTTACTTTCTCTTTTATGAAGCTTTCCATTTGATTCCTCTACTAGGGCTCAGGCACATAAAATTGAGTCATCATATGTATTCTTATAGTATCTTGTTAGATATTTGTTATTCTTACCGTATTAGATTAATAGTAATAACCCAAGCCATTATTTATTTGCACTGCCTATGTGTTAGGTACTTAATATACATGATCTCATTTAATTTTCAAAACATCCCTATGAGGTAGGTATTGTTAACTACTGTTTTACATATAGGGAAACTGAACCTGAGACAAGGATAAACTTTCCCAAGGTCACTGTGCTAGCAGATCGAACTCAGTTATATCTGATTCTAAAGTCTGTAGTTCTCAAACTACAACATGATATTTGTTTTTTATTTTATTTTATTTTATTTTTTCTGAGATGGAGTCTCTCTCTGTCACCCAGGCTGGAGTGCAGTGTCGTGATCACGGCTCACTGCAACCTCCACCTCCTGGGTTCAAGTGATTCTCATGCCTCAGCCTCCCGAGTAGCTGGGACTACAGGCATGCACCACCACGCCCAGCTAACTTTTTGTATTTTTAGTAGAGACAGGGTTTCACCATGTTGGCCAGGCTGGTCTCGAACTCCTAATCTCAGGTGATCCGCCCGCCTCAGCCTCCCAAAGTGCTGGGATTACAGGCGTGAATCACCGTGCCCAGCCAATATTAGTTCCTTATGGGTCTGTTCCCCAATTCAGACAGTAAGCTCCTCAGTTTTGGGAGATGGAAGATCATATTATGTCTAGGATTGACTTTTCCTTGTTGGGGTATTTGTGTAGGAGTCTGTCTTGTTGGCAGGTTAAATATATATAATAATTGACCATTTCTTGGGATGGTTCTGGGTGTAGTCCCATAGGCTAGTCTCTCAGTTTTTGATATGAACTTTCCCAATTGCAGCTGGAGTTGAAAAATGGGTATTGGTCTGGCAAGTGGCAGGCTAAATAATGGCATTGGTTTGTAATACCAATGGTGTTTCTATAGGCAGGTACTTTATTGTTTCATTTTCTGTCTGCCATTATTGTTCTTTATAAAACAAATTTTCTTTCTTTTCCTTCTCTTTCTCTTAATCTTCCTTCTTCTCCTCATTCTCCCCAATGATAATTATTAGCCTGAGTATTTTTATAATAATAGTAGCTTATAATCTAGCATTTTCTTGATCACTTGAGCAAGCGTGGCATGAGTCATAGGTTCTAAAGCTACCATCCTTCAGTTACACTTCCTACAGGATCCTCTTCAGCTTCTGGACATAACTGAAAAACTTTCACCATCATTTTGATTTGTAGTTAGAAATTTGGCATGGAGAACATTTTATTTTTCTCAATTCTTGTAATATTGTGATCCAACATTTAAAAACTTCTGGCTGAAGTGGTATCTATTTTTAGCAATTTAGCTCATTAAATGTGGGACCCCTGAAACTTACTGGCAGCCTTTTTATCATCTGTGTTTGATAAGTGCTACTCCTGGGTCACTTTTTTGGAATATGCATCCAGGGTTCAAATGCTTTCTCCTTTAGAATAGTCAAAATATCCTGCAAAGAGCTATAGGTCAGGTGCATTCTCAGTTTTCTCAGCAAATATTCATCAGCTGCTTACTGTTAACCAAATACTACACTAGGTGTTGAGGATTCAACAGTAAATAAAAGTGACAAAAACCTCTGCACTCATGGAGCTTATGTTTTAGTAGGGGTGGGAGGAGATAGACAATAAAACAGAAACATGCATGGTGTGTTCAAAGAACACGAAGGCCAATGGATGGATCAAAGTGAGCAAACGGGAAGGGTAATAAGATGAAATCAGAGAGGTAGTGGGCAGGCCAAACTGTGTAAGGACTTTGGCTTTAAGTAAAATGGGGAGCCATTGGAGGTTTTGAGTAGGAGAATGACGTTTTCTGACTTACATTTTAACAGTATCACTCTAGCTGCCATGTTGAGAATAGTTTGCATGGAGACAAGGGCAGAGGCAGGGAGACCACTCAAGAGGCTATTACAGTAATCTATTGAGAGATGATGGTGACCTGGACCAAGGTGGTAGAAAGTGGCAGTGGTGAGGCTGGGCATGGTGGCTCATGCCTGTAATCCCAGCACTTTGGGAGGCTGAGGTGGGTGGATCACCTGAGGTCAGGAGTTTGAGACCAGCCTGGCCAACATGATGAAACCCCATCTCTTCTAAAAATACAGAAATTAGCTGAGTGTGGTGGCATGTGCCTGTAATCCCAGCTACTCAGGAGGCTGAGGCACAAGAATTACTTGAACCTGGGAAGCAGAGGCTGCAGTGAGCTGAGATCACGCCACTGCGCTCCAGCCTGGGCAAGGGAGGGAGACTGTCTCAAAAGGAAAAGAAAGTGGCAGTGGTGACTCCTATTCAACATAGTGTTGGAAGTTCTGGCCAGGGCAATTAGGCAGGAGAAGGAAATAAAGGGTGTTCAATTAGGAAAAGAGGAAGTCAAATTGTCCCTGTTTGCAGATGACATGATTGTATATCTAGAAAACCCCACTGTCTCAGCCCAAAATCTCCTTAAGCTGATAAGCAACTTCAGCAAAGCCTCAGGATACAAAATCAATGTGCAAAAATCACAAGCATTCTTATACACCAATAACAGACAAACAGAGAGCCAAATCATGAGTGAACTCCCATTCACAATTGCTTCAAAGAGAATAAAATACTTAGGAATCCAACTACAAGGGACGTGAAGGACCTCTTCAAGGAGAACTACAAACCACTGCTCAATGAAATAAAAGAGGATACAAACAAATGGAAGAACATTCCATGCTCATGGGTAGGAAGAATCAATATCTTGAAAATGGCCATACTGCCCAAGGTAATTTATAGATTCAATGCCATCCCCATCAAGCTACCAATGACTTTCTTCACAGAATTGGAAAAAACTACTTTAAAGTTCATATGGAACCAAAAAAGAGCCCGCATTGCCAAGTCAATCCTAAGCCAAAAGAACAAAGCTGGAGGCATCACAATACCTGACTTCAAACTATACTACAAGGCTACAGTAACCAAAACAGTATGGTACTGGTGCCAAAACAGAGATATAGATCAATGGAACAGAACAGAGCCCTCAGAAATAATGCTGCATATCTACAACTATCTGATCTTTGACAAACCTGAGAAAAACAAGCAATGGGGAAAGGATTCCCTATTTAATAAATGGTGCTGGGAAAACTGGCTAGCCATATGTAGAAAGCTGAAACTGGATCCCTTCCTTACACCTTATACAAAAATTAATTCAAGACGGATTAAAGACTTAAACGTTAGACCTAAAACCATAAAAACCCTAGAAGAAAACCTAGGCATTACCGTTCAGGACATAGGCATGGGCAAGGACTTCATGTCTAAAACACCAAAAGCAATGGCAACAAAAGCCAACATTGACAAATGGGATCTAATTAAACTAAAGAGCTTCTGCACAGCAAAAGAAACTACCATCACAGTGAACAGGCAACCTACAAATTGGGAGAAAATTTTCGCAACCTACTCATCTGACAAAGGGCTAATATACAGAATCTACAATGAACTCAAACAAATTTACAAGAAAAAAACAAACAACCCCATCAAAAAGTGGGCAAAGGATATGAACAGACACTTCTCAAAAGAAGACATTTATGCAGCCAAAAGACACATGAAAAAATGCTTATCATCACTGGCCATCAGAGAAATGCAAATCAAAACCACAATGAGATACCATCTCACACCAGTTAGAATGGCAATCATTAAAAAGTCAGGAAACAACAGGTGCTGGAGAGGATGTGGAGAAATAGGAGCACTTTTACACTGTTGGTGGGACTGTAAACTAGTTCAACCATTGTGGAAGTCAGTGTGGCGATTCCTCAGGGATCTAGAACTAGAAATACCATTTGACCCAGCCATCCCATTACTGGGTATATACCCAAACGACTATAAATCATGCTGCTGTAAAGACACATGCACACGTATGTTTATTGTGGCACTATTCACAATAGCAAAGACTTGGAACCAACCCAAATGTCCAACAATGATAGACTGGATTAAGAAAATGTGGCACATATACACCATGGAATACTATGCAGCCATAAAAAATGATGAGTTCATGTCCTTTGTAGGGACATGGATGAAATTGGAAATCATCATTCTCAGTAAACTATCGCAAGGACAAAAAACCAAACACTGCATGTTCTCACTCATAGATGGGAATTGAACAATGAGAACACATGGACACAGGAAGGGGAATATCACACTCTGGGGACTGTTGTGGGGTGCGGGGAGGGGGGAGGGATAGCATTAGGAGATATACCTAATGCTAAATGACGAGTTAATGGGTGCAGCACACCAGCATGGCACATGTATACATATGTAACTAACATGCACATTGTGCACATGTACCCTAAAACTTAAAGTATAATAATAATTAAAAAAAAAAAGAAAGTGGCAGTAGTGACAGCCTTACCCAAGTCTGGGAAAATACTTCTGGAGGTATTGGGATGCTTCGCTTAGTGCTTCATGGACCATCTGGGTTTTATGGACGCCTCTGTTTTGTCCTGTGGACCAGCCCTTTCCAGGTTGAGATGCCATCTTTTTCTGTCGCTTGTTATCACCATACAGCCTATGGTGTCATATGTGGCTTGTAAGTGTCAGGTATGGCATACACACTTGATGCATTGTCAGCTAGACCCACAGGTGGTTTTGAAAGGAGTCCTGTCCAAAATGTTAAAGACAAGAGGAATGGGTGGAAATTTTATAAGCAACCTCAGCCTTTATCTGATAGGTACCCATGATGGATGATACTCACATATAGGACACAGTTCTTTGGGATGTGATCTGCATTAGCTTTGGGGTTATATGCACTTTGTCGTACACTATTTGTAATTCCATCTCTATCTTTTATTAAATCTATATTGGGATGCAAGTGAGTGAGAGTGATATTATTGTGTAGGACTAACTTCTGAATCCATTCTAATTTATTCAAGCAAATTTACTTTCAAAGGCAAATCATTCTCAAACTTTAGGTTTTACTTATTTGTAAGAAGGGGCCTTTAACCTAACTTACAAATAAAAAAGGCTAACGTGACAGGGAAAAATTTTATGTAATTCAAATTTCAATGTCCATACATAAAGTTTTCTTGGAACACAGCTGTTCTTATTTATTTGTGTATTGTCTCTGTTTGCTTTCACACTACAATGACAGAATTGAGTAGCTGTGATGGAGACCATATAGCTCAGAAGGCCTCAAATGTTTATCTGGGCTTTAATTGAAAGTATTGCCCACCTCTGATTTAGATATAATAACCAAATTATTAACAGAGTATTTTGTTGTAGATTTGATCAGCAAACTTTGGCTACCTCATGTGAATAGCACACATTCTATTGAGGGCTCTGTGAGGAGAAGTCACCCCCCACCAAAACAAATTCAATACACAGTGCTTTCTTAGGTGTTCCTTTTCAATCTTGTTGGGGAAAATTATCTACCCAAGAAACATCTTAAGAATATTTCAGAGCAGCATATTGATTAAGATTAAGACAAACGAACCCCAATTTGAGATGCATAGCAGTTAGATGGGATTAATTAGACGAGGCTCCTTAAAGAATCGACTTTTAAGTGTCTGTTTTGAAGGAAATAATAGTCAATAGATGCTCAGTAGACAATTTACTTTTAATTAGGTAAGACATAGGCTGGGTGTTTCTGGTTAGGACGCAGTGTGTGCATTTGACGTGAGAATGTCAGGTATGACAGAACACCAGAATGTCAGCCATGTGCAGCCTCTACCTGTGTCTCAGTTTCTGGCTCTCTAGCCCTTACTAAGAGTAGCTTTTTCTTTCTACTCATATTGTGTTGATGTGTTTATATTGAAGCAGTGACAGTTTGTAAAACTTTATCCTGGTTTTTTTTTTTTTTTCACTTAACAATGTTAGTGAATTCTTGAGTATTAGTGTTGAATAAATACTTTTTTAAGAAATTGGGTTGTTCACATGGTCTTAGACTCCTCCGTGATTTTATTTCATATTTAGGATTTGAAAGATGAAAAGAAAAAGGCAAAAATGGCAGCAGCTAGGGCAGTTCTTGAAAAGTGTACAATGATGCTTCTCACAGCTTCAAAGGTAAGACAATTTTGGTTTTACTGTGTAATAAATTAATAATTAGAACACCCGACTAAATGCATTTAACTTACATAATTTACATTTTAAAAAAGATCAAAGTGATTACTTAGAACATAGGCCTGAATAGTTAAATCTCAGTTATTATTTATAAGAATGCTAACTTTCTTCCCCAACTCCAAATAATAACTAATTTATGAGTCAGCTTTGATTGAACAGCTCAGCAGAACATGGTGTATTAGGTGCTATGAATTAAGGCCTGTCACACATGGTAGCTGCCTGCAGGGTTTTTCCAGTCTCATTGAGGAGCCAGCACATATGCTCTAGAAAAAGCTAGACAAGTTAAGATCTGTTAAATACAGTGGAGTAAGAAGTCAGCACTTAGTTTATTCTGTAAATTCACCCTTTAATTCCTGTTTCCACTTTTAACAAAATTATCAATCAAGAGTATTTCCAAACAGCAGTTGGCCAGCAAATTGGTGCAATTCTAGAATGAATGAGTAAAATGTCTCTTTAGCAGTTTGTTTGGAATAACCTTTTCTTCTGAGAGTATTTACCCCATGCTAGAATCAGTGAAGCCACAAAAACAGACTTCGTGGAACCCACTCAGAAGACTCTATTTTGTCTAGGCCCTTGAGTTTTTCATTTACATCATTTTTTAAAAGTCAAGATGCATCCATGATCATATATCATCTCATTTTTCTTCATTCTTTTTCATTTCTGGCATGTGTAAGGCAACATTTAAAATAGTTTTAATCATGATGAAAAGAGATTTTTTCCTAAAAAATTTTTAAGTAAACTTACTGTTGAAGTATAAAGGTATAGTTTTGCACTCTGCATTTTTTATTTAACCTTGCTATCGCTTTTTACTCATCCTGCTTCCACTTTAGTGAGGAGAAGCAGCTGAGTGAGCCAGGGACCCAGGAGATTTTGGTAAAGAACCATTTTTCTTAGCATGACATGTTCTCTGTAAGATTTTTGTGCATTATGACATAAATCAAATATTAAAATAAAAATTTTCAATTGTTTTGAAGACATGTCTGAGGCATCCTAACTGCGAATCAGCCCATAAAAACAAAGAAGGAGTATTTGACCGTATGAAAGTGGCATTGGATAAGGTCATTGAAATTGTGACTGACTGTAAACCGAATGGAGAGACTGACATTTCATCTATCAGTATTTTTACTGGAATTAAGGAATTCAAGGTAAGAATAAAGAGAGTATATTTTTATTTTTCTCTTCTTATTTTATTTTATTTTATTTTAATTTTTTGAGATGGAGTCTCGCTCTGTTGCCCAGGCTGGAGTGCAGTGGTGTGATCTCGGCTCACTGCAACCTCCACCTCCTGGGTTCAAGCGATTCTTGTGCTTCATCCTCCCAAGTAGCTGGTACTACAGGCATGTGCTACCATGCCTGGCTAATTTTTATATTTTTGGTAGAGACGGGGTTTCACCATGTTGGCCAGGCTGGTCTCAAACTCCTGACTTCAGGTGATCTACCCGCCTGGGCCTCCCAAAGTGCTGGGATCACAGGCATGAGCCACTGCACTCAGTCTTTTCTTTCCATTTTAAAGGAGCATCATTATGTATAGTATCCATATTTTTGTGTAATGTTTTAGAACAGTGCTTCACAAAAGCAAATGTATCTATTTAAAGCAATGCCACTCTGTACAAACTTGTTGCTCAGTAATATTTACATTAAAGGTGTATTTACAAAGAACACTGGTCTTTGGTTATAGTAGCTACTCTGGCTCTGTTTAGCTGTATGGTTTAGCTGTAGCCTCCTGTTCAAAAGAATGTTCCCTTCCTGTTTTTTGAGCAGTGCCATATCTTTTTGAGCAGTACCATCCATAGGATGATGGTGAGCAGCAAATCATTTCTGCTAGAATTCCTGCTTTTCTCTGTGTTAGAGGGTTGGTACTTTGAGACTATAGTAATAGTATTAGTAATAATTAAAATTTAAAAATCAACAGTAATACACACTAACAGTTATTGAGTCCTTATTCTGTGCCAGCCCTTTTCTGAGTGCTTTAAATATATGAACTTATATAATCCTCAAAGAACTATTGCTATTATTTCCATTACACTGTTGAGGAGCTTGAGAAACAGAAAGGATATTAACTTGCTGGCTACTAAGTACCAGAGTTGGGATTTGAAACTAGGCAGTGTGACTCCAGGAAGTCTGACTTCTCATCAGAAGTCATAGACATGGTGAAGATGCTTTCTGGGTAAGAGCAGTGTCTGAGTTGGGAGGGCCCTAAGAAGTCATCTAGTACAATGCCCTCCTTTAACAGATCAGAAAACTAAGGCCCTGAGAAGTTATCCAAATGCTAAAGGTTCCCACCTCTCTAACAGACAGGGCTATGATGAGAATGGCATTCTTTCCATTTTACTGCACTTTGATTTATTTTATTTATTTATTTTTGAGATGGAGTCTCACTCTTGTTTCTCGGGCTGGAGTGTGGTGGCACGATCTTGGCTCACTGCAACCTCCACCTCCTGGGTTCAAGCAATTGTCCTGCCTCAGCCTCCTGAGTAGCTTGGATTACAGGCACCCACCACCACAGCCGGCTAATTTTTGTACTTTTAATAGAGATGGGGTTTTGCCATGTTGGCCAGGCTGGTCTCGAACTCCGGACCTCAGGTGATCCGCCCACCTTGGCCTCCCAAAGTGCTGGGATTACAGGCGTGAACCACCACGCCTGGCCCTGGACTTTGATTTCTAATTGTGTGAAGGTCTAAGTAGGAACATGGGGTGAAAAGACAGTAATGGAAAGAATATCTCTTTTTGCTCTTAATAAATATTTTATTTAATCCCTACCTGCCCTTTAGGTGGATATAATTATATACTGTTTTTTTTTTTTTTGTTTTTTGTCTTTTTTTTTTGAGGAGGAGAGCTAGTAAGTGGTAGAACCCTTCTTTAGGCCCAGGATTCTCTAATCCCAAAGTCCATGACCTTTCACTTTACACCTCTGGGTTTGTTTATATGATGCCAGTCCTACCACTGAGTCTTCCTGAGGGGAAAGAAACTGTACAGACCAAACCTTCTCTTAGAAATTTTATTGCTGAAAGAGATCTTAGAGATTATTTTTCTAATCTTCCCTTTTTATAAATGCTGAAGGAGGAGATGTGTTGTCAAAGGATAATTAGGGAAACAAGTAAGTCAAGTGAGAGACATCTTTCACCACCTGCTGCTGCATTTCTAGTGCAGGTGAAGGAGGGGCAGTGCTCTGCCTGTGGCTGCTGCCGACAGCTCTGGCTGCTGCCCTCTCGCCATCAGGCATGCTGGAGGCAGAGCTGTTATAAATAGGCTCAGTCTCACTGTCCATGATTATCTCTTTGGCATCTTGCTTTTTTTCTGATGGAGAGTATAATCTATGGAGGGAAACTGGGTACTTTGCTGTATTTGGTACCATGAATATATGGACAAATGTTATGAAACCATATCAGTAAATAGCCTCTTTAAAAAAACCCCACAAAACTCCACTAAGTTGCTGTCTAAAAACATGTATATTTTCTCTCTAAAGGGAAAATAAAAAACCTTAACATAAATGGTATGAGACCAATATAACTGATTTTTATGTTTTAATTCTGTTTAAATTCTCAAATTTAATTCTCTTAAATTAATAAAATAAATTTAATTCTCTGAGAAGATCCCCATTGTAAATTCCATACCTTACTATTATCTGTATTCTTTCCTAGCTTAAATACAAGTTTCTGTCTACCTAGGATGGAGTGATCACCTGACACAACTTGGGCCAAGAGCAGGAGGGGAAGCAAGGACTCTCCTATGGCATCTTGACTTTCCCAAACTTTGATATTTTCATGGATGATGTTAAAATGGGTCACACATAAGGATTAATTAAAATAACATTTGTGAAAGGACTTTGAAGTGTTAAACAAATGTAAGGTATCCTTATTATCACATTCATTGTGACCATAATCATGATCATTACCGCTTGTTGCCTCTTGGCCCAAGTTGTCTGTGTGACATATTTCATGGACTGTAGTGTTTTACAGGGTTGAAATGGCATGATGCATCGTAGAAAGCTGAGAGAGAAAGACTGCACACATGAGCATGTGTTCATCACATAGTCAAGGAACTCCAAACAGGATGGCTGAAGTGAAAGGTTGTTAGGGGGTTCAGGGGGTGAGATAGACTGTTAGAGAAGTATATAAAGACAGGCCATAGAGGATTTTGTGCTATACTACATAGACGTTTGGGCTTGATTCTCTATAGATGGCGAGGAACTATTAGAGGGAGGTGGCAGTATCAGATGGTTTACATTTTAGATTATACAGACCCTCTGGTAGAGGATGTTTGGGTCAGTAAGGTGCTGTTGGGGACTTTAAACAAAATGTAGGGAGACCAGTTAGGTGACTAGGAGAGTCTTTGCTGAATTAACAAAGGAAAAATGGATGTCTTCCCCAGTGCTTCTCACACCCCACATCTTCCACACCATCCTTCCCCCTGGGCTCAGCACATTTCATATTTGGGTGTAACTTATCTTCCAGGACTTTGCCTAGGCATTTTCTCAGATGCAAATCTTTTACCTGGAGGCTGGTTCATTTTTCCTGCCAGTTGCTAGAGGATGATGCTCTTTCTGCCTTAGTATTCACTGATCTCATAGCAATGTCATTGTATTAATTACTCTAGGAATGGTGCTTTGCATGGATATTGAAGGCTTTTGAGCAATGTATCCTTCTGGGTTAGTGGCGAATATAGATATCATTGGTGGCTGTATTTCCCCTCAGCTTGGGAAAAGGAAATGCTAGTGTTTTCCTGGGCACTGTTAGAAATTACAGCCCATTTTGGTCAGGTGGGAATATTGACTCACATGGATGGATAGATGTCCTTTTTGTTCTCAGATGAATATTGAAGCTCTTCGGGAGAATCTTTATTTTCAGTCCAAAGAGAACCTTTCTGTGACATTGGAAGTCATCTTGGAGCGTATGGAGGACTTTACTGATTCTGCCTACACCAGCCATGAGCACAGAGAACGCATCTTGGAACTGTCAACTCAGGCGAGAATGGAACTGCAGCAGTTAATTTCTGTGTGGATTCAAGCTGTAAGAACTTTTTTTAAAATCAAAGTAAATCTTATATAATGGCTTTCCCATAAAGTTTTGCAAGATATGGAAGTTACATAATCACCAGGAGTATGAATTTGTTCCAGAATGGGACAGGATATCTCATCCCTTCTTTCCCTCCTAGTTGGCCAAAATATCCTTCCCATCTAGCACTTACAATACTTGACATTTATTTCCAGGCCTGTTGACTCTCATTCTAGCCAGTCTCAATTATATGCCTCTGTCACTATCACTAGTTCACACTGTTGTCCCTACTCTTCCACCAAACTCACCTCTGGAAAATTCCTCCCCAAAATACTTCTTCAGAGTGAAGAACAGAGGAGTAGACCCCCTCCTAGAGGTTCTTGGGACCTGAGCCTGACTGCTGGAGCCATTCACATGTACACAATTCTTACCTCTGAGGACAGCTGATTTACAGAGACAATGATTTAGAAAACTTATTGGGGTGTAGATTCAATGAAAACAAGGGTAGATCCAGCTGGCAAGTAAAAGCTTTTCACCCTTGCACAAATTCCTGGTCTAAAATTGGTGGGTGGCCACTCTGTGAGCCTTAAATGGGCTGTTGGTGTGCTTCAAACAGAGGAGCTTATTTGGGCAAGAATGGCCAAGACTGACAGAAGTGGGACAGACAGGAAGTGTGTGTACACAATCTCTTATAGCAGGTGGATTGCAAAGTGGAGAGACAGAGAGCCCTGGGACATGTCTCTAGCATTATTTATTTCTTAGGCCCAGGCTCTGTCAGAAAAGTATTTAACATGGCTTACAATATACAGCAGTGATAGTACAAATCTGGAAGTCATGAACAAAGCTTTGGCAGTAAAGATGATGAAGGAGGGTGGATATGGCTGAGACTGAAGAAAGAAGGAGCAGTTGATTTCCTTGTAAGTAGATTAATTTATGAATGAAAGTAGATATGAATCACAGATTTCTCTGATGTTTTCTTGGCATCACAGTAGTGCACATGTTCTTATTAACAGGGAATCTTGCCCTAGAGTATAGTCGTGTGAGAGACTTGAGCAATGTTTTGTGTTTAGTTTGAATTATCTGTGTGATACACAATCTGAAGTGTAGATTGCTTCAGTGTTCAGTTTTAAGTCCAACACTCACTATAAAGAGTTGCTTGTGATGAAATACTCTGTTGGGAATGTGATTCTATCAATACTCAAATTTGCAATTAGCAAATGTCACAAATTTAGCAAATTTACCCGTGCATATTTCACAAGCACTCAGATCTCTGATCCTGCATTCTAGGTGTATTTTTCATTCATTCATTTTTTTCAGCAGTTGTTACTGGTGCCTTTTATATGCCAAGCACCATAAATCTAAAGATGAATAAGCTAAAATCTTTGTCTGCAAGAATTTTACAATATAGAAATTTGCGGGAAGGGGTGAGACAAGTACAAATAGCTTTGTAAGTATCCTAAGAGAAAGTGTAGACTATGCATTGAGAGGGTTTGAAGGAGGACAAATTTATATTTAGGGAGGGGGCTCAAGAAGTCTTCATGAAGTAGTGATATTTAATTTTTATTTATCATGCAAAGAATTGAATATCTACGACCTACCATTTGCTATGCCAGGTACTGTGGATTTAGTGGTGTGCAAAATAGATGTGAACCCAGCTTTCGTGGCCTAGTGGGGAAGATAGACTTTAAACAAACAAAAAATAAAAAATTCCAGATGGTTTGGACTGAAAAAATAAATATGTAATTGCAAACTGGGACGATTATGGAGCAAAAAGATTACAGTGAGTAAGAAGAGGGTCTGATTTAGATTGAGTGATCTGAGAAAGCCTTTCTGAGAAAAAGACATTTATGTAAGATCTTAAAGATGAGTAGGATTTTAATTTTTAACTAGGTTAGGAGTGAAAGCATGGACATTCTAGGCAGAAAATAAAAGAGATTAATTTTAGACTTGAGTTTATTAAAGAAAATTAGATTTTAAAAGTTCACCTTTCAATATAATCCATAGGTTCACAGAAAAATAAATAAATAAAAAAACAGAAGTTCATCTATTTGTAGTTAGCATTGAAAAATATAACTAAACTGAAATTTTATTTTCCACTGTAACTTAAACAGGTAAATTTTGAAAATCTACTTTTATAGTTCACAGAATAGTATTAAAATTTATTACAATTTACAGTCCAAACAAAATTGTAATTAACAGATTAAAGAGATGCGGTAACATTACATGTATACTTTTTAAAATTTTTAGCAAAGCAAGAAAACAAAAAGCATCGCTGAAGAACTGGAACTCAGTATTTTGAAAATCAGTCACAGTCTTAATGAACTTAAGAAAGAAGTAAGTATAGTTTGAAATTTAGCCTCTTCTAATTCTTTGTGATTTTCATGTTGTATGGGTGTATGAAATACATTAGTATTATTAGTATGTCTCTGTGCCTAGAAAATGGTTTTAAAAGTTTTCCTTTGAGGCCAGGCATGGTGGCTCATGCCCGTAATTCCAGCACTGTGGGGAGGCCAAGGTGGGAGGATCACTTGAGCCTAGGAGTTTGAGATTAGCCTGGGCAACATGGCAAAACCCCATCTCTACAAAAAACACAAAAGATTAGCCAGGTGTGGTGGTTAGCACCTGTAGTCCCAGCTACTCGGGAGGCTGAAGTGGGAGAATCACCTGATCCCCAGGGCTCAAGGCTGCAGTGAGCCATGATCGCGCTACTGCACTTCAGCCTGGGTGCCAGAGTGAGACTGTGTCTCAAAAAAAGAAAAAAAAAAAAGTTTTCCTTTGACATAGTTATTTTGAAGCCATGATTTTATTAATGCCATCATTCTCAAAGCTTGCACATGAATTTTCATCACTTTATTCATAATAATAAAAAACTAATAACCTAGAATTCCATCAACAGAGGAATTGATAAATGAATTTTGGAATAATTCTACCAAATACTATTCAGTAATAAAAGAGAACAGTATTGATACATGCAACAATATGGATGAATCACTAAGACATACTAAGCAAAAGAAGCCAGGCACAAATGATTATATGTATAAAATTCCATTTAGAAAAAAACAATTCTAGAAAAGGCAAAACTAATTTATAATGACATAAATCAGATCAGTGGCTATCTTGGGTCAGAGGTTGGGGTATATTTACTGCAAAAGGGCATGGGAGGACTTTTTGGCATGATGGAAATGTTCAAAATTAGTTGTTGTGATTACATGGCTGTATATGTTCATCAAAACTCACTGAACAGTATCTTTAAAATGGGTACATTTTGTTTTATATCAATTCTATCTCACTGAAATAAATTTTAAAAGATATTCCTTTGGTTGAGAGGGTTTCCCTGTTCCCTGAATAAAAAATTGGTCATCTCATGACTTAGTTGGCCACTCTCAGGTTATTGAAAGTCCTATGGTCACTTTAAGTCAGGTGTTCACAAACTACAACTGGACCGTTTTCGTCAGTAGAGTGTATGGGGACACAATGCTGCCCATCTGTGGACCTACTGTCTACTGTTTTCTCACTACAACAGCAGAGTTGGATAGTCACAATAGGGCCTAAAATATTTACTCTCTGGCCCTTCACAGAAAAAGTTTACCAATTCCTGCTTTAAGTCACAAAACATAATCTCAGTTGAAAATTAGAATGTTAATCATTATTTAAATCTTCATTTAGTTGTAGAGCTTCTCCCCTGTTCCCTGTTTTCCCAGCTCCAACTAGATAGAGCTGGGAAGATGTGGTCTCTTCTCCCTTTTTCACTTTCCTCACCCTCCGTTACGTAGCTGTTGTTGATTTTTGTCAGGTTGTGGCATAGAGAGAGAAGAGAGAAAGTTGAGAGGCAGAAGGTTTTTAGTGACCAGCACCCTTATCAAATGGCTTTGGGCTTGGTAGACATTTACAGTGGACTCTCACTCTCATGGATACCTTAGTGGTTCTTCAGAGGCTTTCCTGTTGCCCCCCCTACCCCCACCCCTGCCCCTCAACCCCTTTATCCTGTTGCTCCCTGCGCTTTGAGGCATGCCTGGAGGAGGGAGTCACAGTGGGCACCCAGCAGCTCTCCAGACAGACCCTCCTCACACAGACCTCTCATTTCCCTTAGCTGTGCTTTCTTAATTCTTTTATTTTTATTTATTTATTTTTTTGAGATAGAGTCTCACTCTGTTGCCCAAGCTGGAGTGCAGTGGCGTGATCTTGGCTCACTGCCACCTCTACCTCAGGGGTTCAAGCGATTCTCATGCCTCAGCCTCCCGAGTAGCTGGGATTACAGATGCACGCCACCACGCCCAGCTAATTTTTGTATTTTTAGTAGAGATGGGGTTTCACCATGTTGGCCAGGCTGGTCTCAAACTCCTGACCTCAAACGATCCACCTGCCCTGGCCTCCCAAAGTGAGCCACTGCACCCAGGCTTAATTCCTTTATATTCTTGAAGACGGTCAAGGGCTCAAGACAATGAAATTAGAATTTTAAAAAAATTTTCTTATTTTTGAGATGGGGTCTCACTTTCTTGCCCAGACAATGGTGTGAACATGGCTCACTGCAGCCTTGACCTTCTGGTCTCAAGTGATCCTCCTGCCTCATCCTCCCATGTAGCTGGGCCACAGGTGCATGCCACCATGTCTGGCTAATTTTTTGTAGAGATAGGGTCTCACTATTATAAGCTCAGGCTGGTCTTGAACTCCTGGGCTCAAGCAGTGTTTCTGCCTTGGCCTCCGAAAGGGCTGGGATTACAGGTGTAAGCCATCATGCCTGGCTGAAATTGGTTTTTGGATGTTTCTTATATAAATTTTATACGTGGTGATCTGTTTCACATCTTACTTGGCACTGATATGTCTATTGAAATCTCCATTTAAACATCCTGTTAAACATAGAAAGACATGGTTTTCTATGCTTTATAAAAAGCCTGCTGCCCTTGACACAAGGAAAAAAACAAAACAAAACAAAAAAGAAAGAAAAAAGCCTACCCATTTCATTCCAGACTATTCAGTTTTAACCAAAGTATTGTTAAAATCCTGACTGTCAGTAGAAGATGATCTCCTTGTGATAAACTGAGTGGCTTTCCACAGGCTTCATTTTCATTACCTCTTATATGGGTATATCCATGTCAACCTCATAGAATTCTTGTAAGGATTAAGGGAGATAATGTATATAAGGCTGCTGTCAGGACGTTGCATAGAGCAGGAACTTTGCGTTTGTCCTGCCTCCCTCTCTTACACGTGACAAGAGTTACATGACCTTGGCAAGACACAGTCTCTGTGGAGCTGTTTCGTAGTCTGTAAAATAAATGACTGGCATTAGATATTCTCTAAGGTCCTGCTGGTGAAACAAAATCTTTTTAAGTTCTTATGTGGCATTTAGTTTCCACGGAAAGTGAATTTTAGTTTC
Organism: Homo sapiens; assembly: GCF_000001405.40. NCBI lineage: Eukaryota > Metazoa > Chordata > Mammalia > Primates > Hominidae > Homo > Homo sapiens. The sequence goes on along the minus strand of NC_000009.12, from coordinate 108,973,921 downwards.
TTTGTTTCTAACTGTAATTATTCTCACTTAGTTGCATGAATGCAGAGGGTATCCTATTGTTAATTTTGGAGACAATCCTCTAATTTGAATTGAGATTGGATTACTTCCAGGAAAAAAGAAATCACTTCATTCAAATAGATTTAATTCAAAGTCAGATTTTTCTGAGAACAATGTTATTAAAAATGATCTATTTCTGGACAACCCCAAAATAACCTGTCACATCATTAAAAAAAAAAAAAAAGGCAAGATAAGAAGAAAAGATTTTGGAGTTAATAGTGTCCAAAGATATCCAGTAAGAGTGAGCCAGGCATTCCACACAAAGTCAATAAAACCATGGGGTTCGTGTTACCCTTTAATCTATTGTTTCTCCTGGGACCCAATTTGTTCATAGAGGCAGAGAGTACAAGATCTGGATGGCAACTATAGACAGATTCTAACCTCCCTGAGGGCAGGGGTTGTGTCCTACTTGTCATGTATGCCCAGCCTCTAGTACAGTGCTACAGTGCTTGCCATGATATAGGTATTTAATAAAATTTATTAAATTTATTGAATCTCACATTGGTACTTTTTCAAAAGTATGCTAAAGAACTTATTAATGATCACAAAGTGCCAATTTTCTTAGTACTCTAAATATTGCACTCTTAATACTCTTAATACTGTTTCATTCCTCACCAACTTTAAGATTAGCAGAAGCATTTTTCACCTAAGGGAAAAGCTACATGGGAAAGAGCTGGTTGATAACAGAATGAAAAAGGGACAAGGGTATTCAGCCATTGAATACCCAGTTCATCTTCTAGAAACAGCATTACCACTGGCACCAGGGGGTTAAAGGATGAATTAGATATCACTCCTGCCCTTGAGAGAAACTGTAAGCTCACCAGTGCTACACAACTCCTACTGTTACACAGGGAACTTTACACCCTCCCCTCAGTGGAACCCATGGAACTGCTTTGCGGCTTCTCTTTATTAATAGTTTTTAAAGTGCTGATGTGGTGCTTGGTCACAAAATGTTATTGTTTGTTTTCTTTCCTTCATCACCCTTCTCCTTCTCCACCCTCCCACCCCCCCACCCACACACACATCTGCAGCTTCATAGTACAGCGACACAGCTGGCAGCAGATCTATTAAAATACCATGCTGATCATGTGGTTCTAAAAGCATTAAAACTTACTGGAGTAGAAGGAAATTTAGAAGCTTTGGCTGAATATGCCTGTAAACTCTCTGAACAGAAAGAGCAGCTTGTTGAGGTGAGTAAACAAGGTGCTAAAGAAATTGTAGTTTAATAATGGCTTTATTAAACTATGTGGGAATGTTAACACAAATACAGTTTTGGGTTAATTTATCTGAGCATTTTCTCTCTCCTTTGGCATCTTAAAAGCATACCATGTATCTGTTCTGTTCCTGCAACAGTCTGGCCTCTAAAACAAAACAAAAAAAATGCTAAGACCCACAAATGAACTTCTTAATCTTCTTTTCCTTATCCTCTCAGAGAAGTTAGACCTTGGAGTAGAGCCATGGAGGTACGTCGTATGACCTTGTTTCTGTTTGAATCTGTCAGGGTCTCAGCAGGGAGGAGATGACACACTCAAATTAGGACAATTTGAAGAGAGTTTAATAAAGAAGCTGTTTACAATTGCATAGACAGGGCATGGGGGAAACCATACATGAGAGAGCAGTAATTGGGGCGAGTGGTAGCAAGGCTGGTACCACCCCAGGCCCACATCAGCAGGGGAATGTGGAATGGGGAAGCCTTTCAGAGAACTGCCTTGAGAGGTTTGTGATTTTAGGACTAGGCCCAGAGACAGCCCAAGGTGACCCTCCCGGGAGGAGCATGGGAGTCAAGGCCCATTCTCTCCTCAGTCCTGCTCATCTGTGGATGGGGCTTCCCATTGGATATCCCATTAGGATAATCCTAATAATCCAAACATAGGTGTAGACAATATAAGTCAGTCTCCCAGGGCAAAAGGCAGATGTGAGAAGGGAGGAGAGCAGTTAAGGAGGGACAATGAGAAGACATCTGGCACATGATTCCAAATCTTAATTATGAGTTACTGATGCTTCACCTGATACTTGTGTTATAATTCCAGTTAGGCTTATTAATTGATATTCTGAGCCTTCTGCCTATTGAAAATGTCAGATATCTACTAGAAAAAAAACCCAACTGTATTAGTCTGTTCTCACTCTGCTGATAAAGACATACCCAAGACTGGGTAATTTATAAAGAAAAAGAGGTTTAATGAACTCACAGTTCCACATGGCAGAGGAGGCCTCATAATGAAAGCAGAAGGCAAAGGAGGAGCAAAGGCACATCTTACATGGCAGTAGGCAAGAAAGTATGTACAGGGGGGGAACTCCCATTTATGAAATCATCAGATCCCATGAGACTTATTCAATATCACAAGAACAGTATGGAGGAAACTGCCCCCATGATTCAGTTACTTCCACCTGGTCCCGCCTTTGACATGCGGGGATTATTACCAATTCAAGGTGAGATTTGGGTAGGGACACAGCCAAACCATATCAACAACCAAACAAAAAACGGAACCCATGTATAGCTTGTATGTATGAGGTATTTGCTAGCCAACATGTGTATAAATGCACAGATATGAACCATCTAGCTATCTTCACATAATCTAACATACCCTGTTCACCAAATCTCAAAGACTAATGGTTAGAAGGAACCTTTAGACTAATTGAACTGGCTTCCTCTTCTTTACTTGTTTACATAGGAGCCAAAAAACTTCTGGGGGAACATTCTTAAAATGACTGTAGATATAGCTTCTTCATTTAATAAATTTGATGCTGCTATGTTTATAAACCAAATATTATAACTATAGGGAAACTGCTTATTTTAGGAATCTTGCAGCAAATCTTTTTAACATTGAAAAAAAAAATGTTCTCTGATTTTCTGTTTTAAGCGTCAAGATTTTCAGTAATTTCCTCTGATATAGGGTCTGTCCTTATTATACCAGTCTGCCTAATCCAATGTTAGCTCCATTGGAAGACAGTGTTGATAGAACATGTAGCTTGTAGTAACTCTGACATAGTTTAGCTGTGAGACCTTGGGCAAGTTACTTCTCTGAGCCAAATTTCTTTTTTTTTTCCCAAATTTCTTTATATATAAAATATGTGGGCACTACTAGGTCTTTCCAAAGGTTCTTTCTGTTTTAATATTCTGTAACCACCTTGCCATGATTGGATAGGAAGTAGAAACAATGTTATACCTTTATTGATATCTGCTTTGTTCCCAGAGAATCTGTTGGTGACCAATATAATATTATAATAATCTTCTCAGTAATGTTTAAGTTTATTTTAATAGGTTTTAAGAAATTTTATTTGTAAAATTTTCTTTTTAATTATAAAATGATACTATGTATTGTGGAGGATGAGGATGTGAAAGTTAAACTGTAGACATATTGTCTTGTAGACCTGTCGATTGTTACGACACATATCTGGGACAGAACCTCTGGAAATAACCTGTATACATGCAGAGGAGACATTTCAGGTGACTGGCCAACAGGTATGATAATAGCAGATTGCTCCTTCTGTATTGTGTCCTATCTGAGTGTTATAACAAGTTGTGTGGATGGAAGGTATAAATGGTTTTTCATAACTAGAGTCCAAATATACATAGAGAAAGAAAGATAATGGAATTTCTGTTGGTAGTGTGCCAGAACATGGCTAACCTTCCATTGGAGCTGGTCATCTGCCAAATTGGAGACTGGTTCATTTAATTAATACTCTAGTTTATATCTATTTTAAAGGAAGCTGTTTACAATGCACTTGTTATAACATGTTTGGAGATTAAGTTATCATGACATAAGAAGCCATATGTTATGTAATATTCACATTTCAACCTAAGATTCAAATACATTTCATGCTAATAATTAGGACATGAGACTAAAACACAAACAAAACAATGTTATGACATTACTTACAAGATTCAATTGGGACCAGGCATGGTGGCTAACACCTGTAACCCAGCACTTTCTGAGGCTGATGTAGGAGGATCGTTTGAGTACAGGAGTTTGAGACTAGCCTGGGCAACACAGCAAGACCCTCTGTCTACAAAAAATAAAAAATAAAAACAAACAAACAAAAATTACCCATGTACAGTGGTGCTTACCTATAGTCCTAGCTACTCAGGAGGCTGAGGCAGGGGGATAGCTTTAGTCCAGGAGTTTGAAGCTGTAGTGAGCTATGATTGTGTCACTGTACACCAGGCTGGGTGACAGAGCAAGAGTCTATATCTGGGGGAAAAAAAGATCCAATCAGAAGCAAAATAACTATCTTAAATTAGGCAAATAGTACATTATAGTGTTAAAATAATAATTATGATAACCAGAATTAGCAACCACTGAAAGAATGTTCTGTTCAATGTTAAATGAAAAAAGTAGGGTACAGATTTGTATGTATACAAATTATTCCCATAATTTCATATGTATAGAGAATATATACATATGAAAATACCTATATGACAATATCCTTGTTTAGCTAGGGTTTTTTTCTGGATTTTCTATAGTAGAGGTATTCATTTGTCCTTATAATTTTCAAAAGCCTTTTTAAAACTGATTATCTCATTTAATACTGTTCCTGTCAAATTAATCTAAGGAAAATGGTTAAAGACAGAGCTTCCTCCTTTTTTTTTTTTTGAGACGGAGTCTAGCTCTGTCGCCCAGGCTGGAGTGCAGTGGCGCGATCTTGGCTCACTGCAACCTCCGCCTCCTAGGTTCAAGCGATTCTCCTGCCTCACCCTCCTGAGTAGCTGGGATTACAGGCATATGCCACCACGTCTGGCTAATTTTTTTATTTTTAGTAGAGACAGGGTTTCACCATGTTGGTCAGGCTGGTCTGAAACCCCTGACCTCATGATCCCCCCGCCTCGGCCTCCCAAAGTGCTGGGATTACAGGCGTGAGCCACTGCACCCAGCTGTTTCCTTCTTTCTTAGAGTCTAAGCTCTAAAATAACGTTTTGCAGTTGTTCTTTTGTTTATTTTTTTAAATATTATTTATATTTTAATTTATACTTTATTTATATTCATTTATTTACTGTCAGCCAAAAGGATTCCTCCTAACTTGCAATATTGGGCAGTAGAGGTTGAGTCCCTGCATCTTTGATTTATAGCTGAGAACAGTGCAAGTGACCTAGACTCAACGATGGTGTGTGCCCTCTAGGAGAATCATGTTGGATGTTGGAGGGATGATCTCATGCTCTCCTGTAGAGAACAGTGTCAAAGGCTTATCATGAAAGCAGGAACTATATGAATGAACCTCCACAATGATTATCTGCTGAACACTTTATTACAACCAAGGGATCTGTTTACTGGGAGAAACTGTGTCTTCAATATTGGCATGGGAGTCACTTTTCTTGCCTTGGCTGCAAAAGTATTCCAATAGAACTGGAGGGCTTGACTCTCCTGCCATATGCAATCAGTTGTTGCTCCTATCCTCAGGCCCTGCTTGCCATCTGGTTGCAATTTTTGGTTTATTGTTTTATTGCAGCAGAGATATTAGGAATAGCCATATTTTCTTCCCCAGGATAGTGGCAGAGCATGTTGTTAATAACCTGCATAACTTGAGAAGCTTTTTCTGTTCCCAAAGCCTTAGCTTCCACTCCTAGTCTTTGCCATCTGCCTCACAAAAGGATAATTTAAGGACATTGAGCATGCCTCTGGGATAATTTATTTCTGGATATCTCTGCTTTGGCAATGTTATTTTTATACTTCCTTTAAAATGTTAGACATACTGAGGGAACAGTTGAACAGTTTGTACACTAGTTGAGAGGAGAGCAATGCCAAAATCTAGCCTGTAGTCCATGGCAAGTTATGTGCCTGCTTTCCCTGAAGAGGGGAACCTTGTTCTTATAACACTGCCATCTGCTTGGCAAGTGCTGTGCCTGTGACACTATGCCCACCCCAGAGGGAGGAACAGCTAGCTGTAATTCATTCAAAGGTACCAACTATTAATATATTAGCTAACATGGCCCTGTAATTCATTCAAAGGTACCAACTATTAATATATTAGCTAACATGGCCCTGATCATATTAATCTTCTGTAAGTTCCCCAATGACTTTCTCACTCAGAAGAAAATCCAGTCCTTACCATCTATGCTTCTCCATTACATGGCCACTGGCCACCTTCCTCTTGCTCATGTCAGTCTGTTCCTCTGGCTTACTTGCTGTTCCTTGAACACTCCAGAAGTGTTTCTGCCCCATCCCAAATGACTTCCCCTCGATTTTCCTGTAGCTCCCTCACCTTTTCAGTGACTCTCTAACTTAAAATACTGTGACCACCTAATCCCCTCCATCATTCTCACCCTTTATTTTGATACATATTTTTATTCCCTTCTAAAATATTTTATAATTTATTTTAATTGTGTCTCTCCCACTGCTTGTTATAATGTGAGTCCCATGAAGCCAGGGACATTTATCTGTTTCATTCACAGCTGTTTCCCCAGCACCTGGAACGTGGGCACAGTGCCTACTAGTATGTAGTGGGTGAATGAATAGTCATGTTAGTTGTATACATGTGTGTGTGAATAATCCCATATAATCAACTCCATGGAACAACAACATCACTTGTTAGTAATGGGCATCTCTATCACATTATCCTATTAATTTCCCTCATAGCAGTTATCATAATTTATAGTATTTTAATTGTGTGCTTGTTTATAGTTCCAAATCTCCACTAGAGTATAAGCTTCATAATAGAGGGCTTTTATCTTCTTTTTTTATCACCTTATCCCCAGCACCTAGCATGATTTTTTCACATAGTGGATTCTCTAAAATACTACTTACTAGATGAGTATTTGATATAATATCCCCAGTCTGTGAAACAAGAAGGTAGACAGAATCAGTGCCTGTTGTCATGAATAGAAGGTGAAAGTGGTAGAAGGGAAAGGATCTGCTGTGAACATATCAAGACTGAACTCTGAATTCCTAGCTCCTGGATCTTTGTGTGTGTGTGTTTTATGTAATGGGCCATCAGGAAATTTCAGTAGGTTGGGTCTGGTCGATGGCTTCTATTTTGAGGTAGAAGCTAAAGTGTAATTTCTACTGAATGTCAGGTCAGGAGGTGTGTGAAGACTCAACCCAGCCATCCATTTTCTGCCTATATTACAATTAGCATCCATCAAGTCCTTTGTGTTAGAGAGTGATTATTATATGAAAGATAAAATGTTAGTTATTCATTAATTCATTCATGTAGTAGCTAACACTAAATAAAACCCCAAATGCCAAAATCTCAGGCTTAATATAATAGCAGTTTATTTCTCACTTGTATTAAGTCCTGATTAATGGTATGTCTTTCTCCCTCTTGGCAATCCGGTCCCCTTTCATTTTGTGCCTCGCTAGCCCTCAGGACCTCAAAGTCCCTACTGGAGCCTGTGCATTGAACCATCAGATGTGGAAGGGAGAGAGCACTGAGGGGCACGAGGGAGGTTTGGATCAGTTAGGATGGAAGTGGTGACCCACATTCAAGTGGGGACAGAACTCAGTCTCGTGGCCATATGTCTCCACCAGGGAGGCTGGGAAATGTAATCTTCCTATGTATCCAGAGGGAAGACAAACAGATTTTGATGAAAACATAGCAGTCTCTGCAACAATTTATTTATTTATTCAACACATTTATTTAGCCCATGTGGTGGTACGTAAAAGTACCAGGATGATTTCTGCCCTCTTTACAAGTGTTTTGTGAGTGGCAGTGTGATGTGATGGAAAGAGCCTGAACTTGGATCAGGTAGATCTGAGTTTAGATATCAACTCTGTGTATACTCGTAATAGGGTCTGGCACAAGTTACTGGGTATCTCGGAGCTTCAACTTTTCCAGCTGAAAAATGGAATAATGCTTATTTGGAAAAAGTAGTATTTTATTTGTATATTTTGGGGGATATTAATGTATTAATGTATCTCAAACACCAAACAGTATCTCAAGCATGTATCTACCAAGTACTCATGGGTGTGTATATATGTTACTTATTATTATCACTACCATTCCTACTATTACCACTGCTACTACCACCACCACTATTACTGCTACCTTTGCTACTCTGTATACAGTACACTTTTTGTGGTCTGAGTATAACTGTTTGAATTATTCTATGGGAACAACTTTGTTCAAACAGAGTTTTACTTGAGTGAAGAGAATTGCTCCCTGAATGCAGGTTTGTATATAATAATGCATACTATTTGTCTGCAGGTCAGATTATAAGAAACAGCAAATTTTGTCCTACTGTGCATCTTCATATTGCCCAACATGGAGCTTGTGTATAGAAATTACTTCATAGTTGTTTATTGAGTTGAATTGAACAGCAGACTTACTTACCTTTGGTCTTCAAAGTGATTCTGAGGGCTAAGATTTTGAAATTCACACAGGTGTATATTGTGTTTCTTTAGATAATTTCTGCTGCTGAAACATTGACATTGCATCCATCTAGTAAAATTGCTAAAGAAAACCTAGATGTATTTTGTGAAGCTTGGGAATCCCAAATTAGTGACATGTCAACACTGCTGAGAGAAATCAATGACGTGTTTGAAGGAAGACGAGGTGAGAAACTGTCCACATAATGAAATATGTTATTATTTTAATGTAACTCTTGTTAGTTTTTTAATGCCAAACCTCAACTGCAAATGAATTCTTGTCGTAACCCAGCTGGGTTATTTTTGTAGTAAAATATTGTTCACAAAAAAATTACAAAAATATTATTTTATCCTCCTTTATTTTAGTATCCAAGCAGTAAAGTTTGTTGTACAACAGTGTAGTAGGCCAGGTGTGGCGGCTCACACCTGTAATCCCAGCGCTTTGGGAGGCCAAGGCAGGTGGATCACTTTGAAGCCAGGAGTTCGAGCCCAACCTGGCCAACATGGTGAAACCCTGTCTCTACTAAAAATACAAAAATTAGCCGAATGTGTTGATGTGCGCCTGTAATCCCAGATACTACGGCTGAGGCACGAGAATCACTTGAACCCGGGAGGCGGAGGTTGCAGTGAGCTGAGATGGCGCCACTGCAGTCCAGCCTGGGCGACAGAGCAAGACTCTGTCTCAAAAAATAAATAAATAAATAAATAAATAAATAAATAAAACAAACAGCATAGTAGATCTCTGAATTAATATTAACATCCTAGTTTTCCTATTGAAATAGTCATTTTTAAATTTCTTCTGAATTGTTTTTTAATTATAATACAACAGCTCTTCTATAATGCAGTAATTCTATGTTTTAATTCTACTAACTTCATAATGAAATGAATGTAGTTATTTGATTTTTGAATTGCTTTCCTTCCACTTGGATGGAATCTCTTTCCTTGATGACTACATAATCTTGGAATATTGCCTGTGGTGGGTAAGTTCATTGGTATTTCTACAACATGTAGAATAGTGCCATACAATGTATAGGAAGGCATCATTTTTATTCTTTATTTTAATACCGAGTGGAAGTTTTGTTTATTTTCCATTGTACTGTGTGTCCTGTTATTTATATTTACATGTTTATATTTTTTCTCTTCAAATGGCTTCTGTAGTGTCAAAGCTTGCTTATTTTTTTAAATAAAATGTCATTTACAATTATATCAAATTACATATTTTTTATTGAGTATGCCCATTTAAACATTTCATATTTTAAAAATACTCATTTAGGATAAATGTTAATTTGCTTAAAAATCAGGGCATAATAGAATTATAGCTATAACATCATTTGTAAAGTATGATAAATGTTTACCATGCTTCCACATTTAAAAATTTCTGTGATAGTCTGAATGGCAAATCATTTTGATGCTTTGTATTTATAGTTACATAGATTTTCATATGAGCCAAATTTTGGATATTAAAAGGTAAATGATATAATTGATCCACTTTTAAAAAGAAGAGTGGTCACTTAGCCTTAGGGACTGTTGGGAAATGAAGAGAAGTGGCTTGCTGTTGTGATAAGATACCTGGTGTGGGTTATCCTGGAGTATCTGTAAGGCCCAGGTCTTTCTCAAACTGGTGTTAGGCAAGCTTTTCCCTGCTCCGGGCCCAAGTGTCCTTGACTCAATAATGAAAGTCTTAGGCTCAGTGATCTCAGTGACCTGTCAGCTCTAAAAGTCTTTTGTGAGCACTACCTGAAGTTAGTGTACTTTCGACTTCTGGGCATGAATATACCCTGCACTGTGTCTTTATCCTGGCTGGCTCTCTTTAAAGGCCAGAGGAATATTGTCTTCTGGCTTTATCAGTTGTCATCAGCCCATGACATCAGCCCAGTAGGGAGGCTGGAGGAGTGCCACAGGATGGCTATTTTTCTGGCATGTGACTGACTTTATGTACTTGTAAACGTGTTCCACGTGCACTGTGAGAAGCTTTACTAATAGCTGCAGCCATTCTGGAAAGAATATGGCATCAATCCTGGCCAGCTGATTCTCCTCTTTACCAGAACACCATTGAGCTTAGTACAGGTATCTCCTATAGTGTTTTCAGTGCTGAAGAGGTTTGTGTTTTCATTCTTGTAAACATGGGCTATGGCTGAGTTTTCATTACTTGTACTTCTTCCATGTCCCTAGGCCAGTGAGTTCATCATCATCTGAAATGGATATGGTTCTAGTTTTCTTGACCAAGGGCCTGAGCCCCCTTCCTCTTTGTGTTTGAGATGCTCGCAGTTTCTAAATCGGGCTGTTCTACCAGCATTTTGGTCTATTTTCTTCTCTCTTTTATTTCCATAAGAAGAGGAGTTATAACAGGCTTTTCCCCCCTCTCAAGAAAGATAGCAGTCATTTAACAGTTATTCTCTGCCTTAATCCCAGGCGATGTTCTGAGTAGCAATTACGGTAGCAATTAGAGGTTGATAAGCTTGGCAAGGGGGTTTTCTTTCTATAAATATAAGTAATTTTTTTCCTTAAAACAGAAAACAAACCCAAGTTGCATTTTCCATCAAGGGGTCTCTTCCTTCCTCTGAGATCTGAGTGCTAATCTCATGTTAGGGATAGAATTGGGTAGAAGTTGAAATACAGGTTCTGAAGTGGACTGCCTAGGTTCCAATCCTGCCTCTGCTATTTCCTAACTTAATCTCTCTATGCTTCAAGTTTTACATCTGCAAAATGGGGATAATGATGACAAAACTACCTAATATGGTAAGTGTGAAGATTAAATAAAATAAGTTAATTCACAGTAAATTCTCAACAAGTGTTACCTCTATCAGCATCAGCATCATGACCACTGTTACCTTGTGGTAAAACTAAATAGTTTATGAGAAAACATTAGGTCCAATTTCTCTTACTTAATCTCAATCTCTCCTACTTTCTGGCATCCATCTCTCCCTATGTCCTTTCTCCTACTCTAGGGAGGACTAGCCAGTCTGGCCCCACCGTAGAAAACCTCTAGATCTGCAGAAGCAAAGGTAAACTCCTTGCTTCTTTGTACAAATGAAGCTCATCCCTTCTCCAATGGTGAACTGACACCCTCTGAAAGATTCCTCTCACCGGACATCTAATGCAACATTAATTCAGTGTTCTCCTTTTCTGTCTCTGAGATTTGCCTTTCTTCTACCAAAGTTAGGCTCTTTAAAAAAAATAGCTAGGGAAGTTTAAGGAAAAGTAAAAGCCACAGGCTACTAGGGTCTTTGTGGGTAAAATTGTAAACATGATCCTTCAGAGGCCCGTGACTATTATAACCATAAAAATAATAGTAGCTGCCATCTCTTGAGAATGTACTGGGTTCCAGGTACTTTCATAAGTGCTGGATGTCCATTTTCTCATTTAATCCTCTCAGTAACCCTGGAGACAGGTATTATTTCCACATTTTATGAATGATGAAACTGAGGCTCGAAGTATCCCACAGTGAGTAAACTATAGGAGCTGGGACCCTTACTGAGGTTTGAATGATGCCAAAGATGAAATTTTATTAACTACCCATACTCTATTACTCAAGCAGTTAAACTCCACTCCAATCCTAAAGTTTTCTAATGAGAATGAACCAATTCTGTGAAAAATGCTCACAACTGCAGCTCTGAGTTCTGCTTTTTTCCCTCCCAAAGCTATTTCAGAAATGACTGAGAGATCCCAGGAAGTACAGGGCAAGGAACAAGTAATGACTGTATTCTTGTTTTGGTTGGTCCACTTATTGGCTGAGGATGGGGCCAGCTAAATTACAGAAGAGGTAAAACAATCTGTTAGTAATGGAATCCTGGGCACATTACCTGCCCTTTTGAGTTTGTTTCTTTATTTCAATGGATGTAAATGAAATAATGTGTAATACTGCTTGCACATCCTATGCCTGTTTTCAGACTATGTGAGCACTGTGGTTTCTTTTACTTTCAAGCTGGATATTATGTAAATAATCTCTTCTTTAGGTTCAGTTAACTTATGTTAAAAAAAATCAGCATTACCCAAACTTCCTAAGGACTGAACAGAAATTCCTTCTTACGTGGGAAACGCCTCAGCCTTCAGTCAATGAGACACTTATTGTTTCACTGGGAAAGTGCCTCTCTGTTCAGGAAGGGTTTATGTAGGTTTCACTGAGATGGAGTTGGTTGATTGTGTGTACTGCCTTTATTTGTCCTGATTTTTATCATGAACCTCATGAGCATAGCTTTTTCCTCAAAGAAGTCCATCTCTGGGTTAACCATTCTGACTGAACTGAATCCAGTGCCACAGTGTTGTTCTTCCTGTTATGCATGGTTGATGTGACAAACCTGCTCATTACCTTGCACCTGCCCACTGCTTTCCATACAAAGGTGTATTCTTCAGGTCCTGATTTCTCTTTGCTGCTGTTATGACTCCTGTTATGACTATTGTTGAAAAGCCTTTGCTGTATTCTAGCCACCTTAGTTCTGCTCTGCATAACTTGCCTCCTGTGATTGGCAAACTACCAGGCATACTTGTAAGTATCATTCAACCATCCAACTAAGTGGTAAACATCACGCTAAGCAATAGGAGGGAGGCTTTAGTGTTCACATGCTAAAAGTTAGTCTGAGACCTAGGTCATTGTCCACCTTAACCCCAGACACTGAAATTTCACACTAGGACCTCCTGGGATTGTTTCAAGAAGGTAAAAATCAATACTTGTCTTCCTGTCTTCTGCTTTCATCCCATTCTGCCTTCTCACCCAAACCTCCAGGGAGGCTGTGGTCCTTGTATTAGAAGGGACCACACCTAAAAGACTCCACTTTTCCTTAGTGGTGAATATGTGTCAGTTTAGAATTTGAGATTATTTTGGATAATAAGTGTCAGAAAAAAGCCTTATCTCAGAGCTTGCGGTCTCTATCCTTCCTTTAAGGAAGCTGAATTCCCTTTGTTCTATTTCAATCATTTCAGAGTAAATATGACTACGCTTCAGTTTATAGAGATGCAGCTCTAACTAAACTATGTAGGGCAGTTATGATCACAATCGTGCCAAGAATCTTAATTTGGTTTTCAGTTCTGTAACTACTTTTCTCATTTTCCTGGCAGCCCTATTTCATAGCCCTGCATTTACATTATCGTTTGGCAGATTGGATGCCACTAAAAATGGGGGTACAGGAAGATAAACATGTTCGTGGGTAAAGATGAGTTTGTTTGGGGATGGTAGGAGCCTGCAACAAGGGAGTGATCTATCCAGAGAAGAGACGATGGTCTATACTAGGGTGATGATAGTCAAGATGAAGATAAGGGGACTAAGAAGAATTTAAAAACTAATATTGGTAGGGTTTATTGGTCAATTGAATATAGAGGTGAGGGAGAGGGAGGAGTTGGAGGATGATAGCTGGGTTTAGATTAGAATACCTCATTCCTGCTCCTGAGTTTAGCTGATAAGCTGCCTATGCTTTAGTGGTCAGGGATTCATTTTAAGTGGGTCTGGGGACATTAATTTTTTGATTGATCATACCATATAGAGTGCCTCCAGAACTAAAGATAGCTAATTATAAGAAATGTGAATCAGGGATAATTTAGCACATTTTCAGTGAAATGATAAGGCTTTTCCATTCTTGGGGAATTCGATTTATTTTGTAGATATACAGAAAGGCTCTATATATTGTAACTGAGAACATTTCTCAATTAGGTTTTCATAAGAAATAATTTTAGTGCTCCCTTAAGATGAGAGGGCCTTTAAACTTAATTGTGAACTTAATTTATCTGAAGGTATAAACTCAGAAGATGGCACAATTGTAGTGTTGACTAAACAGGATTTAGGGAGTATTAAACATACAATACCTCGTTGAGGACAGTGCTTTGAAGACAATTCTATATATCAGATCTGTACTAAGTATATTTTCTCCAAATAGTCCTGTTTTTCCAACTATTTTTAATGTTTATAATATGATAGAGTTTTGTTTATGCTACTTCTTTGATATAACAGCTAAACATAATTTAGCCAGTTTATTTTATTATTATTATTATATTTTGGAGACAGGGTCTCACTTTGTCACCCAGGCTGGTGTGCAGTGGTGTGATCATAGCTTACTGCAGCCTCAAACTCCTGGGTTCAAGGGATCCTCCCACATATCTAGAACTACAGGTGCTGGCCACCATGCCCAGATTTTTTAATTTTTTTCCCCCAGAGATGGGAGTCTCGCTGTGATACCCAGGCTGGTCTTTTTTTTTTTTTTTTTTTTTTTGATATGGAGTCTCGCTCTGTCACCCAGGCTGGAGTGCAGTGGCGTGATCTCAGCTCACTGCAAGCTCTGCCTCCCGGGTTCATGCCATTCTCCTGCCTCAGCCTCCCAAGTAACTGGGACTACAGGCGCCCACCACCACACCCGGCTAATTTTTTTTTTTTGTATTTTTAGTAGAGACAGGGTTTCACCGTGTTAGCCAGGATGGTCTCGATCTCCTGACCTCATAATCTGCCTGCCTCAGCCTCCCAAAGAGCTGGGATTACAGGCATGAGCCACCATGCCCAGCCTACTCAGGCTGGTCTTCAACTCCTGGCCTCAAGTAACCCTCCCGCATTGGCCTCCCAAAGTGCTGGGATTATGAACATGAGCCACCGTGCCTGGCTGAGCCAGTTTATTCTTTTTTTTTTTTTTTCTGCTTAGAATCAACGGCAATAATTAGATTCACATGGAAATAACATCTATAATTAGCCGAGCGTGGTGGTGTGCACCTGTAGTCCCAGCTACTCAGCTACTCAGGAGGCTGAGGCACGAGAATCGCTTGAACCCAGGAGGTGGAGGTTGCAGTGAGCCGAGATTGCACCACTGCACTTTAGCCTGGGTGACAGAGTGAGACTCTGTCTCAAAAAAAAAAGAAGTGGGAAATAACATCTATAAAAAAATTGGGAAATAACATCTATAATTAACTATAATTTAGATCTCTTGTTAGTATTAGATTGCTTTTTCTTGTGTTATTGTCAACTTGTTTGGTTTCTGTTGGAACTGGGGGAAAGAGGAAGAATCTTACCTGCATAGTATGTGGAGGAGGCCTATCTGAAAAAATGATCAATTTTGCAATTATCCTCAAATTCGTATAAATCATGCAGAGTCTAACTAAAGGATGGGAATAGGAAGCAAAACAAAGTATCTGTAAGAGGACCAGAGGGATTAGAACTATCAAGTGATAAATACTACTAGGTGGATGAAAATAGTAGCAAATCAGGTTACATAAAAGCTTTCTTTTCATTGGATTTATTTCTCAATGCATTTATTTATACATTCTACTTGCTTTAACTCTGTGGTATCTTAGAGATATAAGAGATACCGAAACAGTTGGTTTTGCCCCAACTTGTGGAGAGTAAATATGAACATTTTAGGGCCATGGGCACTATAGATGATTACTAAGTTAGATAATACAAGATTACTCCTGTAGCTGATGACATTTAAGTAATG
This sequence comes from Homo sapiens, assembly GCF_000001405.40. Taxonomy (NCBI): domain Eukaryota; kingdom Metazoa; phylum Chordata; class Mammalia; order Primates; family Hominidae; genus Homo; species Homo sapiens. Next base: position 108,958,155 of record NC_000009.12, on the reverse strand, counting down.
ATAGTGCCCTTTCAAAATTCAAAATTCTTTTTTCTTTATTATTTATTTATTTTTAGTACTTTCCCACTTTGTTTTTTTTTTTTTTTTTTTTTGAGACAGTCTTGCTCTATCACCCAGGCTGAAACAAAACAAAACAAAAAACAGAAAAAAGAACAGACTACAGGCATGCACCACTACGCCTGGCTAATTTTTGTATTTTTAGTAGAGATGGGGTGTCACCATTTTGGCCAGGCTGGTCTTGAATTCCTGACCTTGGGTGATCCACTTGCCTTAGCCTCCCAAAGTGCCAAGATTACAGGCATGAGCCACCATGCCCGGGTTCCTACTTCTGTTTAATGTGCCCTTTATAATATGCTAAGAGCACTTTTTAAAGGATATTATGGACAGGATTCAGACTTTGAATTAAGATAGATGGTGAATTTTGAAATTCTGAGTGACCGGAAGACTATCTTCTGTTAATATTGCAACTAAATCGAGCACTTTTCACATCAGAGCTTAGAGCCAAGGCATGAAAATAGCCTCTTCCTTTTTAAGTTTTTTCCCCTCACCATTCTGAAATCAGAAAGCCATTAATTAATAAAATTCCCTTACAATTTTGACATTACAAGGAAATGATTTGAATCATAAAGCTATTCCCAAGTACCATTAACTCACTCTTAGTAACAGTTCTTCTTCTAGATCAGCACTGTCCAAGAGAAACAGAACGTGACACACATATATAATTTGAAATTTCCTAGGCTAGGCACAGTGGCTCATGCCTGTAATTTCAGCACTTTGGCAGGCCAAGGCGGGAAGATCACTTGAGCCCAAGGAGTTTGAGACCATCCTGGGCAACACAGTGAGACCTCATCTCTTAAAAAAAATACAAATAAATTAGCTGGTGTCACATGCCTGTGGTCCCAGCTACTCAGGAGGTGGAAGGTGGGAGGACCACCGGAGCCCAGGAGGTTGAGGCTGCAGTAAGCCTGTGATCTCCACCACTACACTCCAGCCTGGGTGACAGAGCAAGACCCTGTCTCAAAAAAAAAAAAAAAAAAAATTCTAACAGGCACAAGAAAAATTAAAAAGAAACATGAAATTTGTTTTAATAATTTTTAACCCAAATATCCAAAATACCATGTAAACATATAATCAATATTTTAGTATATAATCAATATTTTAAATTAATATATTTTATATATTTTTTCTCCCTTTGTACTACATCTTCAAAATCTGTTATGTATTAAACACTTGTAAGTGTTTAATACACTTACACATCTCAGTACAGACTAGCACATCTCAGTACAGACTAGATGTACACATCTCAGTACAGACTAGCCACATTTCAAGTGCTAAGTAGTCACATGTGGCTAGTAGGTTTCATATTTAATAGTACAGTTCTAGATGAAATTTTAAATATTTGTATAAGCCATTCTGAGACAAACAGGTTTGCCCATTTCCTGTAATAGTCATTCTATGAGAAAAGGTATGATTTAGTGCTCTTATATTATGTTTACTTTTATTAGTTTGGACCATATGAAATTTCAAAATGGTTGAATACCAGCAATTTCATATGGTTCAAACTATTCTATTATAGCTGAATATACTTGTTTTCCTTGAAGAAGAAATTTTTCTTCAAGAAGCAATTACTGCTTAGGTCTTGAATTTTTACCTCAGATGTCACAAACCAGCATTTATAAAAAGTCTATTATTCATTGTAATCTGACTGTATACATGACCTGGAAGTTGTAAAGATGATAGATGGGGCAGGGATGATGTGGGCATTGCCCGTCTCCTTCCTTTCCTCGTTATCATGCTTCATGTGACGTGTCAATTCACAGTCAAAAAACCTCCTGTTATTTGCTTTATTTCATCTTCCTATCTTGTACAGAGGGTTTTCTTCTTCCCTGACTGAGAGAATACATTATGAGGTTAGTTGTAAATTATTTGGTCTGGTACTTGCAGAAATGGAAGAAGCGCTGATACTGGTACTGATAAAAGAGGAATCAGGTTTCATTAGAGGCAAACTGCTGTAAAAGGAGCACTCTGTGAATGAAGCTGATTGCAAGTGGCAGTAAATGTCAGTGGGACATTTGCCTTTCTCCCTTAATGTTGGGAGAGGTGGAGATTGACCAGCATAGGTACCTTAGACATGCAGCTGTTGAAAGTCTTCATGTTCACCAGCCAAATTACAATTTTATTTCTGAATTTTATGTAATGAATAGACTGTTATCAAAACTAATGTACTAACATTCCTGTTTGTTTAATTAATACTTTAAAAGTTAACTATGAATAATAGAAAAATATATTAATAGAAAAAATTTTTTAAGTTATATGTGTTATTTGTAGGAGAGAAGTATGGCTACCTTTCACTTCCAAAGCCAATGGTAAGTAGAAGAATTATGTACATTGCAGAATGTTTTTATTCAGAATTCAAATTATGCTCTTGTTGCCTGTTGCTGCTCCCCTCTACCACAAATAATTGACATGACAGAAAAAAGTTAGGATATTAATGTTGACTTCAGAGTTGTTATTCTGGGTAGCAATCTAGTTGTGGCTTACACTCTGAATATTTGTTTTAGGTTTGGGGGTTTGAGAGAATAGGTAACATAATTTGTGATTAATAAAAAGCCATATCCCAGTAATAGCATCATAAAAATAAATAAATAAGCCATATCTGAAGTCAGAAGTTGTTTTGTTCTTCCAATCTTGGATCTACTTTGAGAAGTCATGTTGGAATCACTTTCAGCAAACTAAGGACTTTCATATGCTTTCTACCTAGATGAAAACATGTCACATGTCATACTTATGGGAAAGAGATACAGAGTGGTATATTAACCAAGTAGTGGTCCCAAGATCCCTTTTGGGGGACAAAAATATTGGAAATTGTGGGCTGGGCACGGTGTCTTATGCCTGTAATCCCAGCACTTTGGGAGGCCGAGGTGGGTGGATTACCTGAGGTCAAGAGTTTGAGACCAGCCTGGCCAACATGGTGAAACCGTGTCTCTACTAAAAATACAAAAACAAAACAACAACAACAAAAAAAATTAGCCAGGCGTGGTGGCAGAGGCCTGTAATCCCAGCTACTCGGGAGGGTGAGTCAGGAGAATTGCTTGAGCCTGGGAGATGGAGGTTGCAGTGAGCCAAGATCGTGCCACTGCACTCCAGCCTGGCCAACAGAGTAAGACTGTCTCAAAAAAAAAAAAAATAAAATTACTGATGATTATCAATAGTAACAGTGTGGTGAAGAACAACAGATGGTGAGTATCAGAAGAGAGAACTTGCAATGAAGAGAGATATTAAAGTCTTAAGTCTGGAATTTTAGAAATGATAGTGGGAATGCTTGATGGTGTAGGGGAAGAACAAATGATAAATCAAATCCCCAAATCAAAAAATGGTCCAAACTTAATTAGTGTACTTTTTGAAAAGGGACTGGCATTTAATACTGAAATACAACATTAGGAACTGAATGTAGCTGGTGTAAAAGCGATCATGATACTGCAAATTAATTCTGTGACTTAAAAAAAACAGTTTTTGTGCCTTAAGCTATTGTCAGAACAGTTTGAAAGTACAAATAGCAATTTGTCTATTTTTGTTATTTTAAGATAACCCTAACAGATGGTTTTATAGCTAATATCCTACTGGGTTTAAGCAAGTAAGGATAGACTCACTGTTTTTGTAAGTGCTATAATTTAGGGCTACTACAAAATAATTTTTTGAGAATTAGAAAAGGCATCACAAAGCTTTTAACAGGTTGAATGGAACAAAGATTTTATTCAACTGAATAGTATTTTTTATCTTTAGTAACAAATCATTTCAGAGTCATGAACCATTTTCTTAGTTGAGGGATAGCATAGCTAATTATATTCCTAGAAAATTATAGTTCTCTCTTTTAGGAAGTGAAGTTGGAGTCTGGTGCTATTTATATTTAGGGGACTGACGTCTTTTAGCTTTATATAACTGAAACGAATGAATCTGACTGCATTCCAAAATAGTGTCCACTAGATGGCAAGCTTGGTTACATTATTAAGATGGTTTATTTACCTTTTCAGGCAATTCCATTTCAGTCGTCATTAAACTTTAATAATCATCATCATTAGTAAAAGTAAAAATAAAAATCATGAAAATGCAACTATATTTAAAAGAATAATATAAAGTATAAAATTCTGAATAAAACTAAACCTAAAAACCTTGAGGGTGTTCCTTACTTTCTTAAATGTTTTATCAGTTGCCTTATAGTCAACTAGACCAAGGATGGAGATAAAGATGATGTGACCATTCAAGGAGGAGCCAGAGAGATCATTGGTCATATTTGTTTATTCTCTCTCTCTCTGTCTTTGTCTCTTTCTCTCTGTGTGTGTGCATGTGTGTGTAACAAGAGTTCCTTTATTTTTATTTTCTGTCCTTCAACTTCACCTGTTTCTTTAATAGTAAACATCATTAGAAAATCTCAAAAGGGCTATGTTCCATGAGCAGATCTAAACTCCACGAGGCTGTTTTGTTCTGTGGTGAAACTGGTGACAGAATAGTTGGTCAGAAGTAAAAAGTCATGGTAATAAGGGAAATAAAAATATATGTATGAGAAGATCTTTTTCCTTAAAGTATTAGTGATGATTTTCCTTCCTAAGCTAAGTGTACACATGAGTGTTTTGTTTTATTGTAATTTATACTGTGTGTGCAGGTATGTGAATCCATACCCAATGTGTGTTTGTGAGTGTGTATGACTTAAATATATGTTTCCATTGTAAAAAGTTGGCCCCCTTTTCTCTACAAACCCTAGCTGTTCTGGGACTCCTGCCTCTACCATGGGAGCTTTCACCAGATCTCAGAGTTGGAGGAATCCCCTCTGTGGGCTATCATCTCCAGAGAACTTCGGAATATATTTTTCAAAGAAATGTTGCTATTGGTGGTGGTGTGATTTGTCCTGGTACTCTATTCTTCAAGTATACAGGCATCAGTGGACTAGCCTGGTCTAACTAGGATGGAATATTTTCTCCCCTTCTAGGGAAAATACACTCTGAGTTCCAGATAGTTTACATGAAAACAAACTTTCTCTTTCAAAAATAGGGAACCATTGAACATTGGTTCACATATTAAATTCAGAATCCTAAGTATAATCTCTTTATAACTTGGGATATGAGATTAGCAGTTGTGATATCTATGAAGCTAGAGAGTTGAAATTTAGCCTTCCAAGAGCAAATTAGTTAAAGGAATTGAATTCTGGAGTCATAACATAAGGAATGTATAGAAAACTACATATAGTGGCTAATTTTAATATATCATTTCATAAGAATAATTCAAGCATTATAAGAATCTTGTTGAACAGAGAAGCCAGGGAGGTTTGGGGGACATAATAATTGGACTCCAGGAATACTGCAGAAGTTGTCTTGAGTCCCTGGAAGCCCTTGTGAAAAGAGGAGAGCAGCTGTAAGCACAGAGGCCACAGAGCAGGGAAGGCACTGACTTGCTTTCTCTGGCTCCAGATTTCAAACTAACAACCTATTCAAAGCTGAACTCACTTACTAGTAGAGTACTTGCAATTGGTAAAATATTCAGTCATTACATACTGAATATTTTAAACTTTTGTTACAAGTACTTTGTTATGCTTTGTATTACTATTGTATTTCCTTACAGTTTAATGTACTGCTTTTTAAGATAATCTTAATCTTTTTATTGTCACAGAAGAATAATGCAAACCTGAAATCATTAAAGCCAGACAAGCCTGACTCTGAGGTAAGACCAATTCCTACATCTAATCTTCCTTTAACATGAATAGTGATAAAGTCGTTGTGATTAAAACGTCTGTTTCATAGGAGCAAGCCAAGATAGCAAAGCTTGGACTTAAGCTGGGTTTGCTCACCTCTGACGCTGACTGCGAAATTGAGAAGTGGGAAGATCAGGAGAATGAGATTGTTCAATATGGACGGAACATGTCCAGTATGGCCTATTCTCTGTATTTATTTACTAGGTAAATGTAGTTGTATTTTTATTTTTTAAATCAGTATAATGATATCTGGTGTAAAGAAAAAAGTTCCATGTTAAATCATTGACAGGTTAAAGTCGGTATCAAATATATGGTAAAAAGACTAAAAGTAGTTACTATGACAATTTACGTAAGTGAATGCAACAACAAGACACATGTATTTAATTAGGATTTAGATTTAGAAGGGATCTTCTGCTAGGTTTCTGCCCACTCTTTCCATCATTGAAATAATTTTACATCCTGCTTTTTTGTTATCCTGCATTGTTAATGCCTCTCCCAGCCAGCATCAGTACGTTAAGAAAACATGTCTTTTATGCCTTTATACAGTGATTGACTAGATACAGATGAAGATTGATTAGACACAGATCAAAGAATAGAGCTATGAGGACTATGTCAATAGCGTGCCAAATCTCTGTGAGTCACCATTCATTATGTAGAGAATTCCCCTAACTTTAATGTTATCTGACCTATATTCTCTGTCTTGATCATATTACAAGACTCTTGATCAAATGCCTTGTTGATGTCAATGTTAGTCATATTTCAGTCTTCCATTTTAGTAATTTATACATAAGGTATAGTAATTCTGCTTAGTTAAAATCAGTTATCTGCTCAAAAATCCCTTCTAGAATTTTCTCAAGGAATAACTTCAAGCTTTTCACTCAGTTTCTGAAATCTATCTTTTTCATTTTTGGAAACCTGGGAAATACTTGATATCTCCAGTTTTCTGGCTCCTGTCCTACTCATTCTGATTTTGGAAAGGTTATCCACCGTGGGACACACCTGCAGGTTGCTTCAGTATTCTAGAGACTGAAGCTCAATTAAAGTAGTGAAGGATCTCTACAACTGTGTGGGATTTGGGACTCAATAAATAGCACCCCCTGCCGGGCATGGTGGCTCACGCCTGTAATCCCAGCACTTTGGGAGGCCGAGGTGGGCGGATCACGAGGTCAGGAGATCGAGACCATCCTGGTTAACACACTGAAACCCGGTGTCTACTTAAAAAAAAAAAAAAAAAGTTAGCCGGGCGTGGTGGCGGGCGCCTGTAATCCCAGCTACTCGGGAGGCTGAGGCAGGAGAATGGCGTGAAACCGGGAGGTGGAGCTTGGAGTGAGCTGAGATCGCGCCACTTGCACTCCAGCCTGGGTGACAGGGTGAGACTCCATCTCAAAAATAAATAAATAAATAAATAGCACCCCCTATTCCCACCCAAGTTTTGAACAAAATGAAAAATAAGCAAAAGAATAGGTAGATGGGAGCTGGTAACATTTATATTGATAAAGCTGATATTGGAGAAAGTACTTTATGTCCATAGGCAATTAAGTTTTGAAAAATGATCCCTAGAATTACAAAGTCTTACCTCATAGGGACACAATGTATCTCTATAAAACACATGGAAGACCAGTTATATCTCAAAGGCAGCTTCACTTCCAAGAGAAAAAGGAGAAAAGAAAGGGTTAATGTGTTCAATTTATTTTTGCAAAGTCACCAGAAAGACTGAAAAGATGAGCATCCACCTCCTTTTATGGGATGGGATAGGTGAGGCAGCAGACAGAAGTGAGGGATCCTGTGCTCGTGAAGATTCCTTCCTATAGAAGGAGGATTAAGAGTGGGGAAGATGCAGTCCCAAGCTTAGAGGCATCATTTTCCTCTTGATGACGTCTTCTACCTTTTCTAGATAGATAATTCTCTGGAAAAAGAAGGCAGAAATGATAGGAGTTAGAAATTTTGCTGCTGTTTAGCTGTCATTTGTCAGTACCTTATCATATTTTCCATCATTGGAGACCATTCCTTTGGTGGTTTCCTTCCATTGTTCTTAACTGTTGTTAGCAAGCTTATCCTGTGATTGAGTCTTCCCAACATGAATTTTGACCTTTTTAAGTTCATACCTTTTTAAAATCTGATGGCCCAGGCCTCTAAAAGAATGCAAAATGGAACTCCTGTGTTTACCCACAATAAATTTGCACAGACTAACTGAAATAACAAAAATCTCAGCTTTTGGCTGGAATCAAGCTAGTTATTTCCATGGTGATGAAAATCATGCTTTTAAAAAATGTTTTTGACTAATAAGACTTGGGGGAATATATTATTAATGAATATAGTTTGATATGTAAAATATTCCCAAATGAAGGGTTCATCAATAGACTTGCCTGGTTTTTTTTTTTTTTTTTTTGAGATGTAGCCTTGCTCTGTCACCCAGGCTGGAGTGCAGTGGCATGATCTCGGCTCACTGCAACCTCCGCCTCCTGAGTTCAAGCAATTCTCATGCCTTAGCCTCCCGAGTAGCTGGGATTACAGGCACACATCATGACGCCTGGCTAATTTTTGTATTTCTTTATTTTTTATTTTTTTTGAGACGGAGTCTTGCTCTGTCACCCAGGCTGGAGTGCAGTGGTGCAATCTCGGCTCACTGCAATTTCCATCTCCCGGGTTCAGGTGATTCTCCTGCCTCAGCCTCCCAAGTAGCTGGGATTACAGTTGTGTGCCACCACGCCCGGCTAATTTTTGTAGTTTTAGTAGAGATGGGATTTCACCATTTTGGCCAGGCTGGTCTCAAATTCCTGACTTCAAGTGATCTGCCCGCCTCAGCCTCCCAAAGTGCTGGGATTACAGGCGTTAGCCACCACACCTGGCCTAATTTTTGTATTTTTAGTAGAGATAGCGTTTCGCTGTGTTAGCCAGGATGGTCTCAAACTCCTGACCTCAAGTGATCTGCCCACCTTGGCCTCCCAAAGTGCTGGGATTACAGACATGAGCCACCGCGCTTGGCCAACTTTTTAAAAAAAGATTATAGCATCTCCTTTGATTAGTTTTATTTCAGAATATTTCAGGATGGCATGCTCAGTATTTTTTGTTTCAGTGTCAGAATTGTAGAGTATCCCATGGACACTGGGAAACATGAGGGGTTGCACTACGAGGGGAAGCTCTGTGGAATAGGACTTCTTCCTAGAATATAGTTATTGGATAGTAGTGATGACATTCCAGAATAGAAAATGGATTTTTCTGTAATAGATAAATACCTTGTAGCAGTTTTCCTGGGCAGATTTATAGCCCTTCTTCAGGTTACTGTTTAAGGTTGTCTTAATAATTTATATGATTTCTTAATGATTTACATGTAATCATTCATATTTCTTAATAATTTAGATATTTAAGGTTTTCTAGTGCCTTATAGTTTTTCAATATTTCAAACATACTAGTACCTTATTGTTTTTAATGTGGTTTTTGCTTCATCATTTCATTTGATTTTCATGACGGTTTACTGGAGAACAGGAATGATATGTTCACATCTCCTAAGTGGCAGAACTGGTTGCTACTAGATTCCAGATTTTCTGACTTATCCCTAGTCCATTGCTCTTCTTAATGCATTTGGTTATTCTTATTGTAATTTACTTTTCATTTTTTAGAGTTCTTAATTCTTCTTGGTAGTTTTTAATCTGCTGTTCCTCAATCTTCTGATGAGAGTGGTAGCACAAGTATTATTATGATTGCTTTATTCACTCAAAATAGAATGTTCAGTGATATGCCTCATCAAGGTTAGATAACTGAGTTACTACCAGAATTGAAATAAGAATTAGAAGTGAAATGTCCTGAGTTTTGGTTTGATCCTCTTTCCATTACGTAACAAAGGCTTTCGGTCAAGACATTATCAAATCTCACATATTTAATTTATGAAGTAAAATGAAAAAGGTTAAAAAGAGAAATGGAACTTAAATATTACTTGTTTAAAATTTTTTATATTATGAAATTAACATAAGGTTTACTTGGGGAAAAATATCTTAATAAATAATTGTCAAATATTAAAGTTGCTTTAAGCATAAAGTTACAATATTATCAGTCTATTCATATTATTCTTCAAAATTTAGGATTTGTTAATACACAAATGCTCTAAAATTTTAATATTATAAAGTCAATTTTCAGGTAATAACTTTTTGTTACCTTCTTAACAATTAATTTTATTTTAGAGGAGAGGGGCCACTGAAAACTTCCCAGGATTTAATTCATCAACTAGAGGTATGCCTTGTTTCCGTTTTATGCTAGTACTTTAATTTCGGGCTAAAAGTGGGTAATAAATGTTTTCCAGATGATTTATTATATCATGTGTATATGCTTACATCTGTACCTACCTGTGTATTACAGAGAGCAGTAGAAAAGTAGAAAGGTAGATGGCTTGCAATGACATTTTGCAAAACTATCCTGACCTCATTGGAAAGAAACTTAAATATTATGAGCATAAAGTAGAATGGGCTTTGTTGGTAGTCAATAGATGCAATAATAAGCTTTAGGTTTACCTAAGTAGGTGAAAATATCCTGTAAGCAGATGCAAATCCAGAGTTCTAGAAAGATTTTTGGCCTCTTCATTATTGAATTGGATAAAATATATTGATTAAATGAGATAACACATGAGAGAGTATCTGTTAAAATGCTTAAGACTATTAGAGGGTATTAAGTACATCTTAGTTTCCTTCTTTCCTTCAGTATTCATGATGATTTAGGGCATTAAAGGAGAGACAGATATGCTAACATCCACTCTTGTGCCATGTGTCTTAACAGGACTCCACATAGGCCCATCTGTAATTCTACTCCCTCTAGTTAGAGGCTTTAGATTGGCAAGTGGGTTGCAAAATTCCTTTTATGTTTTCCCTGATCCCCATGTTAGCCTGTTTGCCTCTCTAGAACCAAGAGCATTCTTGTGTGTAAATTTGAAATTTCTGTCACTTTATCACTCATATAGTCTCCTTTGGCATTCCCATGTACATCTGAGATTTGAAATTTCTATCACTTTAGGCCAGGCGCGGTGGCTCACGCCTGTAATCCCAGCACTTTGGGAGGCCAAGGTGGGTGGATCACGAGGTCAGGAGATCGAGACCATCTTGGCTAACACGGTGGAACCCTGTCTCCACTAAAAATACACAAAATTCGCTGGGTGTGGTGGCGGGCACCTGTAGTCCCAGCTACTTGGGAGGCTGAGGCAGGAGAGTGGCGTGAACCCGGGAGGCGGAGCTTGCAGTGAGCTGAGATCACGCCACTGCACTCCAGTCTGGGTGACAGAGCAAGACTCCATCTCAAAAAAAAAAAAAAAAGAAAGAAATTTCTATCACTTTATCACTCATATAGTTTTATTTGGCATTCTGTGGGAAAGGGATTTCAGCTTAAGAGGATGATTGTCAACATAATCAGAAGTATTATAGAAAATGTGTCTTCTGGATTTTTCTGTAAAGCAGACTATAAATGAGCTATTTCCCTTAAGATAGTTGAAATTCTGAATTTATTTTTTTTTTCAGTTTGGCCCAAGTCCATTCTGTCATACCGCCCTGTAGGGGTGTTTTACTACAAAAGATCCACTACTTACCTTCTTCCTATGTGAGCTTAGTCATTAAATCAATGTTCAATGAATTGTCTCCAAACTGTGATGAACATAAAATTGCATACTTCATTCAACAAATATTTATTGAACTTGTGCTATATGTCAGATCTGGGAGAACAGAGCTCTGTGGAGAAAAGTGAACAAAGCAAAGCTCCTGCCCCCATAGAGCTTATGTTCTAATGGCAGAATATAGACAATAAGAATTTAAGCATTCAGTGCACATATGTAAGTACTTGGAGATAAAATCACGTACGACTAGAATACAGAGGTGATAGAGGGGTGGTCAGAAAAGACCTCTCTAAGGAGCCAGTGTTTGAATAGAGACAGTAATGAAGTGAGAGTTGGATGGATAAATGTGGGTAGAGGATTTTAGATAGCCAAAACAAGTGCAAAGCCCCGAGGTGCAGGGGTAGGGCTGGGTGTATCAGAAGAGTAAGGAGGCAATTATTGATGGGAGTGAAGTGAGCCAGAAGGAAAGGGGTAAAATATGATGTCTCTGTAGGCCATGGGAAGGACTTTTTTTTTTTTTTTTTTGAGACTTAGTCTCGCTCTGTTGTCAGGCTGGAGTGCAGTGGCACGATCTCGGCTCACTACAGCCTCCGCCTCCCGGGTTCAAGTGATTCTTCTGCCTCAGCCTCCCGAGTAGCTGGGACTACAGGTGTGCGCTACCACGCCCAGCTAATTTTTGTATTTTTAGTAGAGACAGGGTTTCACCATGTTGGCCAGGATGGTCTCGATCTCTTGACCTTGTGATTCGCCCGCCTCAGCCTCCCAAAGTGCTGGGATTACAGGCCTGAGCCACTATGCCCAGCTGATCCTATTATGTTTTAAGTAAGGTTTTTGGCTTGGCCAACAGAGTGAGTGGTAGTGCCATTTTCTGAGACAGGGAACACTGAGGGAGAACACTAGATTTAGAGGGTGGAAATCGAGCATTTTGTTTTGCACATGTTAAGTACAAAGGTCAGATAGGATATACACTTGGCCCTCCCTATCTGCAGGTTTTGCATCTGCAGATTCAACCAACTATGGATTGAAAATATTCAAAACAGTAAAAACAGTCTGGGCACAATGGCTCACTCCTGTAACCCTAGCACTTTGGGAGACCAAGCTGGGAGGATCACTTGAGTCCAGGAGTTTGAGACCAGCTGGGGCAACATAGTGAGACCTTGTCTCTACAAAAAAACAAAACAAAAAAAAAAAAAACTAGCGGGGCATGGTGGCACACACCTGTAATCCTAGCTACTCAGGCAGCTGAGGCAGGAGGATCGCTTGAGCCTGGGAGGTCAAGGCTGTAGTGAGCTGTGATCACACCACTTCACTTCACTCTGGACAACAGAGTGAGACCCTGTCTCAAAAAAAAAAAAAAAAGGAAGAAAACCAATAAAATATAACAACAGTAAAAAAAAACAAAATACATTTTAAAAGGTTAGAGTTCCAAGGGAGGGAAAACAATACAGTATAACTGCGATTTACTTAGCATTTACATTAACTTAGATATTATAATTTAGAGATGAGATGATTTAAAGTTTATGGGATGATGTGTGTAGGTTATATGCAAATACTACACTGTTTTATTTAAGGGACTTAAGCATCTACAGATTTTGGTATCCTTGGGGAGGTCTGGGAACCAATCTCCCATGGATACTGAGGGATGACTGTACAAGACTGATGTCAGGATAGTTCAGGAGTGGAGAGAGAGACCTGGGAGTTACCAGCTTTCAGGTAGTTTTAAAACCATCATACTGTATGAGACAGACATGGATTTTGTCCCCAAGGGGTTTGCAGGCTAGAAGGAAAGAGAAAATTTGCAGAATAGAAAGTGGTAACATGAAGTGATAAGGAACACTTGGGGAAGTGAATCATTTCATTTGGTTGGAGTCTAGATGTAAAGCTTACTGGTTTCCCTTTTAAAGGGAAGGTTGCAAAGTACGATTTGACCTTGAGATCATTTTATCCAGTGATAGCAAGGTGTTAAGCCTTTTGAATAGAGGGTAAAAATTAACCCTGGAATTATTGCCTCCTCCTTCTTAGTATTCTTTAATTTATTATGAAGACCTATTATTTTCATTCACAAACCACTCTCAGATTTTCCCTGTTCTCTCCATTATTACTGACGCCACCTAAAACTAAGCCTTCCTCCCTTTACTCCCCTGGCATCTCACTCTAAAATAGTCTGCAAACCATTTTAACATAATATGCTAAATACTTCTGTCTTACCTGTACAACCTTCTTTTTCACTCTACTTCTCCATCATCCTGTTCATCTCATTAAATTATAGAATTCATGGTACATGGTGAATAGTGAAAATTAATCTGAAAAAAAGTGGCAACAAAAACCAACCACCTGGATTGGTTCTCTCAAATGTCTGGTTATGGAATATGTATGGGTGACAAATTTTGTCTTGCCTAGATGGAATTGGGAAGGTCCTAACCCTTTTGACCTCATGCTTGAAAATTCATCATCCTTTTATAATTGAGCATATTTGAGATGAGCTCTAGGTCCCTTGCGTAATCTAGACATAATTTGTGTGGCTGAATATCACAGGTCTGTGTGACCCTCCAGAATAATTGGAGGTCTGGTGTAGAGAAGCCTCTCCAGGGATGGATTCTGCATCTGGTCTGTGGAAACTCCTTCTGAAAACAGTTAAACCCTTGTGCATTCCTGGTACTGGAAAAAGTTTAGGAGTTCCTGACAGACTTTTTATATCTAGGCTTTATTTTTAAAATTCTACGTAAAAATTATTAGTAAGTATATTTCTTACCAACTATCCATAGACATCAGTCTAAAATAGTGGTGTTTTCTCTTTCTACCAGGTTTTTGCTGCAGAGGGTTTAAAGCTTACTTCCAGTGTTCAAGCTTTTTCAAAACAGGTAACACATGTCTACCTACCTGGAGCTGGTGGTGGTATTATGTATAACCTACTTTGGGGGTATAATATCAATGTATAAATGTGTTTAAGGTATTAAAGATGGAGTTTTGTTGCGGGCTGTTATAACTTGTTAAATTACATTTCAGCTGAAAGACGATGACAAGCTTATGCTTCTCCTGGAAATAAACAAGCTAATTCCTCTATGCCACCAGCTCCAGACAGTAACTAAGACTTCTTTGCAGAATAAAGTATTTCTAAAGGTAAAAGAGACATATGAAAAACTTTCACACATCTATCTTTATCTGGTTAAAGCCCCTTTTTCTTCAAATAAACTGTTAGTACCCACAGAAGGGCAATTTATTTCCTTTTTTCATGCCTTGTCTACAAGAATCATTTATTATCTACTCTCATAACTGACCCCAGAGAGTAGCAGATTCACCAAATAAAGTAGTTTTTTGGACATCATTAATTCCATAGCACTGAACAGCTGCCCTTCAATTCTGAAGTCATTACCTCTGCAACTAGGACACAGGTGCCTCCGAGTCTGGTCTCCCATAATTTGTCTGAGAGAATATGGGTTTGTGCCCACAAAATAGAGTGCAAGGAATTGCAAAGGATGGGATTTAATTCCACTATTTGGAGTGTTTTGAGAAGCCCCTAAACAGCCTGCAGTAGAATGATTAATTTTCCACCCACTCTTTCTGCTGGGGTTCCATGAGATAGACATGAAATCTAGGCAGCTACCCCTGCACCTGTGTCCTGGGGCTTTGAGTCAGCTCATGTGCCTAAATCCATATCTCTTTCAAGATCCCTTAGATTTCCATATGGAGAAATTTTATCATGTTAAAACTAAATAAATGGTAAGGTCTTTTAAGTACTACTTTTAGAATATCATTTGCATGCTTTTTGTCATTGTAGGTTGACAAGTGTATTACGAAGACAAGATCCATGATGGCTCTCTTAGTCCAACTTCTTTCACTTTGTTATAAACTGCTGAAGAAGGTGAGGTAGTTTTTCTATTTTAGACTCATACTTTAAAAAATGGTTTAAAAGAAAATAGTTACTACTTAATTTTGTAATTTTTTTTTCAGAGTGAAACCAGATACTAATTGTCTTAACTCTTTCCAGCTTCAGATGGAAAATAACGGATGGGTCTCAGTTACAAATAAGGACACTATGGATAGTAAAACTTGAGAAGCTTTTGGGGTCAGATCTCTGGAACATCATGTGATGAAGCTGACATTTTTAAAAATCAAATGATCCTTTATCTTTTCAGAAATTCATCAATTTTATAAAGAAAACAATATTGAAATTTTGCTCTATTTTCTGATCATGAAACTGATTGTAAAGCTTTTTGACAACTAATAAATGTCTTGGTAATTGCTAGATTCTAATTGTAGTGTGATTTTTAAAATAGAACATTGCACTAATGTTCTTTAAAAGTCAAACCAAATATCCCAACTGTCTCAAGGACAATTTAATCCACAAGAAGCTATTTTGAATATGTGCTTAGCTTTGGCATATTTTACCTTAACTGTTTTCTTTATCATCTAGATCACTAATGTCAGCAGCAAACATACAGTAGTCTGGGTGAATGCAGGGTTTTCCTTAAACCTGTGGACTCTTCAATCCCTCTGTTTACCAAGTGTGACAAAAATCCCCTTGATGACCCTGTCCCAGATTGTCCATGCCAGCAGCAAGTTTGTTCCCTAATAAGCATTTTGTACAGCAAGGGTGGGTCTGCTGTGCTGTGTATGTCCCTCACCTACTCCCAAAAGTAAGGTAATGGAACTCCACAGAATCCTGGAACAACTCCTGGAGAGTATGAGATGGGTTTTTGGTTCTAGTTCTAGCATAGCTGGCCAGTCTGCCCTGAATATTAGCTGGGATTCTAAGCCTATCTTATAGACTTAAAAGATATTTTGAACTTTCTCAGTATTGATTGATGGAATGGAAGACAAAGACAGAATAAGGAAGCCAAGAATCTATTTAAATTCTGAATATCACACATTTGAAATGTTCACTATAAAACAAAACAAAAAACATCTTTCTTTAGTCTTTTTAATTTAGGAGTTTAAAGCTTTTCTTGTTTTTGTGGGTGGGGTCATGATTGAAGGATCTGGTTTATAGGTTTTCTCCTTATAATATAGTATGGCCAACTTTGTGTTAGACTTCAGTCGTAGTATTTGTATCTTAATGCTTTGACATTCATTTTGAAATCTAACAGGGTATGTCAGTTATCAAATGGCAGTAGATAATATAAGCTTATCTGATGATCTTTATCTGGGTCAGCCACCACAATCAGTATTCACAAAAGATCCGGAAGAACCACAGTAATGCCAATTGACCACAGCTAGTCAATATTTTATTGAGGAAAATTTTCACTGTAGTCCTTCGGGAGAAAATGTGATGCACTCAGCTCTGTTAATAACCTTTTTAAAATCTTTCCTTAAACAGTCAAAATCATTAAGCATGATTTTTATTCTCTGAAACCAAAGTACTCTTTTAAATTACAATAGAAATAATGGGAGAATGATGTGAGGTAATGTTACATGTAAAATGTTATACACAATTCTTTTACTACGTTTACTGTCATAGTTTTATGACGCCTTCAAGAGTCATTGTGCTACTTAAAGTGAGGATCTGCTGGTTTGTTTATATTTTCAGCTAATAGCACCATCGTGGAGGTGTTTATCCACTTACTACATGTATCATGTCTGGGGGGTATATTTAGGGGGATAGTCATGCTGGCACTCAGATTACAAGTTTTTCCTATGAACCAAAATGTTGTTTTATTTACAAAATAAGTAAGTATTATTTTGTAAATAATTAAAACTTAAAAATTCCAACCCCCACTTGTACTTTCATTAGATAATATTTTTGCATACCTGAAAAAATACTGTTCTCTAGTGAAAGAAAGAGCAAGTGGGGGTTGGGAAGGGGTAACTTATGACTTCAACAGCATAAGAGGATAGATAACCAATGGAATTAATACATCGAATGATTTCTTCTGTATAAAAGTATATTTTATTTAAAAACAGTGATATTGACATGTATGTTATAGCCCTTACAGAAAAATAACACGTTTTATAGTCCTTTTATTTGAAATTCAGTGTAAATCACTCTTAAACTATAAATTCACAGTTGTTGGAGGTTTTTTTTTACTTTAAATGATGTGAAAGCATTTGTTCCATTCAAAGGCCCCTATGCCTTTGAATGACATATTCTCAGTAACTTCTTTGCCAGTAACTAGAGTATGTGAGACTGAGTAACTATAATGTGCATATTTCAAGAATTAGCTTCCCGCTGCATTATAACACATTTCCTAGGAAAGCCTTTGTATTTTTCATAGCCTTTTCACATATCCCTCATTTAAGAAGTCACAGTGTTGCAGTTTTACTTTGTTTCAGAGGGGAAGGCCATCTTGTTGGCATAAGGGGGACAGAAGATATAATATACTCTACACTCCGGCCTCTTCCCTACAACCTAAAAGGGAGAGGAGTTGAGGCAGATGGGCTAGGACTAGGCTTTTTGGTAGGCACATTATAGAAGACTGGGTAAGAAAGGTGGGTTAGGTTTTTTTAAACTTCAAACTGTTAGGAAAACGAGGCAAAAGCAATAACCATACCATATGTTCAAACAGAAGTAGGTTAAAATGTAGTAGTTATCCCTTGGTTTACATAGGGGATTGGTTCCAGGAACTTCCACATATACCCAAATCCATACGTGAGAACTCAAGTCCTGCAGTTGGCCCTTTGGAACCTGAGTATATGAACCTGCTCTATAAGTGGGTTTCGTGTTTGGTTAATGATATATTTTTGACTCGTTTATAGTTGAAAATAGTCCATGCATAAGTGGACCCTTGCAGTTCAAACCTATGTTGCTCAAGGGTCAAATGTATTTACTTCTGGATTATGGGATGATGGGTAAATTATTTTTACTTGGCTACTTAAAACTCTTCTGTATTTTCTAAATCTTCTTCAAAGAGCTTTGTTTGTTTTTAATCAGAAAAACATGCCTTGCATGCCAGTTGTTAGAGAGATGCAAGAGAACAGTGTGAGTACATGGGCAGGCCAGATCTGGCAGGCTGTAGACAAATGGGAACCAAGGCTCATTATGAAGACAGAGAGGGAAAACTAAGTGAAGCACTAGGCCTCCCCTGCATATGGCTGGCTGTTAGGTATGCTTTACATATACTGGTTCTTCTCCTTTAGTACCCTGATGGTTTAGGCCAGGTAACAAGAATCCCACTTTGCTTTTTGTTCCATGTCAATCCTCATGACGTAGCTGTTGTGGCATTAATGCGTTTCACCATGACTTCTTCATATTGTTTTTGTGTCAGTAACCCTTCTGTTATGCTTTTACTTTCTTCAAATTTGGGTAACACAACTGCAATGTAGCCTTCAGTAGATGGCTGGAAAGGAAAGAACATTTAGTACTGTCAAACGATGAAAAAAAAACCAATAAAAGGTATGTGGATGAGATCATATTTTTTCTCTCTCTTTTACCTTTTCTTGAAGAATAGATGGCTTATGGAGGATGTTTTCATTCACTTCCATCAAACGTCCTCTAACACAACTATTAAAAAAATTTAAGATTTCAGCATGTTTACTTAGTTAAAAAAAATTGTTTCTAAGAAAAAAAATTACCTCCCTTTGGTCTCCTAAATGGTGGCTAAAAAGTTACTCACCTAGACACAGTATATTCTTCACCATCTGAGCAGTAAATCTTACAGAGAGGTGCAAGCTCTGTTAGAAACTGTGCCCCCTGTGTAATGAGACGGAAGAAGTAATCAGTTGATGGACATTTCCACTTTCCTTTGAGAAGTAGCCCTTAGGTGTATAACAGGATGTATTCCTGGAACTGGTGTTTTAAATCAGTTACTTCAGTATATAAAAACCATTCATTAATTTCAGAACCTATATGAATATAAGTACCTACTGTGTGCCAGGTGCCATCCTAGGTCTAGGGAAAAAAGCTAAGACACATGATAAATGGGAATTTACAGACTGATAATATATTTTATCAACTGTAAATGAAAAAGCTACATATAACCAGGTATAAAGATTTCAAAAGTGTGGGAAAATCCATCAACAAGAAACAATATAAAATTCAACATGACACAGTATGACAGCAATATTGTATAAAGTTAGTTTCATTAAGATTTCTACCTCATTTTAATATTAGAACTTAATAGATAAAGGAACTTATTTACCAGGGTCAATCACTAAGACTTTTTGAAGAAGGGATATTGTTCTTTCCCCCCCCCCCCTTTGTAATTCCCCAGTGTGTTAGTAAGGGATATTTTTTCTAGTTAAGAAAAACAAAAACAAAAACATGCACTTTGAGGAAAATGTGGAAAACAAAAGTTTTAAGCAGCAAAATAAAAATAATTGACCCATGAGTCAATACTACATTTTGATGTGTATGTATTTGAATGTCATGGCATGGTTATTGTTTCATGTACTCCACTAGATGGATATACCTGGGGAGGCTCTCACAAGTATCTACAGGGAGGCTCATGAGAGCCAGTGCAGGCATGTTTCATGTGTTGCCCTCTTTTCTCCCATGAATTTTTCCTGTAGTGGACATAGGCATTTCAGGTTAAGATGCTATTCTTTATGACCCCTTTATTTACCACTCAAAACATTTTTAGATGGCATTCAGATATTACTATATTGGCTTCACTCCTCCGCACGTGGGTTCTTCATTTTAAAATACTAGAGTCATTGTGACTTTCTGCTTTTGGAAGGAAGGGGAAGGCTTGTGTTAAAAGAGCAGACACAAAAGAGCTAGGTCTGTGCCAAAACAGCAGAAATGTTTTGATGCCTTTTTGTCACCTCCTTTGGGAGAATGATTGGCAGTTCTGAGATCCAGTGAAAACTTACTGTAGTGGGTTCAATATGCAGGTCCCTCTCTGTTCTTCACTTGTAACAGGAGTGTTACTTTTTTTTTTTTTTTTTTTTGAGACAGGGTCTTGTTCTGTCATCCAGGCTGGAGTGCAGTGCTGCCATCATGGCTCACTGCAGCCTTGACTCCTGTGCTCAAGCAATCCTCTTACCTCAGCCTCCTGGGTAACTGGGACTATAGGCACATGCCACCATGCCCAGCTAATTAAAAAAAAATTTTTTTTTTTTGGTAGAAATGAGGTCTTGTTATGTTGCCTAGGTTTGTCACAAATTCCTGGCCTCAAGTGATCTTCCCGCCTCGGCTTCCCAAAGTGCTGGGATTACAGGCATGAGCAACTGTACCTGCCTTAAGTGTTACTATTTTGGACAGAGATTTATCATTGAAACTTCAGAAGTCTTAAGTGTTATTGTAACTTGTAGACTATCGTTTAAGAGAGGTGCATGCTTTTCTAAGTCCACTAGTTTCTTGAGTGAGGAAAAATCAGTAATTGTAAAGCACAATAAATCAGTAATTATTAGGGGACTTCAGGCCTACAAAGGGGGGTTTGAATAAGGGTCTCCTAGAATAGTGAGAGCAATTAGCAGAAACTCTTAGTATGAACTCAGTAAATGAACGACTTAAATCATCCACAGAAACTTTCCCAACCAGTGGGTTTGTTAAGACATTTTAACATGTCACTAAATTCTCCTTGGCATGATACTCTTTTAATAATCTGTCCATTTTGCCTAGAGTTACAGAGGGTAGAGATAGCATTCTATATAACCGAGTGTTGTGTGCAGGTACAGGGGGTGGGTACATGAGTATTACATTGACAATGCTTTAGGAATGGAAAAACAGTAAGGAGCAAATATATTTTCTCGTATTCATGTTTTTGTTTTTGTTTTTTTGAGACGGAGTCTTGGTCTTGCTCTGCCGCTCAGGCTGGAGTGCAGTGGTGCGATCTCAGCTCACTGCAACCTCCGCCTCCCAGGTTCAAGCCATTCTCCTGCCTCAGCCTCCCGAGTGGCTGGGATTACAGGTGCCCACTACTGTGCCTGGCTAATTTTTGTATTTTTATAGAGATGGGTTTTCACCCCGTTGGCCAGGCTAGTCTCAAACTCCTGACCTCATGATCCACCCACCTTGGTCTCCCAAAATGCTGAGATTATAGGCGTGAGCCATTGTGACCGGCCCATGTTTTTCTTTTTTTTTTTCTAACTCCCTTGGGAATTTTTTTTCTGTTTAATTTACATGTGGAAATATATGGTAAAGAAGAGTTAGTCACCTAAATTTTACAGAACTCGACATACTAGTTTAATACAACTAGAAGGGACAAAATATCTTGTTATATTGCTATTAGAGTTCTCCTTTCAAAGGCCTGCCTTCCCCCTCCTCCATCCTGGGCATTATAGGGATAGTAGCACAGAACCTAATATAACAGATACTACACCTCCTGAGATACCTAATTTGGGGGAGCTGAGAATTTCTTTAGGTGAAAGTATACCTAAAATTAGCACCTCAAACTGCTAGAGAAGTATGCTAAGCATATGCTACTGGATTCTAAGGTTCATTGGATCTGTCATTACCATGAATATAGAGGATGTAAGTAGATAATCACAGAATTACAGGAACATACCCGCTTAAATTTCCCAGAGACCTTGTTCTGAAGTCTGCTACAGTTGGTACTGATCTGATAGGAAATGCTTTTAATTGTTTTTCCACTTTGAAGAACTGGATGAGATTCTGCCAATGTGATGACACATATTCTACAAGGAGAAAAAGTTGATCCTGTGTGATT
Organism: Homo sapiens; assembly: GCF_000001405.40. Taxonomy (NCBI): domain Eukaryota; kingdom Metazoa; phylum Chordata; class Mammalia; order Primates; family Hominidae; genus Homo; species Homo sapiens. The sequence continues at coordinate 108,936,275 of NC_000009.12, read as the reverse complement.
GCTTGGAATAATTTTTCCTCCCATAACTCCTATTGGAACAAGAATGTATGAACTGGTATTTGTTTAGTCAAACTATCATCTTCCCCCTTTTTCCTTTGGCTACTATTGGGGCATAACTGTAGAATAGAGAATACAATAATAAAAGAGAAAACAAGATTGAATTTCTTTCCCAGGAAAGGGAAGAGTACCAGAGGTCTTTAGGTAGGTAGCACTGGGGTAGAAGACAAAGAAATAAGGCATGCCTGTGTATACGAGATACCATACATGTCTCTACCGTAGCCCTTTCTGTGGGCTCTGAACAGTTCAGTAGTTGGGCACAGACTGGCCACTTCAAGTAGCAGCTGATGATGTGGTCCTCCATTTGGATGTTTGAGTAATCAAATTTATATGTTCAGAGTGGCCAGGCACTGGAATACTCATTCTTGCCAAACAAACTCCTATAATAATACCATTTCAACACAGTAGAAGATAATTAATGCATGTTTGTTTAGTGAACATTTGTTCAATCCAAGACCACAAGACCATACCAGGCTACAATACCAGGAAAAAAAAATTTTTGATAATTTAAAATTCCCAATTTGCTTACCGGTTAGAGTGCTGTAGTATACAGTGGTCCTCACAAAATTTTCCTTTGACATCTAGAAGAATACATGAGTCTGTTGGTGGCTGAAATCAATATTTACTACCACTATGTGGTACTTTCTTTGGGTCATATAGTTGATAATGAAGACTGGACACATACATGCTGCATGCTGATCACGGGTATCCCTTCATTACTCAAAAAGACATACCTAAAGGTTTCCTAGAAAGTATTTAAAGAGATCTGGCCCAGATAGAATAATTTATTCAACATTAAGGTAATTAACTCCTTGCTCCATCTTACTTTACACTCACTTCAAAATGAGTACACGTAGTATTTTTGCTAGGAAAATGCAATTAGCATCCCGTTCTTTATGATATATATTTTTTGTTGGTGGTTTCCAGGACTGTCCTGATGTTGGTGCAAGTCCGACATTCTGGGAAACCCCTCAGTCATGGGTGAACTAGGACAGGTTGGTCACCCTATGTTTGGCCAACAGAAAATATGCTACAATATATATTTTTTAAACTGAGTATAACCATTATCACTGAATGAAAGGAAGAAAGGAGAGTCCCCAACGATGCTCCCACCACTGGTTCTGCTTACACAAAACAGTACAAAAAGAATACCTACTTCTAAGTGGCAGATGGCGTCTCTTAAGGTAAATGTATAGATTCTTCTTCTTTCTAAATGTCTCTAATCTAACCCACCCTCTTCTCGCCATCCCTACTGCCTCTACCTTAGTTTCGATCTGATCATTTAAATAATTTTATGTATCGCTACTCCCTGTGAGAGTGAGCCCCTCAATCCCTCCAGGCACTTAAGGACTGTTGCAACCTAGCCCTCCGCCTACCTTTGGGGCCTCCGTTTAGAGTACTCATCTTACTGCGAGCAACACCCTAGAGCTCGCACTGCAATCGCCGGCCCCAGAATGCGCCCTGAAGTATTTCAGGCCACCAGGTCTTTGCAAATGCCATTCCCTGGGGCTAGACGGAACACAGAAGTCCAGTGCCTTCTGACGTGGGGACGGAGAGCCAGGGAGAGCGCGCGTGGCTTATGATCTGTCAACATAGTCTACACAGCATTAGGCCAGTGCGGCCAAGGAGGGATCAACATCACTCCGCACTTACCCGGTTTGTACCAGCGAGTGAAGTATCGATCCACGAGCGAAGGCACCACCGGCTCCGCGGCTTCGGGCTCGGTAGCCATGGCGACCTCCGGCGCCGCCACCCCCGCCCTCCGGGACCCCAGCGCTTCCTCCGCGCAGCCCGGACTGGGCGTGCTCTTCCGGCGCACAGCGCGTGTCGTGCGCACGCGCGCTGCTCTCAGGTCCGCAGGTTCCACCCCCCCCCCCGCCCCCCCCAATTACAGTGCTTTGGGGTTCGACATCAAAACAGAGATCAAATACAAAAGTTTGGGCAGATGGGCAAGAGGGCAGAGGGACAGGGGACGCGGCCAATGTAGCTCCTCTACCTCTACGGTGCCAGGCCTACAAAGAAGGCCGGCCGCCGTAAGTGACCAGAAGCGGGCCCGGCCTCGCCCCCTCCGCCTGGTGACGTCACTCCCGCGCCGCACTCCCAGTGCTGCGGCTGCCTAGTTGACGCACCCATTGAGTCGCTGGCTTCTTTGCAGCGCTTCAGCGTTTTCCCCTGGAGGGCGCCTCCATCCTTGGAGGCCTAGTGCCGTCGGAGAGAGAGCGGGAGCCGCGGACAGAGACGCGTGCGCAATTCGGAGCCGACTCTGGGTGCGGACTGTGGGAGCTGACTCTGGGTAGCCGGCTGCGCGTGGCTGGGGAGGCGAGGCCGGACGCACCTCTGTTTGGGGGTCCTCAGGTAAGCGATCCATCCAGGGTAGGGGCACGGGAGTGGACCTCTCCGCCGGCGGTGTCCGGGTGAAGGAGACCCGGAGCCTCCTCTGCCTGCTGCGGGCCGGGGACTGGAGTGCGGGCTGCACCACCTCTTTCCTAGAGCCTTAAATTCTTTTTGCAGCCTTGCCACCTGCTCCATCGGGGGCGCTGGGAGGCGCGACAGCCCAGGGATGCCTGCTGCCCCTCCAGCCGGACTTAACCCAGCCTCTTGATTGCTTGCAGGGGGTTGATAATAACGCTGAAAGCGAGAGTATTAATTCACGATGGAAGGCGGCGGTTAATAGAGGCTCGGGTGCTGTGGTGCGGGTCCTTTCTCGCGTGTGAGACTTTTTCGTGGAGGTGGTGTCCTCTGTGCTTCTCCATCTAACGTGGTGTTTTACGTGGCTTTCTCTCCCGTTAACGATGATCTCCGTGGAGACAGTGGCTGAGTAATCTTCAGATCCCAGTACTTAGCAAGTGCTCAGTCGGTGTTGGATGTAGGCCACAAACCGGATCGTAAAGAATTCAACTGTATATTGACAGCCACGGAACTAATCAATGAATAGATCCGTATGAAGAGTAAGCAAAAAGGCAGCAAAGACAGTTTTTCAGCTTGGGGACATAGAGTAGAAATGGTCTGTCCCCAAATAGTGGGAACTGTCATTTGGGGGAAGAATAGCAAGTTCTTTGCTTTCCAGGTCGCATTTGATGTGCATGTGAGACATGCTTGTGATTCTATCAGGAGGTTGAAAATGTGGGTTTAGTGGTAAGTTTGGGCTAATTCAGTCAGGGCTAGGCATTTAGGCCTAATCAGCGTATTGGTGATCTACCTGGTATATGTAATCATGCATGTGATGTCTAGCCAAGAGGTGGATAGTCGAAGGAGCAAGGGAAGAAAATGAAGCAGTTATCAGGAAATTAAGAGAGAATCCACGATTGACCTTTGGTGTGGAGGGATCTTTAGCACATTTAAGAACTGCGAAGAGTTTGAATCAGTGGAGGCAGGAAGGTTGGAGGTTGCAGATGTCCAAGAAAGAGTACTAATAGGCCTAGGTCCTGTGGCAATATGGAGGATATTCCTTTCCTAGCCTGGAAAGAAGTGGAGGGAAGTCTTCCTCCGAGAAGATAAGGGAATAAGGCTGATGGGTGTGAAATTTCAGAGAAACTAGTTTTGAGGCGTTTTTATGATGTTTAAAGATGAAAAACGCAGCCAGGCACGGTGGCTCAGGCCTGTAATCCCAGCACTTTGGGAGGCAGAGGCGGGTGGATCACTTGAGGTTAGGAGTTCAAGAACAGCCTGGCCAACATGGTGAAACCCTGTCTCTACTAAAAATACAAAAATTAACTGGGCATGGTGCCGGGCGCCTGTAATCCCAGCTACTCCGGAGGCTGAGGCAGGAGAATCGCTTGAACCCGGGAGGCAGATGTTGCGGTGAGCCGAGATCGCGCCATTGCACCCCAGCCTGGGCAATAAGAGCGAAACTCCGTCTCAAAAAACAAAAAAACCTGCATGATATGTTAGAGGTTCAAGTAATTTCTAGCAGTTCTTGAATATAATTGTCACCAAAACTTACTAAAATCATTGTCTTCCTCACTTCCATCATATATAAACTTACCTTTCTCTTATCCCACATTATATATTATATAATTCCTATGACACTTGACATTATCTTCTGTGTACTATTAGGATTGATTCATCTTTATTCTTTCTATGTCATACATATGTGGGGTGCCAAGATGAGAGAAGTCTCCTTGGATTAAAGTGACAATAAGACCGGTGTGGTCCTTGTAATTGCTACCCCTAACATAAGTTAGGGACTTACAATCATAAGCCTTAAAGGGATCTGAATATAAATAACTAGCACAGTAACATTTTTTTCCCCTACTTAGGTAATGTTATGCATTTAAGCAAGCCTGATTTTGCCAGACCAAAGTAGATGTCTTGTTTAGCACTCTTTTCTCACGTTTTATATTGTCCTGGGAAAAGCCTGGCCAGAAGAACAAAGTTACTGGAAGTAGTTATGTCAGGTCATCAGGGTCCTTGAAATGTTGGTCATCATTTTGAAGTAAATTGTTGTCATGTCCCAGTATTTTCTCTTCCCCTTTAGAACAGTAAATGCTTTTCTATCTTTGATTTCAGTTTTTTTATGAATGTATAAAACCAGTTTATAAATGAATAGACCTGGTGAATATTAAAGTCATTTCAGATTCTCTTCAACTGCCAGTATATAAAAATGGATTTTCAAATAGTGCTAATCAGTGGGATACCCTTTTGTTTTTCCTCATGATTTTATAAAGATGTCCTAATATGCAAAAATAAAATGTTTCCCCATTCATTTGTTCTTTCAACTTTCCCAAAGGAATAACTGATATTACATCTTTTTTGAAGAAAACATTCTAAAGTTGAGAATCTTGCCTCTCCTAAAAAGAACATAAAATAGGTTTCAGAATTCCTAATTTGTAGACCATAACTGTATAGAGTGGGTCAGGTTGCTGCTATAATCCATACATGGGTGTGTACTCAGAGAGGTAAGTTTTTTCTTTTCTTGGTTATTCTGATTCTGACTACCACTTCTTCACCCCCTGAATCATTTCATTTAAATAAATATGGTCATTTATCACTATTAAGCTATTTATTTTTCTCTTAGAGATTAATGATTCATCAAGGGATAGTTGTACTTGTCTCGTGGGAATCACTTCATCATGCGAAATCTGAAATTATTTCGGACCCTGGAGTTCAGGGATATTCAAGGTCCAGGGAATCCTCAGTGCTTCTCTCTCCGAACTGAACAGGGGACGGTGCTCATTGGTTCAGAACATGGCCTGATAGAAGTAGACCCTGTCTCAAGAGAAGTAAGTTACTGATGTAGAATGCCAGCATGTGGGTATGACCCTTGATTTCTCTTCTTCCAAATTTCTTTCCCCACATGGTCTTTCTTTATATCTTATTGAATTTATATCCTCCCAAATAAACATCTTTTGCTTCATATATATGCCATGTTAGACATAGCTTAAATCGTAATCCTTCTTTAACTCTGCTGCTATTTTAACCTAAGTCAGTAGAACTCTGACCTTACTTTTTGAGTGTGTGCCGTACTTTTTACCCTCTTTGTCATGCAAATTCTGTTTATAAGAGTGGTTTTTTTTTTTTTTTTTTTTGAGACGGAGTCTCGCTCTGTCACCCAGGCTGGAGTGCAGTGGTGTGATCGTGGCTCACTGCAAGCTCCGCCTCCCCGGGTTCACACCATTCTCCTGCCTCAGCCTCCCGAGAAGCTGGGACTACAGGCGCCCGCCACCGCGCCCGGCTAATTTTTTGTATTTTTAGTAGATGTGCGGTTTCACCGTGTTAGCCAGGATGGTCTTGATCTCCTGACCTCGTGATCCGCCTGCCTCAGCGCCCGGCCAAGAGTGGTTTTTAATTGGGAATGAACACGAAAGTTGCCCATGGAGCTTTCTAAAAGTTTGAGCCCACATCTCATGTCAACTAAATCAGAATCTTTAGTGTTGGCTCCTAACTATATGTACTTTAAAAACCTCTGTGGGTTGGTTTTGATATGGTCCCTTGATTATGTTCTTCTACTAATACATTTTAGGCAGTTACATCCTTTAGTGCCTTTTCCCCATACTATAGAAATCTTAGAAAAGCATAGCTATTAGCATCATATTTTAGTGGACAATTTTAAAGAGACCAGGCTTATTGTTTTTGTTTTTGTGTTTGTTTGGCAAAAAGGTCACATTACCTATTTTTCTTGTTAGAGATGACAGAGTAGTGATATTTCTCAAATGAAAGTTTGGATTTTCATCTAGAAAAAATATTTTTGAAAGCTTTTATGTAATAAAAGAAGCATTAAAAAGTATTTCTGGAAATGTTATCAATTATTCTTGAAAGTAGACTGGGTTAATTTGCTTGTGTTTACTTTGGTGAAAGGTGAAAAATGAAGTTTCTTTGGTGGCAGAAGGCTTTCTCCCAGAGGATGGAAGTGGCCGCATTGTTGGTGTTCAGGACTTGCTGGATCAGGAGTCTGTGTGTGTGGCCACAGCCTCTGGAGACGTCATACTCTGCAGTCTCAGCACACAACAGGTAAGTGGAAGACTCCAGTGAGGGGGGAGTCTCAAGCATCCTCAAATAGGTTACTTGCTATTTGTGGAAGTTTTCAAATCAGTAGCCATAATAGTTACACTTTTGCTAATTAATTTTTGCATTATATATTTCTTTATTTAAAAAATTGTTAACATGGCTTTATCTATATGTTAAGATTCTTCTAAAACTGAGTTTTGTCTGCTGCATCTATTAATCAGAGTGATCAGAATGTTCCAAATGAGAATATATTTTTTTAAAAGTTAAAACTGGCTATTCTTATGTGGTGTAGATCACCTCTTATCAGACCCTCATCTTGAGTTGCAACCTTTGTTTCTCAATTTAGGAAGTCTTTGTTTATCTGACTTAGATTTTCTGTTATGAATGTTGATTGGCTAAATTTAGAGTCCCTGAAGTCTAGGCACTAAAGTAAATACATTGTCATTACCTGCACATGTGATGACTGCCAGTAGAGCTAGACTTCAAGCAATTGCTTCTTTCTCTACTTTAGTGTATAGTTGAGTTTCTGATTTCTATCCTCACCTTCTTAACAGCAAGGGTTTCAAATTACACTTGGCTGATTCTTTAAATCTTCTTCCATTACTTCATTAGTTGTGATCTCCTTAACATTGATTATGTCACAGAAGTTAGAGTATTACTAATAGTAGGATAATGATAGCAGCTTACATTTATTAACTATCATGTGCCTGGCACTTTTTAAAGTGCTTTTCATGCAAATTTATTTAATCTTCACCATGACCTTATGCAGTAGGTTGTTGTTTCCTATTCTTCAGAAGAGGCAGTTAAGGCACAGAGTGCTTAAGTAATTAGACCAGGGTCACACAGTAATCAAATGGGGTTTGACCCTAGCAGTCTAAATCTGGCACCTCTGCTCTTAACCATTCCATTTAGTACAATCATAAACCTTTACTTGCAGTTCATGGTGGGAAATATCAAACTTGTCATATACAGCTTGTTTTTTTTTCGTATTTGAAAGATAGATGCTTTTACTTTCCAAACATTTTGTAGCATTGTTTCCTGGTTACTGAGCTCTTCCAGTCTATTTATCTTCATTTAATGGTGCTGATTCTGCCCTTTAGTGGCTTCTCAATTGTCTGAAAGGTAGAGCCCACTATTGTGCCTTATAAGCCCCTTTCACTATCTGTTCCCCACATTCCTTTTTAGCCTCATCCCCCCATTGTTCCTGTGTGTACGTAAACCTTATGTTTTAGTTGCAGCTGATTTTTAACTGCTCTTTTTTCTGGCTTTGTGCCTCTACACTGTGTTTTCTTCCTGGTCTCTCTTTCCTGTCCTTATTACCACTCTTTGAAACACGTCAGAAAAACTTTTTCTGGACTTTGGGCCACTTGTCATTCCCTGTGCTGAGACGCATTTTGCTTTCCAGAGATCTTGGTCATTGCTGTTATCCTCTGTAGGGTCTTCTTTTATCTCCCTCGTGAGACAGCTCTGGGAAGAAAAAGATATTTATTTCTAATCCCTGTGCCTAATAACAGGTCTATTCTCTTGATATCCATTACTGAAGAAATGTTTGTTGAGTAAGTTCTTGTTTTAATTTTTAAATATAAATTTTTAATTTTTATGAGTACATAGTAGGTACATATATTTATGGGCTACATGAGATGTTCTGATACAGGCATGCAGTGCAAAATAACCACATCATGGAGAATAGGATATCCATCCCATCAAGCGTTTATCCTTTGTGTTACAAACAATCCAATTACAGTCTTTTAGTTATTTTAAAATGTGCAATTACTGTTGACTGTAGTTACCTTGTTGTGCTATCAAATAGCAGGTCTTATTTATTCTATTTTTTTTTGTACCTATTAACCATCCCAACTTCCCTCAGCCCCTCACTACCCTTCCCAGCCTCTGGTAACCATCCTTGTACTCTCTGTGTCCGTGAGTTCAATTGTTTTGATTTTTAGATCGCACAAATAAGTGAGAACATGTGATGTTTGTCTTTTTGTGTCTGGTTTATTTCACTTAATGTAATCATCTCCAGTTCCATCTATGTTGTTGCAGATGACAGGATCTTATTCTTTTTTTATGGCTGAATAGTACTCCATTGTGTATAGTACCACAATTTCTTTATCCAGTCATCCATTGATGGACACTTAGGTTGCTTCCAAATCTTAGCTATTGTGAACAGAGCTGCAACAAACATGAGAGTGCAGATATCTCTTCCATATACTGATGTCTTTTCGTTTTGTTTTTTTAATTGTTTTGATTGAAGTTGCAGTCAGTTTTTACTGAGATGCTAGTGTTTGAATCTCTCTTTTCAATTTTCTCTGTCTCAGCTGGAGTGTGTTGGGAGTGTAGCCAGTGGTATCTCTGTTATGAGTTGGAGTCCTGACCAAGAGCTGGTGCTTCTTGCCACAGGTAAGCTTGTTACTGGTGCCTCACTGGCTTTTTTAAAACATTATTCCAGATGTCTTACAGGCTTCATCAGCTTTAGGCTGCTTGAATTTCAAAAAATTTCTTTGAACCAGTATAATACCAATTATGAACCAGTATAATACCAATTATGTATGTGTGTGTGTATATATATATAAAACGTAGAGTGATTTTTTTTTGGTGACTGAAGTTTTGCCTCTTAGTCTATCATTATAAAAAGTTGTTTCATGTAACTTTTTAAGTCTTTGGGAGTAAGAAACAAAGTCATAAAACTTGGGGAGGCTGCTAAGTCCCCAGTTAGAGTTAAAAATGTCAGCAATATGTATTTTAACTTATTCTAAGAGTTGCTGTATGGACACATTCTAAAAGCCCTTCTTGGGTTCTGTTGCTGTTTTTCCCCTTTAAGTCTCATCATTCCAGATGAGTTTAGTAAACCAGCTCCACTGATGACATTTATATTTAGAGGTATCTTGGGGACAAGGAGTGTTGAAGTTAGTGGAGGAGGGCTTTGTGGACTTTTAAGTTCAACTGTACACACATTAATAGCTGAGCATAAGCACCAGGTGACTTATCTAGGGAAAGCTTTTTGGGGTTTTTTGTCATTGTTGTTTTTTTAAGTCAAAGCATTTTGGATGAATTCTGTCTGCTCTGTTCAGACTAACTCCAGCTCCTTAGCTTACAGTGCCATAGGTACTTAGGAATGGCAAATTTGTTACATGAAAACAAAATCATTTTTGTTTGTGTTTCTCTAAGGTCAACAGACCCTGATTATGATGACAAAAGATTTTGAGCCAATCCTGGAGCAGCAGATCCATCAGGATGATTTTGGTGAAAGTAAGTATAGCTTTGTGCAATATTTTGTGACCTACGTTTCTTCCCATTTTTGACCATTTCCTTGTGCACTAATAGCCATGTCATTAGGCCAAAGAACTGTGAAAGTTAAACCCCCAGCTATTAAATGTCTATTAGCCCAGTTCCTTCAGCCCATCCCAAATCTTAAAAGGCCTACTGATGCCTCTCCAGGTCTGAGGGTTTAAGGTCACTTAGATAGTTATTACCCAAACCCTAGGAAAGTCTTAGGCTGGGCTTTCAGTGAAAGGGACTGTACAAGGTAGTATTTCTGGGATACAGTTTTAGGGAGAAGAAAAGAAGAAAGATGGAATAGAAGGCTGGTTTTTGTTACTACGATTAGATCCAATCTGCATTTCCATGGGAACAATCAGATTATTTTCTTGCTAAAATCTAGCCAAGGTCATCTGGGCATTAAGGCTGTGGGGGTATTGAAGGGCAGTGCAGGAGAAGAGAGACGCTTATTAAGCATAAGCTTTGGCCATCTTGAAGTCACAAAGTAGCTGGCCTGATTGAAGAGGGATGGGGAAGAAGATGTTCCAACTTCTGTTATGGTCTAACTTCCTGCCTTCTTGCTCCATCAACTCTGAGAAATCATTTAGACAACTTCTACCCATTTATTTACAAATAATGTATTTGTTCAGAAATAATTTTGGAGGGCTGGGCACAGTGGCTCATGCCTGTAATCCCAGCACTTTTGGAGGATGAGGCAGGAGGATTGCTTGAGCCCAGGAGTTTGATACTAGCCTAGGCAACGTAGGGAGACCCAGCATCTACAAAGAATTTAAAAATTAGCTGGGCTTGGTGGTATCAGCACAGTAATGACATGATGTGCAGGTACTGGGGTAGCATAAGGGAAGGAAACGAGTAACTAGAGAGGGATGATTTATTTCCCCTAGGAGGCCAACTTGAGCTGAGTCTCAGCTGAATTGGTGTTGGGTAGGTGAGGGATAAGGGTGGGGAGTAGTCAGCTGAATTGGTATTGGGCAGGTGAGGGATAAGGGTTTGGAGTAGTCAGCTGAATTGGTATTGGGTAGGTGAGGGATAAGGGTGGGGAACAGTCCAAGCAAGTGAATGTGTCCATTTCAAGTGTCCATTTCAAGGGAGGGTTATTTCATAGAAACATTGTGGGTTACTCAGGGAACTGTGAGTAATTCAGCATTGCTGAAGTGGCAGAATGTGAGTGTAGAATGAAATAAATGGAACAGATTTGATTGAGTTTGTAGTAGGGAATATGGACATTGAGTTATAGTTGATCAGCCATTACAAGTTTTGATGATAAGAGGTTTAAAGAGATTTATTTAATAGAAAGATGGCTCGTGATGGCATATTTTTGTTGTTTTTGTGTGTGGAGAGGGAAGAGATGAGAGGCAGGGTGATCAGGTAGGAGGTTGCTACAGGAATCCAGATGAAAGATAAGGAAGGTTTGTGTGGGGCTAGAAGCAGGAATCATTCAGGAAAAAACTTGATTCACAATGAGGATGGGAGTACATTTTTTAGAATTAGCTGGGAAACTTTTTTAGAATATATGTGCATGATTCCCCTTCTGCCCTAGGCCAGTTTGAGAAATACCAATTTAGAAAGTGAAATAAATAGGCTTTGCGTATGTAAGGTGAATAAGAAAAAGTTGAGCAGGACTCCAGCCAGAACCTCAGGTGTTGGGAATAAAGATGCCAGTAACAGGGAAGATGGAGAAGTGCTGGTCTGTAAGGGGTGGGTGGTGAGATCTGTTTTGGATTTGTTGAAGGACCATATGTGATTGCCATGTGGAGTATGCAAATATAAGGCTGAAGCTCAGGAGAGGCCAGAGCTATGGACTGAGAGTAGTGGGTATGTAGGAAATTCTGACAGTTTTGGGAACAGATGGACTGTCTCAGGGAGCAGATGCTGTACAGGAAGAGTCTAGAATCCAGGGTGGAACTCTGGGGCATCCAGCTTTGAGGACAGTCAGAGAGAGAGTAACAGCACACAGTATACTTTGGGATGGGAAAGTGCTCTGGGCCTGGTGTTTCCCACTGACTTTTTCACACAAATCCTAATGCAGTAAATCAAAGGAAATGTAGGCCAAGTTAAGATCTTAGGTCTCAGAAATGTGTTTCTCAGTACAAAAAAAAAAAAATCATTCTATGGAGTGATGAATATTTTTCCTCTATCCTGGGGTCAGTAGACTTGTTCTGAAAAGGGCTAGGTCATGAATATGTTCAGCTTTGCAGGCTGTATGATCTGTGTTGCAGCTGCTCAATTCTAATGTTGAGGTGTGAAAGTTATACATGATACATAAGCACATCTATGTTCCAGTAAACGTTTGTTTGTAAAAGCAGATGTAGGCTGTAGTTTTGCAAATCCCTGCTGTAACCGCATCATTTCTTGTCTTCCATTGGAAAAGTTCTCTTTCTTCATTCCTTGGTCCTTAATCTTTCTGTGGAAACTTGCAGATAGAAGCCTGGGGGTTTGCACCAGGATAGTCACTACCATTTGTACGCAGCAGCAATTGAGGTACTGTAGCACTTGGATGTGAGCAGACAGGAAATGGTCATATGGACCCATAATTTATAGGAATTGCAAACAGCCCTGCTTCATCAGAATCAGAATCAATGGCAGGAGGAAAGTATTGGGTCCTGGATTAGGTGATGTTTTCAGGACCATCTTTATTGTGCTTCTTGCAAATGGATCCTACCTCCAGGAACAGAAGGGTTGTGTTGTTTCAGCAACTCTGCCTAATAGTTTATATAAGAGAAGTGTTACGATCTAGAAAGAACCCCAGTCAGCCTGGAAGGCAGAAGACCTGTGTTCTAACTTTTGGCTCCACCATTAGGGAGGGTCTCAATCTCTAAGTCTATGTGAGGAGCTGTTTTGTGACCTGCAGCCCCTCTATCACCAGTGAGAGCTTGCAATCAGAATTTTATTCCCAGTTCTCATCTTGGGGTTTTATGTTCCGGACATATTTTGTAAACTCTTTATGTTTCATTCTTCTTACTTATAAGGTGAGGGTGAGATCGCTGACTTGTGTCATCAAAGAAACTTGGAATATGTAAGATGGCAGTAAAATGCTTTCCAAAATAAGGAAGGGCATTTCAAATTCTTCAAAGTCACTGCTGCATATAATATGAAATGGGTTTTGTTTGTTTGTTTTGAGATGGGGGTCTCGCTGTGTTACCCAGGCTAGAGAGTGCAGTAGTACAATCAGGGCTCACTGCAGCCTTGAACTCCTGGGTTCAAGTGATCCTCCTACTTTAGTCTCTTGAGTAGCTGGGACCACAGGTGTGTGCCATCATGTCCAGCTTATTTTGTATACTTTTTGTAGAGATGGGTGTCTCCCTATGTTGCCCAGGCTGGTCTCGAACTCCTGGACTCAAGTGATCCTCCTGCCTCAGCCTCCCAAAGTGTTGGGACTATAGGCATGAGCCACCATGCCCAGCCTGAAACATAGGTTTCTCAAATATTGACTGCTGGTCAATTTATTGAGAGGCGTTAGAGGACCTGAGTAATTGCCAATGACTAACTTCATGAAGAATAGCAGTGAAACTGTTTTTGTTTCATTTCATGTGGCTTATTAGTTGTCTTGCCAATTGTTCTGTAGGCAAGTTTATCACTGTTGGATGGGGTAGGAAGGAGACACAGTTCCATGGATCAGAAGGCAGACAAGCAGCTTTTCAGATGCAAATGGTAAGTTTGGTTTGATGGATAAAAAGCCTTGACTGGAACAAATGTAAGTTTGCCACCCACCAGGAACTCTTTGGTGTCCACTTAGATGCCAGTAATGAACAGTTCTCTTCTGCTTTAGTAAAACTGCCTAGAACCTTCAGGAAATGAATCCCTCTAGAAAGATCCTTTTTTTCCTTGTTATTGCCAAGTTGCTTTGTGATTTATTTTCATAGTAGCAAATAATTATAACCAATATTCATCACCCAGTTTAAAAAATAAAACATCACAGACAAAGGAAACCCCCTGTGTATCCCGTCCCGATGTCCCTCCCCTTCCTCTCCAGAGAGAGCTGCCATCCTTCATTCACATGCATGTTCTCATACTTTTCCCATATATGTGTATATTAGATATTTTTCTTTTTCTGTTGGATGAAACTCTTTGTTTTCCTTACTTCTGGATTGGAAAATTCTGAAGACCATATAATGATGTCTTGATGACTCAAGGCAGGACTTTTTAATCTTCTAATGTAGGCGGGGCGGCCCCTGAAGGCAGAGGTGTGTGGACACAAGAAGAGTGCAGACTCTTGGGGCACCTGGGGAAGTAGTGTCCGTGTCACATTAAATTCATTTAAACTCTTATATTTTATTTTAATTTATACAATATGAATATTTTTTAAAACTATGAATTGAAAAGTATTACCCTTGAGTAAAATTAATGCCCCAAGAAGATGTGCCATATTTACCCTCTGGCACACTACCAAGTACCCCCAGGGGCATTACAGATCTCTGTTAGAAAAGTACAGATTACATTATCCTCATAACATTTAGAAGCTATGAGACCTTGGCAGGGAAGTTTCCTAATGTTTCTGAGCCTCAGTATTCTCTGTAAAGTGGACAACATAATGTCTCCTTACAAGGGTTGAGATGGGCAGGTAATAGCATATATAAAACAGCTATCATAGCATCAGCACAGTGTAGGCACTCAAATGGTAGTTGCTGCTTTTGTTTTAGTAGACAAATAATTTTTGAAACTTTTTAAAGCGTAGTTTTTATTTCAAAACAACTTTATTGTGAGTAAAATATGCATAGTGGGTCTAATTTAACATTCTGAAAGCTATTGACTTATTAGAACAGTAAAGGATTATTAGAGGGCAGAAACATGGAGTAAGTACTCTGAGACACAACCTTGCTTCTTTGGGGGTGATCCACTACAACTGCCCAGCTTTGGACAAGTGGTTTTCATGTCCCCCTGATTTTTAAGTGATTTTTTTTTTTTTTGGCAGGACTTAAAAGGTATCCTTGACTAAACAGGAACTTGACCAAGTAAATAGTTGGTGCAATTTGAATATTCTTTCTTGCTATAAGCAACAAGTAAATTATGGTACAGCTTTCTAAGACCATATCTTTTCGATTTAAAAATAGCACTTTACTCATACATGTTATGACATGGGTAAACCTCATAAAGATTATGCTAAGTGAAAGAAGCCAGTCATAAAAGATCACATATAATATGATCCCATTTGTATGAAGTGCCCAGAAGGGGCAAATCCACAGAGGCAGAAAGTAGAGTAGTGGTTGGGTAGGGCTGTGGGGTGGGGTGGGGAAGGGGTGACTGCTAATGGATATGGGGTTTCTTTTGGGGATGATGAAAATGCTCAAAATTTAGATTATGGTGATGGCTATTCAACTTTGTAAATATACTTTAAAAACATTGATTCTTACCACTGAGTTTAAACAACCAAAAAAAAATCCCAAGGTGCATTGAATTGTGTACTTCAAATGGGTGAACCTTAATAATATGTAAATTATATCCCAGTAAAGGTGTTAAAAAATAGTACTTTAAAGGAATCTATGGTAGTTTTGAAAATAAGGCAGTTTTCCATACTTTGTTAAACTCTGGAGAAGATGACACTTTACTACTGGTACCTGCTAGAGTAAGACTTATCTAGTATTAACAAAATTAGGGTTTATTAATGGTATAGGATGATCCAGGTAATGGGGGAAAAAAACCGAGCATCCTGTTATCTAATGTACTATCCAGTAAACTACTCTAGCTTTTTTTCATGAACTTTTTCTAAAGGCTTTCTAGGGCCTCGTCTTGGTTTGAAAGTTCACAGCTACCCTTCAGAAAAGAAAACAAAAATCCATGGAGTAGGCAGATACAAGTACTCATGTGAGCATAATTTACTTTGATTTTTTAAGTTGTGTTATTCTAGCCCTCAGCCTGTTCCCTGCCTGGGCTCTCCTAGTGCCCAGTAACACTGATTCAAGAGGTTGCATTTAGCTGGGCACAGTGGCTGATGCCTGCAATCCCAGCACTTTGGGAGGCCAAGTTGGGCAGATCACCTGAGGTCAGGAGTTCAAGACCAGCATGTCCAACATGGTGAAATCCTATCTCTACTAAAAATACAAAAATTAGCCAGGCATGGTGGCAGATGCCTGTAATCTCAGCTACTTGAGAAGCTAAGGTAGTAGAATCACTTGTACCTGGGAGGCAGAGGTTGCGGTGAGCCAAGATTGTGCCACTGCACTCCAGCCTGGGCCATAAAGCAAGACTCCGTCTCAAAAAAAAAAAAAAAAAAATTGGGTGAGAGGGAGGAATTGAGGAGGATACCAAGGGTTGGGCCTGAACAAATGGAAGCATAATTATATGTAGAAATTTCTATGAGCTACTCTTCTAGAATAGATGACTCAATAATACCCTGCTTGCCATCTACGTTTTCTGTCCTTAATTATTTCCAGTTCTATTTCATATAATGCCTATTTCAGGCCTTAACCCTTCAGTAAAGGAGGTTTGGTTTCTATACCCTAGGACAGTTTCATTGAGAATAAATTTTGTTAGGCTACCTATGTATTCCCTACTGTGCAGACTACAGTACAGTACTAGCAGAATTCTTAGGCTGTTACTAGAATATGATGATGAATGCCCGGGTGGTCATCTGTCTCCCACCCGGTAGAGTTGGCTTCAGGATTGAGATACACGTGGCCCTGGAGGAGACGTTTCTTCCCGTCATGCTGCAGAATGAGAACATTTCCATGTTTTCGTCATTGTCTGCTGCTGCCTTTACCACCTCTGTGGCTCCTCCCTATTCACCTTGTTCACATCTTAACTCATCTGTGCCCTGTTGTGAAGCTTACACAATATGTAAACAAAACTCTACCCTGTTGGACAAATGGAACACTTGTTTCCTTGTTGTAGTTACCTGATAGGTTCCTTAGCTCATTATATTCAGGATCTAGATCTGTAGCTCTTTTCCTCTTTTGCTGTTCTCAGAGGCCACTTTTTTTTTTTTTAATGCCGAAAGGAGGATTTTGTTTGTTTTACATTTTTTTCTTCTTTTTGATGATTTCTGCGTTCTAAGAACCAACCCTTGGATGGTTTCTGATTCTAGAGGCAGGCTTTCAAAGTAGCTTAAACCTCTTAAAAAACATCTGTATCTAGTGGTCTGAGGCTTGTTTGATTCTGGGATACTTAAGGTCCCCCAGTAATATTGGTGTTTGTTCCCCTTTTTAGCATGAGTCTGCTTTGCCCTGGGATGACCATAGACCACAAGTTACCTGGCGGGGGGATGGACAGTTTTTTGCTGTGAGTGTTGTTTGCCCAGAAACAGGTATGGAAATATATTGCAGTTAAACAACAATAAAAAATTTTTATCTTATTAAAATTAAGGAAAATTTTCTTTCTTTTGCTTTGAGTAGGGTATTAATTATACATATGAGGCAAGGATGTGCTGCTTTAAATGTGAAATGAGGTTAGAGTTAAGAATTAGAAGAGTCCTTTGAGGCCATTTGGTCCATCCTCCTACCTGGTGGACACAAATTTGTAACAAAATTAATCTAATTGGCTATGTAAAACCATGGCAGTTTTTATTTGTAAGGAAGGTGTTTGAATAGTTCTGAATTGACAACTTTTATCATAATGTTTTAAGTGTGTATGTGTGTTTGACTCCACTCCCGCACAGGGGCTCGGAAGGTCAGAGTGTGGAACCGAGAGTTTGCTTTGCAGTCAACCAGTGAGCCTGTGGCAGGACTGGGACCAGCCCTGGCTTGGAAGTGAGTGGGAGAAGAAACCTTAGAGAAATTCTTGGAACCAGAGTAGAGGTGGTGGTACACATGGATACAGATGATACAGATGTTTGTGTAACACAAAAGGATTTTTACGTTTCTTCATTTGGTTATAAGGCTGTATCTATCTTTGTTTCTTCTTTTTTTTTTTTCTTATTCCCTGAAGTCTGAATTCAACTCGAATAGTAGATTTTACGCTTCTTCACAGATTTCATTGTTCCAAGGCCGCATATATTTTGCATTCCTAACTCTTAAAAGGCTGTGGTTTTAAGGCAGGGTATATATGAAGCCATTGTACAGAGCAGAAAATGGTGTTTAGAAGGGAAGGCCCAGTTTGCAAGGCTCTGTGGGGCAAATGGTGCTTTTGTGGAAATTAGGGAAAGAGCCTCCTTCCTTGGCACAAAATTCCTACAGCAGAGGATCTGCTTGCCAAGGAGCATGCAGGCTGGATTCAGACCCTGCTCTTTCCTTCCATTCTCCTCCTTGGCCCAGTACCCTTGTGCAGGTTACAATTTGCCTGTCATATGTGGCTGCCTGATTTTAGATAGAAGATGTATCTCCTCTGTTTCGGTGATATCTGTTGTATGTAGACCTCTTGTTTCCCACCAGTATCTGAATGGTATTATATGATAGAGCAGAAGAGAAATGTATTTGAATTAAAACCCTAGAGACAAATATGAATAAGATGAGGCAATTAAGATGTTTTCAACATTTGGTGAAGTCTTAAAAAAGACCTACTGGAGCATAGAATATTTGCTGAAGTTGTATAATGGAAGGAGAAATAGATTTTGATTTTTAGGACATTATACCTGGAATGGTTTAGATAACTTATTATTTTTAAAGTCATCCAAATGCAATGTAAATATGTAAGGTTTTGTGGGCAAATGGAGCCTCTGTGTAAAACAGGAAAAGGCACTCTTTCCTCTGGGCAAGTACAGTCCCACAGTGGGATGAACCGCTCGCCGAGAGACAAGGGACACATGGGATTTAAAACTTCCTTGGATAAAGATATTCATTAATTCGTTCATTCATTCATTCATGTTTGCTGGAAAAAAAACTCTTCTGGATTTTATCTATTCTTTAGTTAGGTGAGCTTTCGATATTGTAACACTCTGAGTTTGCTTTAAGACCCTCAGGCAGTTTGATTGCATCTACACAAGATAAACCCAACCAGCAGGATATTGTGTTTTTTGAGAAAAATGGACTCCTTCATGGACACTTTACACTTCCCTTCCTTAAAGATGAGGTTAAGGTAAGTGCCTGAGTTTGTTTCACCCTCGAATGTAGAGGACTTTCCATAGCTATAGAGGGAATTTTTTTTTTTTTTTTTTGAGATGGAGTTTCATTCTTGTTGCCCAGGTTGGAGTGCGATAGTGCAATCTCGGTTCACTGCAACCTCCGCCTCCTAGGTTCAAGTGATTCTCCTGCCTCAGCCTCCCGAGTAGCTGGGATTACAGGCTTGCGCCACCACAGCCAGCTAATTTTGTATTTTTAGTAGAGACGGGGTTTCTCCGTGTTGGTCAGGCTGGTCTCAAACCCCTGACCTCAGGTGATCCACCCGCCTCTGCCTCCCAAAGTGCTGGGATTACAGGCGTGAGCCACCACGCCTGGCCTATAGAGGGGATTTATATTTGATATGGATATATAAATAGTAGCTTTAGAGTAAATAGTAATAAAAATGGTGGCTTCCTAGAACTGATTTTTATTTAATAAAATATTGTTTTTCCAGTGATTTTGCAAATAATAGCATTTGTCCCCCACCTTAGATAAAACAGAAGTAGGAAATAAAAATGCTAGTTTTTATTGTTTATTTTGACAAAAGCATAATTTTTCCAGTAATGAAGATGTTTTTCATTTATAACATTTAAATCTTAAGTGGTTTGTATACCATTAAGATTCTTGCTGAAGTGAGAACACATCAAATGGTATCTCTGTGTAAAATTTTAAACATCCTAAGTTGAGAGACGAGTTTAATGAACTCCCATGTAACTATTACTCACTTTCAGTAGATACCAACATTTTGCAAAACTATTTTCATCGGTCCGCAACTCTTTGGCCTATACATATATATACTTACATATATTTTTATTTCCTGGAGTTTTAATTCTAGAAATCATATTTTCAATATTTATTTATAACAGTTAAGGACATTTTTCTTTACATAACCATAATTCTATTATTACATCTTATCTCTGTGTTGTCTAACACCCAGTCCATATTCCAGTTTCTCTGATTGTCTAAAAATGTCACCTTGTATTTGGTTAAGTTTCTTAAGTCTCTTTTAATCTTTAAGCATAATGTATTTCTTTTTTTTAAGTCCTCTACATAATAATGACATATTTTACAGATTTGTTTAATGCCTCTGTAGGTTAGTGATTTACAGCTAGGGATGAGCTCAGGTAGTGGGATTATTTGATTTGAGAGAGGAAATACAGCTATTATAAAGATTTGGAAGTAAATCCATAACTGAAAGCCAATGACAGATCTTTTTTCCCTTCTAGGTAAATGACTTGCTCTGGAATGCAGATTCCTCTGTGCTTGCAGTCTGGCTGGAAGACCTTCAGAGAGAAGAAAGCTCCATTCCGAAAACCTGTGGTAAGACAGCTGTAGTACCCCAGCCTTCTGCCCCATAAAACGTAGTTGAAAGTAGACAGGTATGGGATTTCCTTCATCCCTTCTACTTAGTCCCTTAGTAGAATCAAAGATGCTGAAGTGGGTAGGTGGAAATGGGGGTGGTTAGGTTTTGATTGATTGTGGATTTCAGTCATGTATTGGTTGGGGTTCTCTAGAGAAACAAATAATACATATATATAATTCGTCCCTCAGTATTCTCGGGGGATTAGTTCTAGGATTGCCCATGGACGCCAAAATCCACACATGGTCAAGTCCTGCAGTCAACCCTGCAGAACACTCAGATATGAAAAGTCAGCCTTTTGTATACTTGGGTTTTGCATTCCTCAAGTACCATATTTTTGATGTGCGTTTGGTTGCGGGTATAGAATCCACAATATGAAGGGCCGACTGTATTCATTGAAAAAAATACGAATATAAATGGACCTGTGTAGTTCAAGCCTGTGTTGTTCAAGGGTCAGCTGTACTTACATAGAGAGACGGTGAGAGAGGGAATAGGGTGGGGCGGGAGGGAGAGAGAGTAATAGAGTGTGGATAGATTTACTTTAAAAGATTAGCTAATGTAGGGGATGGCAAGTTTGAAATTTGTGGGGGCAGGTTGGCAGGCTGGAAATTCAGGTAAGAATTGATGTTGCTGTCTTGAGTATGAAATCTGTAGGGCAGGCTGGAAACTTAGGGAGGATTTCTGTTACAGCCTTAAGGCAGAATTTCTTCTTTTCTGCGAAGCCTCAGTTTTTGCTTTTAAGGTCTTCAGCTGAATGAATGGGACCTTCCCACATTATGGGGAATAATCTGCTTTCCTTATAGTCAGCCGATTATAAATATTAATCACATCTACAGAATACCTTCACAGCAACATCTGGAGTTTAGCAGATAGCTGGGTGCCATAGCCTAGCCAACTTGACACAATAAAATTAACTGTTGTAAGTCATCACGTGCTTTCCCTAGTGCATGGTATTACCACAGAAAAAACACTAACCAAAGGAATTCTGTGGACGTGAAAGAAGATTTAGATTAAGCGTAAAAGTAAGAATATTTTTATAGCTTTTAAAATGTATAAGTGTGTGGTTTTAAGTATTAAATAATACTTGAAAATGTTAGAAAATAAGATGAGAAAAAAATCTCATAGTTCTACCACTTCGTAATAATCACTATTCAAATTTTCTTGTCTTCTAGGTTTTTCATGTATATATCTCAGTATAGCTATCATCTTGTTTTTGTTAAAAGTGTAGTAGGTATGGGCCAGGTGCGGTGGCTCATGCACTTTGGGGGCCCAGCACTTTGGGAGGCCGAGGCGGGCGGATCACGAGGTCAGGAGATCGAGACCATCCTGGCTAACACGGTGTAACCCCATCTCTACTAAAAATACAAAAAATTAGCTGGGCGTGGTGGCAGGCGCCTGTAGTCCCAGCTACTCAGGAGGCTGAGGCAGGAGAATGGTGTGAACCTGGAGGAGGCGGAGCTTGCAGTGAATGGAGATCGTGCCACTGCACTCCAGCCTTGGCGACAGAGTGAGACTGTCTCAAAACAAAACAAAAAAAAGTGTAGGTGTGATACATCTGCATCATTTTAAATTGCTGTATAATACTCGTTTATTCTCGTTCATTAAATCTCATGCTGTTAGACATTTACAGTTTTGTCATTTCTCATTATTGTAAACAGCAATGCATGGTACATTTTTGTTCATAAATCTTTTTACTTGATTATTTTCTAAGTAGCTTTCAAACTCTTTAATCAGTAGAACCCCCCCCCCCTTTTTTTTTTTTTTTGGAGACGGAGTCTCTCTCTTTCCCCCAGGCTGGAGTGCAGTGGCCCGATCTCGGTCACTGCAAGCTCTGCCTCCCGGGTTCACTCCATTTTCCTGCCTCAGCTTCCCGAGTAGCTGGGTCTACAGGCGCCCGCCACCAAGCCTGGCTAATTTTTTGTATTTTTGGTAGAGGCAGGGTTTCACCGCGTTAGCCAGGATGGTCTCGATCTCCATCTCGTGATCTGCCCGTCTCGGCCTCCCAAAGTGCTGGGATTACAGGCGTGAGCCACCGTGCCCGGCCTCAGTAGAACCCTTTTAACTGCAATGTTAAGAAACTCATTATTCATTCAACACAATAGTTCTTAACCCTGGCCACACCTTTAGAAAAAAAATGATATTCAGGCTTCATCTCAAGAGTTCAGTTCAGTGTGTTGGAATGGAGATTATACGTAAGTATTTAATTAAAAACCAAAAGCCCCCAAGTGATTTTAAACAGCCGCAGTTGAGAACCACCGATTAACCAGTGTGTCAAGGGATGGCACTGTGATATGCTGAGCATAAAAATATTGCACAGGATGAAACCCTGTCTCTACTAAAAATGCAAAAATTAGTCCGGCGTGGTGGTGCGCGCCTGTAGTCCTAGCTACTCGGGAGGCTGAGACAAGGGAATCGCTTGAACTGGGAGGCAGAGGTTGCCGTGAGCCGAGATTGAGCCACTGCACTCCAGCATGGGTGACAGAGTGAGACTCCATCTCAAAAACATGTATATATATATATACACACACACACACATTGCACAAGAACAGCCACAACATCTGTGCTCACAGAACATCAGCATGTGGTCTAACTTCAAAGTGTTGTAATAATGCGGTTTGAGACTAGGTTATGTTTGCTGTGATCACTAAGTTAAGCATTAGTGAGCAAGGAGATTGAGAAAATCCTTAATATAAATAATATTTCTTAATATAACTATAATTCCTAATATAACTAAGGTCTTAATTTATATGTCATCTGTTTAGTAAAGGTTGGTTTTGGCATGATTAAGTCTTGCTTGCTTAATAGATGTTGGAAGGATAATTTCATGCTTATCTTCTTTGGACAGCTGAATCAGGATTAATACCCAGATAGCCTTGAACATAAGTGCTTGCAAAGCACCTGAAAGAAAATAAGCATCTTAAGCCCAATACAACACAATGATGCTAGTCTAGATCTTGGATTAAGTGTTTTAATACTTTTACTCTAATTGCCAAGTTATCTTCTTCCTAAATCTTCATGAGAAAACCCACTAAAAGAATGCTTTTTCCTGGTAGCCTTCCATTGTGATCATAAAGTTTGGAAGTAAAGTTGAAAATAAACATGTGGGCCAGGCACGGTGGCTCAGGCCTGTAATCTCAGCACTTTGGGAGGCCGAGGCAGGCGGATCACAAGGTCAGGAGATCAAGACCATCCTGGCTAACACGGTGAAACCATGTTTCTACTAAAAATACAAAAAAAAAAAATTAGCCGGGTGTGGTGGTGGGCGCCTGTAGTCCTAGCTACTCGAGAGGCTGAGGCAGGAGAATGGCATGAACCCGGGAGATGGAGCTTGCAGTGAGCCGAGATTGCGCCACTGCACTCCAGCCTGGCCGGCAGAGCGAGACTCTGTGTCAATAAAAAAAAAAAAAAAACGAAAATAAACATATGAATAAAAGTTAAAAATAGAAAAAAAACAAGAAAATAAACATATATTTCTGACCTTATTGATTCTTGATATTTTATCTGCATGGAAAGCTATTTTTTGGCAGTTATTATTGTTCTTATTTTAGAGACGAGGCTGAGCAGGAAGGGTCCTTTGAAAAAGAAAAGATTGCCCTTGAACCCCTCTGGCAAGTGGGATGAAGTCTGCTTCCCAGCCTCTAACGGCCTTCTTTTCATTTTCCCTTGCAGTTCAGCTCTGGACTGTTGGAAACTATCACTGGTATCTCAAGCAAAGTTTATCCTTCAGCACCTGTGGGAAGAGCAAGATTGTGTCTCTGATGTGGGACCCTGTGACCCCATACCGGCTGCATGTTCTCTGTCAGGGCTGGCATTACCTCGCCTATGATTGGCACTGGACGACTGACCGGAGCGTGGGAGATAATTCAAGTGACTTGTCCAATGTGGCTGTCATTGATGGAAGTAAGCTCCTGGGAAGTGTGTCCATGAGCCTGCAAGGGGTCCTGAGCCTAGGGCCTGCAGATGTGGTGGTTTGACTGGAACAGTGGGGAATCTTTATTTGTTTTGGCTGTTTGGGTTACTTGTTTTTTTATTGAATGGGATATAAGGTGGGGTATGTTCTCTCCTGAGAACCATTGTCCCCCCTCCCCCACCAGTTTCCTGTTATACTGCATCTGTGGCCTTCACACGTTTACTTGCCTGGCCTTTGAAGACACTGAAAACTTTGACTCTAGGTAGAGAGGATGACAACAGTACAGTCTTGTGGGATTGGGTGTGTTAGCTTTATCTGTTTGCCCTGACACAGATTTATAATTGACCCTTATACCACCCCACTTGTGTTGCTTTGTTTCCTGATACAAATGCTTGCTGATATATACCTCTCCAGTATGTTCAGTTCATGCATAAACGTTTGCCTAATATGAAGATTAGGTTTATATTTTATAATGAGGTAGAAGGTTTTTTTAGGGGGTGGGGTGGGAAGGGCAAGACTGAAGAGTGAAGTAGTCACCTTAATGAATAGTTTCATTGCTGATATGAAAGGGAGCACTGGCTTCTAAGATTGTAATGTGAGGTGGTATATTAATTCATATTCTGTGTAATATTCTACATAATACTGATTTTATAGTCATGTATTCTATATAGAGAACTTAATCAGATCTGCGTTATTACCAAATCCACACATAGGAAAGTGCTTTAAGGATTTTGAAAGTATTAATTCCCTTGGTTTAGTGTGGCTTGGTTGCAGGCCCAGGTTTAAAGCTAGAGGTCTGACCTCTTGGCCTTTTTGCCTTAGTCCCTGGCACCTGAAACTCCAGGTA
Source organism: Homo sapiens (assembly GCF_000001405.40). Taxonomy (NCBI): domain Eukaryota; kingdom Metazoa; phylum Chordata; class Mammalia; order Primates; family Hominidae; genus Homo; species Homo sapiens. The sequence continues at coordinate 108,911,406 of NC_000009.12, read as the reverse complement.
CTGAGATGGACTCCCCTAGGCCTAGAGGTGACAATAGCCAATTATGGACAGAACCCATGACATTTCCCCATCCCACACTGTTTTTAGACTTGTTCCTGAGAAAAACATTGAAAGTTATTTTTTTGTGAATTGCCATTATTGTTTAGATATACTGTGATGTTCAGATGGCTTATCTTACAAATTGAATATCCCTAGGTCTAATCCTCTTCTTTCTTTTTCACTGCAGACAGGGTGTTGGTGACAGTCTTCCGGCAGACTGTGGTTCCGCCTCCCATGTGCACCTACCAACTGCTGTTCCCACACCCTGTGAATCAAGTCACATTCTTAGCACACCCTCAAAAGAGTAATGACCTTGCTGTTCTAGATGCCAGTAACCAGATTTCTGTTTATAAATGTGGTATGTTATAAAACTTTTGCCAAGATGTTCTGAATCAAGTCCCTTCTACTCCTACATAAAAGCAAATTATAGTTTGGTGTTGCCATAGGTCTAGTGTTTCTCAAAATTTTTAAGTCTGCAGTTGATATCATTATCATTATGATATTTAATTGCCTTGGGTTTTTGTTTTTTTTTTTTTTAATCCTATACTGGTTTGTACGAGCCATTCCTTTTCCCTTACTGACTTGAAGAGTCAGTTATTTAAGAATAACATTGGACTCTGGAAATAACATAGTATGTTATACATTGTTAACATGTTTTACTCTTTTCATAGCCTTTACACATATTTTCAGTTGATCTCATCCCTCCTAGGAGCTGTGTCAGAGATGGGGTTTTCCTCTTTTGTAGATGAGGGAACACAGTGTCAGAGGTTTTGTAATTTGTTTGAACAAGAATGGACAAGGACCTCAACACAGGTGTTCTAGCTCCTAATCCACTTGTCCTGCCACAGCCCCATTGCTGTCAGTTCTTCATTACTTTCCTGATGTGCTGGAGAATCTGAAATTTGTTTTTACTTGTGAGTTCTGTGGTTATGTCATAAATTCTGCTGGCATATGGCAGTGTTAGCCTTGTTTTCAAATATCTTTTGAATTCTCAGAAAAAGCCTAGATAGTTGCCAAGAGAGAATAATCAAAATTAATTAATTTAAATGGGAAGTCCTTACTTTCATATCAGCTTTTCTGTTAAGTCAGCAGCCCACTGTGTACATGGATCCTATCTGGATGTATCACCAGTTTCTCTGATTATAGTTTCAGTGTGTAAAATGCTGTTACAGTCCTCCTTAAACTTTTCAAAATAGCTTTAAAAAAAAGTGCAAATATGTTCATTGTCAAGGCAAAAAGAATCAGATGTAAGCTTTTGTGGGACTTAACTGTATGATGCTAATGAGTTTATATGTCACTTTATGATGTATGGTATGTTTTGTTCTGCATTCACTTAAAAAATAGCTTTATATCATTCATCTATTTAAAGTGTACAATTCAATGGTTTATATGTGTGTGTATGAATATATATACATATGTATATGTATATATATGTATATTCACAGAGTTGTACAGCCATCACCACGATCAATTTTAGGACGTTTTTATCTCCTCAGAATGAAACCCTGTACCACCCTGCATTCATTTTACTTGAGAGAAAACTCCCTGTGATGAGATAGGACAGGTTGAGAGCTCCACTTTTGAAAGATTGTTCGGCATCAATATGTGGGGTTGGCCATAGGTCAGGGGCACCTGGAGGCAGAGATTCTAGTTAGGAGAAGCTGTTGTCAAGTGTCCAGGCAGGAGCTAGCAAGAGCTTGAGCCAGAGCAGTGTTCATAGAAATGGAAAGAAGAGAAAGATCATAACAAATCCATGAAGTAAAAACCCTGAGAAGTTAAAGAACCCACTGGGGAGAGTTTGGATATAAGAGAATCTGGAAAAAGAGATCTTGGACTGGAACAGGTCAGGGCTCCGTGCCCAAGTGGAAGGGAAATTAAGAACTTGGAGTCAAGTGGTAGACATTTGAGTGGTGTGGAGACAAGTTCGTTGCCAAAGTTTTCAAAGATGGTGTTTGATGCATCCTGAGTATCACTCCTTTTTCCCCCTCATTGCTTCTTGATTGTTTATTATATGCCAGGCTTTTTTCTAGTACTTGGCTTGTTGTACTAGAAAACTAGTTGTACTTTGTCTACAACTTGTTGTTCTAGGTGTAGACAAAAGATATCAATTAAATATGATCTATCAGATGGCAAGTGCTGTGGAGAAAAATTAAGCAAAATAAGGGGTAGGGAGAGCTTAAGGATAAGGGTTTACAGGGGGAAGGTGTCTTTCCTATTTAGTGTGATCCCAAAGGCCTCTCTGTGAAGGTGACATTGAAGCAGAGACCTGGTGAGAATCACAGTGGGAGCCACGCAGACATCTGGGGTAAGAGCGTCCCAAGCATTCTATGCTTGAAGGCAAAGAAGAAAAAAGAAAGAGCGTTCCAAGCAGAGTAAAAAGCAACCACCGAAGTGCCTGTTGTGTTTAGGAAATAGCCAGGAGGCCAGGGTGGCTGCAGCAGAGCAAAGGAGGGGAAGGTGGTGGGTGAGTTCAGAGTGGTGATGGGAATCTGCTCTTGTAGGGCCTTGCGGCTTTTACTCCGAGTGAGATAGGAGCCACCAGAGGGCTTAGAACAGAGGAGTGCAGTGTTCTGGCTGAATTTTTTAAAGGCTTGCATTGGCTGCTGTGCAGTGAATAAACTGGATGAAGAATAGAAAGAAAATGTCTTTTAAGCAGGTGCTTAGGACTTTGGAGAATTTGAGGATATTGAGAGGTGGTTGAAGACAGTGGAGGAAATTGTCCACAGCACTGGGCTGAGAGGGTAGCCCCTTCACCTGGTCTTGCTGAGATGTGGCCTTTGTCAGGGAAGATTATGACTGATGTGTTCTTAAGAGGAAAGCAGAAATTTTAAGGAGGTTGAGATGTGATTATTTTCTAGATTGCTGTTTGCCTTCTAGAACTCATTAATTGCAGACACCATCCCCTTAGTATTAGGTGAAATCTTATAATTTACGATGATAATATTTGCATTTTTGTTTTCCAGGTGATTGTCCAAGTGCTGACCCTACAGTGAAACTGGGAGCTGTGGGTGGAAGTGGATTTAAAGTTTGCCTTAGAACTCCTCATTTGGAAAAGAGATACAAGTAGGTTCTTAATTATCTTGGGCTTCTGGGAACAGAATCAGCCAGCATGCAGTCCTAAATTCAGCCATCTGATAACAGTTCTATGCCTGTTGCTGAGTGGAACAAGAAATAAAGACAACACCCAGGCCCTGACTTTCGGATCTGATTGGAGAAGCCAGTCATGTAGTTTGTCTGAATGCCATATAATTTGATAGGTAGCAGGAGAGCATGAGTTGTAAGCCAGCCTAGGACCTACTCCCAATAGCGCTTGGTTCTCCAGGAAAAATCATGTGGGAAAGATGGAGATGACAATGATAAGGCGGAGCTGCATTCTCTTACATAAATGGGGATGTATGGGTTGTTAACATGGATGACCTAATGCAGCCTCTGTCTTTGCTCCATCCCAGAATCTAGAACTTCTGGGTGCTGTGCTTTGAGGCTCCTGGGATGGAAATCAGAATGCATTCTTCCATTGAAACAGTATTGTAAACAATTGGATGTTATTGAATACCTCAGGTACACTATAGGCATTTGCAAAATGACCTAGAAACCAAATTATAATGCCACATCTGTGAGAGAACTTTTTTAAAAAGTACCACTTATTGAGTACTTACAGATTAAAAAAACAAAGTGTAGAGGTTAGGTAACTTACCCAAGGTCATGGACCTGGTAACTAGAGAATTTAGGGTTTGATTCTATTCTGTTTGATAAGTCCATGTTCTTCATTACTAAACTACTCTGCCTCCAGGGAACATTTATTGTTAGATTAATAGAAATAATTAACTGAGTACAACAAATAGCAGAATTTAATAAATAATGTTTCTTAAATATATGTGATATATTTAATAAATACAGCAGAAGTGTTCAACCTCTGTATGATTTTGAGGCTGCCTGTATAATGCTTAGTAGTTTTTAAAGAGCATTTACATGCATTATTTCACTTCATAGACTTGAAACCACTAGAGTAGAGATAGAGGACAAATTAGAAAGTATGAGGCAGTTTAGAATATAGTTTCATTTAAAAAAAATTGATGGGGATAATGCCAATTCGTCTGAGATTTCACAGAAGACATGAGTACTCATCGTGATCTTGGGGAAGGGATAGGTTTGGGGTTGGCAAAGAATTGGGAACATTGGGTCTGGTGGGGAAGAAAGTGTCAGTGAAAACCAGAGGTGGGACTGATCCTCCATGGGATACTCTATGTGAATGCAATGGAGAGCCTGAGTCCGGGGAGAGATGTTTGAGGAGGAAGATCAGGCTAGTGACCAACTTCTTCAGTGGGAGCTGCGGATTTGCCACCTGATCTAAAAGGCAGGAAGTAGCCATTGTCGGTTCCTACGTGAGGTGACAAGAACAGTGCGCTGGTCAGGTGTATAAATGCTACCAAAGAATGCATTAGAGACATGGAGACCATCTCTCAAGCTAGTCAGTCAGTTTAATGTGAGGTGCTTAGGAAAGGACCCATTCTACTGCAAGTGACATACCTGCCAGAGCCTGGTTTGAATGCTGGTAAGTCATGGCAGTGGAAAAGCTCTGGGGTTCATTAGTGTAGGGACTAGGGCTGGTAATTTTCTTGTGTAGTCAGTTTCCTCAAGTGTTCTCTTCAAATTTAAAGATTTCAGGGTATGAGAAATTTAGGGAAAATATAAAAACGTATTCTTAAGCCAGACAAAGATTAATTTTAGATTTTGTAGTATTTGGTAGTATCTCAGGTTTTGTCCCTCCAAATAATTAGGAGTGGACTGTATACAAGATGCTTCAGTCTTCCTTCATCCAGGAACGTCTCAGTGGTTTTTAAGTTTTATTCATGTCTTGGATATTCTTCAATATTTACAATAGAATCCAGTTTGAGAATAATGAAGATCAAGATGTAAACCCGCTGAAACTAGGCCTTCTCACTTGGATTGAAGAAGACGTCTTCCTGGCTGTAAGCCACAGTGAGTTCAGCCCCCGGTCTGTCATTCACCATTTGACTGCAGCTTCTTCTGAGATGGATGAAGAGCATGGACAGCTCAATGTCAGGTATTGCAGTTTTTCCCTGTACTCCACATGTTAAGCAAATGGAGTTAGGTTTTTGTCTTTTATGAGCATACAACTTTTGACTTCTATTGATCAAGGTTGAGGAGCAGTAGCTTTCTTGTTAGACACACTTAACAAGAAGGTTAAGTCTAGTTATGAGCCATGTCAAAATAACAGACCAAAAATATATCAAAAAGTGGTGAAAAATAGGATAAATATTAGTAGATGAAGCAACTTTTTAAAGATATGTTAAATATTTTAATTTAGCATCTACCCACATTTTTCCAGCGTGATTGTTATATGTTATAATTGATTTTAATAACTGTCAAGCATAATTAGAGTGGCTAATTCTCATGGGCTAATGTGATGGGAAGAAATTTTGTATAAATGCAGTCATGCGCATATATGTGTGTGTGTGTGTGTGTGTGTGTGTGTGTATACATACCTTTTCTATGTTTAGATACACAAATACTTGACATGGTATTACAATTGCCTGTAGTATTCTGTAAAGTAACATGCTGTCCAGGTTTGTAGCCTGGTAGCAATAGGCCATACCCCATAGGCTAGGGGTGTAGTAGGCTACACCACCTAGGTTTGTGTAAGTACTCTATGATGTTTGCACAATGATGAAATCACCTAACAACACATTTCTCAGACGTATCCCCATCGTTAAATGATGCATAATTGCACATATATGCTTTGTTTTGATGTGGTGACTTCAAAATGCTTCTTCCAGCCTCCTCTTCTATATATCCTATTTTGTACCTGACTACATTTACCATTAGAAAGTCTCTATTCTTCTTTGCTGAAATTTCACTGTTCTCTGGGCCTGAGTTTTGTTTTGATTCCTGACTATATCTTCATTATGTAACAGGTTTCAGTTAATGAATGCTCTTCTGTGTAATGTAAGCCCTGTTGTATAGTTGATAGCATTTTCTAGCCAGTTCCCAGAACTCCTTGTTTCCAGTGTCAATACTTGGCACCTTTGTCCACTGACACTAATCCCCAGATTAATTTGTAATTAAAGCCCTACTGGTGAGATTTCTGAGAAACGTTGTTGCAAAATTAGGAACCTTTCCTTTATATATATACATTACATAAATTTATAGACATAAAACATTTTAATGCAGTCATTTGCTGCTACTCTTTGACTCATAGTCTTTCGTGATATTTTGAAAAAGCCTTTTGTTAACATGTCTAAATGCAGAATATGTTCTAGAAATATGTAGCACTTAAAGTAAGCCATTAGATTACCTTTTGAAAAGCGGAGCAATTTACTAAGTTTCTACTTCTTCAGATTTGAAATTCTTCATCATTAGCTTGTAGAGGCAAAAGCTTGATGCAGTCATCTCATTTGCTGTAAAGGAAATGAGAAGTCATTTACAGTATATTTCTACTGCTTTGACTTTTATTTCTCAAAAAGACTGTTTTGTTCATATAAAATATTAATGCTTTTGAGGACTACAAAGTCCCTCGATTTAGTTTACATTTACTTTAGCTTATACTTTGTAAAAAATACTCTTCTAAATGCTTTGTCTGTTTTAGCTTACTTATTTCTCATAATACCTCTGTAAAGTATATGCCATTTGCACCATCATTTTACAGATGAGACAACTAAGACATGGAGCAGTTAGATAACTTGCCTGAGATCATGCAGGTGGAGCCAGGATCAAATCCCAGCGAGTCTAGCTCCAGAGTTTGTTCTCTTCTTGACAGATAATTTATCCTCACAAAATTTGAAGCATTTGTAGAGGAATTCCCTATTGTTATAATGTTTAGTTTTTTTGTAGATTGGTTAAAAACTTTGAATTAAATGTTAGCATTAACATCATTTGCTTTTATCACTACTTCTTTGTCTCTTTTTTCTTTTTTTAATCACTACCTCTTCCTCCTCTTTTGAGAAATTCTGCTTCCGTGGCTATGGTCCAAGCTACTTGAGAAGGTGAGGTGGGAGGATCACTTGAGCCTAGGAGGTTGAGATTGCGGTGAGCTGTGATTGTGTCAACTGCATTTCAACCTGGGCAACAGAGCAAGACACTGTCCAAAAAAAAAAAAAAAAATAGTGAAATTTTACTTCGCTCCATTGACTCAGGGAAAAAATGTAATGGTGATAACAAATTCCCTTCATCTCATTAGTGAAAATCCACAATTTTCCATCAATCGATATGATAGTGATAGAGATATTGAGTGTGCTCATTTTCCTACAGACCAGCTGCTTTAACTATTTTAAGCAGACAGAAATGATATTGGTACCATCCATGTCTAATGAAGGCAATACTTTGTAATAAGTTGCAGTAAGTTGTGGCCAGAAGAGGAATGATGACTTCACAGTGTAAACAACTACCTTATTGGGTTTGTGGAAAATGGTGTCATGTAGCAGATGTGGCTTTATCTGGGCTTTGGTTTGGAGTAGTTTTATCTATTCATCTAACCGTCTGTCTCTAAGTGTATAAGTGTGTGTGTGTGTGTGTGTGTGTGTGTATAGTATTGGGTGTGTATATATGTATTTTGTCTACATTGTATTGAAGTAGGTAGTGCAGCATCAAAAGGAAATTGTTGATTTTCAAAATCAGTGAAATGTCACTATTTTTGAGAAAAATGGTCTGTTTACACTCCCTTCTCCTTTTTTTTGTCAGTTCATCTGCAGCGGTGGATGGGGTCATAATCAGTCTATGTTGCAATTCCAAGACCAAGTCAGTAGTATTACAGCTGGCTGATGGCCAGATATTTAAGTACCTTTGGGGTGAGTATCAAGGTGTTAGGAAAGCATGTTATGACTTACATAGATGCTTAGTTCTTAAGAACATGTACTTGTATCTTGTCAGTTCAATATTGATTGTCAGGTCTTTTAACTACCCTGGAAAACCCTAAGCTTTAGAGTGGAATTGGCAAGTGTATTCTACTCCTGTTTCCTCTTTTAATGAACTAACGTACTCTTAAAAAAGTGATTGATGACTATCGCAGGGACAAAAAACCAAACACCGCATGTTCTCACTCATAGGTGGGAACTGAACAGTGAGAACACTTGGACACAGGAAGGAGAACATCACACACCTGGGCCTGTCGTGGGGTGGGGGAGGGTGGAGGGATAGCATTAGGAGATATACCTAATGTAAATGACAAGTTAATGGGTGCAGCACACCAACATGGCACATGTATACATATGTAACAAACCTGCACATTGTGCACATGTACCCTAGAACTTAAAGTATAATAAAAATATATATATAAATAAATAATGCCAGCATTAGAGAAAAAAAGTGATTGAAATTGCATGTTAAGTGTTTTAGCAAATGTTGATGTTGATGGTTTTTTGCAAAGAGCGCATCAGCTATTTGTGAACTAGATCTGTGAATCTTGCAGAGTCACCTTCTCTGGCTATTAAACCATGGAAGAACTCTGGTGGATTTCCTGTTCGGTTTCCTTATCCATGCACCCAGACCGAATTGGCCATGATTGGAGAAGAGGTAGGTGAACACGGAGCAGGAAATTTACTTAAAGTAGTTACCCAGGGACTGATGGCATTAAGTAGAAAGAGCGTGGGCTTTGGAGGTGGACTTGGGTCTCCACTAAATGCCTAGACAATAGTGGGAAATGATCTCACTTTCATAAGCCACACCTTATTCATCTATAAAATGGGAAAATCAGTATCTGTCTATCAGGGTTCAGAAGACTAAATGAGATAATATATGTGATTAGCAACCTTTTATCCCTAGTTGTACAAATCATTCAAAGTTAATTTTATTTAGGAGGGGAAACAGAAATGTGATCTTGAGAATAGTTTTAGTAGATTTTTATTCAACACATACTAGAATGCCTATAATTGTGGTGGATGGTAGAATGCAGTGGCTGGAAAACAAAACCGCTTGACTAATTCCTGCTCTTCTGGAACTTGTGATCTATTAATTTCAATGTAATGATTCCCTTTGTTGGGAGTGTGATGGAAATGGACAGAGTATACTGGTAGAGAATACTGAGATGTTTGAGGGGTAATTTGAGGATGGTGGCTATGAGAATGGGAGTCCTGCATCTGGTGGTCCAGGAAGGCCTCTCGGAGGCAGTGATGTGTGTGCTGAGATGTGAAGAAAAAGAAGGCTCTGTCTCCAGGCAGAAGGAACAACAAACTCCTTGAGCTTAGCAAGAGCTCATCTTATTCAAGGGACTGGATGGAAGTATTGTGGCTGGAGCTCAGTGACAGTCATAGGAGGGAATTTGGGTTCTTTAATTGAACAAAGATTAGAAACTTCTTGTGATTTTTAATAACAGAGTAATGTGTTCTGCTTCATGGTTTGGACAGTGATTCTGGCTGCCCAGAAGAGACTTGATTGGAGAGTGACGAGACTGGAATATGGGATCAACACCGGTTGAGTGGAGTTAGTGAGGGGAAAAAGGAGATGGGTTTGAGATATGTGTAGGAGATGGAGATGTCAGGGCTCACTGATGGATTGGATGGCTTCACATTCCATTTTGCACTGGACCAGCCACGTCTTAGGTATCTATCTTTAGTCCTGATTACAGGAACTTAGGTGTGAAATCATAGGGTGGTAGAACTATGTGATAGAAAAGGTAGGTTTAACTGATTTGAGATAGAATTGCTTGTGATTTCAGTTTTATTTCTTTGCAGGAATGTGTCCTTGGTCTGACTGACAGGTGTCGCTTTTTCATCAATGACATTGAGGTATCAAGGCTTGGTTTGGTGTTGGATCCTTTTCACAGTGTTAGCTCCGAGTAATCTAGCTAGCTTTCACCCATGCCTCTCTGGCCTTCTCTTGCAGGTTGCGTCAAATATCACGTCATTTGCAGTATATGATGAGTTTTTATTGTTGACAACCCATTCCCATACCTGCCAGTGTTTTTGCCTGAGGGATGCTTCATTTAAAAGTAAGTTTTCAATGTATAAAACAGAAATGGTCCCTTCTCCAATGTCTTTTGGAGTCTTGATGACTTTTTGAATTCTTCATTTATTTTGGCTTTTTATCAAGGAGTCCTAGGCTGGAGAAAATCTTTAGAGTTATTTTACTTAGACCCTAATCTCAACATAATATCTCAGTTAAATCATTCTGCACTTTAGTAAAGACATCCAAGGAAGGGAGTTCCTTCCTTAAGCAGCACATTCTAAAGTTAAAAACTTTTCAGGAAATTTTATTATGTAACTGATCTAATATTTTATTTGGAATTACTATGTAGATCCCCAATGTTTTACCTTCTGTGTAGTCTTTTCCCACTGTGCCCACCCTCCACTGTACATCTGCGCTCCATCTAGTGGTTTGTAGGATATTGGCTGCATTTTGTCTTCTGTTCCATGCCCTATCTATCTCTGTGTGTGTGGCGTGTATGTGTGTGTGGCGTGTATGTGTGTGTGGCGTGTATGTGTGTGTGGCGTGTATGTGTGTGTGGCGTGTATGTGTGTGTGGCGTGTATGTGTGTGTGGCGTGTATGTGTGTGTGGCGTGTATGTGTGTGTGGCGTGTATGTGTGTGTGGCGTGTATGTGTGTGTGGCGTGTATGTGTGTGTGGCGTGTATGTGTGTGTGGCGTGTATGTGTGTGTGTGTTCCTTATTCTAAAAAGCCAACTTATTTTCTTTGCTTCCAACTTGGAAATAGGGAATCTTTCTTTCATTGATATGATTATAGTACACTGATAATGCTAAGAAATAGAGAAGTTGCCCCAATTCTTAACTGTGTTTCTCCACATCATTTGAGAAGCTGTGTATGTGAATGTGCATGAGGGCTCTGTAAGAGAGAGGGCAAGTTCCAGGGATGAGCGTGTTCATCAGCAGGGCTGATAGTCTTGAGGTTCAGTGGGAGAGCTAAGGCACATGGTTGTTATTTGTTCTCTTCTATTTCACATAATGTGTGCGGTTTCAATTGCAGTTAATGGAGAGTGGCTTGTTGTGATAATTAAGGCTTATTAGTTAATGGTGTGTTTAGCATTACAGGCCGGCCTGAGCAGCAATCATGTGTCCCATGGGGAAGTTCTGCGGAAAGTGGAGAGGGGTTCACGGATTGTCACTGTTGTGCCCCAGGACACAAAGCTTGTATTACAGGTAAGCTGGTTTTTCAGACAAGATAGATAGTCTGATTGTCATTCAGCCAAGTACCAAGCATAATTCTTGCAGGTTGTATTTTAGGCTTTCTTATTCTTTGTATCGTTTATTGTAAACCTTTCCTTGATAGTTTTCTGTTAGCTTTATTCAAAGGAGTGTTGATACAGGCTGTGACCATAAGGCTCAAAGCGAAACTTTTCTTGAAAGTCAAGATAAATATAGAGAACAACAAGATTCTGCTAAAAGTGTGCTGATTTTAGAGAGTTGTGGTAATTCTCTGTGAAGAGTTAGGTAAAATGGTGTATCCTGGCTATTTAAATGTTTTCTACTTAATTAAAAATGTTACTGCTTTAATTTATTTAAGATGCCAAGGGGAAACTTAGAAGTTGTTCATCATCGAGCCCTGGTTTTAGCTCAGATTCGGAAGTGGTTGGACAAGTAAGTGCCATTGTACTGTTTGCGACTAGTTAGCTTGTGATTTATGTGTGAAGACAATAAGTATTTTATTACAATTTCGAGAACTTAAAATTATGAAAAGCCCTCATTACCTATATCATCAATCAGATTCTTAGAGGCTCTTTTTTTTTTTTTTAACTTTTTTACTTTAATGCAGTATTTTGTAGTGGAGATTCCTAGCAGAAAGAATCGTGACACTCATCATATAAAGGAGGGCTTCTCTTAACCTGAGGGAACACATGTGGGTTTTAGGTGGCCTGTGAACCCAGGGAGATTGTACACACCAAACCTTGTCTTTGTGTATTTATTCAAGTAGAAAGCCCACAGCTTTCAATAGATTTACAGCGGGGCCTATGACCCAGAAAAGCCTGAGCTACTCTTGTGAAGGAAATGACTGATTTTCTGAACCTATTTGGAGGAAACTTTGTATTGGAAAGATCTATACTAATGTTTTGTTTAAAAAGTAGACCTGAATTCCATGATGATTTTCTTTGTTTTTTTTTTGAGACAGAGTCTTGCTCTGTCACCCAGGCTGGAGTACAGTGGCGCAATCTCGGCTTACTGCAACCTCTGCCTTCTGGGTTCAAGCAATCCTCCCACTTCAGCCTCCCGCATAGCTAGGATTACAGGTGTGCACCACGCCTGGCTAATTTTTTTTTTTGTATTTTCAGTAGAGACAGGGTTTCACCATGTTGGCCAGGCTGGTCTCAAACTCCTGACCTCAAGTGTTCTGCCCACCTCGGCCTCCCAAAGTGCTAGGATTACAGGTGTGAACCACCGTGCCCGGGCTTCTGTAATGATTTTCTGTTGTATGTATGTGAAGATGTAGTTCTCAGACAGTCATGATGACTAAATTACACCTTTTAAGAAGGTAAATGAATGTGGTACCTGATTTTTTTATTCTGTAATTTCAGAGTAGAAATCCAGTGATAGCAGCTTGGCATTGGGGCTGTAATCTGATTATAACTGGTTTGTATCATAATGAAAATATGCTGGGCCCATGGAGCTCAGTTTTTGTGAATATCTTTTCTATTCTTTCTCTGTCTTCTCACAGACTTATGTTTAAAGAGGCATTTGAATGCATGAGAAAGCTGAGAATCAATCTCAATCTGATTTATGATCATAACCCTAAGGTAACTTTCTAAGCTGTCATTTACTCTAGCTTACTTTGTACTTAAACTAATATGATCTGAACGAAGATGTTTTGTCCTTTTTTTGGTAGGTGTTTCTTGGAAATGTGGAAACCTTCATTAAACAGATAGATTCTGTGAATCATATTAACTTGTTTTTTACAGAATTGAAGTAAGTATTTTGAATAATTCATGTGTATCTTTTCCATAGTTTTCTCTCTTCTTGTTAAGGAAATCAAGCATAAATAGCTAGAGAAGAAAAATTCCTTACTGTTCATTTTTAAAAATTGCTATAACTCTTAGATGCCAGTTGGTTTTTTGCTCTTTTCCGTTCTTTTTAAAACAGCCTGTTTAAAACTATGTCCTTAAAACATGTCATTCAGAATTATTATTTCACTTGATTTTTAGGTATACATATAAAACTACTTGTTTTTCCTAGGAGACTGAAATCAAATGGCATCTTTCTCTCTGATGATCTTTCCCCTCAACTTTTTAATGAAACACTTTCAAAATAGAGAAAAGTTGAGAGAATTGTCCAGTAAGCAACCTATATATACCCCACCTGGATTCGCCAGTTTATATTTTTCTGTATACACATTCTCATTCTCTATAATCTGTCCATCCATCATTCATCTTGTTTGTAGACAAATTGCTAAGTGAGTTGTAGACATCAGTCCACTCTACCACCTGTACTTCTCCTTGTATATCATTAACTAGAGGGCATTCTTTGTGTATGGGTTGGTTTTGTTGTGTTTTTTCAGGTCATATTTATCTACAGTGAAATGTCCAAATCTTAAGTGTGCCACTTAGTGAGTTTTGGCAAATGTACACTTCATGTAACCTGAACCTCTGTCAAGTTAGAGGGCATTTACTCCTTTTCAGAAAGCTGCTTCAGATTCCTTTCAATCAGTCCCTGTCCCATTCCCCAGGCAACTACTCTTCTGAATTTTTTACCATAAATCAGTTTTGCCTGTTCAAGAACTTCACCTAAATGGAAGCATACAGTATTACTCTTCTGCATAAAGCTGTTTTCATTCAGCATATTGTCTTGAGATTCATCTGTGTTTTTATATGTATCACTAGTTCATTCTTTTTTTATTGGTCAGTAGTATGCCGTTGTGTAAATACACCACTATTTGCTTATTCATTCCCCTGTTGCTGGACATGTGGATTGTACTACCCTGTTTGGGGCTAATGTGACTAAAACATCTACAAACATTTGTATAAGTCTTTTGTGGACATGTTTTATTTCTCAATATTTTTATAATTCAACTCTTTTCCAAAAGTCATTTTTATTTATCATCATCAGCATGCCAGGTGTATGTTAGTAATTTGATCGCTGGGCTACATGTTCTGTTGATGACCATTCCATACACACCTGTTCTTAGAGAAGAAGATGTCACGAAGACCATGTACCCTGCACCAGTTACCAGCAGTGTCTACCTGTCCAGGGATCCTGACGGGAATAAAATAGACCTTGTCTGCGATGCTATGAGAGCAGTCATGGAGAGCATAAATCCTCATAAGTATGTATGCTGTCACCAGGTGGCATCCTTTGAAAAACCGAAGTGTGTAGTTGTCCTTGTCCAGCCTACTTACCTTTCTCATTCTGGTGTTCTTCACTTATTACCTCAGATACTGCCTATCCATACTTACATCTCATGTAAAGAAGACAACCCCAGAACTGGAAATTGTACTGCAAAAAGTACACGAGCTTCAAGGTAGAGATCCGCTCACAGAGAAAGTGCTTAAGGTGGCCGTGACTGCTACTAGTCTTCTGCAGGTGACAATCACCATGTCATTGCCACACCACAGATTTAACATGTGACTTTTTAGTTGCCATTTTAAGACCCTTGTCAGTTTTTTTCAGTGCTGCCCTCTAAAGCATATATAAAAGTATCAGAAGTATATATTCTTCTGATGTCCAGTTCTATTGAGAAAAATTTATTGTCTTTTTGGTTATGTTGTTAGGTCTGTGGATTTTTTCCCCAAATGATTGTGTTCTGTTTTGTTTTCTAAACACTGTTAGGAAATGCTCCCTCTGATCCTGATGCTGTGAGTGCTGAAGAGGCCTTGAAATATTTGCTGCATCTGGTAGATGTTAATGAATTATATGATCATTCTCTTGGCACCTATGACTTTGATTTGGTCCTCATGGTAGCTGAGAAGTCACAGAAGGTATGTGGAGTTCTTACTTTTATGCCATTTGGTTCTTGTTTATATAATGATAGTGTGAAACCCTGCTTCTGGTAGTGCAGTAGCTTTTCTGCTATCACTCTGTGAGTGCAGGGCTGGAGACAGATCTGTGAGTTTCTAGGGCCCACATTCCTAAGCCCCTGTGCTTATGAAAGTGTTTTGATTGTGAGGTTGAAGAAGTGAAGTAAAATTGCATGGCTTTTTTTTGTTTCTTTTTTTTTGAGACGGAGTCTCACTCAGTCGCCCAGGCTGGAGTGCAGTGGTGCGATCTCGGCTTACTGCAAGTTCCACCTCCCGTGTTCACGCCATTCTCCTGCCTCAGCCTCTCTAGTAGCTGGGACTACAGGTGCCCATCACCACGCCCGGCTAATTTTTTGTATTTTTAGTAGAGACAGGGTTTCACTGTGTTAGCCAGGATGGTCTCCATCTCCTGACCTCGTGATCCGCCTACCTCAGTCTCCCAAAGTGCTGGAATTACAGGTGTGGGCCACCATGTGCGGCCTAAAATTACATGGTTATTTTTAAGATGATGGGCATATGTGTGAGCTAATTTCTTCTCTTATAAAGGAAATGTAACAAGTGGTTCATGTTCCACTCCGGTTCTTTCTCACATGGCTCTTTTTTCTAGTGGAGGGTGGGCACATGGAGCACAGAAGGCTCATGGCCTCCTTTCCTATGTTGGTACATTTGCTATGATCAAAAACTTTGAACACCACTGGTATGCATATTTTTTATTTATTTTTTTGCAGCCTCAGTCTCTTCCCCATGACCTCTCCAAAAATGAAAATCGGATCCTTCATCTCTCTGCTTAAAATACTTCATGAGCTCCCATTGTTCCGAGGATATAATTCAGAAGCCATAATACTGCTTAAAAACCCTTCCTTGACCTGGCCTCTGTGTATCTTTCCATTCTCACTTCTTGGTATTGTCTTTTTTTCCTCTGCCCATGGAGGAAAGACAATGCTTTTGTCCCCCTTCCCTTGCCCCTCACCACCACATGCCTTGGTGGGCAGCATTACTTCTGCCATCCATGGGCTTTGACTGCTTCCACCCTCACCATTCCCCTGGCTAATTCTCACTAATCTAGGTTAAAGGATGCCAAGGTGGCCTCTTCCCAGTAAGCCATTCATGCTTCCCTCCAGGGACTGGGTGAGGTGACCCTCCTATATGCTTCTGTTGCACACAGTGCCTACCCCTGCAGACTACAGTGTGTCTTTATCTAGAGTGCGGTATTTATTTATTTATTTTTGAGACAAGGTCGGGCTCTATCACCCGGGCTGGAGTGCAGTGGCACCATCTTGGCTCACTGCAACCTACGCCTCCTAGGCTCAAGCAATCTCACCTCAGCTTACAGGCGTGCACCACCATGCCCGGCTAAGTTTTGAATTTTTTTTGTTGAGACGGGGTTTCGCCATGTTGCCCAGGCTGGTCTCAAACTTGTGAGCTGAAGCAATCCATCTGCCTCGGCCTCCCAGAGTGCTGGGAATGAGCACTTAATTATTTGTTGTCTTGGGTTTTCTTCCTATGTTGTTCTTACATGTATTTATCCTGTCAGCCCAGGGAAATTGCATTAAAAACAGGAAACACCTCTCCATTAGGAAGAAAAACAATTTGCTTACAGGGCATGGCATAGAGCTGGAGATGATAGTGCCAATAAATACTAGGTTGGCAGGGTCTCAGAGTTTTGTGTCCAACTCAGTATAATTTTATGTTTGTTTTAATGTGATCATTTCAGGAGAGCATGGAATGTCATGAAAACAGCACCAAGAGCAATGTCTTAGACTTTTAGGAGAAACTTAGATGCATTTGTTGAATATCTTCTAGACTGAAACCTTATTTCCCTTATTAGCCTATGAAATAAATGATACTGTGAGACTTAGTTAAGGAAGTTACTATTATTCCAAGTGTAACTTATTAATATCCGTATGTGAAAGCATTTTTGCCAAAGCTTGTTTGATGTTCAGCTGACCCTTGCACAACGTGAGTTTCAACTGTGCGAGTTTGAACTGTGTGGGTTTATCTAAATGTGGATCTCTCTCAAACACAGTTGGCCCTTTGTGTCCACGGCTTCTGCATCCACAATCAGTGTGGATCAAAAGTACAATATTTGCAGGATTTGAAACTTGCAGATACAGAGGGCCAACATTTTGTGTATCCAGGCTCCATGGGGTCAAATGTAGGACTGGGGTATGCTTGGATTTTGGTATCCTTGGGGTGTCCTGGAACCAATTCCCCATAGATACTGGGGGACAACTGTAGTTTGATTTTATATATTATATAATATGCAGTTAATATATAATACACATTTAAAAATTATGTAGCTTTGGGTTTATTGCTATATGTAAATGCTAGTTTCTATTCCTATATATGAATATCACAAGTAATAAAGTTCTCATTAATCATTTTTTTAGGATCCCAAAGAATATCTTCCATTTCTTAATACACTTAAGAAAATGGAAACTAATTATCAGCGGTTTACTATAGACAAATACTTGAAACGATATGAAAAAGCCATTGGCCACCTCAGCAAATGTGGTAAGTGTGGGGATTAGTATGTTTATCTCTACTTCAGATCTTCTTTGGAACTAGGCAAGGTATAAATTAAACTGTTAGTTTAGACAGTGACTGATTTCACTTCCCACTCCTGAAAACTCTAACAATTATGTATGCTCACGTTATTTTGTCCTGTGTTCTGAAAAGCTGAAGGTAATCACTTTTAATGAACTGGAGGAGCTCCCTAGGTAAGAACGTCAAGTAGATCCTTTTTTGGTTAAGAATGAGCACCTGTGAAGTTAACTTCAGTGTCTCAGAATCAAAATTGGTTGTCAGTTCTTCCTTCTCATGCTGTTTGCAGACATGTCAGGGAAACTCTGCTTGTCTGGAGAGAGTGATGAGGCCACCTCCCCGTGCCCTGCAAGACGCAGTTTTAATTGACAGTGATGGGGTGCCAGTTGTTCTTCCCATGCTGGAACAGTTGTGATTCTTTACTGAGGACTGATGGGGGAAAGGAAGAATCACCTGGGGTGCATGTTAAGCCTTCAGCTGCTGGCATCCTTGGAGAATCTGATTCAGGTGGTCTGGGATAGGACTGAGGCGTGCATGTGTCTAATAAGCTTCCCAGGTGATGTCTTTTCAAGGAGGCTGAGAAAACACTGGGCTGGAAAGCTGGGACTCTTAAGTAGGATGCTGATCCCAATCAGTGCTGCTCTTGCCTCAGAATCTGCAGTGGTGCTCATTAAAAATTCAAATTCCAGGATCCCATTCTTCAGATTCTCTGATTATTTAGGTCTTAAAAAGTTCCTCATTTATTTTGTTTGGTGACCATTGGTATAAATGAAGTCCATTATGCTTCCCATGTCTTAAGCCTGTCTTTGTGTGAATCTTTTTCCTGCAGGACCTGAGTACTTCCCAGAATGCTTAAACTTGATAAAAGATAAAAACTTGTATAACGAAGCTCTGAAGTTATATTCACCAAGCTCACAACAGTACCAGGTATGTGGTATGTGAAAATGAGGCTCTCCTGGTTTTGCTTTTTGCTTTAGTAGGAAAGGAGTGAGGATCCTAAGTTCATAACACCATCCTTGGCTTCAAAATTTATCTTAAAACTAATTAGCCTCAATTTGAACTTCTTATCTGGGAGAATGGTCCTGACCTGTTCTCTGATTCCTCATCTGGAATACCACAGCACCTTCCTCGTGGGGTTCCCTGCTTCTTTCCCACCCCTCCTCTAGCCCAACCTTACTGCTGTAAGTCTGATTATCCTAACAAGTACAGATCTTTCCCATATATTTCAGCATAAAGGGAAATTTTTGTTTGCTTGAAAAAGCATCCCTTTAGCTTTTTTTATATACCACACACTTTGCTTCTAAGTTAAATGTGTTATATGATCCTCTTAACAGCCTCATAGGGTGCTGTACACAATTTGTAGATGAGGAAGCAACTTGCCTGAGGATCCAGAGCTACAAAGTGCTGGACCTGGGATACAGAGCCCAGGCTGCCTGACCACCCTGCCCATGCCATTAACCACCACTCTACCATGCCACCAGCATCACCATTTTCAGTTTGTCCTCAGACAATATACACATCTTTCTTTGATCAAGCCCCTGCCAGCTTCTTTAGCACCAGCTTCTGCCACTGTCCACATTCCCAGTTACTTGTAGGTAGTTCTACAGATGTCACATCGTGTGATTCCTCTGTCATTTCTCTACCCACCAGCCTTCCTTTAGCCCCATTTGTCCATCAGAACCCTTGGGTTACTCCTGAATGCCATTCCTGGACCAGGCGCCAAACACTGAGCCCCCAGAGCAGCCTGCCCTCGCCTTGGTGATTGCATTTGTCAAACTGCTGATTAGCTGGTTTGTCGCCTCCACCAGGCTGTGGGCTCCTTAAGGGCAGGGACTCCATGTTGTATTCCTCTCTGAATCTCTGGCTAACATCCAGCCTGGAGAATCGAGGATTTGGCCAGTGGCTACCTCTTTGCCCTTGTTTTCTGTTCTCTTCCACACTCTCTCTGCTCTAGTCACACTGGCCGTCCTGTTACTCCTCAGACCTGCTATACACATTCCTGCTGCATGGCCATGGTGCCTTCTCTGCCCTCTGCCTGGTGCCCCCTATCTCATCACGTGGTTTATTCTCCTGACAGCCATTAGAGCTCACACTCCCTGAGAGCTGCAAGGAGACTGTCCTCTGTCCCTTTACTCACGTTTGCCATTATGCTATAGACTATATTTTGTCCCTAAGTCCATCCTCTGTTACTATAAGAGCAGCAACTTGGTGGTGGTTCTTATATGGTTTTTCATTTGTTTGGTTTTATTTTTTGCCTTGCTGTAGTATCCATACTGCCCAGAATGGTGCATATGTAGTTAAGAGTAATTATTTGTTGAGTGAATAAATGGCACATCCTCAGTAAGGTTTTGAATGAAAAAATGACTGTACTAACTGATCAACTGTAAGATTTTCCCAGGTAATTCTTTCAAGGGAGTTCCAAGTATAGGAACTAAGGCAGCTACACTGGAGCTTTAGAGAAATGATTGTCATATTTCCTCCTCAGTCCTAAATCTCCTCTTGTCACAGGATATCAGCATTGCTTATGGGGAGCACCTGATGCAGGAGCACATGTATGAGCCAGCGGGGCTCATGTTTGCCCGTTGCGGTGCCCACGAGAAAGCTCTCTCAGCCTTTCTGACATGTGGCAACTGGAAGCAAGCCCTCTGTGTGGCAGCCCAGCTTAACTTTACCAAAGACCAGCTGGTGGGCCTCGGCAGAACTCTGGCAGGTAAGTACAATCATTTATATGTTTACATCTACAAAGGTTTTAAAAAATTTATTTCTTTTGTTTGGTAATTTTGCAAATAAATTTAGGGCAGAATACTCTGAGACAGTCTTGTTCTCACTGATAAAAATTAATTTAGAATGCTTTAAAGGATAAGCTACTACAGCAAGAGTCCCAGAATGCAGTGGCCCAATATGGAAAGAAGTTTATTTCTCTCTCCCATAGGGATTTATAGGCCCTTCCGTTGTGTGGCTCTGCAACCTTTTAGGCAGATGGTTGTAGCTGGGTTATCTCCACAGCTGTGGGGAAGGAAGGAGAGTGGGGAGAAGTTAGAATCATGGTAAAACATTTACCTTTAAGTTGGAAATGACCTGGATGGAAGTTAAACTATCACCTTCTATTCCATCTCGGCCACGCCATGTAGCTGGATGGGCTGTGCCCTGTAAGAAGGTAAAGATGAATTTTTGGATGGGTCCATTCTGTTATAGACAGTAGGTTGTTGGAATAGCCAGGAATGAGGTGGGGAAAATAAAAGGCCAAATGTCGAAGCATTCTGAAAGCAAAGGCAGTTTAGCTGCGTCAGGGACAAGGGTTGCCCGAACCAGAGGCGAGGCTGGTACCAGGGGCTCTAGTACCAGAGTGGAGGAAAGGGTAAGGACACCTATGAAAAGAGATGAGCAGAAGCTCTGGTCATCTCAGCAGTGCTTGAAGTAAAGCAATGACTGGTATATTTTTTTCCCTAACTTGTAAATATTGTTGAGATCTCAAAGAAAAAAATAAAAAGCAGTCCTAAAAAAATTCCAAACTCTATCCTGTTAAATTTTGTTAAATTTATGTACCAGTCCTTCTTTGTCATTTGCAGTATTCTTTTTTTCTTGGGATTATACCAGTGTATGGGATTATCACTTTTCTTTTTCTGGTTATTAGCCTTTCCCAAATCCCTCCGTTTCCATGCTGGCCTCTTTTTACAAATGTCGAGAATTCCTTATTTCAGGCCTTTTAGTTATTCGTTCGGTCTCCATTGTTCCTTTCTGCTTTAGAAATTTATGATATTGGTTGTTTATACCTTCTATCTCTGTTCTTGGATCTCTTCTATTCTTTACAGCTCTTAGCTTGCTATTTCCCATGTCTTATGAGGGAGTATTTCTAGTTTTTCTCAGATGTTTAGCAAAAGTAGGTGGGGAGGGCAGTGGTCAAAGATGTTTGAGAAATGTTACACACTGGAGTCACTCTGTGTGTACATTTAACGTAGGCAGTTTACACAAGAGAGCAAAAGAAAGGTAACTATTTAAATAGTGGAGGTGATTTTACCTACTTTTTTTAGTGATATATGCACTGGAGTGAGCATGCAATGAGAGACCGGAATCTACCAGCTCCTTCGAAAGCCTTGGGTTCTCTGTGCCTCTCATTGTGGTTTATCTCAATTGGGCTGAGAGTGATTCTAGGATCTAAAGACACTGCATGACTCAAACATAAGTCAGCTACCTCCATCTAGTGCTCAACCAAAGAAATAGTGGTCTCTTACTGTTAAGGGACGAAGTGGTTTAGTGAGAGATACCAGGTCATTTTCCCATATACATGCTTTGGAAGCATCTTTCAAGGCTAATTTTGGCTGTATATGATTTTCAATTCCTGTGCTAAATTTAGATTCTAGCTGCCATTTAAGATAGGACTCTGTGGTGTATATACCTATTCCCTCACAGAAATTCAGAAAGTACATAGTTTCATACATAATAAAGACATATTAAAGAAGCACTTGAGCTAAAGTATCTGTTTAACTTTGTAGTCAACTGCTGCTTATTGTCTCTACAGGAAAGCTGGTTGAGCAGAGGAAGCACATTGATGCGGCCATGGTTTTGGAAGAGTGTGCCCAGGTAAACTCAATTCCTCCCTTCTAAACCCCCCAGTCAGCAAGAAAGGTCTTCTCAATTGTATCTTAGTGATCATGAAAGTTAAAGGAACTGTGCATAATTGTTAAGTCCAGAGATAGTGTTTGCCCCAGAGGTCTTATCTTGCTGGCTTGACTTGGAAATCTAAATTTAGTACATCTCTAAGTTTGGTGAGGTAGAATATGAAGGTGCTCTACTTTAACATACCACTGGTTTGACCTTGGTAGAAAGTACTTAATTACATCTCAAGGTAGCTGTGCTTTTTAAAATTGAGTTTGCCAAAGTAGAAACAATGAGAAAGGACCATTATAAAACAGGATCATTGAAGGCTACATACTCTTGGCTTTTACTCTCATTCTCCCTATTGGAAATGTCTCTTTTACCTCAGGGACCTGGAGGTACAGCAGATTATAAGGATAAGTACCCATATGAGCATTTGGTAGTATTATAGGATTTATTATGAAAATAATAAAACTGCAGTAACACTGGCCACAGACTAACAGTACACAGGTGCACAGTTGACACCAGGGATTATTGCCTTGTAGAGTTTTGACCTTTGATGAGAGAGTGTTTTTTACAGTTGTTACTGATAGCACATTTATGTAACTTAATTGTGCTTTAAAAATATTTAATTGTCTCTTGTGTAATAACAGTAAGTGAAAGACGATAACTAAAATTTTATATAATTAGATCCTGGAGAGAATATTTGTTGGGTGATTGAATTGAAAATACCAGTGAATGAAACATACCTAAAAGGGTAGATAGGTTGGGTTGGAAAGATATACCACATCGAGGGTTAATTAAATGGATAAGATGTCATTATCTTTTTTTCTTTGTAAAGGAAGATTAATGCATAAAATTATTTTGTGTAATTTACATACAATAAAATTATGTGTTGTACAGTTGTATAATTTACATATAATAAAGCTAATTCACCAATTTTAGATGAAGAATTCAGTACATTTGGACATATGTTTGTAGCTGTGTAACCACCATTGCACTCATGATCTAGAACATTTCTAACACCCCCAAAAGTTCCCTACTTCCCCTTTTGCAGTCAGCCTTCTCCCTCCACTGCCAGCCTTTGGCAAACTGATCAGTCAGTAAAGTTTCACATTATCTAGAATTTCATATAAACAGAACCATATGGTATGTAGTCTTTTTAATCTGGCTCCTTTCACTCACATAGTGCATTGGAGATGCATCCATGTTGTAGTTTATTCCTTTGTATTGCTGAATAGTATCCCATTATATGTATATGTCAGAATTTGTTGATTTACCAGTTGATGTACATTTGGATTGTTTTCAGTTTGGGGTTATTATGAATAACGCAGCCATGAACATTCTAGTGCAGGTCTTTATGGGGACAGGAGTAGGAATGCCACATCCCGTGGTAAGTGGATGTTTAACTTTTTAGGAAGCTGCAGAACTAATCTGCAGTGGCCGTATCATTTTGCATTCCCCTCAGTGATATGTGAGAGTGCTTCAGTGACTCCTATACTCACCAACACTGGGTGTATTACTGTGACACTAGATGTATTATCTATTGCTACGTAACAACTTACCTTAAAAGCTGGCAGCTTAAAACAACAGACCCTATTATCCCACTTTTTCAATGGGCCAAGAATCTTGGCTGGGCTTAGCTGGGGCCTCTGGCTCAGGGTCCTTTACAAGGCTGCAATTAAGGTATTGGCCAGGGCTAGAGTCATCTCAAGGCTTGACTAGTTTTTAATTTCATTTTCTAATGTTTTATTACTAGTATATAGAAATATAGCTGAAGTGTTTTGCAGGGAGGCTGTATAATTGACCTTGTATCCTGCAACCTTGCTAAACTCATTTATTAGTTCTAGAAGCTCTTGGGTGTATTCTCTAGGATTTTCTACATCAACAAACATGGTTTCTATAAATATAGTTTTATGTCTTTCTTACAATCAATACTTTTTTCTATCTGTATTGCATTTTCTAGGGCTTCCAGTGTGGTGTTGAATAGAAGTGTTAAGAGTGAACATCCTTGCCTTTTTCCTGATATTGGAGAAAATTCACTTGTCTTTTAGCATTAAGTGTCATGTTTGCTTTTTTAAAATTTTATTCTATATTATTTTATTTTTGAGACAGAGTCTTGCTCTGTCACCCAGGCTGGAGTGCAGTGGTGTGATCTCAGCTCACTACAACCTTGACCTCCTAGGCTCAAGCGATCCTCCCACCTCAGCCTCCTGAGTAGCTGGGACTGCAGGAACATGCCACCATGCCTGGCTAATTTTTGTATTTTTTGTAGGGATGGGGTTTTGCCATGTTGCCCAGGCTGGTCTTGAACTGTTGGATTCAAGCAATTCGCCTGTCTCAGCCTCCCAAAGTGCTGGGATTACAGGCATGAGCCTCCGTGCCTGGCCTGATATTTGCTTTTTTTTTTTTTTTTAATGCTCTCTATTGCAGAGTTGGCAAACTACAACCTGTGACAAATCCAGCATGCCACCTGTTTTTGTAAATAAAGCTTTATTGGAGCATAGCCATGCTCATTAGTTTACATCTTGTGTATGGCTGCTTTAACACTACAGCAGCAGAGTTAGAGTTGTGACACAGATAGTTTGGCCCATAAGGCCTATATTTACTGTCTAATCTTTTACAGGAAAAATTTGCCAATTCCTGCCCTCTTGGTTTGAGGAAATTCCCTTCTGTTCCTTGTTCTGAGAGTTTGTATCATGAATGGGTGTTAAATTTTGTCAAATGCATTTTCAACTATGAAGGGTTTTGTTTTTAGACGAGTGATATGGGGGACTAGGTGATTGATTTTCTACTGTTAAACCAACCTTGCATCTCTGGGTTCAACCCCACTTGGTATTATAGATTTATTACCCTTTTTCTCTTGTGGCAGATTAGATCTACTAAAATTTTCTTGAGGATTTTTGTGTTTGTGTTCATGAGGGATATTGTAGTTTTTTCGTGTCTTTGCCATGTTTTGGGTATCAGGATAATGCTGCTGTCATTGAGGGGTGACAAAAATGAGGGGTGGTGTCCTTTACACTTCTGTTTTCTGGAGGATTTCATGTAGAATTGGTATGAGAGTCTAGCTTATGGTTAAAAACCTATGTGTGATGTTTCAGACCTGACCATAAACAATTACAGACTTTACCTAGGAGGCCACATGGGGAAAAGCTGCCCTCCCTACACCAGACTTGGCGTACTGCCAATGCATTACAGTTTCTAAAGGGAGTTGCAGTCAAGGACTCAGGGCCCCCTGTTAGTCATGCTCTTGTAACAGTATTTGCATTGAGAGTCCTGGCACTTTCATTCTTAGGTCTCTCTATCTGAGGCCATGGGCCAAGGTCTTCTTCAGGCACCTCTGCCAAGGCCTGTTTATGCAAGAAGGAGTGGAAAAACCTTGACATTTTTTTCCACTGTGACTCACTACCCAGTACTTTTCCACCCTTAGCCCCCTTCCTTTGCACCCATACCCCCAAGATCCATCAAACTGCTAAAGCCTTTTTTTCCAAGCTCCTTCAACAGTGAACCAACCCTCATGTCTGTGTGGATCCAGCTGACTCTTGACTAGTGAGTTGTTCCTTGGGAAAAAATGGAACAGAGAGAGTTGGTGCTTTCCCTGGTTTTAGCCTCTTGCTTATACCAATGCAATGCCTGAAGGCTTAATTCATTTTTGACTTGTTGCTTTGATCAGCTACTCCAACACCTGACAGCTCAGCTCTTTCTCCCAGCTCTTGGGAGATATTTTTTTCTTTAAATGTTTAGTAGAATATACCAGTAAGGCCATCTCGGCCAGGAGTTTTCTTTAATGAAAGCTTTTCCACTATTAGTTCAGTTACTTTAGTAGACATTAGCCTATTCAAGTTTATCTGTGTCTTCTGGAATGAGCATTGGTAGTTTATGTCTTTCAAGTAATTTGTTCATTTCATCTAAATTGTCAGATTTATTGGTATGAAGTGTTTATAGTATTCTCTTATTTTACTGTCCGTAGGGTCTATGGTGATGTCCTGTCTTTCATTCTAGATATTGATGTGTCTTCTTTTTTCTGATTATTCTGGCCAGAGGTTTATCAATTTTATTGATCTTATTAAAGAATGAACTGTTTCATTGTTTTTCTCTATGATTTTTCTGTATTCTATATCATTCTTTTTTTATTATTTTATTATTTTATTTGCTCTTTATTTTTCTAGTTTCTTAAGGTGATGGCTTACTTTTATTTTTTTCTTATTTTTTTCTTTTGTTGTTGTTGTTTTTTTAAAGAAACAGGGTCCCACTCTTGCTCAGGCTGGAGTGCAGTGGCACGATCATGGTTCACTGCAGTCTCAAACTCCTACATTCAAGCTGTCCTCCCCCCTCAGCCTCCAGAGTAGTTGGGATTACAGGTGCATGCCACCATGCCTGGCTAATTTTTAATTTTTTTTGTAGAGATGGGGTGTTACTAGTTGCCCACGCTGGTCTGAAACTCCTGGCCTCAAGTGATCCCTCCACCTCTGCCTCCCAAAGTGCTGGGATTCCATGTGTAAGCCACTGTGCCTGACCAAGGTGATGGCTTAAAGCTATTGATTTGAGATGATTCCTTACTTTATAGTTTAAGCATATAATGCCATAATTTTCCTCAAGCACCGTTTTAGTTATGTTATACAAATTTTGAAATGTTTTGTTTTCATTTCCTAATTTCCCTTGTGATTTCTTTATTGAACCTTGGCTTATTTAGAAGTATGTTTAACTTGCAGATATTGGAGATTTGCCAGCCATCTTTTTGTTATTAATTTCTACTTTAATTTTGTTGTGATTAGAGAACATACATTTTATTAATTTAAATTTATAATTTATTTTAATTTATAATATGGTCTGTTTTACAGAATGTTGTGTGTGTATTTGAAAATAATATGAAAGCTACTATTATTGGATGGAGTGTTCTATAAATGTCAGTTAGATTAGGTTGATCATGCTGTTCTAGCTTTTTATATCCTTATTGATTTCCTCACTACTTGCTCTATCAATGACTGGGAAAGTGTTGAAGTCTCCCAGTATTTGTCTATTTCTCCTTTGATTCTACCAGTGTTTGCTTAATGTATTTTGAAGCTCTGTTATAGGTGCATACATGTTTATGAGTATGTTATAGATGTATTCATTTTGATATCCTTCTTTCTCTGTTACTATTCCTAATTCTGAATTTGACTTTAATGTTATTAATATAATTCTTCCAGCTTTCTCTTGGTTAGTCTTTTCATTGCATATCTTTTTCTATCCTTTTACTTTTAATCTAGCTGAATGTAGTCTTTATTTTGAAAGTGCGTTCCTTGTTGATAGCATTATTGGTTCTTTTTTTTTTTTAAATCTAATTTGACAATCTCTGTCTTTTAATTGGAGGGTTTAGACATTTGCATTGAATGTGATTACCAATATAGTTAGATTTAAACCTACAGTCTTGCTGTTTGCTTTTTGTTTGTTTCATTGATCCTTTGTTTCTTGTTTTTTTCTTTTTTTGCTTTCCTTTGGATTTAGTATTTTTCATAATTCCATTTTACCTCCACTGTTGGCTTATTAGCTATACTTCTTCATTTCAGTATTTTAGTGGTTGCTGTAGGATTTATAATAAATATCATTAACTGACCATATCTTCAGATAATCGTATACTACTTCATATATAGTGTAAAAACCTTACAAGAGTATTCACTCCATAATACTTTGTTATTGCTTTTGCTTTAAGTGATCAATGATTGTTTAAGGAAATTTTTTAATGACCTTTCATGTTTATTCTTTTTTTTTTTTTCCAAAAGATTCAGTATTTTCCGAGTTTTCAAAAACTGCTGGCCACTCAAAGTGGATCAACAAAAATTTAAGAGCTAAAACTGTAAAACTCTTGAAGGCTGGGCACAGAGGTTCATGCCTGTGATTCCAGCACTTTGAGAAGCTGAGGTGGGACAATCACTTGAGCCCAGGGGTTTGAGACCAGCCTGGGTAACATAGAAAGACCTTGTTTCTACAAAAAATAAAAACACAATTAGCCAGGCATGGCGGTGTGCACCTGTAGTCCCAACTTCTTGGGAGGCCAAGGTGGCAGGATTTCCTGAGCCTGTAAGTTTGAGACTGCAGTGAGCTGAGTTCACGCCACTGCACTTCAGCCTGGACAACAGAACAAGACCCTGTCTCAAAACCAGAACGAAACTATAAAACTCTTAGAAGAAAACAGGGCTAAATCTTCATGACTTTGGATTTGGCAATGGATGGTTAGAATTAATACCAAAAACACAATCAATAAATTGATAAATTGGATTTAATAAAAATTAAGAACTTTTGTGTATCAAGGACATTGTCAAGAATGTGAAAAGACAGCATATAGAATGGAAGAAGATATTTGCAAATCCTATATCTGATAAAGGTTTAATATCCAGAATATGTAAGGAACTCCTGCAGCTCAACAACAGAAAGCCAGTTAAATCAATTTTGAAATGAGCAAACGCCTGTAAACCCAGCTGCTTGGCAGATTGAGACAGGAGGATTGCTTGAGGCTAGGAGTTCAAGACCAACCTGGACAACATAGTGAGACCCTGTCTAAAAACATTTTTTTAATTAGCTGGGTGTGGTGGCATATTCCTGTAGTCCCAGCTACATGGGAGACCGAGGCAGGAGGATCACTTGGGGCCAGGCAGTCAAGGCTGCCGTGAGCTGTGATTATGCCACTGCATCCCAGCCTGGGCGACAGAGTGAGACCCTGTCTGAGAAAAAAAAAAAAAAAAGAACAAAAAAAAATTTAGAAGATTGCTATTCTAGTCTACTATTTTTTCAAAGGGTGGTCTTGTTAACAATTCTGGAGCCCACCTAAACCTGCTAAATCAAACTTGGTAGTAAAGCTGGGGAGATGGGCATGTCTAACAGACGTTTCTGGTGGTTTTGATGTCCAGGCGTGCAGAGAGATGATGCTTACCTTGTGTTTTGTCATTATTTTCAGGATTTACACCCCTTCCTTGTCTTTTGTATCAATATTTATGGAGTCATGAACTCTAGGATAGGCATGATGTTGAGAACTAGGAGTTCTCCCCTGGCCAGGGAGATAGAGGCAGGTCTGTGGTTAGTTTTGTAGTTGGCTGTGATGACATCTGACATGCTCTCTTCACTTGTTGTCTTCTTCCTGTTCCCTTGTCAGGATTATGAAGAAGCTGTGCTCTTGCTGTTAGAAGGAGCTGCCTGGGAAGAAGCTTTGAGGCTGGTAAGAATCTTGTAAATCCTCTGGATGTTGGGTGCTAAGCAGAGAGAGCAAGCAAGGGATTCCAGGTCAGTTGGAATCTCTTGTCTTCTGAGGTTCATGAAATAAGTAGAAATAGGTCAGGTTCCTGGCTTAAGGAAAAGCGGTGTTTTTAAAATCATTTTTATCATTCTTGATAATAATTTGAAATATTACTGTCTTTTACTGAAATGAATTGAATTTCCTTGGCTGCCTTGTAGGAGGCCTGTTTTTCAGGAAAATATTCTGATTACCTCTGAAAGTAATCCATGTCTTTCTAAGTATCTTAACTCTCCAGTGACTAGAAGTTTTCCTTCCTAAAATTATTGTGTTTTTCCTTCTAGGTATACAAATATAACAGACTGGATATTATAGAAACCAACGTAAAGCCTTCCATTTTAGAAGGTGAGGGTTCCATTTTAGATAGAATTCCTCATTTGGAAGAAGGTGAGGAGAGAGAGATGAGAGAGTCTCCTCCTATTTACTGTGTTTTCTTAATAATATGTCATGTAGACTCAATCAAAATTACCACCTGGATATAATATTTAATTCTCACTAGAATTTTTAAATATGCTGAACTATTAAATGGTAACAAAATATTTAAATGTTAGAAACCTGTGATCAAATATGATTAAGAATCTTTGTATTTGGAAATAGTAAACTTGAATATGAACTATATTAGATAATAATATAACACTGATAAATTTCTGGCATTTAATAATCATGTTGTGGTTATATAAGATAATATCCTATTATTCTCAAGAGATAAATGCTGAAATATTTAGGAATGAAGGATCATATCTCTGCCTTACTCTTAAAAGGTTCCACAAAAGTATTAATGAATGTGTGTATGCATGCAGAGAAACAGGAAGCAAAAAAATGTCAAAATGTTAGTAATTGGTAAATCAAAGTAAAGGGTATATGTGTGTTCATTGAACTCTTACAACTTTTATGTAGGTTTCAACGTTTCAAAGTATTTTTTAAAAGTTACCTTTTCAAATGAAGTTTGTGGTTCTTAGAGAACATATGAATATTACCAGTTCTAGAATACTCAGATGGTCACTGTGACCTCTTAAAAGCAAAGTGGAGAAGGACATCAGTTTGACTTATAGAAACCTTAGGGAGTGGTTGATTTTAAGTTCTGCATTTTTATGCACATCTACCCTGTAAGTAACGTCTGGCCTTTCTGACATTTACATGTATGCACATTCTTACCTTGTCTGCACCCCCTTCCTCCATCCTAATTAAAACGTTGCTGGGGTACTTTTTATGTCATTCACTTTAGGTACCTCTAACTGGGTACTGAAAACATCATTCCTCATCTATAATAATCTAACCAGCTCTTACTTAGATTTTCACCACTAATGAGAACCTTTCTTAGATAAATGCCGATAATTCATCTACATAGGCCCAAAACCTATTAATAAAATGCATCCTTGGATAGTAGTATTTTGCTTTTTTAAAATGTATTCTACTAGTGTTATTTTTCTCTTGTGTATTTTTCCATTGGACAATATTTATTAGATACATTTTTTCCACATCCATGGGCATTTTGATGGATGTTTAGCCAGAAACATTTAGGTAATTTTCTTCTTATTTTTGTTAACTGAGCTCCCCTCCCCTACCCCCCCTTTTTTTGTTTGTTTGTTTTGTTTGTTTGTTTGTTTTGCCAATCCTCCCTTGCTTTAGGTATCAAGTCTTCGTTCAGGTGATTTTACAAGTTCAGTGGTAGCGCATATTCTGGGATAATGTTGATGAACTCTAAGATCTGGAATCTCAGTCTCTAATTTGTTAATGCTTATTAAGGAAAAAGAGCTCGCTTGGAAAACCTAGTAACCTCTTTCTTTTTGCTGAATTTTAACCCTCCTTCACTGCTCCCCGCCTTTAGTTTTTTCTCTTTGCTTAAACCTCATGCTCAAACTATTTTCCATTCTGCATCTCCAGCCCAGAAAAATTATATGGCATTTCTGGACTCTCAGACAGCCACATTCAGTCGCCACAAGAAACGTTTATTGGTAGTTCGAGAGCTCAAGGAGCAAGCCCAGCAGGCAGGTCTGGGTGAGTATCTGCGTGAAGGCCATCGACGTGCGGGGGCAGTGGGGTTGGGTAACGCCACACATTGTCTAGATTGCTTGGTGATCCGCCTGCAATCTGATTACTGTGCCATGGGCAAGTGTGAGGCTTCTGTGGAGCCCCTTCAGGGCCCTCTGTGTCTGTGTTTGTGTGTTGGTGAAGGGCAGGACCAAGCATGAATGGGGAGAGCTCTGCCAGACATTCCCACCTACCCCCATTCACCCAGAGCAGCTGACCACTTCCGTGTCTAACAAAATGAGTTTCCTCATTTCCAGAAAAAAGTTCAGGAAACTACTGATTTACATTAGTAATTACTGTATTTAATATTATCTCATTCATTTTGAGATCAACTTTGCAATCATTTTCATCCATCCTTTGATATGCACCAGTTGACTCTAGTTAGTTCATTTACCGCCCTGAAAGTAAACCCACACATTAGCAGGCAGTGTTTTCATCGGCTTCTGGTTCTTCTTTTCTAGATGATGAGGTACCCCACGGGCAAGAGTCAGACCTCTTCTCTGAAACTAGCAGTGTCGTGAGTGGCAGTGAGATGAGTGGCAAATACTCCCATAGTAACTCCAGGATATCAGCGTACGTATCACATTGATTCAGCACATTGACTATATCCTGGGCATATAGGGAAAGTGGAAGCAAATAGATTGGTTTTCTACTGGGACGGTGTAGTGGGAGTGGGGAGAATATTCTTCAGCGCTGTGTGGAAGTTGTTCAGACACTTTCCCAGCATATCTGAGACATTAAACTTGGCATTGGAAGGTTTTCTTCCTCAGCCTTGTGGCTTGTGTGTTTTCCCATTCCCCACGAGGCAGTTCCTCCCCTGAATGCTCAGTTTATATTAACATCTGATTTTATTTTTTGAACAAATGTTGTGACTAAATTATAGGCACTGAAAAAATGAAAAGATAAGCTTCTTCAATTCAAAATCAGGATTGGAAGAGACCATAAATGTAAAATAAGTCATAACACTTTTACCAAATATAGTAATTTGTCAGAAATATTTATTCAGCACTCATATGGTAGGTGCAGTAGATGTTACCAAAAACTTATAAGGAGATATGAGTTATAAGAGTTTATAGTCTTGCTTGGGATGTGTAAAGCAATGCAAGATTATATATTCAAACTGAATTTTGCTTTAGGAATTTAAAATGGAGATCTGTGAAGTTGTGTGGGGTCATCAGCAACTGCAAGAAAGTAGCCAGGCAAGGTAGCACATGCCTGTAGTCCTAGCTACTCAGGAGGCTTAAAAATATCTGTGTAATTTCTAACAGGAGATCATCCAAGAATCGCCGAAAAGCGGAGCGGAAGAAGCACAGCCTCAAAGAAGGCAGTCCGCTGGAGGACCTGGCCCTCCTGGAGGCACTGAGTGAAGTGGTGCAGAACACTGAAAACCTGAAAGGTATATTCTCAGTCCTGATGATGATTCCTGACCACAAACAATAGTGAATAGGCAGTACAGACAGGCAGAGTTCAGTAGGTGATTAAGCTACCATTTTCCCAATTTGAGGAAAGATGAGAACTTTTAGCAGGAAGGGTCATGTCTGCACACATTCCTGAAGCAGCCCTTCTTAGCTGGTAACTGAGAAGCCTTCCTCCATTTGGCATCCCCCTAACTGAACTGGGAGAGATGCTTAGGCCAGGATAAAGAATTGTGGGACACTGCTTTCTGCGTAGGCCCCCCAGCGTGCTTGATTTTCTTTTTGTAGTACATGTGTTTAATTATTCCAGCATTTGGGAAGAAAAAAGATAATGTGGGAGAAAGGACCTGCAGTGGGATCATAGAAATTTTTGGCTTTGGATAGAAGCTATGTATGATTCTGTCAATGGAGCTGGGAATATAACTTACCACTCTTTCAAATTTCTTCTCTCTAGATGAAGTATACCATATTTTAAAGGTACTCTTTCTCTTTGAGTTTGATGAACAAGGAAGGGAATTACAGAAGGCCTTTGAAGATACGCTGCAGTTGATGGAAAGGTCACTTCCAGAAATTTGGACTCTTACTTACCAGCAGAATTCAGCTACCCCGGTAAGTTTTCTCAGAGACGGTGTGCATTTTTTTCATCATTTTCATGGGTTATTGTATTCACACAATCTCCAAGTCAAAAAGTTTTCCTGTTCTTAAAACATAAGATGCCATAGTTAAATTATCTTAGATTTATGTGTAAGCTGTCAGTAAGATTTGATATTTGCCTGTAGAGTGACTAGTATACCTTGGCATAGGTTAAATGGACTGTCATTTTCCTTTCTGGATGAAGTAGCTGTCATGGAGAAAATGGGAAAGTCACATGATTGCTCCTGGCCTTCAATGAGGTTGGAGTGGGGAGAGATGGGGGAAGATGGGGTCAGAGACGGCCTCTCACTTTCCTTTCAGAACTCAGGGATGGGATCAGGCTTTAAAGGGACCCCAGGCAATTGCTTTTCCTTTTGTTTTATGAAAAATTTGACTTGTCACTTCTATGTTGTTATGATGGACTTTGCGGGTTGTGTTTAAGGCTGAATCAGCTTTGTATCGCAGAATTCTAGTATATTGTCATCTGTTTATTATTTATACCTCTGTTCACTCTCTTATACTTCAAGTCTATTGTTAAGAGTTTTTATTTGGATTCAAAAAGGCTGGTGTATCAGTCAAGATCTAGAAAGGAAAACAAAAGCCTATCTATTATTTTATCACAGAATTTAATATATGGATTTGTTAAATAAGTATTAGAGGACTAAACAAGGCAAAAGGGAAATACAGAGGAAGGACATTGAGATAGTAACTGTAGGAAGCAGCTTTACCCTCTAGCTGAGGGAACAGGAGGAGTTGTTGGGAATTATTAGAATTTAGAAGCCTGGAAGTGGGGCCCTGTAGAGCTGGCTCTTGAACCTCTGAGAGGAGGGTGCCAGCCAGCTAATCCTGGCATTTCTGAGGGAGCTGGTTCCAAGCGTACAGAAGTAAATGGAAACTGGAAGGAACAGCTGCTGCTGGGGGAAAAGCCAGCCGGTCGGGCCAGGTGTGGTGGTGGCTCACGCCTGTAATCCCAGCACTTTGGGAGGCCAAGGCAGGCGGATCACCTGAAGTCAGGAGTTCGTGACTAATGTGGCCAACATGGAGAAGCCCCGTCTCTACTAAAAATACAAAATTACCCGGGCATGGTGGCGCATGCCTGTAATCCCAGCTACTCAGGAGGCTGAGGCAAGAGAATCGCTTGAACCTGGGAGACAGAGGTTGTGATGAGCCAAGATCGTGCCATTGTACTCCAACCTGGGCAGCAAGAGCGAATCTCCGTTTAAAAAAAAAAAAAAAAAAGCCAGCCAATCACGGAAGAAATCTAGAAATCTTTTGTTCATCCTCCAGCTTTGTACTCCCCCTCTGGTGTTCACTGTAGGCAGGACATGATGGGAAGCCAGCAGCAAGGAAGAATATCTTTCAGGTGCCCAGCCCCAGCACCACAAGCAGTGGATAGAAGGGTGGGTTGGAGCTGAGAGATTACAAATCAGCTCAGTGTTTAGAAACACATACGCTTATCATGTCTTGATTTCCTCATTTAGAAATGGGCATAAGACTTCTCTGTGTGCTTCAATAGAATGCTTTGAAGGTTAAATAAGAGGGTGTGTGTAAAAGCACTTTACAAACCGTTGAAATAAAAGCAACTAGGAATCAGGGCCCCAGAACTTCTTGAATTTATTATAATAGGTATTTCTTAGAAGAAATGTGATCATCATCTTCAAAACTGTAGTACTTTTGAAGATAATTGTTTTTGTTTTTTGAGACAGGGTCTCACTCTGTTGCTCAGGCTGGAGTGCAGTGATCACCGCTCACTGCAGCATCCACCGCCCCGGGCTCAGGTGATCCTCCCACCTCAGCCTCTTGAGTAGCTGGGACTACAGGCGCATGCCACAACACCTGGTTAATTTTCAAATTTTCTGTAGAGACAGGGTGTCACCAAGTTGTCCCCGCTGGTCTTGAACAACTCCTGGGCTCAAGTGGTCTGCCCACCTCACCTCTCCAAAGTGCTGGGACTATAGGCATCAGCCACCATGCCCGGCTTGAAGATAATAATTTATAATACCACTCCCATGAGTGATCTTCTCTTCTGATCACATATTCACATTAAGGTCTATTTTATTTTATTTTTTTCTTGCTCTGTCACCCAGGCTAGAGTGCAGTGACAGTATGATCAATCATGGCTTGGTGCAGCCTCGAATGCCTGGGCTAAAGCAGTCCTCCCACCGCAGTCTCCTGAGTAATTGGGACCACAGGTGCACACCACCATGCCCAGCTAATTTTAAAATTTTTTCCTAGACATGGGGAGAGGGAGTCTTGCTGTGTTGCCCAAGCTGGTCTTGAACTCCTGGCCTCAAGTGATCCTCCTGCCTTGGCCTCCCAAAGTGCTGAGATTACAGGTGTAAGCCACCATGCCTCCCACATTAAGTTCTAAGACATCAATTTTATGATTGTGGTTTTGATTGGTGAAGTATGGTTGTGGTATGTGCAGGATACCGTGAGTGACTTCTCATGGCATTGCTCTTGAGAGTGTGCCACCAAGGGTCTGCACTAACCAGGGGTGTGCCCAGAGGCTCGCTGCAGGCTTGAAATTCCTGCGGAGTCTTGTGTTTTACCTGGAGCACATGTGCACAGTTTCCATTCTGCTCCATAGTATGCACATGTTTGTATTTATTTCAACCTAAAAATGTTTGTTTCCCATAACTCTTTGCGTATAATTGATACTCTACGTATTTGTAGCCTCTTTTACTCTTTTCCCTTTCCTCAGGGAGTGGTTTGCTCATTTAGAAAAGGCCAAGATATATCACTGTAGAGTTTCGTTTCTTTTCTTTTCCTCCACCCCCCATCTTTACCTTGTTCTGGGAGAAAGGAGAATTAGAAGTCTGAGTTGCAGCTGGAGAAACTGGCAAATTAAAATCACATTGGGAAAGAGAATTACTGTGTTTCACACCATACCAGTAGAAATGACAGGCTGTTTTCTGGGGGTAGGGATTTGGCCTTTGGTATTGGCAGTCTTGAGAAGTATTAGATAATCTTTGCTGATACAGTCTATTTTCTCCTCAGGTTCTAGGTCCCAATTCTACTGCAAATAGTATCATGGCATCTTATCAGCAACAGAAGACTTCGGTTCCTGTTCTTGGTTAGTATTTTTTCTCATTTAATATTACAATACTAAGCAGAAGGACTATCTTTCTGTAAGTATTGAGAAGATCAGCAGTATAAGGAGAGATTGGATACAATTTTTCACTACAAAAAATTGACTACAATTCTTCCTCAATTCTAAGACCGCATCTTTAGTATGATCAGTTTCATGCTTCTAGCGGTGGGGGACCTGGTGCAGGAAAATCCAGCATGACCATTGTATGTGTAATTTTTAAAAATATTTATGTGGCATATGCTTGTTCATAAAGGCACACCACAGTTCCAGTTTCAGTCTAAACTGTCTACATTTACATATACATCAAAAGATTCTTCTGAAGCATCATTACTGGCTATTGGCAGTTATGCTTTGCATCTTGGGGGCATTTTCATAAACCTTGCTTATGAGTGGGACCTTTTTATTATGTTTAGGATTGACAATATAATTTGAAGGCAAATCCAAAGAATATTAGCATTTTATACATATTTCCTGTTTAGTTATGCATGAAGTGTTTTATTTGTTGAGGGGAGATGATTCTCAATTAGATTACTTATATCCCTAAAAATTAAAAACCCTAAGCGCTTTCTTTTGAAAGTTGGTTAGAAACATTTGATGAGTCAGCTTGGGACTTTCAGTATTTGCCCTTACTTATAGTTGGATCAATGAAGCATCTTAGCTTTGAAAAGTGAATGATAGTTTCTAAAATAATTGGCAGTTTTAACTGCTATTATTTGCATTTCTAGCATGTGACAAGCAACTTTCTGAAATTTTTTTTCACCGAAGTGCTACACTGTAATAGCATTTTGATGACATTTGAAGTAGCCTGTGGGGATTCAAATTAAGTTTGACTTTAACAGCTTATGTTGCTACCAGGAAGAACAGCTACCTTCCATCCCAGCTAAACTCATACATCCAGACTGTAACTACTGTATTCCTAGCTCCTCTTCTGTCTAGAGAATGGCAAGGTTCTTTTGGTATCAGTTTCGACATATCCACTTATTCCTTTTTTTTTCTTAAGTTTTTTCATTTAGAAAAAAAAACAGATGGGGTCTTAATATGTTGCCCAGGCTGGTCTCAGCCTCCTGGTCTCAAGTGATCCTCCTGCCTCGGCCTCCCAAAGTGCTGGGATTACAGGCGTCTGCCCCTGTGCCCAGCCCACTTATTTCCCAGATGCTAGGAACTTACATTAGACCTGAGGCCATTTGGTCATTGTTTATTTTGTGCTGTAGTCCAATCCAGTTGTGATTTCTGCCTCCTGTGTTCCTCGTTGCTGGCCTGATGCTGACCTTCAGGTTAGGTCAGTCCCATCATTCCCCAGGGTATTCTAGATGGCTTTCCCACTTCAAAGAGCACTTTCTTGTTTTCCAGCTGAGCCTTAAAGACACTCTGTAATATTTGAGAGCCCCTCATTATCTGAGTGTTTATTATCATTACCCTTGTGGTTTCAAGGATGTATAGGAAAAGGTAAGTTCCTATAATTCAAAAATTGCCACTGATGAACTAATCACAAAATTAGTGCCACTCAAATATTACTCAGCTGCCCCTCCCCAGCTAACAATAGTTAAGTATATTGGCACATCCCCACAAGTGAAATCAATGACTTGATGGGTCATTTCTGATTGTTTCCTGCTTTGATGCAATACAATATCATGCAGATCAATTGCAAGTCTTGCAAAAATTTAGTATTACATAAAATAGATTAAAATGATATTGGAAAAGTACTTGAATCACAGCTGGGTTGGACTTGTTGCAATTGATGACAAAATAAGTGCTTCAAATGATTTTGACTATCAAAGGATTGAGAGAGGTCCTTAGAAAAATTGAAAAGCCCTCAAGTTATTTTTATAAAAATGGCCTTTTTTGTGTGCTGTGAAATCCACATATGGAAATGTGAAATATGTCATGTCCTGCTGTCATATAATTTGTCAGAATAATTACTTTCTTGCCCAAAAGTCTGTACTTTGTGTTTATTTCAAGTTAAGTCTAGAATCAAATATAGTTGTAGTTATGCCTAATTTTAAAAAATGAGATAGAGCACATTATTTTTGTAACTAGTTTTTTTTTTTTTTTTTTTTTTTTTTTTTTTTTTTCAGACAGAGTCTTGCTCTGTGGCCCAGGCGGGAGTGCAGTGGCGCAATCTCGGCTCACTGCAAGCTCCGCCTCCCGGGTTCACGCCATTCTCCTGCCTCACCCTCCTGAGTAGCTGGGACTACAGGCGCCCGCCATCACGCCCGGCTAATTTTTTTGTATTTTTAGTAGAGACGGGGTTTCACCGTGTTAGCCAGGATGGTCTCGATCTCCTGACCTCGTGATCCACCCGCCTCGGCCTCCCAAAGTGCTGGGATTACAAGCGTGAGCCACCGCGCCCGGCCTGTAACTAGTTTTTTTAAGATAAAGTCTTATTCCAACTTTAATTGGAATTTATGAAATACCTTGTTGATAGTGAATTTATTTAAGTAGCCTTTTTTCAGTATTGATATTCTTATATCTTTATGGCACCATTTAGTGGAGAGAAATGTAAACAAACATAAAGATGTAGTATTAAATCATAACTGCATAAAATTAACTGTAGTATGTACTGCACTACTGTAATAATTTTGTAGCTACCTCCTGTTGCTATTGTGGTGAGTGAGCTCAAGTGTTACCAATATCTGCTTAAAATGCCATGTGCCGCTAACCATCTCCACATGAGCAGCACATGAGAGTCTCCATTAATTGCATATGGCAGCGAAAAGTGATCTCTTGCATTGTCGTGTATTTTTTATCACGTTTAATGTAATATCGTAAACCTTAAATAACACCATGAGACCTATAGGAAGTACCACAAGTGTTGCTCCCAGGAAGCAGAGAAAAGTCATAACATTACAAGAAAAAGTTGACTTGCTCGATATGTACTATAGATTGAGGTCTGCAGCTGTAGTTGCCCACCACTTCAAGATAAATGAACCCAGTGCAAGGACTATTATAAAAGAAAAGGAAATTTATGAAGCTGTCACTGCAGTTATGCCAGCAGGCATGAAAACCTTGTACTTTTTGCAAAATACCTTTTTATGTTGTATTGAAGATGCAGCTTTTATGTGGGTGCAGGATTGCTATGAGAAAGGCATACCTATACAACTATTATGATTTGAGAAAAAGCACAGTCATTGTATGAGAACTTAAAGCAAAAAGATGAAGGATCAAAGCTGGAGAATTTAATGCCAGCAAAGGATGGTTTGATAATTTTAGAAAGAGGTTTGGCTTTGTAAATGTCTGGATAATAGGAAAAGCAGCTCCTGCCATCCAGGAGGCAGCAGCAAAGGCAGTCAGGTTTATGATCAGGACTGCCCTTATCTGTAAAGCTGCTAACCCCCGAGCCTGGAAGGGAAAAGATTAACACCAGCTGCCAGGCTTTTGGTTGTACCATACAACAAGAAGGCTTGGACAAGGAGAACACTTTTTCTGGATTGGTTCCATTGTCGATTTGTCCCTGAAGTTAAGTAGTATCTTGCCAGTAAGGGGACTGCCTTTTAAAGTTCTTTTGATACTGGAGAATGCCCGAGGCCACCCCAAACTCCATGAGTTCAACACCGAAGACATTGAAGTGATCTACTTGCCCCCAAACACACATCTCTAATTCAGCCTCTAGATCAGGGTGTCATAAGGACCTTTAAGGCTCGTTACAAACAGTACTCTATAGAAAGGATTGTCAAATGTATGGAAAAGAACCTTGACAGAACATGAAAGTCTGAAAGAATTACACCATCAATGATGCCATCATTGTTATAGAAAAAGCTGTGAAAGCCATCAAGCCCAGGACAATAAATTCCTGCTAGAGAAAACTGTGTCCAGATGTGCATGACTTCACAGGCTTTACGACAGCCAATCAAGGAAATCATGAAAAAGATTGTGGATCTGGCACAAAAAAAAAAAAAAAAAAAAAAAATGGTGCATGAAGGATTTCAAGATAGGAATCTTGGAGAAATTCAAGAGGTGATAGACATCACACCGGAGGAATTAACAGAAGATGACTTGATGGAGATGAGTACTTCCAAACCAGCGCCAGACAATGAGGAAGATTACATAAAAGAAGCAGTGCCAGAAAATAAATTGACATTTGTTCCAAAGGTTCCAATTATTCAAGACTGCCTTTGGCTTCTTTTACAACATGGATGATTCTATGTTATGGGCACTGAAACTAAAAGAAACTGTGGAAGGATTGGTACCTTAGAGAAATGAAAAAGCAAAAACATCAGAAATTATGGTGTATTTCTGTAAAGTTAGTGACACTGAGTGTGCCCACCTCTCTTGCCTCCTCTTTAACCTCCCCTACCTGTTTCATCTCTACCACCCCTGAGACAGCAAGACCAACCCCTCCACTTCCTCCTCTACTTCAGCCTACTCAACGTGGAGATGACAAAGATGAAGACCTTTATGATGATCCACTTCCATTTAATGAATAGTAAATATTGTTTTCTTTATGATTTTCTTAATATTTTCTTTTCTCTAGCTTACTTTATTGTAGGAATGTAGTATATAATACATATAACATACAAAACATTTGTTAACTGACTTTTTATGCTGCCAATACACTGCCGAACAACAGTAAGCTATTGGTACTTGAGTTTTGGAGATTCAGAAGTTAAACATGGGGCCAGGTGTGGTGGCTCACACCTGTAATCCCAGCACTTTGGGAGGCTGAGGTGGGTGGAACGAGACCAGGAGTTTTGAGAGTAGCCTGGGCAGCATGGTGAAACCTTGTCTCTACAGAAATTAGCCAGGTATGGTGGTGTACACTTGTAGTCCCAGCTACTTGGGAGGCTGAGGCAGGAGAATCGCTTGAACCCAGGGGGTCGAGGCTGCAGTGAGTCATGATCGTGCCACTGCACTCCAACCTGGGCAACAAAATGAGACCCTGTCTCAAAAAAAGAAAAAAAAAAGGTATATGCAGATTTTTGACTGTGCAGGGGGGTCCGCACCCATAACCCTACATTCAAGGATCAACTGTAATTTTTCATGCCTGCATGGCTCATATGTACAGATTTACTGCTGGAAGTTTATCATAAATAATGCTGAAAAAGAAAATCCTTATATATACATATTTTCTCCTATCTCTGCTTGCAGTATATGATTCCTGGTTAGAAAAGAAACTTAACAAATCTAAGTGAAAGAGTGCCTGGGAGTTTTAGGTTACAATGACAGAATCTTTTCCTAACCCTCTCTCTCCATTCACTTTTTTTAAAGCAGGGGCATCTTTATTGATCAACATGTTTGTCGAAGTTTCATCATAAAGTAGTTCCTGTCCATTAACTTCACTTACTGAATATGTGCTATCACATTTTGCTATTCCTTAAAAATTGAGCTAGACTTTACATATAGTGAAATGCAGAGATTTCAGGTGTACAATTTGATGAGTTTTAATAAATGTATACAGCCATGTGACTGCTGCCACCACCCCTCCCACCAGTTTGAAATACAGAACATTCTTCCACTTTGAATCACTGGGTGAGCATGCCTGAGGTTGAAATGCAGTCCCTCCTCTCAGGGCGGGGCCTCCAGGTTGTGTTTGCTCTGACCTGGAGGTTGCAGGGGTAGCAGACACATGAACTCTGGCTCTGATGGTCTTATTGCTGCAAACTCCACCTGCCTAGTTTGTTTAGTTTAGAGTTACTGCCTCAGCGCCCTCCAACAAGAGTATGTCTGTCACAATTTCCCTTCCTTTCTTGCTTTTAGATGCTGAGCTTTTTATACCACCAAAGATCAACAGAAGAACCCAGTGGAAGCTGAGCCTGCTAGACTGAGTGACTGCAGTTAGGAGGGATCCGACAGAGAAGACCATTTCCACTCATTCCTGTTGTCCTACCACCCCTTGCTCTTTGAGGGCTGGCTATTGAGAACTGGAAAGAGTAAAATGATAACTTACCTTAGCATTGCCAAGAACTTCAGCAGACAACAAGCAATTCTATTTATTTTATGTTGTGTATACATCTTGATCATTAGCAAGACATTAAGCTTTAACCATTATGGCACCATTTTGTGAGAATGATTGTTCTTTCACTTGGGCTGTTTGAGAGCATAATTATGGTAATCATGAGATTAATGTTTCATGATTTCTACCTCCAAAGTGTGAAGACAAGTAAAACAATGTTTCTAAATTGTCTTATTTTGTTGGCGGAGAAGATTACAATGGCTATTAGTGCTACATTTGGTCAAATGTAATCACTTAAATAGCTTCTTGTCACCTTAAACTAAAGCAGAATAAAAAGTATCCTTTGAAATTATAAGCCCTCCTTTGCTGACAGCTATTATTTTGTAACATCTTACCAGGTCATGTGCTTTCAGTTATAACTGGGCTGAGCCTCCTATAATTACAATGTCTATAGGGACTGTTTTACTGCCTGTGTATTTTCTGCTAGAGAGTTAGCAATGTTAGAGCTAGAACAGATTAGAATTTCTAAACAGTATCATGCACAGTTGGTGTGAGTGATCAGTGTGCATTGTATGGCATGCATGGTTGTGAATTATTCTCTGTTCTCCAAATACTGTTTCTTTAACTCAGATATTTTTGTTAGTGTCTAGGCCACTTCATTTATTTTTCGTCATGGTACTTTACTGACTTCTCTTTATTCAATTCTCCACGCCCTCACCAAAAAAAACTGTCTCAAAATGAGAATATTTTATTTTCATGGTGAGTCTAGAAAACGCCCACTTCATTCTGATTAAAAATTCTTCCATGTTTTAAA
Organism: Homo sapiens; assembly: GCF_000001405.40. Classification (NCBI taxonomy): domain Eukaryota; kingdom Metazoa; phylum Chordata; class Mammalia; order Primates; family Hominidae; genus Homo; species Homo sapiens. The sequence continues at coordinate 108,868,172 of NC_000009.12, read as the reverse complement.
TATCAGAACCAGACCTTTCTTACTGTGTATCTTAGCCCATTTGTGTCTCTATAACAACAACCAGCTTTCAAAGGAACTAATAGAGTGAAAACTCACTCATTACCACGAGGATGGCACAAGCGATTCACGTAGGATCTGCCCCTGTGACCAAAACACCTCCCATTGGGCCCCACTTCCAACACTGGTGATCACATTTCAACATGAGGTTTAGGGAAACAAATGCCTAAACTACAGCACTGTACATAAACTAACAGGAAATGCTGCTTTTGATCCTCAAAGAAGTGATATAGCCAAAATTGTAATTTAAGAAGCCTTTCCCAGTATAGCAAGATGTTAACTATAGAATCAATCTAGGAGTATTCACTGTAAAATTCAACTTTTCTGTATGTTTGAACATTTTCACAATCTCATAGGAGTTTTTAAAAAGAAGAGAAAGAAGATATACTTTGCTTTGGAGAAATCTACTTTTTGACTTACATGGGTTTGCTGTAATTAAGTGCCCAATATTGAAAGGCTGCAAGTACTTTGTAATCACTCTTTGGCATGGGTAAATAAGCATGGTAACTTATATTGAAATATAGTGCTCTTGCTTTGGATAACTGTAAAGGGACCCATGCTGATAGACTGGAAATAGAAGTAAATGTGTTTATTGATAATGGTGTGAATTTTCCTGGACATTCAGTTTCCTTAAATAATGTATTGAAGCAGCAAGAAATAATTTGTTTGAATGCAAATTACTATCAATTACTGTTTCTCTCATCTGAGCAGGATTGGATTTTGTTCCTTTTTAGAAGAAGCAGGCAGGAGGAGACCTTCCAAATTGAGGCAAAGCCAAGAATTGAATATTCATGGGGGAAAATTGAGTGTATGAGAAAAGGAGGAAACTCCTCTGAGTGATGAATGCTTAATTTGGGGGAAAGAGTCTGTCAAGTTTTAGAAAAGAGTACATAAATTTGGATCCTGTCCCAAAGCAAGTTCATGCTGCAATAAGCTAAAACCTTCACTTTTCTTGGTTCCATTGAGTCAGATAGCTTTGCTCAGATGCTCTAAACTTCAAGAAGGAACTTGCAGAAGACTGTCTTCTTCGGTCAAAGTGCATTTTAAATTTATGCTTTTGAAAAAACTGAGGCCGGGTGCGGTGGATCACACCTGTAATCCCAGCACTTTGGGAGGCTGAGGTGTTTGAGACCAGCCTAGCCAACATGGTGAAATCTCACCTTTACTAAAAATAGAAAAAAAATTAGGCGGTGTGGTGGTGGGCACCTGTGATCCCAGCTACTTGGGAGGCTGAGGCAGGAGAATCACTTGAACCTGGGAAGGTGGAGGTTGCAGTGAGCCAAGATCGTGCCACTGTACATCAGCCTGGACAAGAACAAGACTCTGTCTCAAAAAAACAAAACAAAACAAAACAAAACTTAGGAGCAATTTTTATATGCCTTTATGGATGTAGCTTGGTGCAATTTCTTAGCCCTGCTGCATATTTTAAATTAAATTTAATTATATATGCATGTATATATACATACACATTTGAGAGATTTGTCATAGCAATAGCTGAAGTGGGTGTTTTTAAAAATAAGTAAAACTGATGAAGCTTGGTAACTTAAGGTGACTGCAAATTTGAGAAGCAAAATTAGATTTGTTCTTCCTCTTGTGCTGGTTATTGTACTCCCATATTCTCTAGAAGCACCGCCTGGACAAGCCCTGGGGAGTCTTTGGCTGTTGTTTCTTGTTTGTTGTATTTATTAGTAACTGGGTGCAAATAAACATCTTAGGAGCTAGGTAGCTGTACATATTCACGAGGCTGGAGATAAGACAAAGCTAATTTGGTAACATTTGGCAGTGCTGAAGGCCTGCTTTGGATTCTCGTGTTTCTGTGCTCTCTGTGCTCCCTGAGCCCTTGCCTGTGCCTGCAGTGGGCTGCTCCACCACTATTCTTACTGGCTCTACAGTCCCAGGACATTTAGGAACAACAGTTGTCCTCCTGGTTATAAAGGAAAGAACAAGGCTTTGGGCCATGTGTCCAACCATCTTAGCAGTGTTGGACAAAGTCACTTAATCTCACTGAGCCTTGCTTTCCTTCAGTCTTGTGTGTGCCCATCAAGCTAAGCAGAGTTTCTCAATGGCACTGTTGTCATTTTGGTTCATGTCATTCTTTCTTTGGGTGTTGGGAGGTGCTTCCCTGCACATTGTAAGATGTTTAACGACTTCCCTCATCTCTAACCCCTAGATGCCAGTAGTACACACTCCCACCCCTGTTATGACAACCACAAATATCTTTAGACATTGTTAAATGTCCCCTACAGGCCAAAGTTGCCCCCTGCTTGAGAACTACTGTGCTAAGATAAGTTCCAAATACTTAGTAACTATCACTTTTTTATGAGGAGATTCTCTTTTTCTACTGGGGCATACTTGTGAGGATCAAGTGAGAAAATTCATAAAGTGGTTTGAAAAAGACTGCACAATTGTTCAGCCTTCAGTTGGCATTTTTCATTTAAAAATGAACATTGAGGCCTAGGAAGGCCTGGAGACGCCCATCCTCCAGAACCACCTCCCAACCCTCCTCTTCATTAAGACCCTCGCCTTTTTTAGGGATCTTTGACATGGGGTTTATTTACCCCTAAGGGATCGGTAGATAGAGCATACTTCTGTATGATAGGTTTTCTCTGTAATCATACATTTTATTTTATGCATTTAATAACATTATTCTAAGAAGAGGTTTATGGGTTTACCACCCCTGCCAAAGAGGTCCAAAGGTTAAGAACTAACCAAACTTCAACTTGCGCATCAGTGAATGATCATGGGTTGACAGTAGAGCGGTTTGGGCAGAAACTGAGGTAAAGATGTCCCTCTCTCTCAGGTCAGTGTCCCCAACTCCTGATTCCTTGACAGTCCAGCATAAGGCTTAGTCATCCGTGCTGAACCATGGGAACCTCACATGCCCCTCTGTGGCTCTCTTTCTGCTGGTGCCAGCCAGATACTCTTAGTCACCAGACCTGGATCCAGGGTCAGGCACTTTAGGTCTTTCAAGGCTGTCGAGGCAAGCCTGGAACCAGTGAGCAGCTCTGGAGGGCTTCTCCCTGGAGATGGTGGAGGTGCCAGCTCTCCTCTAAATGCAGAATGCCTGCCTTTGAGTACCTGTGTGGCTAAGGACTATAGTAAGAGACTTCTGGCCTTCTGCATAAGAGGTAGAAACCTAAAGATACTAGCTAGCTATTGTGAGGACCCCCAGGAGTCTAGATACTGGTATTCAGATATTTTTCGCTGTTTTTTAATCAGCTGTGTGAGGTAGGCATTTATACTCAGTTTTGCAGGCAAGCAAACAAACTCAAGTCACAGTTAGGTGGTAGCAAAATTGCGTTTCAAACCACAGAGTCCAGAGCCCATGTTCTATCCTCTGTTTTGTGCACCAACTAGTGTTCAGATTTTGAACTTTAAAGACAAGACAGAGAATGTATTGGAGGCTGTTCTAAAGAATCTCCAATTTAAAGTGCTCATATTACAAACTCCCCCTGCAGGAACACCAGAGAGCTCGCTGGGCCCTGGAAGGGCTTCCCTGGCTACTGAGGGTCTCTGTGTATCTTTGGGCTCCCCAGTGGGGTTAGAATGACCCACATAGGGCAGCCTCCCACAGACCCATATCATCAGCCCCAGAACCAGCAGCCTCTATCCTCAGCACACCCCAGACTCCAACCGTGTGTGTTCTAGGCTGATGGAGAATCCAGTCTGCTGGGAGATGGTCAGCTACTACTTGAAGTGTCTAGAGAATGACTGTGGCCTCAATCCCTAACCTCTCTGCTGATAACCCAAGATCAGTCTTACTTCAGTTTTTAAAATGGGAAATCTGTATAGCACTTGTTCTCTGAAGAGTTGCCCTTTAAGGCACATACAAATGCCTTGCTTGTAATATGCTAGGCTTCAGCAGCCAGTCGCTGTGATGGCTTAGTAAGAACTGGTACTGAGACATAAATGACTGTTGGAACTAAAAGAAACTCCTGTTAAAGCAGGGCTCAGACAGCTTTGCCAGCTCTTTCCAGTCCCTCAGGGTTGTTGATGAAGTATGAAATGGACACTGATGCTTTGTGGGAGTTTGCACTGTTACAGCATACTTCCTATTGGCATTTATGGAAAGGGAACTGCTTATATGCCCCAACAGCATTTACCCTCTAATCTTCATTGCACTCCCCCTTCCAAGCAGAGTTTAACCGTAAAGTAGTTCCTAAAGCGGGGAATGCACAAAATAAGGGGCAGCATAATTTTAGAACAAGTGAATGTTTAAGCAATCCACATACAATGCATGCCCTTTTTTGTTCATCCTCCCCCTACTCCTGCTTTTGTTTTGGGAAATGTATATTTTAAGGCAGACGCTGCACGTGTGAAGTTGTTTCTTATGAAGTCAGGAAGTAGAGAAACACACTGTGGAGGGGCATATGAGGGGTGTTTAATGCTACAGGAATAAGCGCCGGCTCCACCCCCTGTGTGTAGGAGTGCGCTCACCCTGTCGAGGGTAGGCACTGCCAGTGCAGTGTCCATCCTCGTCGCTGTTCAGAAGCACCTTCTGTAGAGGAAGAAAGGCCCGTGTTCCTCGTACTCAAAGCGGTGGACCCACAATGGTTGGAAACCCTGAAGTGAGGCCAGGATGGAGCCACCGGTCCACACGGCACTGTCTCTTTCAGGCAGCACGTTTACCTGCGGGGTGTCATTGGGACACATGCTGCTTAGCTCCTTCTGCAGACGGTTAGGGAAGCCACTGAGCATCGTGCTGCCCCCGCAGAGCAGGATGTTCCCCATGAGGTCCCGTTTGAGGGCGATGTCACACTTGTTAAGGCAGGACACGGTTTGGGTGTGGAGGCCCAGCTGCATGGACTTGATGAGAGATGGCTTGAAGAACATCTCCGAGCAGAGGAACCGTTCCTGGCACAGCTGAATCTCCTTCCCATCCGGCAGCACGTAGCGGATCGTATGCTCACTGAGAGGGACTTTCTTCTCCTCAATGGGATCCAGGGCCACAAAGCAGCATTTCTTCTTGATGTCCTCCACGATGCCCATCTGGTCCTGGGTGAATTCGTTCCCCGCACTGTTCAGCAGGCCCAGCAGGTAGGCTGTCAGGTCAGAGCCCGCGTAGTCCAGCCTTCCGGTGATGCTGGGCAAAGGATAACCCTCGTAGATGGGGACCACGTAGGACACGCCATGGCCCACCTCCACCACCAGGCCGGAGGTCCTTCCATAGGAGTACATGGACAGGCGCGACTGGTAGGCGATGTGCATTGCAGGGGTGTTGAAGGCTTCAAACAGCATTTCAGCATATTTCTCTCTGTTGGTGTGTGGGCTCAGTGGCGGGTCTGAAACCAAGACCGCATGCTCCTCCGGGGCGATCTTCATCTCTTGTCGGAAGAGATATTCCCAGATATCCTGCACTGTATCCCAGTCCACGATGATGCCATGTCGCAGAGGGTTAACCAGCTTGAGATGAACGTTTGTGTTGTTGAGTTCCTGCCCCACGAATGTCTCCTTGCGATTATCCCCAGTCTTGGCGGTCTCCATGTAGGGCTTGCCCACCGTTGTTGAGATCTTGTGGGTGGGTCTTGGCAGGCCGGCAAAGCCACATTTACAGTAGCCAGTGCCCAGGTCCACGACCACTGCTTTGGTCACCTCCTGCTTGGGCCTCTCCTTGGCTGCCTTTGATTCAGTAGGTTCTTGTGGCTCTGAACTCGTATGGCGGACCCACACGGCCCGCTTCGCCGGGCCATCCCTTAAAGAGGCAGTCTGGAGGGCCTGTGTCTGCAGGGGGGCCTGGTTGCCCACCTTCTTGGTGGGCCCATCCCCCATGATTGCTGCTGGTGGAGCCCACATGTTGTCAAGAGCCGCACCACTCTTAGAAAGTTCTCAATCCCACTGGATTCAAGGCCTGAAAGGCCTACATCAGAGGATACCCTGAGAATTTTCCCAACAGTGACATCACTAATTATGATGTAATCTGGTGACCTGGGCTTTCTAGATATTGCAAACCCTTATCCTGTGTTAGGGTACATTTGGGATATTGTTTTTGAAATGGCTCCCCTTTTCCTAAATTTCGTAACAAGACTGATTTATTCAATTAATTAATATTTCTTGAATGTCTGCTATATACAAGGCAGCTGGGAATTCGCTGGTGAAAAAAACAGACAAAATCCCTTATTCTAGTCGGTGGCGGGTGGGGGTGACAGACAATAACCAAAATGAGCGTTAAGAGCAAAAGCAGGGTGGCAGTGCTAGTGTGGCCTGGGCAGGGCTTCCTGAGAGGGTGACATTTGAATGAAGACCTGCAGGAGGTGAGGGAGAGAGCCATGTGTATGTCAGGGGAGCAGCAGGTGCAGAGGACTGGAGGCAGATGTGTGACTGAAGAGTTAGATCAGGGGTCAGCAGGCTGCAGTCCAATCCGGTCCCCGGCTTGTTGGATAGGAATACAGCCGTGCTCATTCATGTACGTATTGTCCGTGACTGCCATTGCAGTACAACAGTAGAGCTGAGTCACAGCATTGAAGACTGCATTGCCCAAAAAGCTGAAAGAAAGTAAATACTGACTGACCCTTAAAAAGTTTGCCGACCTCTCGAGTTAAAGGAGGAGCAGGAAGAAAAGTGTGGCTGGCATAGAAGGAGTAAGGAAAAGTAGATGAGATGGGGTGGGGGAAGGCAAGCAGCTCATGGTAGGCCTCATAGGCCAATGCAAGGATCGTGGGTAAGGTCAGAAAGCACTAGAGGATTTGGCACAGAGCACTGACACCATCTGATTTAGATGTTAGTGGGAATCCTTTGCTGCTATGGTGACTAAGGGCACTAAGGGTGACCCTTAGAACAACCTTAAGGGGAATTATTTTTGGATATACATGTGTACACTTACTGTGCCTTCATCAGGGTCATTGGCTAGACAGTGAAATTAGACTCTACAAAATCCCACTGACAACACTGAGGCTTTTAGGTGCATAGCTCACCCAAGGATATCCAACCAGGAGTAGCCAAGCTCTCCTGACTGTGGCTTCCTCCCCAGGATGTGCTGGGACACAGCTTGATGGGACCTAGCGTGCAACTCTTAGGCTGTTTGGCCACCATCTTGCATGCCATTTCTGAAGCTGGACACATTGGTGTGGATGCCTGCCACACTCAGGGCAGAATCCAACCTTATGTTATGCCACACCCTGAACCTGATCCCAGCCCTTCATAAAAGAGGCAGTCACCACAATAATGGGCTTTCTCCTTTAGAGAGGCTACGGGAGTTGCTCTCAGTTCCTTGTTGGGTATGAGAGAAGAAAAGGACCAAGTCCAGTCTCATGAGGTTTGTGGTGACTATCTGATGGGGGCAGCAAGGTGTCATCCCAAGGACAAAATCTCAGTTTCTTGCTTCATTGGTTAGTGGGTGAGATAATAGCATGGAATTTTAAAGGAAAAATAGGAAAGTACTTTTGATGCCTGGCTGCCTGAAAAACAGTTTAATTGCCTCTGCCGTTCAGGGATTTGCGTGGGCAACTCAGATTGTTTGACTTTATTTCAAAAGTGCTGTATATGGTAACCAAAGGCATATGTAATTTAAAACCCTCCATTTTTTTCTTCCCAAACCCTACTTGAATGTTGCGAAATCTATAGCTGCTTGGTGCCTTTTCACTAACCTGGACTCCTAGAAGAGCCTGTATTAGCTTCCTGTTTCTGCTGTAACAAATTACCATGGATTTAGTGGCTTAAAGCAATTCACAGTTATTATCTTACTATTTTGGAGGTCAGAAGTTCGTAATTCTTCTTAGTGGGCTACAATTAAGGTTCTTTCAGGGCTGTATTCCTTCTGGAGGTGTAGGAGACAATACTTCCTCTTGCCTCCAGCTCCTAGAGGCCACCTGTGTTCCTTGGCTCATAGTCCCTTCCTCCATCTTGGAAGACTCTCAGACTAGAGCTGTCATTGTCACATCTGCTTCTCTGCCCTTGACCCTCCTGTATCCCCCATATAAGGACCCTTGTGATTACATTGGCCCCACCCAGGCCATACAGGATACTCTCCCCATCTCAGATTCCTTCATTTAATCACATCCACAGAATCCCTTTTGGCATGAAAGTTAATATAGTCACAGGTCCCAGGGATTAAGATGTGGACACCTTTGGAGGACCCTTTCACCTGTTCAGTGCCTCCCTCTTTGCTAATACACTCCAAGCCTGACATGCTCTGACTCATTTGCTCTTCGTGGGCTGCCCAGGCTTGCCCATCTGTCATCTGTCATCACACTTTCTGCATTTGTGTGTGGAAGAGGTGATGCTTTAGTGTAAGGCAGTCACTCTATCTAGTCTGTAAGGTCCTTGAGCATAGGGATTCCCCTCACATTCTCTGAGCAAAAGCCAATGAAACACTTGCCCTCCTTTTACTTCACCACTGAGTTTCACATGTTGGGTGCTCCTAATAAAAACCCTGTTTCCCCTAAGCTTCCTGTTACCCTCTGTGCCTCTTCTCTCCCTCTATGGGTCATCACACGGTTAGTGGTAATGATGGAAGAATGCAGAGACTGTGGACACCGTGCCCCAAACCTCCACTGCCTAGCACACACACCCCCCATAATTGTCACCAGCTAAGGTCTGTGTGGGCCCTCTGGGGTCCCTAGTGAGGTCCCTCTTGGGAGAGGCACCCTATAGTGCTCAAAATATATTGGGCCACATTTTCTAATGGGATCACACCTACTTTTAGCCCTCTGGCTCAAGACCAAAAAAACCATGGGATGACCCCTTTTCAAATGCAACCCTGGGATCCTCTTCTATAGTGGAGGGAGAGAACATGGAAAGGTGAGATTAAAGAACACACTTCTGCCTGAGGTGCATCCTGGCTCCTGGCTTCAGTTTTGGGACACTGCCCACCCTTGACCTTTGGAGGAGAGGTGAGCCAGGCCTCTGGAATTTTAGCAGCAATGGGAGGGAAAAAAAGAAAATCCAGCATGGCATTTCTTCTCATGAATCACCTGGAGTTTTTCTTAAAAATTACTGGAGCCCACCACAGCCTTTCCAACTCTTGAATATGCTGGAGAACCCCTGAGTCAGGAGCTCCCAACAAAGAAGATCCTTGCCAAACAGGCACTTTGAGCTGCTTTCTCACAGCTCAGATCCCAGTGTGGACACCCAGGTCCCAAGACTGTGTCCATTTCCCCGAGGTGGAAGGGAGAGGAGCTGTCTTCAGGGGCAGATGTGCTACTGAGCATGCAAATGTGGATCCGGATGCTTCCCTTTCCATGTGCTCCAGCCCAGTGTCCCACAGCCTAGTGACCTTTGGGCATCTCTAAGTCAGCAGACCCCAAATGTGAGTGTGTGTGTGTGTGTGTGTGTGTGTGTGTGTATGTGTGTGTGTCACCATCATCCACTTAGCAGCTCAAGGCAGAGACCTGGAGGCTGTGGGTAGGGGTCAAGTTGACGAGGGGACATAGCAAAATGGTAATCACATTCAAACAACATTTCAAGTAGTTTACCCAAAGTCATACAGATTATAAATAATAAGTCTATGTTTGAACCCAGGTCTTCGGAATCCAGTTCCTCAGTCTTCCATCTGCTCTGTACTGCCTTTCTGTAAGGAATGGATAAAAAGTAGGCTCTGGCAGTCCATGAATACTGCCTTTAAATAGCCTAAGAGTTGTCGTGGAAGAATTTGCTTGCCCCGTAGAACTTCAAGAGTAGACCCAAGACCATTTAATGGCTTCAGAGAGGTACACATGCCAATCCAGTGTGACGAAACGTTTATCACTCATGGCTGGCCAAAATAGGGTGAGCTGTCCATGTCAGACTACTGGATGGAATGTTCTAGAAGGAACTGAAGGGTCCAATCCTCAGCTTCTGTGATTTCATGATCCCACCACAGGGCATTTCTGGGTCATGATGTTCATAATTATAACCCTTAGAAAGTTGTTACCCAAATAATATAGTTGAATGCTGCCATGTTCCAAGAAACAATTCAGCGGGCTGGGCATGGTGGCTCACACCTGTAATCCCAGCACTTTGGGAGGCCAAGGCGGGCGGATCACGAGATCAGGAGTTCAATGTCAGCCTGGCCAACATGGTGAAACCCCGTCTCTACCAAAAATACAAAAATTAGCCAGGCGTGGTAGCAGGTGCCTGTAATCCCAGCTACTGGGGAGGCTGAGGCAGGAGAATCGCTTGAAACTGGAAGGCGGAGGTTGCAGTGAGCTGAGATCGCGCCACTGCACTCCAGACTGGGCGAAAGAGCGAAACTCTGTCTCAGAAACAAACAAACAAACAAAAATTTGGCAAACAAAAATCCCCACACATTCCTCATTAGCATTCTTACATGCTCCATGGCAGTATTTCTTAACTCTTTTTCCCCCATGCATGTTGCCTAATCAATTCCTCAGGCACCTCTGCTCATCTTAATTCTCCCAGAAAACTTCCTCAGGCCCAGTTGCCGCTCTTCCCCTTTTTCTGTTGACTCTTCACCACCAAAGCCCTAAACTGCCTTTTTGATTTTTGGAGTGGGAGGGGGCAGCTTAAGTTGCAGGTCCCTCTGGCACTCTCGTGAATTTGTCCTTTCTGGATGACAGGCCATCTTTCTTTGCCCGGGTACAAGTAAGCGATTCATCCTTCCCTCTGCCTCACATCCCACATCACAGGAGCCCATGAGGGAAGCCCTGAAATGTCAGAGTAAGAGCTTGGATTAAAGTGAGGGATGGTTGGGGAAAAAACAGATTGGATTCTATTCTACTTTCTAAGTTTCTCTAGAACTAGGCTCTTCCTTGTTTCCACACTCTCACAGCCCTAGGTCAGGCCACCTTCAAGTCTTATCAGAAGTTCTCCAATGGCCTCGTTTCGGGTCTCAGTTTCTAGTCTTGCCCCTCCCATCCATTCTCTACATTACAGCCCAATGCAGATCTTTCTAACATTTTTATTTTTCTTTTCTTTTTTTTTGAGATGGAGTCTCACTCTGTCTCCCAGGCTGGAGTGCAGTGGTGCGATCTCAGCTCACTGCAACCTTTGCCTCCCAGGTTGAAGCAATTCTCTGCCTCAGCCCCCCAAGTAGCTGGGATTACAGGCACCCGCCACCATGCCCAGCTAATTTTTGTATTTTTAGTAGAGATGGGGTTTCACCATCTTGGCCAGGCTGGTCTTGAACTCCTGACCTCATGATCCACCTGCCTCAGCCTCCCAAAGTGCTGGTGGGATTACAGGCATGAGCCACCACGCCCGGCCCTTTCTAACATTTTTCTAGAGGGCAAATCTGATCATTCCCCTGCTTAAAGTCTTCATAGCTTCCCTGGCTCTCCTCAGTTTAGTCTAAACCTACTCCTGCCATTTGATGCCCTTTCTATTTGGCTCTGTGACTTCTCTAGCTTCATCTGTTTTTCCAAACACTTTGACTGTGGGAAGTTCTTCACCGTGCCTCCATTTGAGCCTTTGCTCAAGCTGTGCTCTCTGCCTGGGATGTCTTCCCCTCCTCTTAACTACTTGACAAATACCTACACCTCTTCCAGGATTCAACTTAAGCATCACCTCCTCTCTAGAGCACCTTCTGACTGCCTGTCTCAAATGAGTTCTCCAAGTAGACTTCTTCCTGCAAACCCATCGGCACCCATTCCATTTTCTTGTCTAGACTGGGCACTGCTGGTGGCCTGGGTTTTTAATCATCTATCACTGGCAGGCTGCACTGGGCGGGACCTACTATATACTCCAGTAAATGTGGAGTGAAGGGAGGAAAGAACTCTTGGGGCGGTTAAGGAGGCCTGGTGCATTGGAGTTTGATGAATTTGGGTTAAGGTACAAACACCCCAAGTGCTGTTTGCTCTTGGGCAAGTCCTTAGAATTCTGAGCCTCATTTCCTCAGCTCTGCCTACCTGCAGAACAACATAAGTGAAGTAACTAGTACAGTGCCTGCCTTACTGGAGGGGCTCAAATAGGCCCTCTCCACCAAGAAGCAGAAGAGGAAAGGTGTCCAGTAGTGAACAGGTTAGGCATGGAAATGCAAGGGGGCTGAGCAGAAACCTCTGAGACCCTAGTGTGCTTGGATTTCTAAAACTGCCGGCCACCTGCTCTGTCCGGGAGCAAACTTGAGTTAGAGAGGTGGGGGTGACACACCAAGAACCGACCAAAGCCAGGCCCTCCCCTGCTGCCTGAATGGACCAGCCCCGAGTGACATCACAATCCCGGGTGGTTGTCATGGCACTGCTGGAGGTGGGGGATCTCATTTCTCCCCAGGGGGCTCTAGGCTGTGGATGTGAGAAGGGGAGCAAGGGAGGCAGATGGCGACAAGGAACAGCCCCATGCCCCTGGGCACGGCTCAGGGTGACCCTGGAGAGGCAGGAACACGGCCCGGCCCTGACGCCAGCCTCCGGGACACAGGTGCGGCCACTCAGCTCAAGATGAAGCCCAGGAAGGTGCACAAGATCAAGGCGGTCATCATCGACCTGGGCTCCCAGTACTGCAAGTGCGGCTACGCGGGAGAGCCGAGGCCCACCTACTTCATCTCCTCCACCGTGGGCAAACGCTGCCCCGAGGCGGCCGACGCTGGCGACACCCGCAAGTGGACTTTAGTGGGCCATGAGCTGCTCAACACGGAGGCGCCTCTCAAGCTGGTGAACCCGCTGAAGCACGGCATCGTGGTGGACTGGGACTGCGTGCAGGACATCTGGGAGTACATCTTCCGCACCGCCATGAAGATCCTCCCCGAGGAGCACGCTGTGCTGGTCTCCGACCCTCCGCTCAGCCCCAGCAGCAACCGGGAGAAGTACGCGGAGCTCATGTTTGAGACCTTCGGCATCCCAGCCATGCACGTGACGTCCCAGTCGTTGCTGTCCATCTACTCCTACGGCAAGACCTCGGGGCTGGTGGTGGAGAGCGGGCACGGCGTCTCGCACGTGGTGCCCATATCCGAGGGCGACGTGCTGCCGGGCCTGACCAGCCGCGCCGACTACGCTGGGGGTGACCTCACCAACTACCTGATGCAGCTGCTCAATGAGGCGGGCCACGCATTCACGGACGACCACCTGCACATCATAGAGCACATCAAGAAGAAGTGCTGCTATGCGGCCTTCCTGCCCGAGGAGGAGCTGGGCCTGGTCCCGGAGGAGCTGCGCGTGGACTACGAGCTCCCGGACGGCAAACTCATCACTATTGGCCAGGAGCGCTTCCGTTGCTCTGAGATGCTCTTCCAGCCCTCCCTGGCAGGCAGCACCCAGCCGGGCCTCCCGGAGCTCACAGCTGCCTGCCTGGGCCGCTGCCAGGACACGGGCTTCAAGGAGGAGATGGCCGCCAACGTGCTACTGTGTGGCGGCTGCACTATGCTGGATGGCTTCCCCGAGCGCTTCCAGAGGGAGCTGAGCCTCCTCTGCCCCGGGGACAGCCCTGCAGTGGCTGCCGCTCCTGAGAGGAAGACCTCCGTGTGGACCGGCGGTTCCATCCTGGCCTCCCTGCAGGCCTTCCAACAGCTCTGGGTCAGCAAGGAAGAGTTTGAGGAGCGGGGCAGCGTGGCCATCTACAGCAAGTGCTGAGCCTCGGCATTTCCACAGACAAGGCCTCCAGCACAGATGGCCACAGGCCTCTCTATACACATTTACAGAATTTCACATAAAGGTTTACTCTGAAATGGCTCTTGTCTAGTCTGGGTTTCTTGCTTCTATCTGATAGCAGAGGGTAGGGGGGAGTCGGGCTTAGAAGCGGCAGCACCTTTTGCACTGGAGGTGGGGGCTGTAAGGAAGGGGGCTACCATACTGATCCCACCCCCTCTGCCTGCCTCATGATAGTGACATCATCTCAGGGCCTAGAAAGTGGCCTCCTGTTTTATTAGTACCTCCAGGTTCAAAACCTGATCCAAAGACACTCCTCATCGCTGGCTCAACTAAGGGGGTTGGCTCTGATGAAGGGACTAGCTTGGGTCACCTAGCGGTAGGTTGGAGGAGATGCACAGCTGGGTGTCCGACTCCAGTCTCCTGTTTCTGCTGTTCACAAGTGCTCCCAACCTTAACACTGCCTGATCACTCCAGGTTCCCTAACCTCCCCCTAGTGCCTGCCACCCTCAATATGGGAGCCTAAGGCTGTGCCAGTGCATCTCCAGAGTGTGAAGTGCCATTTCAACCCATCTGTGGGCGTACCCCTTTCAACCACAGCCAAAATTGCAGCTATTTTTCCAGAGTCACAAAGCAGAGCCACTGATTCCAGAGGATGTCAGAGGAACCAGAAGGTCCTTTAGAAATCGGGTCCTCTCCCGGCTATAGAGATGGGGAAACTGGGCTGGGTGCGGTGGCTCACACCTGTAATCCCAGCACTCTGGGAACCCGAGGCAGGTGGATCACCTAAGGTCAGGAGTTCGAGACCAGCCTGGCTAACATGGTGAAACCCTGTCTCTACTAAAAATACAAAAATTAGCTGGACATGGTGGTGGGTACCTGTAATCCCAGCTTCCCCAGGAGGCTGAGCAGGGAGAATCATTTGACCCCAGGAGGCGGAGGTTGCAGTGAGCTGAGGTTGCGTCATTGCACTACAGCCTGAGCAACAGAGCAAGACTCCATGTCCAAAAAGAAAAAAAAAAAAGAGAGATAGGTAAACTGAGACCAGAGAGGAGAGAGCCAGCTTAATGCCAGTGGTTGAGCCCAGGTCTCCTGATCCACATCAGGATTATTCCCATAAGGGTATAAACATGGTTCTTAATGGTTAGTCAGCAACCCAAAGCACTTACCATGCATGTACTGTGGGTCAGGCCCAGTGCTGGGGACTGAGAAATGAGCAGAACACAGTCTCTACCCTTGGCAATCACACACAGCTAATGGACAACCACATTGGTAGGGAGTCAAGGTCTGAGCTAAGTGTTCACGGTGGTGAGAAGGTAGTGGTGATGCATTGGAATGTTGTAAGTGGAGAAGTTGCTGGGCATGGTGTCCACTTATTGGCTTTGGGGCTGAGGGAGAGGCTGTGGAGGCTTGTGAGATTTCAGCTGGTGACTAACTGCCTACTTAGAAGAGTGGGTTCCTGCCCCCTTCCCTACCCTCACCTTCCAATGGAGTTCATGACCCAGTTGGTGCCATCTATGGGATCAGACATCCATGAGCTGCATAGTCTTGGATGGGCTGAGACTTAAATATCCCTGAGTCACCTCTTACCTTAAGCAAAGGGTCCTGATTTGGGGCACCCCATGAGGCTGCCTCTGTCCTGGGCCCAGTGCTGGGGGCTGCAGACTTGGGCAAGAACCAGACATAGTCATTATCACCTAAGGCCCTGCTCTTTAGTCCTTCCCCATTGTCCAGAATTGGGCATCTAGCCTGGAGTTTGAATACCCCTGGTCAAACAGGGCGTTGGCAGCAGGCATGGAACCTGGGCTCTTTCCTATAGAGGGATGTTGCAGACTGGAGGCCTGGAGGCTGAAGGTGGCCAATAGACATGTTTCATGTGGCCATCACAGTGTACAAGTGTTTTCTTGAATGTGAATTTTTTTCTGTGGGGCTGCATTTTCGAGGTTGCCAACGTCCCTGCCACACTGATGTCTTCATATATATTTGCTGCTTCAACACAACTTCTTCCTTAGCATTAGTTTCTGTTGCTTGTAACCCAAGTGATTGTAAAAAGCCTGATGAAATACAGAGAGGGAAGCTGAGGCTTATAGAGGGAAAGTGATATATCCCAAATCACACACGCAGTAAGTGCTACGTGTGAACCCCATTCCCTCCTTATCTCCTCTCCTCACTCCACACATCTTCAGCAACTTCTCCTGTCTCTAGTCACTGCTTCAGTCCCTCCAACACATGGTCATCTCCTCAAAAGCATCCCTCATGTGGCAGGGGCTGTAAAAACACTAATTGCTAGATCCCTGACATGAACTTATTTAAGCTAACCAGAGGATTCAGCAGGAGATTTATTTTTGGTGGAAAAACACGGGTCAGTGACTTCCAGCTTAAGATGACCTCCTGACCCTGTGTGTTTATCTCCCCTCCCTTCTCAGATTCCATGGAGTCATAGTAGAGAATATAAATGCATAAGCTCAGTGCAAATAAAGAGAATGGTAGGGGAACTACAGGGACTAGAGATTTCTACCTGATTCTGGAAGAAAGAGAGTGGAGGTGGGAACCAAGGAAAGAAGCAAGGGTAGGAATTTCCTGTCCTGCAGAATGGGCAGGAATTTGCAACTTGGAAATGCCAGACAGGAAAGACATAGCAGTGAAGCATGTGAGAGTGGGAACGGGCTGAGGAGGGGTGGTGCCCGTGGTCTCTATCTGAAGAATTGTGGCTTTCCATGCTCACAGGTAGAGAGAGGGGTAAGAACACTGGCTGCCTCTACAGGTATGTTTCTTAGGAAGAAAGAAGTTGAATTCTCTCTCTAAAAGTGGTGCTGGTATAGAAAAAGGAGGAGGGAAGCATGTGAAGAACAGACAAGGAGCCTCACCTGCACCCCCTTGTCCCTTCTCCAGACCAGGAATCACACTTGGGACTAGCTCATATTCCCGAGGTAGAATAGTTGATGCCTCCAACTTTCCTGTTATCACTTTCCACAACTCCTGGTTTCTGCATGGGCATCGGACGTGGCCCAGGACTGACTTCCCTTCCAGCACCGAGGGCAGAGCATGTGATTTAGGCTCAGCCAGTCGGAGCATCCATCTCCTTGGCCATAATGATTGGTTCTGGGTGAACATGCGATCTCAGTAGAGTGAGTCCTGGAGAGTGAATCCTACGCTTTTTGCTTGGAAGCTTGATGTGAAGTTGAGGGGTGTGTCCTAGCACTGCTGTGGCATTTATGACTAGGAAAGAAGCCAGCTTGAAGCTGACCCACCAAGGATTGTGGAGCTCAGAGAAACAAAGCTGGTGCCCTGGGGACGAAGTGAACCTCTGAATCAAACCATGCCTAGAGTTTGAACCCACTCCCAGGTATTTCAGTTCTGTGAGCCATGCATTCAACTTCATCATTCATGTGCCTTAGGGTTGTGTGTCTGTTACTTGCAACTGAGAGCATTCTAGCTGCGTCAATTTCCTTCTCAACAACAGCATTCCTCTGGAGCAGGTTTGCATGGAGAAGAGACTGGGGTTGGAGAGGCCTCTTTTAATTGAAATATTAAGACCAACAATTCATTTTTTCCTTACGAAGAAACTACATAAGAATAATTTTTATCAAGGTACCAGAGGATATCAGATAACATACTACACTGAAGGCAGAGACCAAAGAGTGTCTGTTGACTGCTATCTTATATATTCACTTCTTAGATATTTGTCCCTAAGGCTAGACTCAGAGCTTCTTGAGGGCAGGAACTGTGCTTCCCTCATTTTAGTTTTCTCAGAGTCTGGTGCAGAGCATGGCACAGAGTTGGTGCTTAGTACATGCCAAATGAACTCATTTATTCCCAGTCTGTGAGGTGGACATTACAGTATTTCCCCCCATTTTACAGGTGAGGACACTGAGGCTTGGAAAGGTTAGGAGTCTTGTGCAAGGTCACCCATCTGGTAAACCAAAGTCTTGTGCTAAATCGAAGTTTTGAGATTCCACAATGCCTTTTTGCCCTTGTCTCCTACTTTTCTGAAAATTATCAATCTCTTTTCCAAGAAGAAAAATTTACATATAAAAATTGCTTTCAAATCATGTACAACAAATTTGATGTAATTTCATAGTCATTATCCTGAGGTTTCAAAGTTAAAAATGCCAATCTTTTAGCAAAGAAGAGATTTGTCTTGCTGGAACCTTCCAGAGACATAAGCATTAGAGTGACATCAAGTGGTGAAGTCCTACCACTTCCACATGGCAAGAGGCTTGTTTTCCTCACTGTCCAGGCAGTCTGATCTCTCTCCCTCAAATGTTTGTTACTAAGTTTGCTGTAAGAGTTATTTGCCCAAGGTCTTTTTCTTTTTCTTTTCTCTTTTTTTTTTCTTTTGAGATGGAGTTTCGCTCTTGTCGCCCAGGATGGAGTGTGATGGTGCAGTCTCAGCTCATACAACCTCCGCCTCCCTGGTTCAAGCAATTCTCCTGCCTCAGCCTCCTGAGTAGCTGGGATTACAGGCACCCACCATGCCCAGCTAATTTTTGTATTTTTAGAAGAGATGGGGTTTCACCATGTTGGCCAGGCTGGTCTTGAACTCCTGACCTCAGGTGATCTGCCCGCCTTGGCCTCCAAAATTTCTGGGGTTACAGGCATGGGCCACTGCGCCTGGCCCCAAGGTCTTTCTAAGAAATTAACTTTATAGCCCAGGCACAGTGGCTCACGCCTGTAATCCCAGCCACGTGGAACTCTAAGTCCAGTTAAACCTCTTTCCTATGTAAATTGTCCAGTCTCAGATATGTCTTTATCAGCAGCATGAAAACGGACTAATACAGTAAATTGCTGAAAAGATACCCAAAAATGTGGAAGCAACTTCAGAACTCGGTAACAGGCAGAGATTGGAACAGTTTGGAGGGCTCAGAAGAAGACAGGAAAATGTGGGAAAGTTTGGGACTTCCTAGAGACTTGTTAAGTGGCTTTGCCCAAAATGCTGATAGCAATACGAACAATAAAATCCAGGCTGAGGCAGGCTCAGATGGAGATGAGGAACTTGTTGGGAAGTGGAGCAAAGGTGACTCTTGTTATGTTTTAGCAAAAAGACTGGTGGCATTTTGCCCCTGCTCTAGAGATTTGTGGAACTTTGAACTTGAGAGAGATGATTTAGGGTATCTGGTGAAAGAAATTTCTAAGCAGCAAAGCATTCAACAGCTAACTTGGGTGCTGTTAAAGACATTCAGTTTGTTGTTGTTGTTGTTGTTTGAGACAGAGTCTTGCTCTGCCGCCCAGGCTGGAGTGCAGTGGCGCTATCTTGGCTCACTGCAACCTCTGCCTCCCGGGTTCAAGCGATTCTCCTGCCTCAGCTTCCCGAGCAGCTGGGACTATAGGTATGTGCCAGCTAATTTTTGTATTTTTAGTAGAGACGGGGTTTCACCACATTGGCCAGGCTGTTCTCGAACTCCTGACTTCATGATCCACCCACCTTGGCCTCCCAAAGTGCTGGGATTACAGACATAAGCCGCCACGCCCAGCTGGCATTCAGTTTTATAGGGGAGGCAGAGCATAAAACTTTAAAAATTTGCAGCCTGACTAGGCAATAGTAAAGAAAAACCCATTTTCTGGGAACAAATTCAAGCTGGCTGCAGAAACTTGCATAAATAGCAAGGAGCCTAATGTGAATCCCCCAGACCATGGGGAAAATGTCTCCAGGCCATGTCAGAGAACTTCCTGGCAGCCACTCCCATCACAGGCCCAGAGGCCCAGGAAGAAAAAGTGGTTTTGTGGGCTAGGCCCAGGGTCCCCATGCTGTGTGCAGTCTAGGGACTTGGTGTCCTGTGTTCCAGCCACTCCAGCTGTGGCTGAAAGGTGCTGATGTGCAGCTTGGGCTGTGGCTTCAGAGGATGGAAGCCCCAAGCCTTGGCAGCTTCCATGTGGTGTTAAGCCTGTGGGTGCACAGAAGTCAAGAATTGAGGTTTGGGAGCCTCCACCTAGATTTCAGAAGATGTATGGAAACGCCTGGATGCCCAGGCAGAAGTTTGCTGCACGTGCAGGGCCTTCATGGAGAAGCTCTGCTAGGGCAGTGCAGAAAGGAAATGTCAGGTCAGAGCCCCCACAGAGAGTCCCTTCTGGGGCACTGCCTAGTGTAGCTGTGAGAAAAGGGCCACTGTCCTCCAGACCCCAGAATGGTAGATCCATCAACGGCTTGCACTGCGCACCTGGAAAAGCTGCAGACACTCAACAACAGCCTGTGAAAGCAGCCGGACGGGAGGCTGTACCCTGCAAAGCCACAGGGATGGAGCCGCCCAAGACCGTGGGAACCCACCTCTTGCATCAGCACACAATGGATATGAGACCCGGAGTCAAAGGAGATCATTTTGGAGCTTTAAAATTTGACTGACCTGCTGGATTTCAGACTTGCATGGGCCCTGTAACCCCTTTGTTTTGGCCAATTTCTCCCATTTGGAACAGCTGTATTTACCTAGTACTTATACACCCATTGTATCTAGGAAGTAACTAGTTCGCTTTTGATTTTACAGGTTCATAGGTGGAAGGGACTTGCCTTGTTTCAGGTGAGACTTTGGACTGTGGACATTAGGGTTAATGGTGAAATGAGTTAAGATTTTGGGGGACTGTTGGGAAGGCATGACTGGTTTTGAAATGTGAGGACATGAGATGTGGAGGGGCCAGGGATGGAATGATATGGTTTGGCTGGGTACCCACCAAAATCTCAATTTGAATTGTATCTCACAGAATTCCCATGTGTTGTGGGACAGACCCAGGGGGAGGTAACTGAATCATGGGGGCTGGTCTTTCCCATACTATTCTCGTGATAGTGAATAAATCTCACGAGATCTGATGGATTTATCAGGGGTTTCTGCTTTTGCTTCTTCCTCATTCTCTCTTGCCACTGCCATGTGAGAAGTGCCTTTCATTCTCTGCCATGATTGTGAGACCTTCCCCAGCCACATGGAACTGTAAGTCCAGTTAAACCTCTTTCTTTTGTAAATTGCCCACTCTTGGGGATGTCTTTATCAGCAGCTTGAAAACGGACTAGTACTAAAGTCTATTAATTTTCTTAAATGAAACTAAAAAAAAAAAAAAAAAAGAAAGACAATCTACAGAGGCCGGGCATGGTGGCTCACGCCTGTAATCCCAACAGTTTGGGAGGCTGAGGCGGGCGGATCACCTGAGGTCAGGAGTTTGAGACCAGCCTGGCCAACATGGAGAAACTCCATCTCTACTAAAAATACAAAATTAGCTGGGCATGGTGGTGCATGCCTGTAATCCCAGCTACTGGGGAGGCTGAGGTAGGAGAATCACTTGAACCCAGGAGGCAGAGGTTGCAGTGAGCACTCCAGCCTGGGAAACAAGAGTGGAACTCTGTCTCAAAAAAAAAAAAAAAAAAAAAGAAGCTAAAAAAAAAAATCTACAGACTGAGTGAAAACACTTGTAAACTACATATGTTTAAACTACATATGTTAACTATATCCAGCAAAGGACAAGTATATAGAATTTTTAAAGACCCCTCAAAACTAACAGTTTAAAAAATCCAATTAAAAAAATGAACATAAGACATGACAGACATTTCACCAAAAAAGATATGTAGTTGGCAGATAAGCACATGAAAAGAATGTTCAACATCATTAGCCATGGAAAGGCAAGTTAAAACCATGATGAGACCTTACTATCCATCTATCAGAATGGGAAAAAAAAGAAGAAACCACCAAAGCTGGTGAAGATGAAGATGAGGAGAAACTGGGTCACTCATACATTGCTGGTGGGAATGTAAAATGTGGAAAACAGTTTGACAATTTCTTTAAAAATGAAACATGCAGCTACCATACTACCCAGAAGTTGCATTTGCAAATTTATCCCAGAGAAATGAAAACTTATCTATCTTCACACAAAACCTGTACACAAATGTTCGTAACAGCTTTGTTCATAGCAGCCAGAAACTAGATACAACTCAGATATCTTTCAATGGGTGAATGGTTAAGCAGTAGTGGATTCAAATTTTTCTAGCAGGGCCAGACACGGTGGCTCATTCCTGTAACCTCAGCACTTTGGGAGGTCAAGGCAGGAGGATTGCTTGAGGCCAGGAGTTTAAGACCAGCTTGGGCAACGTAGACTCCATCTCTTAAAAAAAAAAGAAATTAAAAAATTAGCCAGGAATGGTTGTCCATGCCTGTAGTCCTGGCTACATGGGAGGCTGTGGTGGGAGGATCACACGAGCCCGGGAATTCGAGGCAACAGTGAGTTCTGATTGTGCCACTGCACTCCAGCCTGGGCAACAGAGCAAGACCCTGTCTCAAAAAACAAAGCAGGTTTTCCAGTTCTTACTGAGAGGCACCCATGAGGATTGGAGAAGAATAAACTATAGATAGATGCAACAACTTGGATGAATCTCCAGGGAATTATGCTGCTAGAAAAAAGTCAATCCCTGAAGGTTACATACTGTGTGATTCCATTTATGTATCATTTTTGAAAAAACAAAATTATAGAAATGGAGAACAGATTAGTGGTTCCAAGGGTTAGGGTTGAGTGGGTAGGGGGAAGTAGATATGGCTATAAAAAGAACATTGGGAGGATCCCTTGTAGTGGTGAACTGTTGACTTCTTCTTGATTGTATGAATGCCAATATCATAATTGTGACATTATGCTATAGTTTTGCAAGATGTTACCACTGGGGGAAACTGGTTAAAGGTACCTATTATCTCTCTATATCAATTCTTATATAACTGCGTGTGAATTTACCATAATCTCATAATAAAAAATCGAAGTAAAAACTTAAATACATAGATAGGGAAAAAATATATATCCTAATGTTCAAGCCACAGCTTAGACCTTTTAAATCAAAATGTCTAAGGGTGGGACCAGGTATTAATATTTATAAGTTTTTCAGATGATTCCAGTTTGAAACTTGCAGCCAAGTTTGAAAACCGATATCTTAGCCAACTGTGTGGAGCATGAGGAGCCAGCATAGGAGGCCGTGGAGAGCTTTGGGGCTGTACACATCAGTGGAGACGAGTTGTGTGGTCTCGGGCAAGCCATTTAAACTCTTGTAGCCTTGGGCTCTTCTTTGTAAATTGGTTATAACCTGTCCTTACTTCCCAGCACTGATTTGCAGATCAAGGAGAAAATGCAGGTTAAGTGTTTTATAAATTGTAAAGTG